>NC_000012.12:92460128-93085128 GCF_000001405.40 Homo sapiens | reverse complement strand
GAGACGGAGTCTCACTCTGTTGCCCAGGCTGGAGTGCAGTGGTGCAATCTCCACTCACTGCAAGCTCTGCCTCCCGGGTTCCTGCTATTCTCCTGCCTCAGCCTCCCGAGTAGCTGGGACCACAGGCACCTGCCACCATGCCCGGCTAATTTTTCTTTTGTTGTCATATTTTTAGTAGAGATGGGGTTTCACTAGGTTAGCCAGGATGGTCTCGATCTCCTGACCTCGTGATCCACACACCTCGGCCTCCCAAAGTGCTGGGATTACAGGCGTGAGCCACTGCACCCGGCCTCAAAATTTTTTTATATAAAACCACTGCTTATGGGATATTACAGTGATCATATGATGTTTGATTACAGCAGTGCATATATGGAAATTTTAAATATCTTATTCATATCATTGATTCTATGTAAACACAATGGCTTTGTGAAAAGACCATTTTCTAGAGATGTATCAAACATTTATCTAGTGCATATGGTGTTCCAAGCACTGGGGGGATACCTAAATGATGACAGTACCGTTCTCCAGTTTGTAAAAAGAGAAAAGTGAGAAGGATGATGATGAAATGGTAGCTCGATGACCACCTCCAACTTAAAACCATCTATGAAAGAACATATTAAGGCTCAGAATATATGATTCCCATAGATGTTAGCAAGATTTTATTTATAATAACTCTACTGTGTTTTCTTCCTGTGTTACTCCCACACTGTAGTACATCACAGTAATTTCTGAACTGCATATTTTAACCACAGTTAACTAGAATTTTAAAAACTTTTTTGACCCAGTGGAAATACATTTTACACTTGACCCAGTATATGTATCACTGAAATAAGTTTCACAAATCAGTATTTGCTCTTAGAAGCATGATGAAGGCTGATATTTTCTACTTTGTTGTATTTCATTAGTAATTTAATTTAAAAATGTACTAATGGATAACCACAATTTATTAAGTAGCGTCAATCATTCTTTACCTTATCCACCCCAACACACATATATTAACAGGATTTCATAATGAGTAGCTTTCTTGCATTTCATACAGTTCATTTTAGGACATAATCTCATTTATATTACTTTGGTAGGAACAATATTTCAGGGGCTTTAAAGATACAGTTCAAGGCCAGGCATGGTGGTTCACGCCTGTAATCCTAGTAATTTGTGGATGCCAAGGGAGGAGAATCACTTGAGGCCAGGAGTTCTAGACCAGCCTGGGCAACATAGTGAGATTCCCATCTCTAAGAAAAATTAAAAAATTAGCCGGACATGGTGATGTGCACCTGTAGTCCTAACAACTGGGAAGGCTATGGCAGGAGGATGGCTTGAGCCCAGGAGTTCGAGGCTGCAGTGAGCTATGATGGCACCCCAGCCTGGGCAACAAAGTGAGATCTTGTCTCTTAAAAAAAGATAGAGTGTGGCTCTCGGCCTTAGCGCCATTTTTTTTGGAAACCTCTGTGCCATGAGAGCCAAGTGGAGGAAGAAGCGAATGCGCAGGCTGAAGCGCAAAAGAAGAAAGATGAGGCAGAGGTCCAAGTAAACCGCTAGCTTGTTGCACCGTGGAGGCCACAGGAGCAGAAACATGGAATGCCAGACGCTGGGGATGCTGGTACAAGTTGTGGGACTGCATGCTACTGTCTAGAGCTTGTGTCAATGGATCTAGAACTTCATCGCCCTCTGATCGCCGATCACCTCTGAGACCCACCTTGCTCATAAACAAAATGCCCATGTTGGTCCTCTGCCCTGGACCTGTGACATTCTGGACTATTTCTGTGTTTATTTGTGGCCGAGTGTAACAACCATATAATAAATCACCTTTTCCACTGTTTTAGCTGAAGAATTAAAAAAAAAAAAAAAAAAAAAGATAGAGTGTGGCTCACGCCTGTAATCCCAGCACTTTGGAAGGTGTAGGTGGGTGGATCACCTGAGGTCAGGAGTTCGAGACCAGCCTGGCCAAGATGATGAAACCCCATTTCTACTAAAAATACAAAAATTAGCCAGGTGTGGTTGTGTGCACCTGTAATCCCAGCTACTCTGGAGGTTGAGGCAGGAGAATCGCTTGAACCTGGGAGGCAGAGGTTGCAGTGAGCCAAGATCGCACCACTGCACTCCAGCCTGGGTGACAAGAGTGAAACTCCATCCCCTCCATGCCCACATTAAAAAAAAAAAATGGAGTTTAATAACTGGGAAGACCACATTAGATGATTTTACATTTGATTGCATATTGTTAGAACACATTTTTGAATATATTAATGCATTTAAAACATGAATAAATGATACTTTGCATGTGTTCCTTTTTCCCCACAGACCAATTTTTTTCAACTGCCCTACAGTAGCTTCCGCTTGCTGGTGCCTTTGGGCTGCCATGGCCCCAACCCTGGCTCTACCTGTGCATGATCTTATAGTTCTGTGGTTCTCCACTGGTTCAATCCCTCTGTTTCTATGATTCTGATTGGTTCAGCGTGGTCAGCTGCTTGTGTCCGCCCTAGTCAGCAGTTATCTGACTGATTGAGGTCCCGTAGCCTACATGGCTGCTTTCCATAGCTTTTCTTTTTTTTGTTTGTTTGTTTTTGAGACTGAGTCTCGCTCTGTCGCCCAGGCTGGAGTGCAGTGGCGCGATCTCGGCTCACTGCAAGCTCCGCCTCCCGGGTTCACGCCATTCTCCTGCCTCAGCCTCCCCAGATGCTGGGACTATAGGCGCCCGCCACTACGTCCAGCTAATTTTTTTTATATTTTTAGTAGAGACGGGGTTTCACCGTGTTAGCCAGGATGGTCTCGATCTCCTGACCTCGTGATGCGCCCGCCTCGGCCTCCCAAAGTGCTGGGATTACAGGCGTGAGCCACCGCGCCCGGCCTGCTTTCCATAGCTTTTCTAAGCGGGTAGATATCAGTCAGGTCCCAGAAGTTAATAATACACTGCAATTGGGAAAACTGGAGAAGATTTTAATAAGAAGTGATTTATAAAGATCTGGGCATAAGAAAACCACAAGAAACCACAAGGGATAGTAGTACAGTATCCTTGGGGATTAACTGCAGGGGACCATTATTACCCCTGGGCCAAAAGAGGCAGTTACCAGAACCTGGGGAGAGAGCCAAGTGGAGGGGCCTGCTGGACAGGACCTGCAACCTTTAATAAAGGTGTTACCAGCAGTGAATCCGACAGGCCTGCAGTAAACTTGATCCTTCCCTCCTCGAAGGAAAGAATTCACCCAAAGGGCATAAGGCAGTGAGAAACAAGTTTTAGAGCAGAATTAAAAGTTTATTAAAAAGTTTTAGAGCAGGAAGGAAAGAAAGGAAGCAAAGTACACTTGGAAGAGGGCCGAGCGGGCAACTTGAGAGATCCAAGTGCCCTATTTGATCCTTGACTTGGGGTTTTCTCCATTGGCGTGGTTCCTGGGTTTCTGTTTCTCCTCCCTTGATTCTTCCCTTGGGGTGGGCTATCCTCACGCACAGTGGCCTGCCAGCGCTTGGGAAGGATCACTGCACAGTGTGTTTACGGAAGTTGTGCGCATGTTCACTTGAGGCATTTTTCCCTTACAAGTTGAGCGTTCCTGGAGGAAGGTCATATACCAGTTAAACTCCACCATTTTGCATCTTAATTAATGCACATGCTTGAGCCTGCTCATCCAGCTCCTGAGATCTTATCTGGAAGTTGCTAATCACCAGCTTCAGGTGTTTTCTGTCTATTGTTAGAGTAGCTTTCCCTGGTGCCAGCTGACCCCAATTATTATTTTAGAGAGACAGTTTAACAACAGCCCTACCATCACCTGATGGTTGCCTGACATTTCTGGGCTAAGAGGCCCCTCTCCTTCGCTGCTTATGTCTGCCTAACTACCTACTCTAACAAAGGGACACAGCCAAGCCGGGGCTGGGGTCTGGGGTGGTGGTGGCAGGGAGGAGAATTTGGAGGAGCAAATACAAAGTATCTCAAAGCACAGGAAGTGTGGATAAGAAGGGAATGATTGGCATCTCAACCGCAGGGGTGAGTCCACAAAGCTTTCTGGAGGAAAGCTTTTCTTTTGTTTTTTTAACACTGCTGGAAATGACTTAGGAGGCCCTTATATGCCGGATACTGTTCTAAGTTTGTTATCTGCACTAATTCACTGAATACTAAAATAGCCCTCTGAGGAGGATAATATTGTCTTTTGTAGAGGTGGGGGGTGCTTTTCATTGAAGTCTAATATACATAAAGTGCACATATAAATGACAGTTCAATAATTTTCACAAAGGCAACACACTCAGGCAATCAGCCTGCAGATCAGGAAAGAAAACATGACCAGCCACCTAAGACTCCCTTTCCAGTCTCCACCACCCTCAGTGGTGTTGATATCCAACACCAACACTGAAACCGCCTTTGCAAAAATTATATCAGTAAGAAAAATTGTAACAGTGAGCTGGGCTACCCTCGCCCCACCCCCATCTTGCCTTTCCCTTAATTATTCCTGGGCTTTGGGGCTGAGCTGAGTTTGAGGGACATTTGGGTAAATTTAAATGATAATAGGCCTTCCCTCAAACTCAATTGCTTTTCTAAAGCTAAGGGGAGGCCTCCAGGCTAGGGGAAGGAGAAGAGCCTGAGTCTCTTGCTAAGGTATAGACATGAAGGATTGTTTAGTCATTATTCCAGAGGTTATAGGAGATGCAGCTTCCCCAGTGATTCCTGCAGATAACATCTCTGTTGTAGGTTGGCTTTTTGAGATATCTTTTCAGGTTTTTTTGCATGTCTGACACCCATGGCTTCACCTTGACCTGATGGCTCCACTTGGACCCTCAACCCCACTCCTGTGGCCCCACCCAGAAACAATTCAGTGCACAGGAGGACAGCGTTGACCCCCTATGATTTCATCTCTGCCCCAACCAATCAGCAGCAGGCCTAATCACCCCCATCACTTCCCCCGAACTGCCTTTGAAAAACTCTTAACCTAGGAGCTTTGGAAGAGAATTATTTCAGTACTAAATTGGTCCCCACGTGGCATGGCCGGCCTTGTGTCTATAAAACTCTTTCTTTAATATAATGCCATGGTTTTTCTTTGTGCGGTCACAGGAAGAACCCCTCAGGCAGTTACAACACTATCCTAAAATCCAACACCAATGAGGATTTTTGCCATTTTTTTGTACTTTATGTACTGAAGTCGCACAGCACTAATTCTTTTGTCTATGACTTCTTAGGTCAATTTTTTGTTTGTAGCAACAAACTTAATTTGAAAATTGTAAAATATATACAACACAAAATTTACCATTTTATCCATTTTGAAGTCTACAGTTCAGTGCCATTAAATGCATTCACAATGTCGTGTAGCCGTCACCAGTATCCACTGCCAGAACTTTCTCCACATCCCAAACAGAAACTCTATACTCATTAAACAATAACTCCATTCTCCCCCTCTTCCCCCCAGCCCCTGGTAACCACTATTCCGCTTTCTGTCTGTGGGAATTTGCCTATTCTAGGCACCTCATATAAGTGGAATCGTGCGGTATTGGCCCTTTTGTGTTTGGCTTATTTCATTAACATAATGCTTCCCACGTTCATGGTCATCCTCATTTCATAGGTGAGGAAACTGAGGCGCAGGAACATTAAGGAAGGAAGTGGTGAGCCAGGCAGTCTGGCTCCAGTGCCTGAGTACTTAAGAGCATCATTGTGCTGTTTATCAATGAGCCTTGTGTTCACAGAGTCAATGATGATAGTTTTTCAAAGCATGGGCTGGCTGGATGGCTCTAAGTGCTTCTCAGAGCCTACTAACCCAGAATAAAACAACTTGAAATCCACATTTTCTTTCCTGTGTGGCAAAAGGAAGAGTTTCCCTTTGTCTTCTTGTGTCTGGCTAAAAGAGCAAACTCTTTCCTCTAATTGCAGACTCTTACTTGATTGTTTCTGCAGTCCCTGCCATTCATCCATTTCTATGATGACTCTGCTCCCATCCCCAAGACCAGCTTCCTGGCACTCACTTCAGAGCCACCATTTGGCTGTCTCAGCACTCCCTATTGGGTAAAACTCATCATTCCACTGTGCACAACTCTGTACAATTTGCTCAAAATATTAGTTTTGTGCAGAGCCGCTTTTGACTTGGGAGCCAGAACAATCCATTTTGAAGCCAACGATGCCAGTCTGGCTATTGTTAGGAACGGGGACCCTGGTTAGCACACACCAACCTGCCTCATCCAAAATGAATTCAGGGGCCAGCAGAGATCGAGTCCAAGCTCTTCCCTGACTTTGGGCAGTCAAGCCACAAAGGGCTGGTGCATATTTACCAACAGTCCGCACATGTCTGACTTGTCTTCGCCAAAATCACTGAATTCCAGCATCTCGGAATGCTGGGTGCCAAGAAAAGGCAGGTAGCCATAGTTGTCTTGGATGGCATGACTCAGCAGCAATGGTGCTCTTCAGCAATGAGGTACTGACTTTTAAACACAGGAATAACGTGCCAACACTAAGCTACAAGCGAATTTTTTATATTGGGAATTTGCAAACATAAGGCCCTTTTTGTACCTATCAGACAGTTAAACAAAATTTGCGATACTCTGCTAACAGATTCTCTTTCTTTCAGCGATACAATACATTGCATTACCTTTCTGGTCCCAATTGTCATCAAAGACAAGAAACAATCTAACCAAAATGCTGGCTCCTCCTCCTCTACTGGAGCTTTAATTATTAGTGTTTTGCAGCTCAGTCCTAGCTACATTTTCCTCCTGTGTGATCTTACTCATTTAAATGCCATTTGTACTTGTCAGAACCCACTTGGTTACAAGTAGCAGAAACTAACTCAACTCTGAAGCAAAAATGGGAATTCATTGATTCATGTAATTGTGATGTTAGCTCCAGGACTGACAGCCTCATGGGCCTCAATGCTGCATCAGCACGTGGCCTCTCTCCCTCTGTTACTTGGGTCTTTTTTCCTGTTGTGTTGTGTTGGTCTCATTCTTATTAGGCTACAGTCCCAAGGTGGTTTAAAAAAAAAAAAAAAGGCTCTGGTAGCTCCAAGCTTGCACTGTACCAGTTTAGCAATTCTTCTGTAAAGAACAACTTTTCCTTCCTTATTGTTCCACTAAAAGTCCTTTGGCTAATTCTTATTGAAATGATCTGGGTTATCTGCATAGCCCTGAATAATCACTACGACTGGGTAAATGGCTTGTGCTGACTGTTCAGGCCTGAGACTTCTCCTTACTTCTTGGCTAGAGGAGAATCTGGAACTTTGATTAACAGCCTGTCATGATTCTTAGCCAAGAAGGAGGGATATTTCCCCGAAAGAAAATCAGGATCCTTTTAGCAAAAGATATGGCATATTTTCCCACACAGAACTATACTATGTATATGCTGAAGATTTCCAAATTTCTTTCTTTCTGGTCCAGACCTCACCCCTGAACTATAGGTTCATATATCAAACAGCTTCCTTGACTCGTCTTATGGGCATCTTAATCTCACTGATATGGTTTGGCTCTGTTGTCCCCACACAAATCTCATCTTGAATTGTACTCCCATAATTCCCACATGTTGTGGGAGGGACCCAGTGGGAGATAATTTGATCATGGGGGTGGTTTCCCCCATACTGTTCTCATGGTAGTGAATAAGTCTCACGAGATCTGATGGTTTTATCAGGGGTTTCCGCTTTTACATCTTCCCCATTTTCTCTTGCCGCCACCACGCAAGAAGTGCATTTCACCTCCCACCATGATTCTGAGGCCTCCCCAGCCATGTGGAACTGTAAGTCCAATTAAACCTCTTTTTCTTCCCAGCCTCGGATATGTCTTTATCAGCAGCGTGAAAACAGACTAATACACTTACCCTGTCCAAAATGTATCTCTTGATTATGAGCATCACACCTCTACCCTATCCTATCCCCAACCTGTACTTTCTTTGCTTACAAGCAAGAAGAACTGGCACTGGCTAACTTAGGCAGGCAGAATGTGCTGGAAGGCTTTGGGACTCGCAGAATTGATGGCAGGCTGGAGTCCTGGACTTGGAACTAGGAAGCACAGCAAATGCCTTGCAAAAGAAAAAACTTGTTAGGAGCTCCTGGAGGGACTGAATTTTGTCCTTCTTCAGATTCGCATTCCAGGAAAGGATTACCTGATTGGACTATCTCAATCATGTATGGCCTCTCGGCTTGACTATAACTCATAAGAAAGAGGTGTTCCCGCCGGGCGCAGTGGCTCATGCCTGTAATCCCAGCACTTTGGGAGGCCGAGGTGGGCGGATCACCTGAGGTCAGGAGTTCAAGACCAGCCTGGCCAACATGGTGAAACCCCGTCTCTTTAAAAATACAAAAAAATTAGCCAGATGTGGTGGCGGGCGCCTGTAATCCCAGCTACTTGGGAGGCTAAGGCAGGAGAATTGCTTGAATCCGGGAGGCAGAGTTTGCAGTGAGCCGAGATTGCACCATTGTACTCCAGCCTGGGCGACAGAGCGAAACTCAGCTTCAAAAAAAAAAAAAAAAGGAGGTGGTGTTCCCTAACAAGAAATGGGGGTGCTGTTAGGGAAATGGATGCTAGACATTCAAATACTCAACACATATCCCCTCTACACCCTGTTCTTCCCCCAACTCACTAGATGTCTTCTCCACTTGACACATGGCTCAAGTAAAAAACCTAGCAGTGAGCCTGAGTTCCTCCCCTCCCCTCACCTCCACATCCAAGGTGTCAGCAAACCCCTACAGCTCTGCTTCAAAAAGGTATCCTAACAGTGTCTATTTCTGTCTGTTTCACCTCTACCTCCCTCATCCACACCATGACTTTCTCTCAGCTGGAATTCCATAATGGCCTCCATCTGGTTTCTCTGCCTCCCTTTTTGCTCCATGCAGCAGCTAGGGTGATCATCTCAACAATACAAAACAAGTCCTGTCACCTCTGCTTAAAGCCCTTCATTGATATCTTATTGATCTTGCAATAACATCTAATCACAAGATGGTCCTATGACAAAGTGGTTATGAACCGAGACTCTGAAGCCAAATTGCCTGGGTTCAAATCTACGTTCCACCCCTTAACAACTAGAGCTCCTTGGAAAAGTTATGTAGCCTCTCTGGGCCTCAGTGCCCTCATCTGAAGAGTGGGAATAATAATAGTATTTAATTATAGGGTTGCATAATGATTGAATAACTAACCCATAAAAATTACTTGGAATAGCATCTGACACAAAGTAAGTGCTAAATAAACATTAGCTATTATCATATAAAGACCCATTTGATCTGGTGCCTGTCCTCTCTCTGACTACATCTCCCTCTACTCTCCATTCTTTGTTTCCATGGTCCCACCAGACTGACACCCTGATTTTCTTAGAACATTCCAATTCTTTCTACCTCAACACCTTTACATTGCTCTTCTGTATGCCCACATGTTCTTCTACCAGATTTCACATGGAGCTTAAATACCACCTTTTCCAGACAGGCTTCACAGTATCTAAAGTCGCTCTTCCTCCCTGCCTTTATTACTCTGTCCCATCACCCTGTTCATAGACTTCAGTGTGCTTATAACATTGAAATGATCCAATTTATTGCTTTTCTATTTATTGTCTGTTTTCTTCTCGAGAATGTGAGTTCCATGAGAGGAGAAAGCTTGGCAGTCTTGTTCACAGCTCTTAAAAATATGCTTGGCACCTAATAGGCACTCAATAAATGCTTGTTGAATGAATTAATGAATTCCGGATGACTGAAGGATGAAATGTTTGCTAAATCAACAGGATCAATCTTGTCATTGAACCACATACATTTCTGCTTGAAGAGTTCTAGCAACAGTGTGTTTCGAGCTATCACCATTATAAGAATAACTGGGGTGGTAACTTGAAGGGGTGGGTTGCCCCTCCACACCTGTGGGTGTTTCTCGTAAGGTGGAACGAGAGACTTGGAAAAGAAAAAGACACAGAGACAAAGTATAGAGAAAGAAATAAGGGGACCCGGGGAACCAGCATTCAGCATATGGAGGATCCCGCCAGCCTCTGAGTTCCCTTAGTATTTATTCATCATTCGTGGGTGTTTCTCCGAGAGGGGGATGTGTCAGGGTCACAAGACAATAGTGGGGAAAGGGTCAGCAGACAAACACGTGAACAAAGGTCTTTGCATCATAGACAAGGTAAAGAATCAAGTGCTGTGCTTTTAGATATGCATACACATAAACATCTCAATGCTTTACAAAGCAGTATTGCTGCCCGCATGTCCCACCTCCAGCCCGAAGGCGGTTTTTCCCTATCTCAGTAGATGGAACGTACAATCGGGTTTTATACCGAGACATTCCATTGCCCAGGGACGGGCAGGAGACAGATGCCTTCCTCTTGTCTCAACTGCAAGAGGCATGCCTTCCTCTTATACTAATCCTCCTCAGCACAGACCCTTTACGGGTGTCAGGCTGGGGGACGGTCAGGTCTTTCCCTCCCACGAGGCCATATTTCAGACTATCACATGGGGAGAAACCTTGGACAATACCTGGCTTTCCTAGGCAGAGGACCCTGCGGCCTTCCGCAGTGTTTGTGTCCCTGGGTACTTGAGATTAGGGAGTGGTGATGACTCTTAAGGAGCATGCTGCCTTCAAGCATCTGTTTAACAAAGCACATCTTGCACCGCCCTTAATCCAGTTAACCCTGAGTTGACACAGCACATGTTTCAGAGAGCAGGGGGTTGGGGGTAAGGTCATAGATTAACAGAATCTCAAGACAGAAGAATTTTTCTTAGTACAGAACAAAATGGAGTCTCCTATGTCTACTTCTTTCTATACAGACACAGTAGCAATCTGATCTCTCTTGCTTTTCCCCACAGTAACTCCCAGACACAAATTCTTTCCTGGATATAATTCTGCTGGTTTTGGGTTTCAGTGGGCTTCTACTTTTGCTGTTCTGTGACTGAGGCAGCTGTAGGACTGGGGAAGTGCGATGGACAGGGAGTCAGGAATCCTGGCTTCCCGTAGGGGATCTGATATTCAGTAGCTTGTAACTGTGAGAAGTCCTCATTTCTGTGAGCCTCAGTTTCCTTGTCTGTAATGTTGGGGATGAAATATAATGGCTTTCAAGGATATGGAGAAATTAGAACTCTTGTGCATTACTGGTGGGAGTGAAAAACGGTGCCGCCACTGTGGAAGACATTAGGGAGGTTCCTAAAAAATTTAAAAATAGAATTAGCATATAATCCAGTAATTCCGTCTCCAGGTATACACCCAAAAGAATTGAAAGGAGGGACTTGAACAGAAATTTGGACATCCATGTTTATAACGGCATTATTCACAAAATCCAAAAGGATAACCCAAATATTTATTAAAGAATAAATGGATAAACAAAATACATACTTACATGTATGTACACACACACACAATGGAATATATTCAACCTTAAAAAGGGAAAAAAATTCTGACATAAACTACAATATAGGCAAACCTCAAAAACATGCTAAGTGAAATAGGCCAGACACAAAAGGACAAATATTATGACTGCCCTTATCTGAGGTACAATTTGACTTTAGAGTAGCTAAATAAAGAAAGAAAGCAAAATAATGGTTACCAGGGGCTGGGAGGAAAGAGGGAATGGGGAGTTATTGTTTAATGGGTGTGAGGTTTCAGTGGCTGATGATGGAAGGGTTTTAGAGAGATGGATGATAGTGATGGTTGGGGGATGATGGAAGGGTTTTAGAGACGGATGGTGGTGACAGTTGGGGGATGATGGAAGGGTTTTAGAGACGGATGGTGGTGACAGTTGGGGGATGATGGAAGGGTTTTAGAGATGGATGGTGGTGATGGTTGTACAACAAGTAGATATACTGAATGCCACTGAACTGTAAATTCCAAACGGTTAAAATGGTACATTTTATGTTATGGATATTTTACCACAATCGAAATATAATAATGCCCTTTTCTTGAGGTAGTTTCAAACACTAAGTGAGCTAATGTATGTCATCACCTACCATAGTTGGTATTCATAGTTAAATTGGTGTGAAACTGTAAAAAGTGACTGTAGGCAGTGGTAAATAAGGAGAATCTTCTAATCTTGAAATATTTATCATCAGAGACATTATATGCACATAAGATGTAGTCAAAAGCATCCTGGAAAAAAAGCAGTGATGGATGAAATGTGTGCCTGCCCGCCTTTACCAATATTTCATTCTACTTTAGCTTAACCCAGGGCAAGTGGAGGGAAGTCCTTCTCTGCAAATAAATGGATTGTTATCACTGTTTATTCTAAAGCAGGCTAACATATTTGGAGGCAAACTCAGTTTAAGAGTGGTGACAAAATGCCAGAGTCCCCCACACTCAGCAGCAGAAGCCTTCACCATTGTCTCCCATGGGTGATGGTGGACACAGGGTCAGGACTGGACTCCTCTTGACTTTTCTCTGGGAATGTAGCTCTGCCCCGTACTCTTCTGTTATTCCTTGGCTCAGTAAGGAAACATCACACTCACCTAGCCCTTGAAGTTTAAGAAACCAATTCTTCACTCCAATATGTGAAGTCTCGGGGTGTGAAGAGTTCACAGTTACATGATAATAGGGACTGTGAAGTTAGAGACCTGACACTTTACCCTCCAAGGTTTTCTTGACTCAGAGCCTCTCTCAGTTTCCCTACCAGCTTGACCTTTCTTGACCCCATTCTCCTGGTTCTTGAGAAAACCACATTCTATCTGGCAGGTTCTAGCCCATGTCCTGGCTTAGAAAGCACTGCTCTTTGGTCAGCCTCCTGTGTACTGTTCAGAGCTGATTGCTCTGCCTCTTGGGCTCTTCCCAACGGGTCTAGTGTTTATATGTCCAACATTAACCCTTCAACGTCTCTCCTGCAGCACCCCGTGCCTTTATCATTTAAATAACTTCAGGTCTGCACACCCTCCCAGCCCTGGCTTTTCCTCTCACAGCACCCCTAATTACTTCTTTTGCTTGTTAGTTTGGGGATCAATTTCTCTGCCTTCTGGTTCATTTTTGCTGTTAACTTCTGTAAGGTAGTTGCTCTTGCAAGTTATAATGGATGCACAAAGAGAAGGGGAAGGACCTACCATGCGCAGTGGGTCATGCCTGTAATCCCAGCACTTTGGGAGACAGAGGCGGGTGGATCACCTGAGGCCAGGAGTTCAAGACCAGCCTGGCCAAAATGGCGAAACCCCGTCTCTACTAAAAATACAAAAATTAGCCAGGCGTGGTGGCACATGCCTGTAATCCCAGCTACTCGGGAGGCTGAGGCAGGAGAATCACTTCAACCTGGGAGGCGGAGGTTGCAGTGAGCCGAGATCGTGCCACTGCACTCCAGCCTGGGTGACAGAGTGAGACTCCATCTCAACCAAAAAAAAAAAAAAAAGAGAGAGAGAAGGGAAAGAACCCTAGTCATTCATGAATATAACCCATATGAGACAGAAGCCTCTCATGTCCCCATCTCAGGCTGTGTGAACACAGGCAAGAGAGCATCACTGGGTAAGAGCACAGGCGCTGGGGGTATCTATCACTCATAAACTGGGTAACCTCGGGTGTATTTCATAATCTCTCTGTGTCTCAGTTTTCCTGTCTGAAAGTGGGAATAATAGTAATGGTACCCATCTCGTGGGGCTCTTGTGAGGACTGAGTTAATATATTAAAAGTATGTAGAATAGGCAGGGCGCAGTGGCTCACGCCTGTAATCCCAGCACTTTGGGAGGCCAAGGCGGGCAGATAGCCCGAGGTCAGGAGTTTGAGACTAGTCTGGCCAACATGGTGAAACCTCATCTCTACTAAAAATATAAAAATTATCCGGGCGTGGTGGCAGGTGCCTGTAATCCCAGCTACTCGGGAGGCTGAGGCAGGAGAATTGCTTGAACCCGGGAGCCGGAGGTTGCAGTGAGCCGAGATCACACCATTGTACTCCAGCCTGGGCGACAAGAGTGAGACTTTGCCTAAAAAAACAAAACAAAACAAAAAAGTATGTAGAATGGAACTGGCATGTAGAAAGTTCTCAATAAATGATGGTTTCATTAAAAGTTTATGTAAATCTGTCTCTAATTTTCTTTTGAGAGAGTACCAGTGAAAGGGTAGGGTACTCATTCACTTACATAGCACAAAACCGCTTGTATTGGGACTTTTTTGGTTGCAAATGACAGAAACCCAGTTTAAGCCATCTTAAGAAAAAAAAAGTAGGAAGGAAAAGGGAGTCAATGGCTTCTGTCACTGGGGAAGATACTAGAGTTGCTGAAGGAAAAGTTTTAGGAATCATTGCTACAAAAACTGGGAAGAGACTCACTCCAGCTGGATTTTCTCTCTCCCATCTGCCTCTGTCTCTACTGCTTGTGTCTTGACAAAATTCTCTCCTATTGCAGACGGCCTAGACTTTTCTACATAGCAAGGAACATGTGTGCTGGCCAACCTAGCATAGCCGTGTCAGCAGAAGAAATGTTTCATCTATATGTAGATCAAATATGCCATGGCTTATCTGAACTAACACAGCATATAGATGAAACACATCCAACAACATAGTGTATTTACGGGGCATGGCAGGGGGAGACAGGGGGTCCAGGAAGGCGACTCTGAGGGTTTAGTGTGCCAGATGTTGATTAAAGAGTGTTCTTTCATTAAAAACCTGTAGAAAAGAGTAAACGGAAGCAGCACTGGGCAAAAGAGAAGTTGATCTGTAAATCAGGCCAGATGCTTTAAACCTTGGTCAAGACTACAGAAGCCCTGGTGCTAAAATGCCGTGTTAGAGATGCTTTACATTGAACCACAATGTTGGACATGGAGCCTCACATTGGTTGATCCCCAGATGTGGGCTTTTCTCAAAAGGGCATAACCTTAAATAAAACCATTCTCTTGTTCTTCAGGGAGGCAGCCCCTGAAGGGACTCTTTGCTGACAGCACTACCTCAGCTGTGGCAATAAGTCCTTGATTGAAATGGAATCTGGGTGGCAGTCACAGTGTCTATCATTGAGTAGAAATTAATTTCTTGCTCATCTAACAGTCCTGGCAGGTGTCCAGCTAGGCAAGTAGGCTCTCTTCCATGAAGTCATTCAAGGACCCAGGTTCAAATGTGGCTTCACCAAAACATAAGACCTCACTGCCATGTGCATCTTGCTGGCAGAGGATGAAGACACTTGGAGGATCACACATAGGAGGATTTTATAGGCTGATTCTGAAAGGGGCCCATACTATTTCTATTCATATTTCATTGACATGGCAATGCTGAACTGCAAGGGAGGCCCTGTGCTCAGGAAGAAGAGGAAATGGATTTGAGTGAACAGCTATCAGTCTCCACCACAGATGCTTTTACTCCTCCTCTCTCACCCCCCGGCTTCCAATCCCAGACCTCCTCACTGTATGCAACCTCCTGGATAGTGGTTGCTTTTCTCAAGAGCAGGAGCTTACTGGTGCTAAAATGACTTGTTAGAGATGTTTCGCATTGAACTGCAATAGCTGGACATGTAGTCTCATATTGGTGATTCACTCCTCATCCACTCCCAAATAGTGATGACTATGATTCTCTCATGACCCAGTCATGTCCCCCCAATTCCCTGGTTTGCTTTTCACTGTGAACACTCTGCCTTCTTCATAGCAGGATGTATCCCTTGATAACGCTTCTCCCATAAGCCTCCTCTCCTTAGAAGCTTTCCAGTTGAGCAGATTCCTGCTATTCTCCTCTTCTCTCTTCCTCTCTCAAGTTAAGACATGGAACTCAAGCAGACATATGTATACCCTGTCCCCAGATCCTGAAGCTTTCCTTCCTCCTGACTGTGCTTAAGACATGAAACTGCAATGGGCTCCTCCTTATTTTTAGTTTTTATATTTGGTGTGTTTTCTCTCAGCATATTGTTCAACTGCTTTCTACATCTGGTTTTAAGGATCTAAGTGGCAGAAAATTTGAGAAGTCTTTGCACAGGACTTAAAAAGTAGTATGTATGTATTTAGGCATTGAGTAAGTCCCTCCCTCCCTTTTTCCCTACCTTTCTTCCTCTCTCCTCCCTGTAGCAGAGATAGTTAGCTAACTACCAAAGATTCATGCTCCCTTTCCATCGTGTAGAGTTGTTGCTCATCCAGGCCCTCCCACCCGCCTTCCTCGCCACACCCCCATTTCTAACTGAGGCCATGTGACTAGCCAAGGAGTCATTTGTGTCATCTCTGAGCTAAGGTGGTGAGCATCTGCTGTGCCTTTCCCATGACATGTCTCATGTTTGCACTGTTTTTAGAAGCCACATGTTGAAGATGGTAGTGTCAAGATGGAAGAAGGTTGGATCCCTGCGTTACCACTTGGTGGAGAGCTGCCCAAGCAGGCACATCTGCTTTAGACTTTGCACAAGCCAAAAATAAACTGAGAGTGCCGGGCGCGGTAGCTCACACCTGTAATCCTAGCACTTTAGGAGGCTGAGGAGGGTGGATCACTTGAGGTCAGGAGTTCGAGCCAGCCTGGCCAACATGGCGAAACCCCATCTCTACTAAAAATACAAAATTTTTTGGGAGGCCAAGGCAGGCAGATCACCTGAGGTTGGGAGATCAAGATCAGACTGACCAACATGGAGAAACCCCATCTCTACTAAAAATACAAAATTAGCTGGGCATGGTGGCACATGCCTGTAATCTCAGCCGAGACTGTGCCATTGCACTCCAGCCTGGGCAACAGAGCAAGACTGTCTCAAAAACAAACCAAAACAAAACAAAAAAACAAAGATAAATAAAACACAGTCCCTGAACTCAAGGAGTTCATAATCTAGAGGGTGAAATGGATGTATACTTACATATTTTTGTTACAATGTGTTAAATTCTATATTACAGATATATAGAGTATTATGGGAAGGCAGAGGAGGTAGTTTGCATGGGGACAGGAGTGTGGAAAGGATGACTGGAGGTCAGCAAGTGACTAACAGGTATTCCAAAGAGATGAGAATGAACTAAGGTGGAGGCAGGGAAATCAAGTTCATGGGTGTATATGCGTGGTGGAGGGGAAAAGGGATGAGGGGATGACAAACTAGGGAACTTTTGTTAGGATGTGCTGCTCGTGGATTCTATTGGAAAGGAAGTTTATTGAGCGGGGATAATTAAGACAATCCTAAAATGTAATTAAATCTCTACTTAAAAGTAATAGTCTTCCTATGGGACCATGACACATCTGACTTCCCAGGGAAAAATATCTTTGGGACTCAACCTTGAAGGTTTATTTTCACATAATCTTTAAATTCTAATAAGTGCTTGATTCAAATGTAGCATGACTCTGCTTAAAGGGAATGATACTGCTATATCAGAGACAGATAATTACCTGTTTTTCACTTCCTATGTCCTTAGTAAATCTGCTTTTTCTGAACCACCAACTGTGTCCTCTGCTTTCCAGAGAGTTCTGATAGCCAGTGGACAAAAGGTCATGCTGAAGTTCCAGTGATGGCATTACACCGAATCATACAGGATGGTCAGCATTCGACTATTTTGTATTTGAAATATGGCAGTTTCATAAGGTTCTGCCTAATATAACCACAGGTGGTAGTTTAGGTAGTTTAAATTCTTTTTTTTTTCCCCCAAGATGGAGTCTCACTCTGTCACTCATGCTGGAGTGCAGTGGTGCGATCTCGGCTCACTGCAGCCAAGGTTCCAGGTTCCAGTGATTCTCCTGCCTCAGCCACCTGAGTAGCTGGGATTACAGGCACACGCCACCATGCATGGCTAATTTTTTGTTATGAGTAGAGATGGGGTTTCACCATGTTGGTCAGGCTGGTCTCGAACCCCTGACCTCAGGTGATCTGCCCACCTCAGCCTCCCAAAGTGCAGGGATTACAGGCATGAGCCCGTGTAGCTGGTAGTTTAAATCCTTGATCCCAATTCTTCACTCCCTGTAGTAGCATATATCAGAACCCTCGTCACAGTGCCAACACAGGAGCAGTATACTTCTCTGCTCCTTGACTTTGGGTTCTGCCATGGATGTGCCTTGAGCAATGGAATATTAACAGATGGGATGAAAAAGGAGGCTTGCAATGTGCTTGTGCAGTTGGACTTTGCTCGTGCCTCTGTATCACTAGGAGCATATAGGTTCCTAGGTCATCCCTGCAATTTCATGCCTGGCCCAGAATGATGGAAGTTTTATCTCACTTGTAAAAGGAGACCCAAGAGACCCAAGACAGGAATATTCCTTTTCCACCTCTCAAGATTGTCATCTGAATGTTGGCTGGAACTGAGGCAGCCATTTGAGACCATTACAAGAGCCTGCCTTGAGAAGAAGACTAGCCGTTGCACAGAGGGTGGCAGAGTGGCAAGATGAGAGAAACCTGTGTCCTGGTCATGCCACAGAGCTACTGACATTGCCAACCTAAAACCACTCTGTCATCCCATTTGGATTTTCTTTTCCTTTTTTTTTTTTTTTTTTTGAGACAGGGTCTTCCTCTGTTGCCCAGGCTGAAGTACAATGGTGCAGTCATGCCTCACTGCCGTCTTGACTTCCTGGGGCTCAAGCCATCATCCCATCTCAGCATCCAGAGTAGCTGGGATTACAGGAATGCACCATCATACCTGGCTAATTGTTGTATTTTTTGTGGAGACGAGGTTTTGCTCTATTGCCCAGACTGATCTTGAACTCCTGGGCTCAAGCGATCTTCTTACCTTGGCTTCCCAAAGTGCTGGGATTACAGGTGTGCACCACCACGCCCAGCCTGGATTTTCTATTAACAGCTATTTGTAGCATCCCAATGGATCGCTCAGGAATCATACACATCATGACTTTCAATTGTTAGAGATGTTTAAAGGTGTAAAAAGTCATACATGAAAAATTTAAAAATTAAATAATTATCTCCACCTTACAGATGGAGTAAGATTTGTTCAGATGATGCTAGAAAATGCCCTTCGAAGGCTGGATCAAGTTTGACTTCTTTTGACCTGAACAGATTATTTTGGTTTACCATCAAACTGTTTTGTGTTATTTCCATTCTTTTGAAGTGCTATTTCCTTGAATGAAGGAAAATGTCTACAGGTATAGATATTGTGTATTACATATTTTCTTGGTCAGGGGTTTACAAATAAAGCTAATTCATTATTAATGTCCAGGCACAGCTCTCACTCTTCTGTTAGTCACTGTAGGAAAAACGCAACACTGCATAGTTGAAGGAATAGCATTTTTGGAGTTCATTAGTCCTGAGGTCAAGCCTTGGCTATCTGGGCAATCATGTGCAAATCACTTAATGCTCTTAAGCCTCAGTCTCCTCATCTGTGAAACAGGGATAATGATACGAACTTCAAATTTGAGGAGTGAAGTATAAAGTGTCTGACACATAATAGGGCTCTGTAAATGATCATTGCCTTCCTCTTCCCCAGCTCCAAGACAAAACGCATCTTTGGTTTTAAAGATTACTAGGCTAAAAAATCATGAGTGATTGGGCTTGGAAAAACCCATGTCATACTGCTAAAGTCAGGAACAATCATTTTAGAAAATTAGAAATAAGACAGGGCTGTCTTCCTGGAATGTACCATGTGTTCTCAGAAAGAAAGCCAAGATATTAATGGAAGGCAGTATTAAAGATACCCTCACCTCATTCCCTCAACTCATGTATTTATTTTTATTATAAAATATATGGCAAGCAAGATATCTTTGAATAGGGCAAGTTATTTTTATTTTTATTTTTTTATTTTCATATTTTTTTCTTTTGAGATGGAGTCTTGCTTTGTCACCTAGGCTGGAGTGCAGTGGTGCGATCTCGGCTCACTGCAACCTCTGCCTCCTGGGTTCAAGTGATTTTCCAGCCTCAGCCTCCCGAGTAGCTGGGACTACAGGCAATTGCAACCATGTGCAGCTAATTTTTGTATTTTCAGTAGAGACGGGGTTTCACCATGTTGGCCAGGCTGGTCTCAAACTACTGACCTCAAGTGATCTGCCCACCTCAGCCTCCCAAAGTGCTAAGATTACAGGAGTGAGGCACCACGCCCCGCCTAGTTATTTTTAGGTTCTTCTTCCATTCAAACTCAGGAGCTATATTTCCTTTTCTCCTTACTAAATGCCATGTTCTCCATGATGTCTCTCTCCCTGTTAGGATAAGATTGTTTTCGGTTTTCTGGAATTTGGTAATGTCAGTTCTCCCAGGCAGGGCGTGTGGGTGTGTGCATGTGTGTGTATGTGTGTGTATCTTTTTCTAATGGTGGCAGTTCAAGGCTTTCTGAAGGAATCCAAGCTGCATGAACCAAATCAAAATTTCCTATCCCCTGTGAAATTCTTGACATTGACTCCTGTTGGTTTCTTTGTACCTTGTCTTCCTCCCCCAACAGTGCCTGAACATCAGGGATCTCCCTGGGGCTGCGTGAGCTGATGCTCTGGTCAACAGTTTAGGCAGCTCATGATGCTGGGTGCGTAGTTCACTTGGAATGAGGACTCTGGATGAAGAATAGATTTGAGATAGATTCATCAACTCATAGCTTTTTTATTTTATTTATTTATTTGTTTGTTTGTTTGTTTGTTTGTTTGTTTTGAGACAGTCTCGTTCTGTTGCCCAGGCTGGAGTGCAGTGATGTGATCACAGCTCACTGCAGGCTCAAACTCCTAGGCTCAAGTAATTCTCACACCTCAGCCTCCCACATCCCTGGGATTACAAGCATGAGCCACCGTGCCCAGCAGACTTTTTACAGAGGGCACAACTACATAGATCACTCATCATGCATTCACCGTGTGTCAATGACCATTCTAGGCAATGGGGATACAGCAGTGGGTAAAATCCTAACTTCAGGAACTTACATTCTAGGGAAGAGAGACATATGATAAATAAAGAAAATAAATAAGAGTTACTGTATATGGGCTCTGGAAAACAAATTAAGCAGGAAAGAAGGCCATTTTATTCAGATTAGTTGGGAAAGCCTCCCCACAGTAATGTTTGAGAAAAAACTTGAGGGGGTGAGATCTAGGGACAGGGACTCTAGGCAGAAGAAACAGTAAGCACAAAAGCTTTGATGCCTAGAGGCTGGTGAGGCTGAAGCCGAGTGGGCAAGGGGTATCACTAGATGGAATCAGGGAGGGAATGTGGTCCAGATGGGTGGACTTGGGCTTTTACTCTGAGTAGAATGAGAAGCTGTTGGCGGATTTTGACCAGTGGAATGACATGATATGACATGTTAAAAAACATCCCCCTGGCCACTGTGGTGGGAATAGATTGCAAAGGAGCAAGAGTAGAAGCAAGGAGAACATTGCAATCATCCAAGTGAGACACAAGGATGGTCTGGACCAGGGTGGAGCCAGTAGGGGTAGGGAAAAGTACAGCCATTCCAGATTACATTTTGAAGGTAGAACCAACAGATTTTCTTACTGAAGCAGGCATGGGGTATGCGAGCAGTACAGGGTGAAGCATGACTCCAACACTTTTGGCTTGAGCCACTGGAAGGATGGAGCTGAGATCCACTGAATGAAGGACTGTGGCTGGAACAGGATATGGGGGAAAGAGCAGAAGCTCAATTTGGGATGAGTTTGAGATGCCTTTAGACACCCAAGTGGGGATATTGGGTGGGCAGCTGCTTGTATGGATCTGGAGTACAAAGGTCCTGAATATAAAGCACTCAGCCCAGGGCTCAAAGCAGAGCGATGCTCAATGAGTTGCAGCTCCCTTCTGTTTCCATATCCCTGACTCCCAAATTTTGTTCATGGAAACTCACAGAAGAGAAGACTCCCAAGTCAGTATTGATCTATATTATTATGTCTCTTCTCCTTACCTATAGCAGCCTGGAGCTGCTTTATAGAAATAAATGACTTGATCCAAGGACCAAGTTGGTTTCCTTAACCTCAGCTTTGTAAAGAATATGACATAGGCTGGGTGTAATGGCTCACACTGGTAATCCCAGCACTTTGGGAGGCCAACGCGGGTGGATCACCTGAGGTCAGGAGTTCGAGACCAGCATGGTCAACACAGTGAAAGCCAGTCTCTACTACAGAAATTTAAAAAACAAATTAGCTGGGCATGGTGGTGCACACCTGTAATCCCAGCTACTTTGGGAGGCTGAGGCAGAAGAATTGCTTGAAGCTGGGAGCTGGAGGTTGCAGTGAGCTGAGATGATGCCACTGCACTCCAGCCTAGGCAAGAGAGTGAACTCTGTCTCAAAAAAAAAAAAAATGCATAATTATGGACACAATTCCCCTTTCTTCTTTCCAAAGGAGTAGCCAGGAAAAAAATTCAGTGCTTTTACTCAGTGCTCTTCATATGTTTTTTTCTCTTGCCCTTAAAACATGTACCTTGTGCCAGGGGAATGGTTTCCTCTCTGGATCCCTCAAAACAGCTCCAATTAATACTTTTCTTATTTACTCCAATTAATATTTTTGGTTTTTTCTCTCTTGCCCTGGAATAATCTTCCTCTTTGTCCTTACCTTTCTTCAATTCTCCTATCTCCCTTCTAATTCTCCCTAAACCTTGGATCTAGTCATCCCACTGGACACCCCATTTTCACAACTTTCTGGTATATTGAGTCCTGGTTTCCTTGGACAAGTTGATGAGAGATCGTTTTTGAAATTCTTCTGCAATTAGCTCCTGAAGGAATTGGGGCTGGAGGAGCCTCAGATGGTCCAATGACTTCTGGACATTTGGGTGATCAAGGGGGTTTTAAGAGACTTTCTTGTGTTTCGGTTTCCAGGGATAGTATGCACCCCTACCCTGTAGGTCCTTTTAGCTTGCAGAAGGTAGCCATGAACCAAGAGGTGCCCATCATTCCACCCGGAGCAAGCATCTTGCCTGCGTTTACTTTGGGGTAAAAAGTTTTATCAGGGGGTCAGCTCCTGGAGTTTCAGGCTCTGAAGCTAGTCCTTGAAGATTGGGGAAAATATACCTAGTGAAGGAGAGGAGGAGGTGAGGGAACAGCTTCTGGAAGCAGCAAAACCTTCTTAGCTTTTGACTCCTCCTCCTGTCTATGCAACAGGGAGAGGGGCTGTGCACGGTTCAGGCCCCTTGGCTGGTCTCCCCATTTTCACGTTTGGTGCTGTCTCAGCAAAGTTTTTGTTTTCTAGGATCGGCTGTAAACAGGAGGCACACCATGTTTCCTGTATGGCTTGTTGGCTTTTATATGACAGGTGTGTCTCGTGGCAGGAACAACAGCTCAAGTGTGGCCGAGTCTCATCAAGAGGGCTTCTCTGCTCAGTTGTCCCTTCTGTTTCAGCTGATTCTTGGCTCTGTGCTTGCGAGCATCTGGGAAACTGGGCATGGAAGTAATCCCACCCTTTGTTCGATAACTAGCAGACACACAGGCGAGACAAGCCAGGAGCACAGCCAATTCCCTTAAGGAGTGTGGGCTGAGACCATGCCAATGGGAGGACAGGAGGCAGGGGCCCTGAGCACTGCCACCAGTGCACCAAGCCAAGCTGGCATGCTCAGCCTCTGGCACGGGCTTCAGGTCTCTGACCCCCCTCTTATTCCATCCTTCCTGAGGATTCATTAAGAGTGCTTAGGGGAACACAGAAGGCTTTTTATAGGCATCCTGGTTCAGCCTTGGTAGGGTTACTGAAAACAAAAAAAATATTTCTGGATTGGAAAGATCTTCAGAAATGTTCTTGCCAAAAAATGTTTTATTTAGTTCTTTATCACAGGTCATATTTCTGCAGGGAGGATTTTCCTAACACCTTCAGAGCTCAGAGCAGTGCCATATGCATGAGGTATCTGTGTGTCAAAGAGATGGGAGGAGCACAGCAGGGGTGTGAGAAGGTTGGCTTGAGCTTTAAAATTTTGAAACTTAGGGAGGTTTTTGGAATCACCAAGCCAATAGCACCAATCACCCAAGCCCCAAAAGTGCTGAGGTCCTGTAGGGATCCTCAGCCACACTCATTGTTTCCATGGAAACAATAGAACTTTCTGATATAAAATAGAAGGCAACCTATAGACATCACACTTACAAAAATAGAGATCTGGTTTTCATCTCTGCTTCTTGGGCTAGGGCCAGCTTTTCCTGTTGTCTCTTTTATGGAATTTGAAATAAGGAGCCGAAGAAAAACTCCTAAGTGGGGAAAAAAGACTTCATTCCCTGAGTCCGAAGAAGGAGTCAGTGAACCCATTTCAAATTAGCAAGTTTTGACTAGCAGCTTCCCTGCACGACATTGGAGACCCCACACTGAGCTTGCTTTTAAGTGAGCCCCTGAGTTCTTCTTGTTTTCCAGTGTCGGAACTTCTAAATTACAGGGGCAACAGCCCAGGAACGGAAAAACTGCTCTCATCTGCTTTCTGGCCTGTCTCCAGACTAGAGCAGCTGTGAATATCTTGAGGTTTCCACTGTGGCCTGTCAGAGACTGCTGGTTTGAATAATCCTGATGAGATTTGGAGAAAGAGCACAGGCACATGAACATTTATAAGCAGAGTAGAATCTTTATCCCTTTCAGGTTCATTGGAATGTCACTGTCACTACTGATAAATCAACAGTGTCATCTTTTCCATTACCTCAGCACCTCACATAGAGAGCAGGATGTAATGGACGGACCCTTACTGCAGGGGTCAGAATCCCAGGTTCTGATCCTGATTCTGCCTCCGTGAACTGTGTGACCTTGGATAAGTCGCTTACCTTCTCTGGGCTTTACTTCAGTCACCTGTAAAGGGGAAGGGGGGAGATACTAGATGATCTTTTTGTTTTCATTTTTCTTTATTATAAAAACATATAAAATTTACCATCTTAACCATTTTTAAGTGTACATTTCAGTAGTACTAAGTATATTCACATCATTATGAAACAGATTTCCAGAACGTTTTCATTTTGCAAATCTGAAACTCTATAGCCATGAAACAACTCTCCTTCTTCTCTTTTTTGAGGCCTCTGGTAACCACCATTATACTTTCTGTTTCTATGCCCCTCCTATGACCTCATATAAGGGACACCATACAGTATCTTTCTGCTTGCAACTGACTTATTTCACTTCGCATAAAATCCTCAATGTTTATTCATATTGTAGCAGGTGTCAGGATCTCCTTCCTTTTTAAGGTTGAATGCTATTCCATTGTACAGATATACCACATTTTGTTGATCCATTCATCCACTGATGGACATTTGGGTTGTTTCCACCTCTTGGCTATTGTGAGTAGTGCTATAACCTTGAGTATTCAAATATCTGCTCAAGACCCTGCTCTCGATTCTTTTGCATATGTACCCAGAAGTGGGATTGCTGGATCACATTCTAGTTCTATTTTTAATTTTTTGAGGAACTGCCATACTGTTTTCACAGTGCTGCACCACTTTACCTTCTCACTAAGAGCAAACAAGGGTTACAATTTCTCCACGTTCTTACCAACGCTTGTTATTTTCTGCTTTTTTTGATAGTAGCCATCCTAATGGGCATGAGGTGATATATCCTTGTGGTTTTGATTTGATTTCTGTTTCTCTGATGATATTAACTGTTCATCTTTAACATTTATAGCTCTAGATTCTTTCTGTCTTCAACCAACTTTTTAAGCACTCTTTTCTTTCTGTACAGGAACAGATAATAGTTAATTACTGAGAAACTGAATCTATCACTGACTCTGATAGGGTTTGTTTTTTGGGTTTTTTTTTTCTTTTGCATGCTGGGCTTTTGCTGTGTGTAAGTGATGGGAAATGAGGATGTATTCTTCAGGACTTGATATAATTGAATGTCTGTCACTTGAAGGAAAGTGCGGAGTGGAATCTTTTTCCTTCCAAAACTAATGCTTCTTCACAACTGACTATGTGTTGATCATTTTTCTAAGTGCATTACATATATTAACATATTTAATCTTCATAGCAACAACAATCTTATGAGGTAAGTATTAGTATTATCCTTATTTCACAATCATGAAACTGAGGCACAGAGAGGGCAAGTAACTTGCCTAAGGTCACACAGCTAGTCAGTTAAGGCCAGAGGTCTCCCTGCCTCCTGTCTCTCTCAATCTCAGCCATTGCCTTGGATAAAAACCTCTTTAATCTTTATCCCGTTACAAAGGGATGCTTTTTGTCTCCTTGCCCTTTCTCCTTTCCTTCCACATCATTCAACTGTGCCCTTTGGAACTCTATTCATATATCTTTAACATTTTTCCTAAATGTTTCCTCTGTCTTCTGCTATCAGCTGAACCTTAGTCTCCCCTAAGGTTCCTGCTTCCCTTTTATCCTTCTCAAGTGGCGAGGGCTCATGCTCACCTGCCCTCTGCCCCTCTGGGCTGGGAGTTAGGAATTAATATCTCTCTTGCTCTCCAAAGCTATTGCCAGGTCACTATTCCTTCTCTCTTATGTAAATTTCCATTGGCTTTGTGGTTCACAGTTTGTCCTATGTTATCCCTATCATGTGTCAATCTGCCTTTCAGTCTCCAATATTCACATGAGATTTGGGGCTGGTCATGGTGCCTCATGCCTGTAATCCCAGCACTTTGGGAGGCCGAGGTGGGTGGATCACTGGAGGTCAGGAGTTTGAGACCAGCCTGGCCAACATGATGAAACCCAGACTCTACTAAAAATACAAAAATTAGCCGGGCGTCGTGGTGTGCACCTGTAGTCCCAGCTACTTGGGAGGCTGAGGTATGAGAATCTCTTGAACCTGGGAAGCAGAGGTTGCAGTGAGCCGAGATTGCACCATTGCACTCCAGCCTGGGTGACAAGAGTGAAACTCTGTCTCAAAAAAAAAAAAAAAAAAAAAGATTTTGGCAGCAGGCTCACGACCTTTCTCTCCCCCATGTTCTGCCAACTGCCAGCTGGGTAACTCCAGTGTCCAGGAAGACAGTCCTCCTGATGCACTAACTCTTCCGATCTTTAGTTTCGGCCTCAATGTTTTCACGTAGCCTATACTTTGCCATGCGGGATTTCAACAGCCCTAACTTGCTGCGTCATCACTCAGGATTCCCTCATCCCCAAGTCTCAAACTCCTAGGTCCTCCCAGCTCACTCATTCCCTTATCCCCACTACCCCATCAGTTAGCTCGTGAAGGTGTCCAGATCCTAGACTCTTCCTTATCCACACAGTCTACATTCCCTCCTGGCTTATCCCCCATCCTCATGGTCATCTGGACTGTTTTCTCATTCACATCCTTAGCAGTATTTATGCCCATATCCACCTTTTCTTCCTCCTATTTTGGAGAATGAAGCATCTCTCCTTCCTTCAAAATCAATATTTCAACCTGTGCACTCCATGCCTGCTCTCGCTTCTCAAGGTTCTTCCTTCCCTGCCAATCATTCCCTCTCTGCCCTATGTATTCACCTTCCTCCATGTCTCTGTGGACAGGCTCAATTCCTTCCCTCTGTCTCCCTCTAAAAGCTGAATAGGCTCAACTCTCTCCAGCCTCCCTCCTGCCCTTGACCCTGCATCCCTCCCTCAGCTGCTGTGCAACCTTGCTCCTTCTCCAGATTTCTGGAAAGAGAGTCTCTACTTATTCATCTCCTTTTCACCCTTTGGTTCACTGAAATTTAGCTTCTGTTCACAAAGTATTTAGGTTCTTGTGAGGCTGGGTTAGAAGTTTGAGGGTGGTGAGTGAATGTATGATACCTGCCACTGACTCAGTGGAGGTGAAGGCTGAGTGGTCTTCTAGGAATTCAGGGCCAGGGGATGAGTGAGCTTGAGGAGCATGGCAATGTCTGCAACGTGCATGAGTGGGAAAGGATTGAGTGCCACTTTGTGCATCTCAACTGAAGTTCAACTTGCACACAAATTGGAACATAGAAGAAGTGAAGGCATTTTACCCTCCTTTGCCCCTGCTCTTTGGGGCTCAGTTTTCTTCTTTGTACAGCATGGGGTGGGACCAAATGGTCATCAGATCCCTTCCAGCTCTCCCTGTCTTCATATAACAGAATTTCTCCTAGCAATGTCTTGAGTTTGTAGCTGCCTAGGAGACAAGCCTTTCAAAAATTGCTTACAAAAAGGCCTGTGTTCTTTCCACAGTGTGTTTTAAACAAATATCAACAACAAAAAAAAGTTTTTAGAAGACATTGAAATTCATTTCATAATAGTCTGTTACCTCATTGAGCCTCTTGTTGAGTAAGTGAAACCAATGTGTGTGTGGTGTTGATGGTGTTATGAGAATTAAAGCCATGATGCAGTCTCCATCCAAGATAGTATATGTGCATTTCAAAGGGATTTTCAGACACAACGTGAAGAAAGGACTATGATTTGATGAAATTTTGGGTCAAAGAAAGGCTGATCGTTTTTAGACAGATGGGGGCTTTTGTGGATGGAGCTGGACAAAAAGAATATGAAAGGAATGAAGAATTCAATCAGGCGGTAAAGAGATTAGTTGAATCCAGCCTAGGCTAGGGGTTGCTGAATTCCATCTGCCCAAATTAAGCTGCTCTAAAAGGGCCAGTATGTTTGCTATTGCAAAAGAATCCAACACGTTCTGACCCTAAAAAGTTATCTTTATGATAGCAATATAAAATCTGTAACATTTTAATCTTGGGATTTGTAAGGTGAATGTTTATAAAGATAAGTTTGTAAATAGAACTGGAATAGTTAAGATAATTCAATTTATATTTTTAAGTTTATTTGATCAGAGTTGCAACAAGAGATCTTTAAATGCTAGGGAGGTTTTTGCTTGTTATGGTTATAACTTCATCCTGTCAAGCATTTGAAGCACGTAAAAATGAATCTGAACATGTTACACTTACAAATGCAGTTTAAAATTAAGACTATTTAATTGATTAAATTTGTACCTGAGATTGATTCTTTAAGCAGTTTAGTCTGTCGACTGGAGTTTCTAGAAACTTGTCAGAGAAATTTTGAAGGTGATCTTCTTGTTTTACTGGCTTTGTAGATAGAGTCATAGTTTGAATTGAAAGTAATGAAAACCATGTTTTAAAATTTGTAAACTTGGTAACATGAATATGAATTTAAAAGTGAATTAATTGAAAAGGCTTTCCATGGAAAAGGCCCATAATATGGGATACAGGAAGAGGATGAGCAAAAAGAGGAAGAATGAAAATGTCCAGAGCATAGGAGGAAGCCAAAGTTTCTGGTGCTGCAGGAAAGTGGGTACCCCAAGAATGTATTGGCATGTACTGAGGACTATGACCTGAAATATTTTCCCTTACATATTTATAACATGAATATTTTTGAGAGTGCCCAAGTTTTTATCTTTATCTTTGCATGTCCTTATTTTAGAGGTAACAGATCAGGATTAAACTAGAACAAGGTAACACTCAATATTGAATGACACATTAGCTAGATGGGGAATATTGATTGGTTTCTCAGCAGTTGAAGAGCAATGTTATATCACTGCCAAATGATTATCTTATTTTGACTCTTCCAGAAACTGGGGAAGAGGTAAAGAAGAAACAAGCAAAAGTTCTTAAATAACCAGCAGATAAAACCAAACCTATGTTCATTTCTGGCTCTCTCAATTGGCTTGAGCCAAATGGTGAAGTAGCAGAAGCAATTGTCTTGGAGATGTCTCGGGTTTCCCATTCTCTCTCCCCCACTTAAAGTTATGCCTT
Organism: Homo sapiens; assembly: GCF_000001405.40. NCBI lineage: Eukaryota > Metazoa > Chordata > Mammalia > Primates > Hominidae > Homo > Homo sapiens. Next base: position 93,055,897 of record NC_000012.12, on the reverse strand, counting down.
TGTTTTCTGTATACATCAGATTCCACTCTCAGGGAAGATCTGACTTTGGTCTACACTTTGATGCAAATTTAATTTCGTGGGGTAATTTTTCTCTACGTCTTGTGTTCAGTTCTGGACTGAAAGTAATGGTACAAGGCTATCCCTATGCACCTTCACTGAGAATGCCAATAGCGGAGGCAAGGTACAGATAGGAAACTGCATAATATATACCCTGCAGAGAGATTTTTGTAAGAGAAAGGGCTGCTAGTAATACTTGCTCTGGGACTGTCCCAGCAGAGGGGATAGATGGTAGCCCTATGTATGGGCCAGCAGTTCTTAAACCAGGCTAGTCATCGTAATCATTGGAAGAGATGTTTTAAACAAATTCTATGGCTGACATTTCCCATTCAAATTCTGATTCAGTTGCTCTGGGGTACAGTTCACGGTCACCCCCACTGGAAGAACAACCTTTGGAATCCCAGCGATTAGTTACCTGGCAAGGATTACTTAAAGAAGCAGGTGTATAGTGTACCCTGCACTCCATTTACTTCTTTTTATCATAACGACAGCACAGTCAGGATGTAAGGGCACAGATTTCCTCCATTTTACTTAAACGGAAGGCAAAGTCCCAAGTATTACATATTCTAATGATAGGCTCTAAACTTTATCTTGTCCTCTCTCTATCTCTTTCTCCCTCCTTATCCATCTATCCCTCGTATCTTTTTCTTGTCCCCTTCATGTTTTTCTAGAACACTCTCATAGGCTGCTTCTGGCTCCTTTTACTGGCCATTCATCCATATTGTTTTTATATTCTTCAGAACAAGTAAAACTGAACACATTTCTGTTAGTTTTGAGAATAAGGTACTAACAATCTATCTTCTCTGCCTGGATGAAGTGACAGGGGTTTTACAGATATATAATACTACTTCATTTCATCCTCGGTGCAAACCTGGAGGCAGGAGCTTGACTCAGAAAAGTTAACTCTACTCCCCAAAAGGTTCTTGCTTGGAACGGACTCATTTTAGTTTTCATCATCACGAGCACCAACTGATTGAGTGCCTAGCGCAGGCAGGGCACTGAGGCCAGCTTATGCTGTCCTGAGCTTGCTAATTAGATCACACTGCTTTTTCCTTGGTACACCCTATCTTGTGGTATTGATTAAAGAAAGCACATTAAAAATAAACCTTGAAAACTTTAGATCTTTGTCTTGCTCTTCAAAAAAATTGTATTCTCTCCAATCCCACAAATGCTACAACTTAAAAAATACAGAAAAGCACACAAAGAAGCTAAAGACCACCAATAATTCTACTAACCAGAGAAAATTACTGTTAACTTTTTCATGTATATCCAACCCTCTTTTTACTAAATACATGTGCACACACATTTGTAGCATCCTTATACTTCATATGCACAAATTTGACCATTGCAAGTTTATGTATCATTTTCTATTTTTCCACACTGTTTATAGTATGTATAATGGTTGAATGGACAGGATTCCATTATTTAACTGACCATTATTTATTTATATTACCAATCTTTGTTGATTCCTTGAATTGTTTCAATTCCCACTTTTAAAAACAAGTCTGTGTTATCTAGCCCAGTTGACCTTCAAATATCAAGGCTATAGGCAAATAGCTGTAAACATACAAGAGTGAGAATACACATAATCATGATTCCATCCTGAGAAATCTACTAGACAATAAATGTATCCCACCAGGAAATGATGAGATATCAGCAAAGCACTGATGGTGAGTGCTGATTATATTTAATTGTAGCTCTAAGACTTAAACAAAGATGGGAACAGAGGTGAAAGAAAAATATGTATATATTATACATTCTGATACATTAGAGATAATACAACTGAAAACATTGAAGAAGAGAAAGGGAAAGGAGGAAGTAAAATAAGACTATTGATTGATATGTAGGTAGTATGTGGCAGACAGAAGATATCATTTAAAGGTACAAACCAATTGTAGAAGTCTATGTAAGAAAAAGGGATTATGACCCTTAAAAAATTAAATATTAGTAAAAAGGTAACCACTGTGTTAAAAATATAAATCTTTTTAAATAGCAAAATATATATAACAGTAATAAAAAAGAAGAAATATTTGATTATATTTGCAAGCATAAACATATCAAAAATAATCTATGAATTCATAAAACTAGACACCAAAGAGGCTTGGGGACAATAATAGAATATAAAGGATAGGAATAGGGTTGTTATTTTTTAGAGTTTTCCTTCTTGTAGTTTTGACTTTTGAACCATGTAAAAATTATACATGTTCAAAAAATAAAATTAAATCAAAAGAATGAAAAGGGCAACACTGAAATTGAATATAAAGAGAAACAAATGAACTTAACTATATATCCAACTCTACAGCAAGTATTCCTACATAGAAAGCAGAATTAATTCAAAATTTTTTTTTTTTTTGAGACAGAGTCTCTCTTTGTTGCCCAGGCCGGAGTGCAGTGGTTCAATCTTAGATAACTGCAACCTCTGCCTCCCAGGTTCAAGCCATCTTCCCACCTCAGCCTCCTGAGTAGCTGGGGTTACAGGCATGCATCACCATGCCCAGCTAATTTTTGTATTTTTAGTAGAGATGGGGTTTTGGTGTGTTGGCCAGACTGGTTTTGGATTCCTGGGCTCAAGTGATCTGCCTGCCTTGGCCTCCCAAAGTGCTGAGATTACAGGCATGAGACACCATCCCCAGCCTCAAATAAATTTTTAATACACCTTAATAAAATATATTTTATGAAGAGAAGGAACTTTAAAGAAATATTTAATTTTACTTGTTTTTTGTGGTGGTACAATACTATTGCTAAGTAATACTAAGAATATTTTGTGCATTTTAAAGCATATAGCAAACAATAAAACACTTAATTTTTTTGGAAATGAGGGTTCTTACTGTGGGAGAAGATAAAATATAAAAAGGGAGAATGGAGGAAGATTTCTCTATGATATAGGATTTGAATAAGAGGTATCAGTATGAACTCACGTTTCTTGAAAGATATATTTCTTAGCTCTGTGCACTGACAGGGTCTAGAAACAATGAGCATATCTAGAAGCATATCTAGCAGCCAAATCTTGGTTTCTAAACAGCACTTTTCATTGAAAAGAACCAGGGAAGTTTGGAGAAACTGCTGATTCTAGGTGTGAGACTGGGAAAGTGTAAGGTGAGCCTAGAATCACGTGTGCCAGAAAATAAGGAAATGCTCAAAGACCAATGGGACTGGGTCAAAATGATGCAGTAACCAGGTTATGGTTGCTCGCATTGGACAAATTTGAGTCAATATGAGCATCTAAAAAATAATGATGGCAATGGAGGAAAAGAGAAAGCTCTTCTTTACAAAAGAATGCCAACTAATAAATGTAGAAAGAAGATGGAAGTAGAAAATTACTGGACATGATACCACTGTAGCACATGTACCTTTGAAGGATTCTGGATTTTAAAAGTATATATATATATATATATATATATATATATATATATATATATATACACACACACATACATATATGATCATTTTGGTGACAATTGGCAATTAAAAAATCTTTATTAGATAATATTGAATCAATGCTAAATTTATTGAGTGTGGAACTATGGTTATGAGGAGAATGTCATCGTTATTAGAAGACACAAGCTGAAATATTTAAAGCTTGCCATAATGTCTGTAAACTAATTTGAATGAAACAGCAAAAAATAAGTATAAATAACGAGAGTGATAAAGCAAATGTAGCAAAATGTTAGCAACTGGTGAATCTAGGTGAAGGTTATAGGTGTTTACTATTTGATAACTGACATTTTCTTAAAAAATAAAAAGCTGGGGTTCAAAAGCTTCATTACAGAAGGAAGAGCTAATGTAACAATATGGTATTAAAAAATTACAACATCAACACTTTAAAATCTCTAACGAGATAATGGATCTAGGCAATGAACATCAATAACTGCTAAAACCATTAGGCGAAAAATTGATGAAAAAGTATATAATGGAGGGATTAGGCTGAGAGCACTTGAATCTGCTAATTGATGTACACACCACTAAAAATGGGATGAACAGCCTGATGTGCCTATTGATGTGATGTAATACGAAGTACACAGAGCCATCTACAAAGTATTCTTACCCAAAAAAGAAAGAAAGAGAACCTGGATTCAATTGAGCCTCAGGCTCTAATTGCCAGTTTACAGGGGGAAAAAAAATGATTAAATGATACAAGAGGGAGACAATTGACCAAATCCAGAATATGAGAAATTCTACAGGACAAAATGACCTTAATTTTTCAACAAATAAATGGCATAATAAAAAGTGGAGACAATGTCATAGGTTACAGAGACTTAAGAGAACTATCAACTAAATCCAACCTGTGAAAATTTTTGGATCCAGATTTAAACAAATTGTAAAAAGACATTTTTGACATTCTGCAATTGCACATGAATGTGTATTGGAGGATATTCAGAAATTATTGCTAACTTGGATGGTGAAAGAAAGATACCAGGTAATAATAAGATCCAAAAAAATTCTTATTTTAAAAATATTACAACTAAAATATTTAAAAGACTAATGCCAGATGGCTGGAATTGCATTTAAAACATTCCAGCAAAAATAGCAATGAAAAAGAATGGTGGAGAATAAATAAAACAGGAGCTGGGTAAAATGTGGATAACTGATAAAGCTGGGTGGTACATACACAGTGGTTCATCATATTATCCTCTTTAATTTTGCGTATGTTTGAAATTTGCATTATAAGAAGTTTTTAAAAAGCTATAATGAAGCTTCACGTACAGACTTTTTTGTACAACTTTCAGATTATTTACTAGAAATAAATTTCTGGAAGTGGAATTGTGAGGTCGAAAGGTATGCATATTTTGAAAAATTTTGATACTTATTGCCTAGTTGCAATAACAAGTAAATACCTAAACTTTTAGCCAAAATTACATATAGCCTCTCCAGAAATATTTAATTCCTGTTAAAGAAATTTCAAGCATCAGTGAAAAAATGGGAGTGATTTTTGTTTGTTCATTTGCCAAGAGAAGATTATTGATGTCTCTTCTGATGACAGTCCCTATCCTTATAGAATATTGGTTATTAAAGTTATTCCTCATTACTGTCTGTGGATGCCGAACTGGTCACACATCTGAGGAGTTGCTTTCACCAAACAGCACTTCTGTTCAGATTCAGAGCAAGAAGTTGAGTTGGCTTCCCTGGTTCTACTTTTTTAATTAAGAGAATTTAGGGTTTTGCATATTTATACAATGAGTCAGAGAGATTTCATTCTACAATGTGAGGACCTTGTTGAAACGTGATTCCTTTCCTAAGGGAACTCAGCACAAGGGGCAGTTATGCCTGGGGAAAAACAAAAGGATCAAAAAGCAGTAAGGGCTGATGAAAGGACTATGGCAGGGGCCTCCGAATGTCCTAGGCAAAGTATGATCATCAGAACTCTAAGGAATAAGAATGAAAGGGGAAAGGATTGGTTCTTTCTTATCTCCCATGTATTAATGATTTGCCATCTTTAGCCAACATAAGAGATATCCTAATTGCAGGAGGGAAAAACATGGATTTCTCAATGATCTCCTTGCCTACTCCTGGACTATCTGTTTCTACCTACCCCTCACAGCCAGGGATGCCCTTGCAGCCAAGATTGAAATGGGTTTTGGAAAAGCATCAGCTGGATTTGTTCACAGCCTGTTTAAGTATGTCAAAGTGACAGGCCACATGCTCTGCTTAACAGCATGGGGCACAGATTAAGAAAAACACAGGCATCTTGGGAAACAGTTTTGCCACAAAACTGAAGTACAAAGGTTCATGTGACTGACTACTCACTGATAAATGTGGTTTTGAAAGACGATTTGCATCTTACAGGGATACTGCCTTATGTAGACCCAAGATGTTGTACGGAGAAACACTTTGTAGCATAACGGAGTTCTAGATACCTCTAAATATTCCCATCTGTTATTTGGGCTGGCCTTGCCTCATTGCGCTAGAGGTTAGTTCCTACCTCAAAATTTCTTCTGCAGGGGATGGGATCTTCGTTATAAGGAGACCTGTGGTCTGATGGTGGAGCCTTCATAAGAGCTTTGATGCCCCTGCAGGTTAGGGTTTGGAGTGGTAAGAAAATCAGCCTGCAGTAGAACCAGTCTCGAACCTTCTAAAATATCTGGTAACATGCAAAGGTCTAAATGCTCTGTAGTCACTGGGGTCCCCCAAATCCTGGATTTTCTTGGAATTCTAAGAGCATGAGTTATTTGCATCAGTGGCCTCAACAGCAAACTCAGGAACAAATTTCTTTGGATTAAATATTCTGATTGAGATGAACTAAAACCAACTTCAATAAAATCTAAAACAAGAAAAGAAGAAAGGGAAGGAGGGAGGAAGAATTTTACAAAGACAGAGGGGTTCATCTCAGAGACCAAAGGCGCACTTATACATGAGCCTCAGGAAGGGATGGGGACCCAGGAGATGGAAAGCCAGGGAGCTCAGTCTTTGTCTGTCATCTGCCTCATTCTTTTTCAGTAGATCATGCTTTTTAGCTCACATGTTACAATTATAGCCACCTTAAAAGATTGTCTTAATATCTTAGTGTCAGTCTTATGGCCCTAGCTTGCCTCACATGTTAATTTCTGACCCAATCAATAATGGCCAGCGAGGAGGGTGCATATTGCAAATATAGCCTCCATGCCCCTTGTCCAGAGAGGGAAGAATGGTGGTAAACAGGGCAGAAGTACTAACAGTTATCTTCTACCCATCATCTGGATGTGCTTACCCGCCATTCTACGCCATCCTTTTACATTTACCAACAATTTATTAAGTACCTATGATGAGCATGGTTTTGAGCTAGGTACCATGAAGACACAAAGAAGAGTCAGACATATTCTATCAATTTGGGAAAATAGGACATTAATGCATTCGAAATTAAATGGTACCCCTAGGTATTCAGCAGAAATGACTATAGTGAAAAAAGAATACAAGTCAGTTTGCAGAGGATGTGGTTGAAGGATCACAGCATATTTTAGAAGTCATCTGCACAATGCTTCCTTTCAATGGAGGACTCCCTTCTACAGCATTGGTGACAGGCACAGGGTCTGCCAGCCTCTGCTGGAATGCATTCGGAGTGTTTTGTGAGGTGGAGAGCCTTTACCATTGTTGACCAAGTTAATTATTAGTCTGTTCTCCCACATAGTAAAACAAAATGAGCTGCCTCATAATTTCTTATCATTGATCCTACCTCTGAGTGTCCTTTACACGTAATATCCTAGACAATATTTAAAGGGTGATGATGGCTTTCTCTCATCCCTACCCACAAGAGTTGACTGTCCTCAACCGTAAATCTTCCCACATTCTTCAATGGTTACTTAGATGACCTGTTAGATCTCTCATGGAGCTCATTCCCCTCATCTGAAAGTTTTATCTATAACCTTCTTAAATTAGGGAGCAAGATCTTGACACTATATAGGGGCTGACCTGTACGGACTATAGAGGGACTGGGATGAGATGTTTCTGTGGTGGTACTTAAAAACGATGGATGGCTTTTGTAGATAGTGAGTCTGGGACTTCCAGAAAATCAGGGGGCTTTTTTGCTCTTTTTTTTTTTTTTTTTTGAGACAGAGTCTCACTCTGTTGTTCAGACTGTGCGGTGGCTCACCACAACCTCCACCTCCCACGTTCACGCCATTCTCCTGCCTCAGCCTCCCGAGTGGCTGGGACTACAGGCGCGCGCCACCATACCCAACTAATTTTTGTATTTTTAGTAGAGACGGGGTTTCACCATGTTGGCCAGGATGGTCTCGATCTCCTGACTTCATGATCTGCCTGCCTTGGCCTCCCAAAGTGCTGGGATTACAGGCATGAGCCACCATGCCTGGCCTTGTTTTTGTTTTAAGTCGGACTTCTGTCCAAGTAATAGCCAATCCTATTCTCTCAAAATGTGGTTCATACACCACCTGTATCCAAATTAACTGAAATTATTTGTTGAAAATGAAGACTGAGGGCTCCTCTCCTAGACTGTTGAATCAGAATCCCTGGGTGTGGAGTTGAGTTGAGAATCTATGTTTGTACTAAACTCTCTAATGTTTCTTGCATACACTGAAACTTCAGAACTATCAATATGGTGGTTAAGAACACAGAATTTCTCAACTTCTAGCTGTGTGACCATGGGCAATTTACTTGACTTCTCTGAGTTTCAATTTCCTCATCTACAAAATGAAGATAATAATTCCTCAGAGGGTATTTGTTGAAATAATAATTTGTGTGTAGTGGACACTGTTATCTACCCAACTGCCAATTCCCAGCTCACCCTCCCCTTCTTTGCCAGTGGGGCTCAGTTTTGTTTGGGTAGGGTGGTCACCATACCATATGTTCAAGGAAGGTGAACCAGAGGTGAATCATGATTGATCTAAGATGATATTGGCAGTCCCATTTCCTTTGTCGTTGATTGGTTTAGGTATGGGTAATGTGATTTAATCCTGGACAATGAGATGTCAGGGGAAATTTGTAGGAAGTTTTTGGGTACAGTTTTCCTAAACAATAAAAAGAGATATGTGGGAGGTGTGCTTTGGTAGATGTTGAAATATCTGTGTGGCACCTGGAATCATTGCAGCCATTGTGCAACCACAAGGGGTGATATTACCCACACATGGAAAATAGCAGAGTTGGAGGATGGATGCTCCCTGGTGTCATGCTGCTCAATTAGCCAACCCTGGGACCAACTCCTCCTCAGCCAATGTGAGACAGGAAACCACCAAGCCCCTTATAGTTAGGTACTCTTACTTGCAGCTGAAAGCATTCTAATAGGTACAGCATGTAAATCCCTTATCAGAATGCCTAAGTCAATATTTGCATAACAAATGACAGCTATTATATTATTATTATTAATAGAAATATTGGACTTATTTTCCATTAAATTTAGGTCAGAGACTGTAGTGCCAATCCTATTATAAGACACATCTGCTCAAAAATACCTGCTGAGGGCTTGTATTTCTCCTTAGTTTCCACCCTTTGTTCTAGCCTAATGAAATCATGGTGGTTCTATTATACAATGTGTATCAGTTCTTCTACCCAGACTTGAGTTTGCCATAGATTTGACAAATTTTTCAGCCTTTTAAGTTTTCACTTGTATTTCACCTCCCTTGAAAGACGGTTATGATTTTAACAGGAAGAAAAGAAGGCTTTTATGTTTGAGGCAGAAACATACTATGATTGAGAATTATTCAGAGAAAAAGCCTAATTTCATGATTTGTCATGGGTGGTCCCAAGTTAAGCATTGTAAAGGCATTTTGGAGGGCAGCTTGTGGAGAGTAAGGAGTTGGAAATTTATCGGGCAAATCCCTGGAGGGCTGGTGAGGCAGTTAGCTGAAGTTAGGTGCCTGCCCAAGGTCATTCAATGATGGCATGACCAAAGAGGGATTAGAATTCGCAGTCACAGTGCCTAGAATTCCTGTGCGTGACTGGACTTTGCTACGTGATGTTACTCGGGGGCAACACTAATTATTTTGGCAACAAAATCTCCAGAGAACAAGGGGAGGGATAATGGCGGAGTCATTGACTCAAAGAGTGGTACAACTGGAAAAGATCTTGGGATTATCTGGTCCAACATTCTCATTTTACAGAGAAGGAAATTGACATCCATAGAGGTCAAGTGATATATACAAGGTCATATGGCCAATAAGTGGCAGAGCAGTGATGAGGATGCTTGTCTTATGATGCTTGATTTAGTGCTTTTTCCGTGACGAATTTTTTACAAAATTCTCCTTTTAGAATTTTATGACATGAGAGCTCCAAACATTTGACAAAATTGTAAAGTAGACTGCATTCTCTTACATCTCTTATTAGATTAATTGCTTAATTTTCATTTATTCTACTGTCTAGTTTTAACAGAACTTCCTATGTGTATTAGTCTGTTCTCACACTGCTAATAAAGCCATACCCAAGACTGGGTAATTTATAAAGGAAAGAGGTTTAAGGGACTCACAGTTCCACATGGCTGGGGAGGCCTCACAGTCATGGCAGAAGGTGAAGTAGGAGCAAAGGCATATCTTACATGGTGGCAGGCAAGACAGTGTGTGCAGGGGAACTCGCCTTTATAAAACCATCCGATCTCATGAGACTTATTCACTATCACGAGAACAGCATGGGAAAGACCTGCCCCCATGATTCAATTACCTCCCACTGGGTCCCTCCCATGACACATGGGAATTATGGGAGCTACAGTTCAAGATGAAATTTGGGCGAGGACACAGCCAAACCATATCACTTGAATTCCCAGCAAATGTGCTAGGTCAGTGCTTACTTTCCTGGTTGGTCTATCAAGACGTATTTGTGATGTATGTCTACAATGGAAAGAGTCTGACTTTTGTGGTTCTGGAAGCCAGTGTTATTACTTTTTGTTTAAATAGCATATATGAAAATTGGGGAAATATTCCTCATGGCTGAACTATCGTTATGGAGCACCATGTGTTAAGAATTGATCTTGAGACAACACACTGGATATGCCACATTTTATTCTTATTAAAAAAAACTGAGAAAGTCTATGTTATTGTGACAGTGTTACAAATAAGGAAATTGGGTCTCAAGGTGATACAGCTAAAAGCTGTACAACTGGAATTAGAAACCAGGTTCATTTGAATCCAGAGCCCTTAATGGATTTCAAAAAAGTGGAATGAGAATTCTGATAAGTTTAGGAAGGCAGAGAATGAATTTGGGGCCTAAGGCACAGACCACAGAAGACGGTATTGGGAGTAGAGTGATCTGGGTCATCTGCAGAGGTAGTGAGGGCACTTGGTTTCAGTCACCAGAAACCAAGAGGGTTGCCTATTTCACAGTGTTGCCTGGAGCTGATCTTGCTTCTGAAAACCTACCAAAAATATGTTTGGTTTGGAAGGAGACATGGTACCATCCATCAGCCAATTAAAGGTGCCCAACTAGGAGTTAAGGTTTTCAGACTGATGTTTCATTCACAAAGGGAACTGGACTCTTGAATTCTGTCTCATGAGGGAGAGGTAGCCTCATTCAGCTTGGACAGATGATATAGAGTAGGGATTTAGAGTGTGGGCTATGAATTTAGAGTTAGTCTGTCAAGTCCCAAGATGCCAGTTACCAGCTATATGACCAGTGTCTTTAACACTAAATTCCCATTTCTAAAATGGGATAATAATAGGACTTACCTAATGGCCTTGTTGCAAGGGTTTAGTGAGACGATGCATGTAAAACATGAAGCAGAGAGAGAGGCACTCAGTAAATAAATGTTTACAGCCATGCTCGTTATAATTGTTCCAGTGGCTCTGTGTGAGAATCGGAAGAGCAGGGCTCCACCTTTACACTCCCTCTACAGATCTGCATTCCTACTTTCTTCAGGAGGCCACACAAATTTTCTGGACCTTAATGTTGCTGTAGAAAGTCAACACAGGAGTGCGCATGGCCATGCAACCTTATGTCACGTGGGAAGTAGGAAGCCATGCAGAGAGAATGCCTGGCTCCCATCCTACACTAGGTGACTAGGTGTGTGTTACGGTCACTGATGATGCCTTGGGGAAAGTAGTTTGTCTCTGAGCAAGATTTGAAGCCAAGCTGCCTTGTTCCTAAAAATGGCTACAAAAGTCCATTTTCTCCATTTGCATCTGTGAGATTTTAACTTATGGAGGTACGGACTGAGTGACGACAAGGAGAGGCCGATGCTATTGAAAGTAGAATTTATTACTTGCTCTTCTGAGAGGAGAAACGCCACATCATGCAGATTCTGTCAGAAGGGACAAAGGAGCGAGGGGAACACTTAGGCTAGAGCCTTGTTTCTGCAGGAAAGGTAAGGCAGGGCAAACAGTTCAGCTTTGCCTAGTTTGAATAATCCCAGCAGGCTTTGGTTTATCTAGGTGGTCTGTGGTTGCCTAATACCTGGCCCTGAGATAATTTAGCTCAGGGGAAATATTGGCTAGTGTGTGAGAGATAGATAAGGAGGTGGTTGGTGAATATGGGCTTGAGTTTGGTTGGTTTGTGTGTGAAAGGCATGCTTATAGGCAAGTTATTATCCTTAGGAATTAGATAGCCCCGGGAGGGGTGGTCTCTTCTGGGGTCTGTAAATTCCCCAAAATGTTGAAATACCAAAAGATATCTAAAATTAAAAACATGATTGATATACTCATTCATCGGGCCCCACCTTCATTCCCTAGCTCCTACCCCTCATGGCTGTCTGAAAGTAGATGAAGTCATAGGTATCAAGTGCACATGTCCAGCAGTTTTGGGTAGAAAAGCAAGAGCAGCCTGGTGCTGGTGGCTCACGCCTGTAATCCTAGCACTTTGGGCGGCTAGGGCTGGAGGATCACTTGGGTCCAGGAGTTTGAGAACAGCCTGGGCAACATAGCAAGACCCTGTCTCAAAAAAAGGAAGGAGGGAAGGAAGGAAGGCAGGAAAGAAGGAAGGGAGGGAGGAGGGAGGGAGGGTGGGGGAAGGGAGGAAGGGAGGAAGGAAAGAACTTGTAGGCTATGGTGAAGGATACTAAAAGTAGCTTTGTATTTTTTCTCAGATTCTGGGGTGTCACACATTTTACAATCTGTTTACAGCCTGCACAGGGAAAAGAAGAAGAAAAGCAATGACAAAGAAAAAAGTTATGAGAAAACCTCCTACCACACAATCTATTTTTCAGTAGCACTACTAGGCAACCTGTAAATTCACATCAGGCCTGCAGCTGCCTGTTGCCAGTTTAGAATCCTGGTTGCCATTCTAGGAAGAAGTCTATGTTATAACTGCAGATTTCACCTCATAAAAACAAATACCACCCAACTCCTGCCCACACAAGAGCATTTATGTTGTGAATTATTCACTGTATCTAATTTTCTTTTTGGGTAGATATTTTTGTAAGAGGTGTAAAATATTTAACAGACTGAATCAACTCTCGTGCAGTGTTTTACAGCTACTTTGACTTAATAACCTGTATACATATTCCTGAGCCTTGAGTATATCATACAATGATGGTTCATGCTCACTTTCCATGGCCACGTGCGGCCAAATAAACTGCAAACTCAGGCGTGGCTCCAGTTTTATTGCCACAGTCTCAAGGCACTATTCACACTGCAACTTATCTTCTATGTGTTAATGGGTGTCTTGCTGATAAAGGTCATCCGCATTAGATACAGCAAAACAAATCTTGAGACCACAGAGTTGGAAGTATTGCATTTATTCTCAACACTGGACAAAGGTGTTTTCCTTCCTTCCGTCCTTCCTTTTCTCCCTCCCTCCATCCCTTCCTGCTCTCCCCTCCCCTCTCCTTCCCTCCCTCCCTCCCTCCCTCTCTCCTTTCCTTCCTTTCTTCCTTTTGTTCTTTCTTTTTTTTTTTTTAACAGAGTTTTACCATGTTGCCTAGGCTGGTCTCAAACTACTGAGCTCAAGCAATCCACCCGCCTCAGCCTCCCAAAGTGCTAGGAATACAGACATGAGTCACCACACCCGGCCAGTGTTTTCATTCTTTCTAATGATACTAGACATATACATTGCTTTGATCTCTAAAATTTGATCTCTCTAAATATTTATTGAGTATCTACTCGGTTATAAGCTCCTCAAAGGCCTGTTCATATTTTTATATTCCTTTCATAAGCAGTGAACTGTATCAGGCACATACTGGGAACTAAAATGAATACTTAATCAGGTATTTGTTTTACGGCAGCGTTTCCCAAAGTGTATGCCCATGGTCCACTGAAGGTTGACAGGATCCATGTGATGGGCACTGAATGAATAAATTAAAAAATGCGAGCCTGGGGCGGTGGCTCATGCCTGTAATCCCAGCACTTTGGGAGGCCCGAGGTGGGTGGATCACCTGAGGTCAGGAGTTCAAGACCAGCCTGGCCAACATGGTGAAACCCCGTCTCTACTGAAAATACAAAAGTTAGCCAGGCGTGGTGGCAGGCGCCTGTAGTCCCAGCTACTCAGGAGGCTGAGGCAGGAGAATCACTTGAACCTGGGAGGCGGAGGCTGTAGTGAGCCAAGATCGCATCATTGCATTCTAGCCTGCGCGACACAGCGAGACTCCATCTCAAAAAAAAAAAAAAAGTATATATATATAAAATATATATTTAAAAGTTTTAAATTTGATTTGCTGTGTTGTCTTGTAAGACATAATTCTATTTTTTCCCTTATAAGAGCTTTGGGATCTTTAAATAAGTGATCTTTATCATTGACATAATTGTAAAATGCTTTTGAGTTCCACCCCCAATTTCCAACTAAAACAAAATCCACCATTGGTTGTACTGCCAGAAAATTAATTTTAAGCTTTGCCATGATGTGTTTATCCCTGTGGGAGTGTGCCCTTGCATGGGAACAATGCTGTCTTGTCTGTAGCAATGAAAAAAAGATTGAGATATATTCACTGTATACTATACATTGAACACTTACTATGTACAAGGCAGTGTTCTGTGTGCTGGAGATAAAGCAGTGCCTGGGTACAAAGCAATGTCTTTGCCCTTGTAGTACTTACAGTCTATTGGGGACAACAGATAAAAATAAGTTAATGTATAAAATATCAGGTAGGAATGAGTGTTGTAAGAAAAGGTAGAGAGAGAGTGATGGGGTTGGAGGAGACTATTTTAGATAGGGTGATTGGAAAAGCCCCTATAATGAGGTGGCGACTGAACAGAGACCTGAATGAAGTGGAGGAGTGAGCTATATAGCTCTCTAGGGAAAGAGTGTTCCAGGTGGCGGGAACAAGAAGTACAAAGGTCCTGGGGTGGGAATATGTTACATTTTATTTTATTTTAAAATTTTCTTTCATAAGGAGGCAAATAAATCTTTTCATTATTATTATTATTATTATTTTGAGACATGATCTTGCTCTGTCACCCAAGCTGGAGTGCAGTGGTACGATCTTGGCTCACTACAACCTCTGTCTCCTGGGTTCAAGTGATTCTCCAGCCTCAGCCTCCCAAGTAGTCGGGATTACAGGTGCCTGCCACCATGCCCAGCTAATTTTTGTATTTTTAGTAGAAATGGGGTTTCACCCTGTTGGCCAGGCTAGTCTCTAATCCTGACCTTGGGTGATCCGCCCACCTTAGCCTCCCAAAGTGCTGGGATTACAGGTGTGAGCCACTGCACCCAGCCAAATACATCATATTTTAAATTGACTGCCTGCAGAATAGGTAGAAAGTAACATAGTGGTACGAAGAGTAAAATGTAAACTTGGCATTTAAGGAGGAGTGAAAAAGATAAACAAGTAATTTTTCAACTTTCAGCTGTCAAGGAGCTTCAAAATTGTACTTTATAGAAATAACAGTTATGTCAGAGGATAGATCACTGGCTCACAGGCCCCAGAGTATTTTTATTTCTTTCTCATATTTAATATGCCGAAATGGTCTTCTGTCTTCACCTTCCTCTGCTTGTTTGGACAGGTGTCAGAAAATAAGATAGGCGTTTTTCTTATACTCACAGCTTTTCTCCTTATGTTATATGCACATACACTCAGTCCTATTCAAGTCTTCAGTCTAGCTGGTGTTTATATTTTTTAAAAACAAGCAGAATTGGGTGATTAGTGAACTGATTCTATTTACTTTGAAATACTACATGAGGCAGTGATGTACGCCTAAATGTTGGTTTCCAAAACAAAATATATCTATGGATTTTTCTTTCTGCTGCTCTTAGCCCACTGGTCCCTCGCATCTTGGGAGCAGGGGCATCTTCATGCAGCCCTGAATAGTGTACCATCAGTATGAGTATTTCCTCCATGTAAGAGCTGAAGCAAGTTAATGATGGGAAGAAATACATTCATAGTGTAACAGGTGTCAATATTGACCATAGTTGTTCATCAGAGAACGTGTCTCCCCAACAAAGAAAGCACTTCAGCTGACCCACCGATGTTTACTCATCCGTGGGGCCAACAGTGTAGTCAGTTTTAAGATAAAAGATCACACAAGGACTTTCTTAGAACTATAAGGAAAAGAGAACTTATTTTCTGCTTGGAGCTGCTGAGAAGGTAAGAAATAATTTAAGAGCCAACAGGCATCATTTTGTTATCATAAAGAGAAGTACTGTCCAGGTGCGGTGGCTCACGCCTGTAATCCCAGCACTTTGGGAGGCCAAGGTGGGTGGATCACGAAGTCAGGAGATCGAGACCATCCTCGCTAACACGGTGAAACCCCGTCTCTACTAAAAAACACAAAAAATTAGCCGGGCATGGTGGCACGCGCCTGTAGTCCCAGCTACTCGGGAGGCTGAGGCAGGAGAATGGCGTGAACCTGGGAGGCGGAGCTTGCAGTGAGCTGCGATCACGCCACTGCACCCCAGCCTAGGTGACAGAGAGAGACTCTGTCTCAAAAAAAAAAAAAAAAAAAAAAAAAAGAGAAGTACTAACTAAAAATGGTGCCTACCCAAGAAGAGCAGAGCTGGGACATTGTTTGCAAACCTGGAGCCACCCATACCTGAAGCCAGGATACCGCTCTCTCTTTCAGTTATAGGAGCTAATTAATTCTGAGCAGAATTTAAATGTTTTCCGCATTTTTAAGTTTGTCTTTGCTTAAGAAAATGAGTTGGGTTACTGTGTGATATGGTTTGGATTTGTGTCCCTGCCCAAATCTCATGCTGAAATGTAATTCCCAATGCTGGAGGTGGGGCCTGGTGGAAGGTGATTGCATCATGGGGGTGGTTACTCATGGTTTAACACCATCCCGCTTCCTGCTGTCATCCCAATAGTGAGTTTTCATGAGATCTGGTTGTTTAAAAGTGTCTGACACACCCCCCGTCTCTATCTCTCTTTTCTCTCTCTCTCCCTGTCTCTCGCCCCTTCCATGTAAGATGTCTACTCCTGCTTTCCCTTCCACCATGAATAAAAGCTCCCTGAGGCCTCCCCAGAAACAGATGCATCCATGCTTCCTGTACAGCCTGAGGAGACATGAGCCAATTAAACCTCTTTTCTTTATAAATTACCCAGCCTCAGGTATTTCTTTATAGAAATGCAAGAACAGACTAATACACTGTGACCTACAAGTGAAAGAGTAACTTTCATCTGACTCCCTTCTGGTGCCTCCCGGCAAGGTGCTAGAGCATCCAATAGACTGGAGAGGAGGCAGGGAGACCTGTATCCCTCAATTGCCATGAGGAAAAATTTCAGTGCTGGACATATGATGGAATCATCCAAAGTATATGAATCAGTTAGTGTACTTTTGTGAGTTATGAAACCTAAGCCTTTATTCTTTTTGCTCTGCTGTAAATTGAATAGAATAAAAATCCACCACAACCAAAACCACATCCAATCTGAGCCTTGCTCTTCAAAAATTTTAGCCGTGCAAAGCCTACATTAAAAGATATCTTTGGCCGGGCATGGTGGCTCACGCCTGTAATCCCAGCACTTTGGAAGGCTGAGGCAGGCAGATCACTTGAGATCAGGAGTTCAAGACCAGCCTGGCCAACATGGTGAAACCCCGTCTCTACTAAAAATACAAAAATTAGCTGGGCGTGGTGGTACATGCCTGTAATCCCAGCTACTCGGGAGGCTGAGGCAGGAGAATCGCTGGAACCTGGGAGGCGGAGGTTGCAGTGAGCTGAGGTCTCTGTCTTAAAATAAAATCAGATAAATCTTCCAGAAAAAATACATAGATTGGACTCCATTAAAATTAAAAACTTCTGTGCATAAAAGGCATTATCCACAGAGTAGGAAGGCCATCCACAGAATAAGAAAAAATATTTGCAAATTATAAATATTATAGGAGATTAATACCCAGAATATATAAAGAACTCTTACACCTCAACAACAACAAAACAAATAACCTAATTTAAAAATGGACAAAAGATCTAAACAAACATTTATCCAAAGAAGATATGCAAATGACCAATAAGTACATTTAAACATGCTCAACATCACTAATTACTAGGGAAATGCAAATCAAAGCCATAAGGAAATACCACCTTATACCCATTATGATGACTATTATTATTATTTTTTTAAAAATCCAGACATGCTGGGTCACACCTATAATCTCAGCACTCTGGGAGGCAGAGGCAGGGGGCTCACGAGCCCAGGGGTTCAAAACCAGTCTGAGCAACATAGTGAGACCCTGTCTCTAGAAAAAAAATTTTAAATTAGCTGAGTGTGGTGGTGCACACTTGTAGTCCCAGCTACTTGGGAGGCTGAGGTGGGAGAATTGCTTGAGCCCAGAAGGCTGAGGCTGCAGTAAGCCATAATTGTGCTACTGCACTCCAACCTGGGCAACAGAGTAAGACTGTCTTCAAAAAAATAAAATAAAATAAAATAGAAACAGTAAATATGTGTTAGTGATAGAGACAGGAGGCAGCCAAAAGTCCCCTGGCAAAACCCCGCCCTTGAGCCTAAAGCAGCCTGAAGGCTGAAAAACCAGACTGCTGGTTCTGGATGAAGCCTGCCATTTCCTGACTGATTCTTTCTGAATAATGCCCACCTGCACACTGGGAGGACGGGGTGGAGCCTCGGGAAATTCATGGCGTTTGCAGTGGGGAGGAGCCTGGCCTCTCCTGTTCCTGTGTGGTGACCTGGGATTCAATCTGTGAGGCAGTAAATCTGCTAGCAGGACTCTCTCTCTCTTTGCTAAGAATTATTTTGCCTTTTTCCTTTTTGCCCAATAAATTCCGTTTTCCTTACTCTTGTATATGTCCGCAAGCATAATCTTTCCTGGTCGTGTGAAAGAGCCTGGTTTTAGCTGAACTAAGGATAAAGTTCTGCAACATTAGTGAGGATGTAGAGAAATTGGAACCTTTGTGCATTGCTGTGGGAATGCTGCAGCTGCTATGGAAAATGGTATGGCGTGTTCTCAAAAACTAAAACATATAATTACCATATGATCCAGCAATCCCACATCTGGGTAGATGACCAAAGGAATTGAAAATGAGGGCTAGAACAGATATTTGCAAAGCCATGTTCAGAACAGCACTATTCAGACTAGCCAAGGGGTGGAAGCATGCCAAGTGTCCATTGACAGATGAATGGATAAATGAAATATGGTATGTACATATAATGTGGAATATTATTCCGTCTTAAAAAAGGAAGGTAATTCAGATACACGCTATGACATGCGTGAACCTTGATGACATTGTGCTAAATGAAATAAGCCAGTCACAAAAGGACAAATACTATACGATTCCATTCATGTGAGGTACTTAAAATAGGCAAAGTCACAGAAGCAGAAAGTAGAATGGTGATTGTCAGGGTCTGGGGGGAAGGGAAATGGGACATATTGTTTAATAGATAGGGAGTTTCTTTTTGTGATGTTGACAAAGTTCTGAAGATAGATAGTGGTGATGGTTGCAGAACAATGTGAAAGTACTTAATGCCACTGAATTGTAAACTTAAAAATGGTTAAAAAGGTACATTTTAGGTATTATATATTTTATCACAACAAAAAAATAAAATATAAAGATATCATCCAGAAGAATTGTGCTTCATTTAACAAACAGAAGATACTCCCAATCTTAATCAGTTGATGTTAGACAGGAAAATGGGAAGGCAAAGTGATTGGCTGTGATGTTTCAGATTCATCAGCAAAACTAGGGTTTTTACATTCAACTAAATATGATAATTAGGTCATGTGCAAGAATGGAGCCTGCTTGCATGAACTTTCATCTTTCAACAATGACAGCAGAAAGAGGAATAATAGACACTGGTTGCTAACTAATGGCCCTTACCTTTTTTGCATCTTCAGTAGTTGTAGCAGGAAATAAAAGCTTGTCTTTCTTTTTAACTTTGTTTTTTAAAGGTACTCAAATGCCAACTTTACTGTTTCTATATAAACTCCTTTTTGTACTGAAAACTGTAAAAATAACAAAGTTTGCTGTGATTGCAATCCAAAATTTTGAAAGCCAGAAAATCTAATTATTATGCTATAGCCAAACTACCTAATGCTTTCTTTATCCACAAGTAACTTTGCTTCAATTTCTTGATGTTGGGTTTCATCTCATTGACTTTGGGCTTCTAAGACACATGGGAATACTTATGTCGTCTTGGCTTCTTTGGGTCAAATCAAACAGTAGAGCTAAAGTTATTCAAATACATTCAAATTACACAGATCCCTTATAAATTACTAGTATCATAGCGGGAAGAAAAAGATACAAGAAGAAAAATACATCCTAGAACTCATTATCAAAAGTATTGGTGTATAGTCTATAGTAGCATAGAGTAGCTTTCTCAATCTGCTATATAAAATTACCAGCAAGAAAAAAAGGTACAAGAATAAGGTTTATGGCTGAAGTGGCTTGGTGTCAAAATTCCCTATTCTAGCATTCTCAGAAGGATCCCATCTGTTAAACAAGCAGAAACTGCAGGGACATCTGAATGGTCTTGATTCCTTCTTAACTCCCTTAAGCCCAGTGTTTGTTAGTATTCTTTCATGCGGATGAACTCCGCCGAGTAACATGTATCTGAATCTTGCCATCCTCTCTCTCTGCACAGACAGCAATGTTCTTACTCCTCTCCTCCTGTAAAGCAAGTGATCTGTGATTTCCCTGAGGATTGTTGCTCTTGTAGACTGTTCATGGAGTGAACATTCCGGTAGAGGGGAAGGGGATTCGTTACTAGCATTGACAGTCAAGTTATTAAGGTTTTTTGTCAACGTCTCGGAGCAGATTTGAGAGGCCCCTGAATCGTCCTGGGAATTTTCTTTGGTGAGCATTTGTGAAGACTCTGGGATGGAGGTTGGATTAAACTTCTGTGATGGGTCCATCAGCATCTTGACACAACACTAAGCTTCTCCTGGATCTTTGAAACCTTGCAGAAACTGATGACGGAGCCTCAAATTGCTATAAGGTAGCCCAGAAAGAGACTGAGAACCAGATCCCCAACCTCTTTTTAACTTTTTAAGCTCTGACAGTCTTGCTTGGCTTAACTGTTGAGATTCCTCACTTCCCTGTAATGTTCTTCATGTAGTCAACATGAATTTACTCAAGTTTGACTAGATGTGATGGTCAGTGGTTTTGTGCAGGTTATTCTGTTTGCTCTTCTAAATAGATTCATTCTCAGCCCTTCTCTGTTTGATTCTCTGCTTCAGGAGGAGATAATTATGGGCTGCATCACCTTGGCTCCATCACTGTCTGGCTTCTAGCACAGTTTGGCCATGGAGAGGTAGCAACAGGAGATGAAGCAAGCAGGAGGAGAGTGCTCTGAGCATTCTCTGGATGCTCCCTGCCTCACCATGGTTTTGGCATGGCTGGGATCCTCTATCTCCCACTACTGCATCTGCAGGGCAGCTCCCCTCCCTTGACTATAGATCTCACTGCACCCTGGAAACACCATTTCTCTTTCTTATCCATTCAAGCTTAGGGGAAGTAACAGCCCAAATGCTGCTAGTCCCTAGGTATTCCTTGATGCTTATTGTTTTCCTTAACCGTGCCCAAATCCTTGACACAGTTCTTTCATTTCATCCTCCTCAATTAACCCTTTGAGCATGTCATTCAGTTCCTTCCAAGACATTGACTAACACAGACATTCGTATGCCACCAACACTGGCTCTTCTGATGGTCCTGCTTCCCTAATAAATGCTGATATGCCCAGAGAGAAGAGTTTAAAAGGCCGGGTTGTCATCGATGGCTTGATATCCACATGTCCTAAATTCACTGACTATATGTAAAGCATTTATTACAGTGCCTGGCCCATAGTAAGCATTCAATAAGAATTATTGTTGTTGTATCATCATTATAATAACCAGAGAATGGCAACCATTGTCTTTTTTTTATTCACTAAAGGGATGAACTTCATTTATCTGCTGACATTTTATTTCATTGTTATTGGGGGCTTAATACATGCCAGGCCACTTAGTGGCTTTACCTCATTTAATCATAGCTCAGAGCAGTGCTATGAGATAAGTACTAGAGAATTATTATTTCTGTCTGGCAGATGAGGATACCAAAGCTTAGAGAAGTTATGTGATTTGCCCAAGATCATACTGAGATAAGTGGTGAAGCTGAAATATGAACACAGGCTGCTGGCTCTAGAACCTGTGTTCTTCTCAAGACATCCACAGCCTGCCAACATAAGATGGGCGTGGTCCCTTTCTTCTTGGAGGTAAAGAGGAAAACAAGCCTTAAATAAGTAATTACAAATATGCTGCATCTTACTGGGCAAATCGAATGTCATCCAGGGAAAGTGACATTTAAGCTGAGAACTGAGGGAATGAGGCAGACACAAGAGATGGTCTGCCTTTCACCTGCAGATTTGGGAGCAAGTTGGGGCAGGGCTGTCCGTGTTTCTTCTTGGATTGTCGCAGCAACACTCAGCATCTTGCTCTGAACAAAGTCTACCATCAGCGAATGTTTCTTGACTCTATTGAAATAAAGATACTTAATTTCTCCCCTATGGATGACTACTTCTGGTGGAAATCTTCCTTAATAATCGCTTGTAAATCAAAGTCTTCACAGTGCCTTGTAAGGTTCCAGAACCAAACTTGCCTCCCGGTTACCTGTGACACCTACTAATTTCAACAGAAGCGACATGTGTTTACCTGAAGGGAGAATTTGGTTGACAGGATATTGCATAGCACTTAATGACAATTCCATCCCCTTCAAATACACAGTTAGTATCTATAATCATTGTTTAAGAAGATTACATGTCACATGAATTAGAGGTTGTGGAGTCGGAGCCACCTCCACTGTCTGATTGTTGTACGTTCCTTATCCTCTTTTCCAGTTACTTTCCTTCTCAGATTAACACCGTGTTATTATTTTTTCTGGCACCTGGTTTTCCAGGTTTAAAAAAAGAAGAACTATAGCACAAGATATATACATATATATATATATGTTTGTATATATTTGATTGAAATTACTTTATAATTAGATTGTAGGGAGAAAATCATTGCCAAACATTGCTCCCTGAAGATCTTTCCTCATTGGAAGCATTGTCAGTCCAGAAGAGTTCAGCTGGGGTCTGTCTGCTGTGAGCCCCAGAGACTCATTCTGGCCTCATGCACCTGTTCTTTATTTTCCTAGAACCATGCTCAGGAAGGAAATGTTGCCTCCTGTTTAGGCTGTGGTCTGGGATCTGTGAATCATCTGGATATCCCTCTGCATGTTAAAAAGTATTTCAAGCAAAACATAAACATCTAAGTGTTTAGTGGCTGGCAGCTGCAGGCTATAGGCTGAGATGTATCAAAACAAAAGCATTTATCAAACTTTCTAATAATGCTCTTATCTACACCAACATCATTTGCTTTGTTTTTTCTTCTTTGCATTTCTTCTCTATCTCCTCCACTCACATTGCATGATAGAAAAAGTACTAAATGAAGGGTTTGGAAACTCAAGTTCTGGATTCAGTTCTGCTACTGACCTTAGTACCAGACACAAGTCATTGAATTTCTCTTGGGCCTGATTCCTTCTTTTGTTCAAGAAGTATTTGTTGAAAACCTACTATAAAAGCTACTTTACCTGGGATTCAGAAGTGAAGAAAACCTACATAGTTTCTGCTGTCATAGGATCCTTACTGGCAGTCCAGTAGGAAAATGAGACGTGACCACAAAAAGACAGAAACTCAGACTTGTGATGTGAAGTCAGATATTTGTCTATAAGTCTGTGGCTTCCTTGTCTATAAAATGGGCATGGCTGGGTGTGGTGGCCCACGCCTGTAATCCCTGCACTTTGGGAGGCCGAGGCAGGCTGATCATCTGAGGTCAGGAGTTCAAGACCAGCCTGGGCCAACATAGTAAAACCTCATCTCTACTAAAAATACAAAAATTAGCCAAGCATGGTGGTGCATGCCTATAATCCCAGCTACTCGGGAGGCTGAGGTAGGAGAATTGCTTAAATCCAGGAGGCAGAGGCTGCGGTGAGCCAAGATGGTGCCACTGTACTCCAGCCTGGGCAACAGAGTGACATTTTGTCTCAAAAAAAAAATAATAAATAAATAAATAAATAAAATGGGTATAGTATTAGATATGCTATATTTCCCAATCATTAAAGCATTATTTAAAATGCAGCATCTGCAAAGGAACTAGAATACCCAAAACAATTTTTAAAAAGAACAAAGTTAATGGAATTATACTATCTGATTTTAGGACTTACTAGAAAAGCTAGAAAATCAGGACAGTGTGGTAGTGGCATAAGGACAGGTATGTGGATTAATGCAGCAGAGTTGAGAGTCCAGAAATAGACCTACACTAACATAGTCAATTGAGTTTTGATAAAGTGCCAAGGTAAGAAAAGAACAGCCATCAATAAATTATACTGGAATAACTGGATCTCTATATTAAGAAAGGTACCTTGACCTTTTCCTCACAGCATACACAAATTTCACTCAAAACAGAGAGTAGACCTAAATCTCAGAGCCAATACTATAAACCTTGTAGAATAACATATAGTAAAAAATCTTCGTAACCTTGGATTAGGGCAAGTTTCTTATGTAATAGATTACAAAAAGCATGAACTGTAAAAGAGAAATTGATAAATTGGGCTTCATAAAGAGTTAAAACATTAGCTTGTCAAAAGACACAATTCAGAAAATGAAAAGCTAAGCCATTAAGAGAAAATATTTGTAAAATATATATCTAACAAAGGATTTGTATCCAGATAACATTAATTTCTCTTACAACTTAAGAAAACAATCCAATAATATAATGAGAAAAATATTTGAATAGACAATGCACAAAAGAAAATACATGAACTGTCAAAAAATCACATGAAAAAATGCTTAGCATCATTAGTAATTACAGAACTGCAACTTAAAACCACAATGGGAGACCACTACACCCACACTAGAATAGCTAAGGTTAAAAATACTGGCAATAATAAGTGTTGGTGAGGCTATAGAGCAACTAGAAATCTCATACGCTGCTGTTGGCAATGGAAAACAATACAGATGTTTCAAAAAAAGAAGCTTCTTAAAATGTTAAACATACACTTACCGCCCAGTAATTCCACTCTTAGGTATTACCCAAGAGAAATGAGAAAATATGCCCACTGAAAGACATACATGAATGTTCATAACATCATTCCATAATAACACCGAACTGGAAACAATCTGAATGGCCATCAACTGATATATAGATAAAAAGAAAATGGTGATATACAGTTAAATATTAACAACTAAAAGGAATGGAGTTGATGGGGCTACAGGGCACAATACCCCCAAAATATGACTGTAGGAGACCAGAATATACCACCTCAAAATATGCTTTTTTGGCATAAGGATTATTTGAGGTGATTCTTCTGGGAAACAGCAGACACAGGAGAAGCTCTGAAAATGAGAGTAGAGGTTACCCTTTTGTAAGAGAAATGTACATCTATAAAGGAACTCTCCATTTGTAAGATTGTCTCCCTCTCTGTACCAGGAGGAAAGGATGGTAGATCACTAGACACTCTTGCCAATGGAGAAGGCATAGGCTTAAATCTGTACAACAAATCTAAACCTCGTTTATGGGGCTTTTCCTGGCCAGTTCCCCATAACTAGGCATTTCCCACACCCTTCTTTCTTTATTTCAGGGGACATGGTACATGACTGTAGTCTCAAGTGTAAGCAAGCTTTTGAGATCTACTCTGGCGATTTTATTCACTCTTCCCTGAGTATCTTCCACATATGCATAAGGTATACATGTGATTAATCTTCTGTTTGTTTTTCTCTTATTAATCTGTTTTTTGTTACAAGGGTCTGTTCCAATTAAGAACTCATGAAAGGTAGAGGAAAAATTATTTTTCCTCCTCTATAGAGTACTGATGCAACAATGTGGATGAATTTTAAAGGCACCAGGCTAAGTGAAAGAAGCCAAAAACAAAATACCATGTATAGTACTGTATGATTCCATTTACCTGAAATCGTTGTAGGGCTTTCTCCTTAGTTCAGCTAAGAGCCGGGTCATTGTCACACGGCCATGAAATATTAGGCCCACAGACACTTTGAAGGGTGAGAAAAATGGAATTTATTGGGTGAAAAGGAAAAAAAGGGCAAACAGGGACCCTCAGCAGAGTGAGAGTCCTGCTAGTAAAGGCTTCCGCCTCACAGATTGAATCCCGGGTTCCACCCAGGAAGAAGAAAGGCCAGGCTCCTCCCCCTGCAAATGGCACGAACTTCCCAAGGCTCCACCCCAGTGCGCACTCCTCCCGGGGAGCAGGCCGGTTGGAGTCTCTCTGGGGATCCCTTCCCACCTGGCTGTCTCAAAATATTTAATGAAAATCCTAAAAAGACAAAACTAAAGGGACAATAAATAGATTGTTTTTTTCCTGGGGCTGGGGATATGGACAGGAGTTGAATGCAAAGGGGCCTGAGGACAATTTCGGGGTTATGGCAGTGTTCCAAAATGTGATTGTGGTGGTGGTGGCATGACTATTTTCATTTACTAAAATCCATTCACACTTTAAGTTGGTGAAGTTTATTGTATATAAATTATTCTTCAATAAAGCTGTAAACAATGTTAATTCAAAATAAATACACACTTGGAGCTTACAGAAAGTAATTCTACAAAGCAAGACTTTGGCAGTTTCAGAGGACCAAGGAGAAGTTAGGAAGCAATACGGTAGGAAAATTTTTGAGGTTCATCCCAGAGAAACTTCAATTCATAATGGAACCCCAGAAATCCTAAGCCACATAGCACTTGAGTTGGGACACCCTGTCTGGAAACAGGCAGAAATGTCAGGCACAGAAATAGGTTTCCTATCACTCACGTAGAAATCTCGGTCAGAGGCCACAGGCTGTGGCTTCAGTGCTTTATCTGGCTAGATAAATCCTTACGGGTTTCTCCTCATCTGCTCTCTGGAGCCCTGGGGGTGAGAGGGTGGAAGTGTGGAGCAGCCTAGCCTCCCTGGCTGGGTTTGACCCACTGACATGGAAGGAGTTCTTTCAACGGTGGGATTTCTGCAGCCCTCTAGTTGCTCATACTGCTGCTGCTGCTGGAACTTCATGTTTTCCATTTCCAACTTCTATCCAGGACTTTGACATTTCCTGTGGTGCTGGTTTCTCAAGCATCAGCATCCCACACAGTAGAGAGCCAGGTTTACTTCTCTTAGGAGACCCCCTGGGCCTGAGCTTGGCTCTCCTCCCCAGTCCCTTGATTCCAGGCTCTGGTCTCCCAATTTTCTTCCCTTTCAGCATTCAGTTAGCTGCTACCTCTCCTGTGAGGTGTTGGTGAAGAACATGATTTCTCCTTAAAACTCTCCCTATCTGAACAGGCATGTTAGACTCTCACTCATGGCCTCCTTCCACATCCTTAGAATCCTAATGTCACAAATTATTGGACTCCAAAAAGACTTTACAGAGAATCTAGATCTGACATTTCCAGAATATCTTCCTCAGAACTGAAGGGTATGAATAGATGGTCAGTGGAAAATAGATTCCATTATCAAATGCATCTAGAAAATGCCAATCAAACATGTTTCTCCATACTGTGTATTAAACACACTTTGGGTATTTTTTTGCATAAATTTATGGGGTATGAGTGTAATTTTGTGACATGCATAGATCGCATAGTGGTGAAGTCAAGGCTTCTAGGGCATCTATCACCCAAATAACATGTATTATACACATTAAGTAATCTCTCATCATCCACCCCTCTCCCATCCCATCGCCCCTCCAAATCTCCATTGTCTACCTTTCCACACCCTATATCCATGTCGATATTCACACCTTAATAATGAGCGTGATGACAAGGGAGAGGGGTGGTGAAATGTGGGGGATATGATGTACAGTGTTTGGTTAGAGAAACATTTTTTCTTCTTTCAGATTATAGAACAGCAATAGAAATATATGTCAAGTTGAAATATTCTGCCAACTGTATCTGTAACTACATATGTAATTTTCAATGTTTTAGTAGCCGCATTTAAAAAGTAAAAAGAAACACGTAAACCTAACTTTTTATATAAATTTTATTTATTTATAAATAGGCTTCATTTTTTGGTTCTAGGTTCAATTTTCTGCAAAATTGAATAGAAAGTACTGACAGTCCCCATATACCCCTTTCCGCCAACATGCCCAGCCTCCCCTTCTATCCCAAATTTAATAATGTATTTAACCCAATCTACAAAATGATTATTATTCCAACATTAATCAACATAAAAATTATTAGTGAGACACTTTAAATTTTCCTTGTATGTTGTTTTAGTTTTTATATTTTAAAATGTGACCCTGGCCACATTTCAAGTGCTCAATAGCTAAATGTGTCTAGCGACTACCTGTGAGTGCAGGTCTAGAGTGCCAGTTGTTCCAAGGATCGTGCTTTAGGAAATGCTGATCTAGTCACACCCTCTGGTCATACAGATGAAGCTGTAGAGCCCTGAAAGCTTGAAGTGATTTTGCTGAGTTACAGACCCAAGTCACGTCAGAGCTGAGATCAGCACACCAGTTTTCTGATCTGTACAGGTAGTTCTTTCCACTACACCATGATGCAAAAACACATATCTTTTTCTTTGTGGAAGGGAGAATTCCAACTTGCTTCCTTTGCCCCACAGAAGACCCTTCTATTCCTTCTGAATTGAATTGAATTAGAATGGAGCCTAGTTCAACCACAAATCAGGGCTGAGTTTGCAGTAACTGTGCACAGCCTTTCAATCTACCGTGTGCTTCTTGGAATCTCTGTGCTGTCTTTTCTTCTTAGGATTTGCACAGTATCCACTGATTGTGTTTCCTATTCACATCAGAGACTCTTTCAGGACATAGTGCATTGGGATCCCTAGCCATGGAATTGCTGTGATGGTCCCTGGGCACTTGGGCCCTGGAATGAGGAGTCTTCCATTCATCATTTATTCAACAAATCTTACTGAACACGCACCATCTGCCAGATCTTGTTCTTGGTGCTAGGGACAAATAAATGAACAAAGGAAATCCTTGCACTCTGAAATTTAGATTCTAGTGGCAGGAGAAAGATGAAAACACACACACATGTATTTATATATAAACTTTCAGTCTGTCAGATGGCAATAAGTGTTGCCGAGAGAAGATAAGACAAAATAAGGGGAAAGGGGAATAAGGAATAGAGGCAGGTTTAAGAGTGAGGGATTCCTTTGTTCTCTAATCATGGTGTTTATTGATGGAAAAGTGGAGTGATTTAAGGAAAATATTCTTCTTAGCTTATATACAATTTGTATTTAAATGCCTTCAACTCCTTTGTGAACATGTGGGTCCTCTTAAATAAATAATGAGAATATTAACAGCTAAGGCACACATGTTACTCATGTGACACTGTGCTGAGCCATGGCATTTGACAATTTAATGAGAAATGGAGCGTTTATGCTATCTGAGTACTCATTTTCCACGTCTCTGTAGTTAATAGGTGTTGGGAAAGTAAAAATTGTCATGAGCTGGCCCTTTATTAAAATCAGTCTCCATTCAAATGTCTATTCCTGTTTGATCCATCATATTTTCTGACCAGTGGGCCAGTCACCCTTGTTGGCCATAGTCTCATTAATTGTCAGATATTTACAACATGATACTCTACATTGAAAATATAAAGCAGAAGGACTGCAAAGGGAAAAAGCACAATTTGCTAAACATTTAGAATTTCATGAAGTTGATGAAAGTGATGGAGGAGAGCTACTAGAACTACTTGCAAGCCAATGGCAAACAAGGATTTGACATGACTCAACCTGTTAACAATTGAAGAAAACAATGATGGGAACAGTGACAAGTGCTTCAAAAGGGAGAATCCAATACCAAAGCAATAGATTATTGCTCCAAACTAATTTATTTGTTGAATTTTTTTCTGAGAATAACTGTACAGTTGAAATTTTAAACTAAATTTGGTTAAATGTAAGACAGTTTTATAATTGGTGTAATTTTTAGTTCATTTTTCAAGAAAATGTCCCAATAACACCTACTTTTTCCAAATGATATTTTGGTGCATTTATTTTAAGTAGCCCTAGAGGCCAGGTGCAGTGGCTCATTCCTGGAATCACAGCACTTTGGGAGGCCAAGACTGGAGGATGGCTTGAGGCCAAGTGTTAGAGACCAGCCTGGGTAACATAAGGAGACCTCGTCTCTAAAAAAAGTAAGAAACAATTAGTAAGGGATGATGGCGCTCACCTGAAGTCCCAGCTATTCAGGAGGCTGAGGTGGGAGGATCCCTTAAACTCAGGAGTTTGAGTTGCAGCAAGATATGATTGCACCACTGTACTCCAGCCTGGGTAACAGAGCAAGACCCTGTCTCAATCAATCAATCAATGTGGGAATTTCCAGATACCAGTTACCCTTAAATGACAGGAAATGGCCTTCCTGTGCTAATAGTATCTACACTTTTCAGGTGAAGAAACTGAGATATGAAGAACTTAAGTAATTTGCTCAAGGTCATATAACCAGTATGAGGTGGAGGCTAACAGCAACATAGCCAACCTGAATCAAGATATCTCCACTACACAACACTGCCTCCTAGAGGGATCACATTTGTTTTGCTTATTCTTGACCATGCTCAACATCAAAGTCTTGCATTAAAAGATGTTTAGTACACATTTCTTGTGGACCTCACAGGTAGAAATGATTCTACCTTAAATATTTCAGTTCAAGATGGTTTTAAGTAGTAAATGAATACATTGTCCATTGTCTCGCCATCATATTTTATACAGTCTCAAAGGTTTGAAGTCTAAACTTCCTAACTGCTAGTTAAAATCTATTATCTTTGTGTTTGCTTAACTTCTGCAGGACATATCAGGGAAGTTAAACATGTCTGTTATAAATGTTGGGTACCTAATTGCCTTACCTTATAGCTGAGCCAGAAGGCAGACGCTAAATAAAGAAAACCTCCTGGCTCACAATGACATACTGTCTTTGTACATCTTTCAAGCAGAGGAAAGATAACGGCCATGTATGAGTTTAGTCAAGACTGCTGATTTGCAGTCTCTTCAGGAAATTGTAGTGTTTCCGAGGACAATATTCCTAGTCAAAATAGATTAAGCCTGAAGCCAAAATGACGACCACAGTCAAAGTTAATAATACTGTATGTTTGGTTGGAAACAACTGGAAGAAAAATAAGTTATCATAGCAGACAGTCTGCCCTATAATCCTCCTTTATTCTCAGGTCCTTGTCACCAGTGGAATGGCAGAAAATAAAGTTTTCTCTTTGAGGAGTTTGTATTTGTAGACAGACAATAAAAACCATTTACTCTGATGAAATGAAGTCTAGGGTTAGAGGGGCCTAAGTATGTTTTAGAGGAAAACTGGCCCTTTACTCACCCAGTTTCAAGTTTTTGAAGAATACAAGATACTCCTATAACATTCTCCTAGATGCAGAAGGAGGATGTACTGCTCTCTGGTAGTGGAGGCTAAGCCACCTTGACAGAGGAGACAGGAAACTAAGGCTTCTCTTAAAGATGGGGGCTATCAAGATTAGTAAACCACCAGCAATCGACTTCTGGGTATAAACCCAAAAGAATTACAAGCAGAGGCCGGATGCAGTGGCTCACACTTGTAATCCCAGCACTTTGGGAGGCCAAGGCAGGTGGATCACTTGAGGTCAGGAGTTCAAGACCAGCTTGGTCAACACAGTGAAACCCCATCTCTATTAAAAATACAAAAATTAGCCTGGTATGGTGGCAGGCACCTGTAATCCCAGCTACTCAGGAGGCTGAGGCAGGAGAATCACTTGAACTCAGGAGGCAGAGGTTGCAATGAGCCAAGATCACACCACTGCATTCCAGCCTGGGCAACAAAGTGAGACTGTCTCAAAAAAAAAAAAAAAAAAAAAAATTACAAGCAGAGAGTCCAAGAGACATTTGTACTCCTATATTTGCAGGAGCACTGTTCATAACAGCCAAAAGATGGAAGCACCCCAAGTGTCCATGTGTAGATGAATGGAGAAACAAATGTGTACTATGCACGCAATGGAATATTAGCCTTAAAAAGGATAAAAATTCTGACCTGTGCTACACCATGGATGAAACTTGAGGATATTATGCTAATGAAATAAGCCAATCACAAAGGATAAATACTGTATGATTTTACTTTTATGAAGTATCTAGAGTAGTCAAATTCCCAGAGACAGACAGAAAGAAGACTGCTGGTTTCCAGGGATGAGAAGGGGAAGGGGCCATGGGAATTTCTGCTTAATGAGTGCAGAGTTTTAGTCTGGAAAGATAAAAAAAAAAGTTCTGGGGATCGATGGTGGTGACGATAACACAACAATGTGAATGTACTTAATGTCATTGAACTGTACACTTAAATTGATTAAAATGGTAAATCTTATGCTATTGAAAAAAAGACTAGTAAGCCAAAGAGTGGTGAGAATGGGGCTATTGGAGATGACAGTGGTGAAGGAGAAGAGAAGGAGCAATGAAATACATCTTTAGATATGTTGAGAAACATATCTTTAGATAAGATTTCCCAACCATGTTATGGTAAGAAAACGAGTCAGGCCCAGTGGCTCACACCTGTAATTCCACCCCTTTGGGAGGCTGAGGCAGATGGATTGCTTGAGCCCAGGAGTTCGAAGTGAGCCTGGGCAACATGGTGAAACCCTATCTCTACAAAAAATACAAAAAATTAACCAGGCTTGGTGGCGTATACCTGTAGTCCCAGCTACTCAGGAGGCTGAGGTGGGAGAATCACTTGAGCCCAGGAGGTCGAGGCTACAGTGAGCCATGATTGTGCCACTGCATTCCAGCCTGGATGAAAAAAAAAAAAAAAGTAAAGGGAAATCTTATCAGGCGATAATTGTACTAAGTCACTGAGTGCTTACCAATTATCAAGGATTAATTAGGCTAAGGGCCTTGCATTATGCATTAACTTATTTTTTCTTCACAATAGCCCCATGGGGATGGGTGCTACTATTATATCCTTTTGAGATTTAGCAGGATTAACCATCTGTCTGAGGCACGGAGTTGATGAGTGCCAACAGAGCCAGGAGTTGAAGCCAGGGTGTCTGCTGAGCCCAGTGGTTCTCAAACATGTGTGCACCGGAATCTCCTGGAGGGACTGGGAAACCACACATTGCTGGACCTAACCCCCAGACTATCTGAGTCACTAGGTCTGGGGCAGGGGTCAAGGATTTGCATTTCTAACAAGTTCCCCAGTAATGCTCATGTTGCTGGTTGGGGACCACACTTGGAGAATTAGTGAACTAGCGTGTGCTCTTAACTGCTGCAAGGTAATAGCAGAAGGAAGGACTTGCTCTACACGGAAGGAACCTGGGACAATGGCACAGGGTAACTTGATGTGCTGAAAGGAGTTAGAGCAGGTCAGAGAGTGATGGGCAGAGTTCCCTACCCTTTATCAGCTGTGCCACCCTCTTTGCTGTGACAACAGGGGCAGCTGCTACTCTCCATCAGCAAGGCGTGAGCTTTGAGGTGTTTTGCCCAGGAAGTAATGGCCAAAGATCGATAGAGTCATACATTCTCATCATTTTCTTTCCCCTGGCCTACCCAAATATTCCATGTCCTTTAAGCTCCAGATGAAGTCCCATCTAAGGCTGATGTCTTGGTCTTCATAACTCAGATTGTATTTAAACTTAGTGTTACACAAGTTAGCATTTAATTATCCTCGAACTGATTTATGTGCTTTTGTCTCTCTTCCCCATCTAGTTTTAAAGCTTTTTGAGGTCAAGGACTGTGGCATATCTTTATCTCGGACTTCCAATGTGGTTAGAACAGTCTTAGTCAGACTGGATGTATAATCGATGATTATTAAAAAAAATTGTTCAGCAAGTTAGAGATTATCATTATATCATACTAATAAAAATAAGAGTAAGCATATGATGAACATATTTCAGAGAACTAAGGGTTGGTTCGTTGCTGGCTGTCCTGTTCGCAGTTCAAATGGTGGCACAGATAGGAGTACTCGTGGTTCAAGACACCTAAGTGACATCTGCATAAATCTAAGAAGCCTGTAAGGGGATGAGTGTGCCTTGATATTGTGCAATGCACACCTGCACTGCCTCAAGCCATGTCCCTGTGTACTGAGTGACCCCTACACGGACACTACTCCCTTGCAAGGAAGGTGATGTCCTTATAAATATCATTTCAGCTCTCCCATAATAGCTGGCACCTTTTTTTTTTTTTTTTTTTTTTTTTTTTGAGACAGAGTCTCACTCTGTCACCCAGGCTGGAGTGCAGAGGTGCAATCTGGGCTTACTGCAACCTCCACCTCCCAGATTCAAGCAATTCTCCTGCCCCAGCCTCCTGAGTAGCTGAGATTACAGGCACCCACCACCATGCCCAGCTAATTTTTTTTTGTGTGTGTGTATTTTTAGTAGAGACGGGGTTTCACCATGTTGGCCCGGCTGGTCTCGAACTCCTGACCTCAGGTGATCCGCCCACCTCAGCCACCCAAAGTGCAGGGATTACAGGTGTGAGCCACCGAGCCTGGCCTACTTTTTTTTTTCTTAAAGTCTAGTCAAGTACGGTAATGAGAAGGGAAGAGTAGGACGAATAATTCGATCTGCAGCTGACTGAAAAATCAATTAAGATATCTCACTACCTTGAGACCAGCCTGTACTTTTGCAATATTCTATAATTTTCTGATTCATGTTCTTTCTTCCCTCAACTAAATTTGTTAATAAGTACCTTACAGGTAGAACCATGTCTTATCTTTGTATCCCTAGTGTCTAGAGAAGAATGCTGCGTGTAGTAGATCCTCAAAATAAATGTTTGTTGAATGAAGGAACACGTGAGTGAAATATAAATAGTCATCGTCAGGTTATCTGAAACTCCAGACGTGGTGATACATGTAAAATGCGTTGAAACTGCTGAGAGAAAAAGCGAGATAATAGGCAAGTTCCAGGGAGAAAAGGTTTAAGGTGCCATCCAAGTTTTGGTAGTTTTCCTTTGTAGAGTCCTATAGTGGATTTTCCCACCAACAATCCAGAATGAGAGACGGATTGTTTCATCCTCCAGTTACACATGGGAAAATTGCTTTGGTCCCAGTTTTGTAATTTCCACATTTTTCCTTGATAATTTAGTCAAATCAGGACACTTTGTTTTCTTAAACAATTGTAATGCTCATATTAAAGGCCTTCATGGGGAAATTCCATTTTAGAAATTACTGTGGAGATGTAACAAAGCTCATCAGTGCCTTATTTTCTTGAAGAATATACTCCTTCATTTGACCTCCTAAAAACAACCTCCTTATCACTTGGCCTTTGTGTTAGTCATCAGTGCTGTTTACTGGGGGTCATGAGTATCTGCCCACCCTCCCTCTCAGCATGTGGTGGGATGGTGTTTCTCTGCTCCCCTTGAAGTTAGATAAGCCAGGTGACTTGCTTTGGCCAGTGAAATGTGAGGGAGTGGGGGATGTGTGTCACTTCCTGGTGGAAGTTTTAAGAACCAGTGTGCCCTTCCCTACCTTATCCTTCCCATTTCACTGGCGATGGGTCAAACTGAAGCCCCCATCAGCCTGAGGTCTCTCAGCAATTTCTATGAGTAATATGTTCACATTTCTTATAGATGGAAAGTCAAAACGATCAAAGAAAATGTTTCTTTGAAGTGCCTTAGAGAAATAACTGGCTAGACAGGTCTATTTCAACTCCTCCCTTTTATTTGAAGACATGACTTCATAGTGCATTACAATCTGTGTGAGCACGGGTGGCTTCAAAGGCCTATGCGGGATCAGCGGCCCTTCCCAGTGTAAACACGAATCTACTGTGTCTGATTAGTGCCTTTCACAGCCATCAGTCCCTGCCATTGTTAGGAACGCCAGGCTTAGAGTCAGAATTATAAGCTTTGTTTAATAAAAGATATTTACTCCTCAGTCCTGAGAGTTATCTGCAAGGTGTCCCTGTTCCCTAGTCCCTCCCAGACAGGCCACCCCACATCTTTTGCCTCTCTTTTGTTCTTGAAGTTCCGCAGTCACTCCCTGTGCAGAGGTAGCCTGGGTACTCTGCTGCTAGCTTTCATTTGCCCATATCCAGAGCTGGGCTGTGATAGAGACCCCTGCAGTATGGGAGCCTGGCTGACTGTTGGACTTTGTGGCTGCTGATCCTGCCTTGTTTCTTGGGCTTGGAGCCAGGGCTGACCTTGGACAAAGTACTAAGCAGGCTAACTTTGTTCTCAGACCCGCACATCCCTCTTCACACTTGGGCGACAGCACTGCATTGGACAAATGGGGGACTGACTCTCCCACTACACTTCCTAGCTGTGTGACCTTGAGCAAATGACTTAAAATCTTGACACCTCAGCTTCCTGAGCTCTTAAAGCTGGTACTGGTGCCTAGCTCAAAAGGTGACTGTGAGGGCCAAATAACACAATACATATATGCTTGGCATACTGTAATCCTTCAATCTATTTTAAGTTTTATTGTTAGTTTTATTAGTTTTAGTCTTACTAAGATGCAAATGACTGGCAAGGCGTGGATGTGTTCCTCCTGGGCTGTGGGAAGCCTGGTGTACAGGAGCCTAGTGTTCCTCCCGGAGGAGAGACAGTGACAGCAAGGCACACACACCTCAGCATGGCTCTGCACTGTCTGCTCACCTACATGCATAGAAGAACTCTTCTGGAATAGAAGACCCTTTATTTCTTTGTGAAAACAGCTTGTGCTGCTGAGGCAAATAACAGAAAATAATGAGCTCTGGAAAGTGATGGTTCTTAGGAAATCCTCAGCAATTTGGGATAAACGGGAGAGTGGAACATGAAGCTGGGCAGTGCCCAAGATCGATGCAGTGAATGAGTCCATAAGTCCATCACACACGTTCTGCGGAGAAAGGAAAACATGGTGTATGAAATGTTTTAGTAAGTACTAAACATTTACTAAACAGCTAGCACAAAAACTGCTTATCACGTGAGGCATAAAACTGTAGTAGAAGTTGGAAATGCACAAGTGGTGTGAGACCGTACAGAAAGCATGAATCTTGATGGAACTGAGACATGGGAGAAAGCAAGGGGCCCGGCTGATCATTGCATTTTCACAGGCTGAGGGATTGGTGTAAGATGTCCGATATATTCCTGTCCAAAGTCAAGTGTTGGCTTTACTCTGTTGGTGTGTGTCTGCCTCTCCATTGGCCAATGGCCTGCTTGAAGAGAGGGTTCTGTCTTCATCACTCTTCTCTCTCTTTCAAACTAGCTCTGTGTCTGGCACTTGGTAAGTGTCACCTAGGTGTTTAGTGAGTGAATAATTGAGTGAATCCATCTCAGGAGCCAGGTTCCAAGGTCTAAGCAGGTCTAGCATATAGGAAGCTTGTGCTAAGACAGTCAGCTAGGACCCGTAGGTGTCTGCCTAAGGACAGGATGGGTGGAGGCATAGGTGGGTAGGAAAGAGGCCAGCCTCCTCCAGGGCATTCCAGTTATGAAGTGTGAAGGTCTGCAGGGACTTTGAACTCAGCATTGCAAAAGTTTACCGGTTCCATTGATGAAGATACAGGAAAAGGTAGGCTGAGATCCTGGTAGAGCCACTCAGGAGGTTAAAAAGACCATGGTTTTGAGGGAAGCATGGAGCCAAAATGGTGTCAAACCTCTTAGATCTCAGAAGGAACCCAACCTTGAAGATTAAGTTATCTGTGTCTAGAGAACATCATACCTTGGGCTGGGTGCAGTAACTCACCCCTGTAATCTCAGCACTTTGGGAGGCCAAGGTGAGAGTATGGGTTGAGCCGAGGAGTTTGAGACCAGCCTGGGCAACATATTGAGACCCCAGCTCTACTAAAAAAAAAAAAGTTAGCATGGTGGTACATGCCTGTAGTCTCAGCTATGCAGGAGGCTGAGGTGGGAAGATAGCTTGAGCCCAGGAGCTACAGGCTGCAGTGAGCCATAATCGCACTACTGCTCTCCAGCTTGAGTGACTTTTGGAGATCTTGTCTCCAAAAATTAGTTAGTTAATTAAGTATATAAAACTAAAAAAATAAAATTCTACTTTGTTTGAGGCACCTCAGGATCTTACCCGGATACAATAGCAATCATTTTTTGAGCACTTTTATGCCAGACATTGTGCTAAGTGTTTTGTCTACTTTATCTAATTTAATTTTCATAACAGCTTCAAAGATAAGTACCATGATTCCCATTTTAAAGATGGGAACTGAGGCTTAGTAAAGTTAAGCAACCAATAAATTATAGATCAGAGATGCAAAGCCACACTGCATGACTACAATATCTCATGCCATTGACCACCAAGAAAAACTCCTACCTTTATTTTATTTGTAGGTTAGGGTGTGTGAATATGTGTGTAGACTTAAAATATCTACCCTCGTTTTATGATTCTTCTACAAATGTTGCTTCTAGAACTCCTTGGCTATACCCTTAAATTTCTAGACTAGAGAGACACAGATGGACTTTATGGTGGTACCC
Organism: Homo sapiens; assembly: GCF_000001405.40. Taxonomy (NCBI): domain Eukaryota; kingdom Metazoa; phylum Chordata; class Mammalia; order Primates; family Hominidae; genus Homo; species Homo sapiens. The sequence continues at coordinate 93,017,824 of NC_000012.12, read as the reverse complement.
AGGATCTCTATCTCCTGAAGTTTCTGCCCTCTTGAGTGTAGGCAGGACCTGTGACTTGCCTGTAACCAGTGGAATATGGCAAAGGTAATGGGGTGTCATTCCCAAGATCATGTTTGTTCATGTAGAACTCTGTTTTCTTAGTAGACCCAGGTAGAGTCTCTCTCTCTCTCTCTCTTTCTCTCTCTGTTGCTGACTTTGAAGAATTGAGTTGCCATGAACCCTACAATGGCAAAGAAATAAATTCAACAACCTGAGGGAGTATGCACAGAGATCTTTACCTGGTCAAGCCTCTGATGAGAACCCAACCTTGACCAACACCTTGATTGCCACCAGGTGAGACCCTAAGGACAGAACCCAGCAGAGCTGTGTTCAGGCTCCTGACTCAAAGAGCATGTGAGATAATAAGCATGTGTTGCTTTAAGCTGTTAAGCGTGTGGTAGTTTGTCACACAGCATAGAAAACAAATACACAGACCATTACCTGAAAAACAAAAACAAAAACAAAAAACCTTGCTGTGTGATGATTGGAGAGACACTGGGTTCAGAGGATGGGGCAAAGCTGCTCTTATTTTTTTCCATTGGTGGAAATTAGTCTATGAGAATCCTCCTCCTTTGTGAGCAACAAGAAGGCCTTTGTTAAAAAAAAAAAAAAAAAAAAAAAAAAGCCTATCTCCCTTTGTTCTCCAGCCAGCCTCTCTCTCTCGGGTGTCCTCTAGAGTCCTAGCTCTCAAGCTCTCAGTGGAGCTGGGCAGTGGGGAATAATGTCATAGTCCCTTCAGGCTGTTATCACAAAATGCCATAGACTGGGTAGATTATAAACACAGAAATTTATTTCTCACAGTTCTGGAGGCTGGGAAGTCCAAAATTAAGGTATTGACAGATTTAGTGTCTGGTGAGGGCCTGCTTCCTCATAGCCAGTCGTTTTCTCACTGTAACCTCACATGCTAGAAGAAGCAGGGGATCTCTCTGAGGCCTGTTATATGGGGCACTAATCCCATGATGAAGGTTCCACCCTCCGGACTTCATCTAACTCTAACGACCTCCCAGAGGCCCCATTCCTAATATCATCACCTTGGGAATTAGAACTCCAACATATGAATTTCAGGGGAATGCATATTCAGTCCATTGCAGAGGGTTCAAGTCCCTTCCATTATGCCCAATGGAGGGGAAATAAAAATGGTATGGCTTCAGGGTGAAGTATCTACAGGATAAACATATCTTTCCATATCCTGATTAATTCTAATCATATATTCTCTGTATTATGATGCCTGATGTTCCTGGGGTTTTTTTTTTGTTTTTTTTTTTTTTTGCCATGTTACCAAAGACTCCCTTCTATTATTTTAGTTGGTATAAAACAGGGTCTAATTAAGTTGTTAGTTCATTACCTCACCTCCGGGAAAGAGGGAAAAGAATAAAATTTCACTGGGCCTCACCTCTTATCAGAAAAAGGTTTTATATCACTGAGAATAGGGAAACTGCAGGTTAAAGGCTAAATTCCTTTGGTTGTAATGTAATACCAAAGCTGTTCTTTTTTTTTAAGGATCAAATAAAGCCTGTACTTAAACAAATTGTGTGTGCAAATACAATCGCTGTCCCTCTTGCTGTGACATGTTTGTGCTGGCTGAAGCTTGAAGTATTCTACCACTGAAGCTCACAGGGGTTTGGGTGGAGAGCTGATCCTGGGCAAAGAGGGCAGGTGACTTATTGATTGCATGAAAATTCCCTCCCTGCAAGCAAAACAATAGCATCACTGCCATTCGTGCCTCAGCTTCATGGTGGGGCGGTAGGAGAATGTGTGTTTTGCCTGCTTTGTTGCAAGGAGGAAAGGGAGGGTTGCTCTGTCCTGGTTGAGGAGGCAAAGGTGGCATTCCTGTATTTTTGTTGGATCCCTTTGCATGAACAACCTCACCTGTCAAAACATGGTGAGAAATAGAAGTAGAACAAAGAAGAGAGAAGCAGGAACCAGTGAGAAGACAGATTGAACTGAGCCAGGACCTTAAAATACAAGCTGTAAAATGTCCGATTGCATTTTATTTTACAGCTGCTTGAACTTACCATTTTTGGCTAACGTGTATGTGTGTATTTATATATTTGTCTATATAACTAACCATGAAATTGTTATGTCTAGGCCAATGGATTTTTTTATTTTTATTTTTTAGAGACAGGGTCTTGTTCTGTCACCCCAACTGGAGTGCAGTGACATGATCATAGCTCACTGTAACCTCCAACTCCGGGACTCAAGCAATTCTCCATCCTCAGCCTCCAGAATAGCTGGGACTATAGCAGTGAGCCACTGCTCCCAGCAACAATGGATATTTTTTAATATTATCGTGTGTGTAGATATAATCATAAATATATAATTTCTGGACAACAAGTATCAAACATATTAATTTGCTTTGTGTAATGCCTTTCACCACCTAACAATAGCTAGTGATTTCCAGCTTTTTAAGACACAGCTTTATAAATGAAGTGCTTAGGCAGTGGAGTGGCTCAGGCCTATAATCCTAGCACTTTGGGAGGTTGAGATAGGCAGATCGCCTGAGGTCAGGAGTTTGAGGCCAGCCTGGCCAACGTAGTGAAACCCAATCTCTACTAAAAATACAAAAAATTAGCTGTGTGGTGGCGCATGCCTGTAATCCCAGCTGCTTGGGAGGCTGAGGCAGGATAATCACTGGAACTGGGGAGCCGGAGGCTGCAGTGAGCCGAGATCATGCCACTGCAATCCAGCCTGGGCAACAGAGCGAGACCCTGTCTCAAAACAAATAAACAAATAAATAAATAAGCAAAGTGCTTTCACATAATTATCTCAGTTAGAGGCCTGAACATCAGCTCACCCTCTTTTTCTCTGAGGACTCTTAGAACTTCCACTCTTGACTTTCAGGCCCAGTCTAACAACGACGTATCCCTCAGAATTTCATGATAACCAAGGGCAGCTCTGTCACTTGGGCTCTGCTCTCCAGTGTGACTCAAAGCCTTCTTCCTATTCCTGGTATTTCTGAGTTCCTGAAACTGCCCTCCTGCCTCTTGTCCTGGGATCATCTCATGCAGCATTTTCTCCAAATATTCCTTTCACCTGTTTGCTCTAACGGACATTGGAAGACTTCTGAGGCCATTTCCTTCCCCACTGCCTCTTCAAGGACAGGATAGTTTTTTGTTTTGTTTTGTTTTTTCTTTCTCATCCCCCTTGCACCCTAAGGCCAAGAAGTAGAAAAAGCATCCCCCTGGCTCCTCACTGTTGACTGCAAAGCATTTCTCTCCCTCCCTCCTGACACTGTCTCCTCTTGCTCCTTTCCCCCCATCTTGGACCAGTCATCTCCTTGACCTCCGCTCATTCCTGCTCATTCAAAAACACTTGAGCCCCTGACCAATGTGCTTTCTCTCCACCCACTCCTGCATCATTCTCTGACCTCAGCTTTCACAGGCTGCCTCTCTACACCCTGATATCTCAGTTCCTTAACTTCTTTACCCCACTCCACCTCATCTCAGCCAGTCACCCCCTTGGCCACTACTGGGCTTTTTATTTACACCACCAGTACCTGCTTTCTTTCTGAAATTTCCAACTACTATCTATTTCTTAGTCTTTGGCTGACTGGCTTTGTAGTTACTTTTTTTTTTTTTTTTTTTTTTGAGATGGAGTCTCGCTCTGTCACCCAGGCTGGAGTGCAGTGGTGCAATCTCGGCTCACTGCAACCTCCGCCTCCCTGGTTCAAGCGATTCTCCTGCCTCAGCCTCCTTAGTAGCTGGGATTACAGGTGCGCACCACCATGCCTGGCTAGTTTTTGTATTTTCAGTAGAGATGGGGTTTTCCCATGTTGGCCAGGCTGGTCTCGAACTCCTGACCTCAGGTGATCCACCCACCTTGGCCTCCCAAAGTGCTGGGATTACAGGCATGAGCCACCAAGCCCAGCCCGTAGCTACATTTATTTTACCTTAAGCATGGACTCTGACACTTAAGAATTATCTGTTAGCCTTCTATCTTTACTTATTATTTATTTTTTGGAGGCAGGGTCTCCCTCTGTTGCCTAGGCTGGAATGTGGTGGCATGATCACAGCTCACTGCAGCCTCTGCCTCGGATCCTCCCACCTCAGCCTCCAGAGTAGCTGGGACCACAGTACTCTGCACCATCACACTAGGCTAATTTTTTGTTTTGTATAGATGGGGTCTCACTTTGATGCCCAGGTTGGTCTTGAACTTCTGGGCTTGAGGGATCCCCCCGACTTGGCCTCCCAAAGTGCTAGGATTACAAGCATGAGCCATTACACCTGGCCCCATCTTCATTTTCTTCCCATCTGGTTTAGAGTTCATTTCCATTGATATCACTTCCTTAAAATTATTCTTGGCTCATTAGATATTCATAGACAAAAATAAATCTTCATCTAAATCTCATACCTTATACAAAAATTAACTGATTATGAATTATAGAGGTAAATGTAAAATGCAAAACTATGAAGCTTTTGGAAGATAACATAGAAGAGTCTTTGGGACCTTGGGCTTGGTAAAGTGTTCTTGAATGTGATACCAAAAGCACAAACCGTTAGAAAAATAATAAATTGGACTTTATCAAAAATTTAAAAGTTTTACTCTGCAAAAGACCCTGTTGAAGATAAAAAGACAAGCTAAAGACTGGGAGAAATATTTGCAAATCACACATCTGACAAAGGACTAGTATCTGGAATATATAAAGAACTCTGAACCTCAACATTAAAAAGAATCTAGTTGAAAGTTGGCAAAAGACATCCAGAGAGTTCACCAGAGAGGATACAAAGATGGCAAACAAGCATTTGAAGATATGTTCAATATCACTAGCCATTAAGGGAAATGCAAATTAAGACCATTACTATACACATATTAGAACAGTTGAAATGAAAACTAATGACAACATATTGATATAAATAAATTGTCAAATAAATAAATAGATGGAGGAGAATAGACAAATCTTCCATGTAAATGAATTTCAAACAATTTATGAGGGTACTGTACCCTGAAGGAGGTGGAACATAGCTTCCCATTCTTTAAGTGACTTCCTTCTGAAGAGTAGTGTGGAAAGAGGGAAAAGTAACTTCACAATGAAGAAATGTGACAAACACTATTTCAACCAGTTGAGCAAGGTTGATATCAATAGTGATGTTCTATTGATACTATGTAACCTTGATAGAATATGATGAGAATTCTATCAAGAATTCTTTTTTATTTTTTATTTCTTTTTGAGATGGAGTCTCGCTCTGTCGCCCAGGCTGGAGTACAGTGGAGCGATCTCCGCTCATTGCAACCTCCGCCTCCCAGGTTCATGCCATTCCCCTGTCTCAGCCTCCTGAGTAGCTGGGACTACAGGCTCCCACCACTGCATCTGGCTAATTTTTTGTATTTTTAGTAGAGACGGTGTTTCACTGTGTTTGCCAGGATGGTCTCAATCTCCTGACCTCGTGATCCACCCGCCTCGGCCTCCCAAATTCTATCAAGAATTCTTGACTGCACTTTATCTGTGTGGTCTTCCTCCCCACAACCCCCATCTGAACATGAGAAAAACATTAGAAAACATTATGAAATCAAGTACAGTTAACTCTTAAACAATATGGGTTTGAACTGTGTGAGTCTACTTAAACTCAGATTTTCTTCCACCTCTGCTGCCCCTGAAACAGCAAGACCAACCCCTTCTCTTCCTCCTCTTCTTCATCCTATTCAATGTGAAGATGATGAGGATGAGACCTTTGTGATTATCCACTTAATGAGTAGTAAATATATTTTCTCATCCTTATGATTTTCTTAATAACATTTTCTTTTCTCTAGCTTACTTTATTTGTAAGAATACAATATATAATACATATACAAAATATGTGTTAATTGACTATTTATGTTAACAGTAAGGCTTCTGGTTAACAGCAGGCTATCAATAATTAAGTTTTGGTGGGGAGTCAAAAGTTATACTTGGATTTTCAACTCCTGGAAGGGTCAACACCCCTAACTTCCACATTGTTCAAGAGTCAACTGTCTATGTTAAATAGAGACTTGAACACAACTTTTCTGTCCCTAGAACCAGTGCTTTTTGTACTGTGTTTAACTTACCAGTGGGAAGGTGCTTTTTGATGGCTGTGGATTCAACCCATAGCCACGCAGAGTCTCAGGCTCCTCTGGATTACACAAAATTCAGGAATTCAAAGACTAAAGGACCCATTTCAATGGTTCCCAAATGCCGGGAAGGGCCAGAGTTTTTACTGGCCCACAGAACACCTATTGTAAAAATTCCCAGCTTCTCTCTGTAAGGCAAGGAGACCATATGGTTCTGCCCTGAAAGTGAGGGGCAATAACTGAGGAGAGTCCTGAGCTTACTTCCTGCGGAGTCCCAGCCACCCACCTGGCCTGGCTCAACCGGCCTTTCTACCTGCCCATTGTAAGCAAGGTAAAAGGAAGGACTTGAGAATGTGGGAGCTACTGTTCCTGAGCATATTGATTTGCCTAGACTATGTCAGAATAATTGAAACGGCATTAGGCCGGGCATGGTGGCTCATGCTTGTAATCCCAGCATATTTGGGAGGCCGAGGTGGATGAGTCACCCAAGCTAAAGAGGTTGACACCAGCCTGACCAACATAGCGGAACCCCGCCTCTACTAAAAATACAAAAAATTAGCTGGGCATGGTGGCGGGCACCTGTAATCCACCTACTCTGGAGGCTGAGGCAGGAGAATCGCTTGAACCCAGGAGGCAGAGTTTGCAGTGAGTCCAAATCGTACCATCACTCCAGACTGGGCAACAAGAGTGAAACTCCATCTCAAAAACAAAAAACAAAACACTATTAAGACTATTGTTTTTATTTTTGCTCATATCTGTAAAACAGAATTTTTCATGATGGCACTGATAAAAATATAACACCAAAACAAATGACACCTTAGAGCCCTTCATCATGGGTGCTATCAAATACCAGAGTATGAAATACATATAGTGCTATCAAATTAAAAAAAAATTGTACCAAGGGAACATAATATTTGTTGTAGTATAAAATAAATTTTAATGTTATAAATGTTTCTAAATGTATATAAAACTATAAGTATATCCTTTAAAATTATCTACGGTTAACAAATTGTATTTCTTGGGAAGAGCTCTTTTGTATTCTGACATTATGAACTTCCTACATTTTTGGTGTGGAAATATCCTTTCCTGTCTGAAATGATGGCAATGGTAGCTTTTTGTTATTGTTGTTATTGGCAAAATTAACAGTTTGGCAACTCTATGTTAGCTCTTTCTACTGCCTTGGGAAATTTTGCTGTCCTGAAAACTTAAAGTCTGAAAACTACTAACCTAGGAACGCTATTATTCTAAAATATAGGAGAATTAAATAAATGATTTTTAAAAATCCTATATGAATTAAAAACTCATTTGGCTGGGGGAAGGCTGGGAAAAAAAAAGAACTCAGAAACTTTGGCTGGTTTCATTAGTTTGTGTTTCACATAATCCACTGTGTAAAATTTCACTTTCTCCTACCACTTCTTTACTAGGTTATTTTATAAACACCAAATCTGAAAAGAACTGAAATTGTAGAAACTGGAATATATTATAGTTCCGTAGTATCATATATCACAACTCTTTAGAACATGTATTTTTCACTGAATGATACACTATAAAGGTTTGCTTTCATTTGTTGTCTGTGTGTTTGCTTTGATATTTTTGCTTTTGATGTCACATGAGTACGATGCATTAGTGAAATTTGCAAAATGTGCTCTGTAATAGTTGGGGTAGCTTCTTATGTTTGTATCAAAGAAACTAAGTTGATGAGAAATATGGAAATGTGCTTCTGAGTTTAGTAATTTTTTCCCTTACATTGTATAATGTAAGCAATAGACCCATTCCATTAAAGTGTGAAAATAATTTCCTCATGAATTCTGTATCAATGTGGGAAATTTTAGCATGTATGGTTTTACTATGCCTAGCTGCTCAAAGGCTGTCTAAGGAGGTAAAAATAGGCACTGGTTGGATTTTCCCTTCATTTCAGTCCATGCACCAATTCAAATGAATCTAATTTTGCCTGATTAGAAAGCAGATCCCCATCCCTTTACTCCATTCCATGCCATCTCCATTTCAATGAGCTGCGGAAGGGAAACACCATTTCTCTGACACTGACAGTTTCAGAATGAGACCATTTGCAGAGGCTGAGTGTTTCGCCCATAGCAGGTAGTTTTACATCAATTTGCATTAATAGCAAAATTGGAAGAAGTAGCTTGTTAGTATTTTCCTGCTTGGCCTGAAGACTAAAATATGCGATGTTGAGTCCTATACCATTTTGAAAATTCATTTCCCTTTGGAATATATGTGCATTCCAAAATTGACTCAGATTAGAGCTTTTACTGTTGATATTTAGAAACAGTTTGACAATGGCTGCTTAGATACAATGTGTTGCACTTATCCCAGTTTAATTTCAATTTTATTTTTATTGCAAAGAAGGAGATGAGAAAATGTCAGGTCTTAATTTGGAGTAGCTCTTTATGTCCAAGTAAACAGAGAGTAAATTCTTTATTGGCGTCGCTTCTTTCAAATAATGAAATAGTTGATGGAGATTTCTCTGTACATAACAGTGATTTGGCAAATATGAAAATGTTGGGGAGCTCAGAGAACAGTAGAAAAGGTCACGTGTGGTCGCTCACGCCTGTAATCCCAGCTCTTTGGGAGGCCGAGGCAGGAGGATCACTTGAGCCCAGGAGTTCAAGACCAGCCTGGGCAACATGCCAAAACACCGCCTGTACAAAAAATACAAAAATTAGCTGGGCATTGTGGCCCGTGCCTGTAGTTCCAGCTACTTAGGAGGCTGAGGTGGGAGGATCACCTAAGGTAGGGAAGTCGAGGCTGTGGTGAGCTATGATCATGCCACTGCATTCCAGCCTGGGTGACAGAGTGAGACCTTGTCTCAAAAACAAACAAACAAAAAAAAGGAGCCAAACATCTCAAGTTGATGAATACATGAAAATGTAGCATCAAGAACATTCAGAAAAGGGACATAGAATTTGGAGATGAGAAATAAATTTGCAGAAAATACTTCAAGACACCAAAAGTTCCCCAAAATTTTAAGCTAAAACTACATGTGTTAAGTTATTGTTAAGGAATAGAAGAGGTTAATATTTTTAGCAGGAAGAAACTATTAGCAAATCCACAACTTATACTTTTATTTATTCTTCCATTGTGAAGGATACACATATGTTAGCTTAAGTAGGATCTCCTGCCTTACACAATTTCACTGTGGAAAAAATAATATTGACCAAGCCTCTGATCCTGCCTGACATGAAATTGATGATACACATTTAGAATCATGGAATTTTTCAGCTGGAAAGCGCCTTTGGATGACAATTAAAGGCATTAAAAATGTGTGTCCTTCACACCAGTTTCATTTACAATAAGTAATCATAAATGCCACAAAGATAGAAAGTTTAAATAATTATACTGGACAATAGTGCAAATGGGGTCCTCGTTGATGAATGTATTAATTCTCTCTTCTACTAGTGGGTAAAGCTCTTCATAGAATTCTAAAATTTTTGATCTGGGCAACACTTTGGGGATGACTGATTTTGCACAGATGAGGAAACTGAAACTGAGATAGGAGAGTTGACAACATGAAAATCTCACAGCCACTTAGTAATAAAGCCAAGTTCAGCATAGAGAAAGACTGAGCTTTGTGCAAATAGAACATTAGGGCCTTTATTCAGGGAAGCAGCCTTCTTCCACAGACCAGTATGGACTCAGAGGAGGGTGGGAGACACAAACTCAGATAATAGTGAGAGACGAGGAACCCAGACCAGAGCTGAACCTTCTTTGAAAGGCTCTGTGGGAGACCAGAATATCTTCCCCAAAATATGAAGGATTGTTGAGCTGAAGATGCTCAAGAAGAAACAGGTACAGGAGAGGTCTCTGCCTCAATTTGTCCAAAAGGAGGACATAGATTTACAAAGGCAAAAAATATCCTGGCCACCAACCCCCGCCTTTTCCCTCAAGAAAAGTTTAACCACTGAAGACAGCTTTAGACCCTCATCAGCCTAGAGTCGGAACCAGAGGAATTTGCATTGGCAGGCTTTCCTAACTAGCGTTTATCTGCTGTTTGTTTGCTTTTCCTTGAGTTGCCAGCCTGCTCACAGAAACTCAAAAAGTCCTTTCTTGTTGTCTTGCCACTTGTCTAAAAATCTATTGTTCTTTGTTGAAGATGCTATATATAAACTGGAACTTAAAGCCACCTCTTTGAAAACTCATTCTCTGGATGTCCCCCATGCGTGTATAAAATATCCATATTAATAAACTTCTGTTTTTCTCCTGTTTGTCTGTTGTGATGGGTCCGTTCCAACTAAGAACCTGTTGGAGGTTATTGTTACTTCCCTGCAGCTCTTTCTTGTCTGTGTGTGTGTTCATCGTCTCCTTGGTAAGAAAGAACTGTTAACTTAGATCAGAAACTCACAGAATATGATTTGTAACTCGTTGTATATAAAGGATCCTAAATGAACTGTTTCGAAACCCAGAGACAGTATGCCAGAGTGGCCAGGACCTTGGGCCCTGGATGCCAATTGTCTGGGTTTGGTTGTAGGGTGAGAGAGCGGAGAAATCGCCATCCAAACCCTTGTAGGTCATGACAAAGTTTTGTATTGTTATCCCAAGAGCTTTGGGAATTCACAGAGACGAGTGTGTTCCAATTCACATCCAAAAAGCTTATGTGAAAAACCTCTGTCCATTACTAGTTGTGTGAATTTGGGCAAGTAATTTATCCTGTCTGTGCCACGAATTCTTCATGTAAAATGACACCCGCCTTTTACTGTTGCTAGGATAATTAAATGAGATAATGTTTTAAAATGCCCCAAACAATGCCTGGAGCACAGCAGGCTCTCAATGGACTCTAATGGGATTCAGCTCTGCATTTCCCATAGTATGACCATGTGGGCATCATAAGTGGTAAAAGAAAGAAAAAGAAAACACCCAAAGGGAATATAAAGGTTGCTAATAGAAAGAGAAGAAAAGATGTGGAAGTTGAGAAGGAGAAGTTACAGTGGTCTATAGACTCATTCCAGGATTGGTGCGAAGTAGGAGATAAGTGGCGGAGAGGCTCTGGGTTTTGAAATTGGACTTCAGAGACCTCTCACTTTTAATCTACAGCCCTTTGAAATGCTAGTCATGCATGAACAGCATCCTATGCACTCCAGCACTAATAAATTTTTCAGCAGCTCCACTTTGAATTGAGCCTAATATCTACAGCACAGTTATTCTCTGAACCATAAGAACAGTGATCACAGCAAACTCACAGTGAGGGAAGATTTGCTCAGTTTGGCATTTGAAGCTTGCTAAAACCTTGGCTCAACCTGAATCTAATTCATACAGCTCCCTAACCTAAAGGATGCTTAAAACATTTTCCTGGCTCAATATCAAGCCCAGGCTCCCTAAGGCAGCCAGTCACCACCTCTCTCTTCCATGTCATCTCACTGCTCCTGGCCTTAAACTTCGTGCTCTCATAGCAACCCTGAGTGACCTGGAGGCCCTCTTTCTCCCTACACACCAGTACATTTTCTAACCAGTTTCTTTGCTCAGAAGTGTCCTCTCCCCGCCTCGCCTGCACGATTGCACGTGATTCCTACTCACCTCCACCAGGAAGCCTTCTCTGATGCCTCTGACTGGGAGAGGTACCCCTCTTTGCATAGCCTGCTCCACACATCATGTTAGAGTTCCTGGTTCCTCTTGATGACTCTGGGCTCTTTGTATCCACAGTATTCAGTGCCTGGCTTAGAGAAGGCTGTTGTTATCATGAGCGAGCCCTTTGATCCATGTAAACCGCTCACCCTCTGTCCCAGGGCTTACCATTCTTACTGGGATATGTCCCCTGCATTTTCAGAATGCCTGAAACTCTTGCTCGGTGTATTGTGTGCCTCTTTGTGTCACTGTGTATTTTGCTATCTGTTTAAGCCTTTCCCAAACACAGAGTATTTGGGAGAAAGACAGCAAGCAGCTTTTCCATCTCTATCCTCAAAACTTTAATTTAATGGCCAAACACATGGAGGTGCTTGATAAATAGCTGTCAGTAATGAGATGTTGATTTCTGTCTTCACTCTAGCTTCCACCCTTTTCCCATCAAATCCCACTCATCCTTAAGGTCTACCTCTTCCATGGACTGTTGCTTTTATTTTTCTTTAGAACACTTAGTCATTCACTGTACTTCACTTTTGGCTTATTATATTCTTATTTATTTATTTATTTATTTATTCTGATACAGGGTCTCACTCTGTCAATCATGGCTCACTGCAGCCTCGACCTCCAGGACTCAATCAATCCTCCCGCCTCAGCCTCCCAAGTAGCTGGGACTACAGGCCTGTGCCACCATGCCCAGCTAATTTTTGTATTTTTTTGTAGAGACGAGGTTTTTTCATGTTGCCCAGGATTTAACTGTTCTGTGTATGTACATAAGGTATCTCATACAAAGTTGTTTTTTTTTTTTTTTACAAAATTGTCTGTGTCTCATATTCTTTTGTAGCACTCTCCCCTCTGATATGTAAAATCATTTTCCTTCTTAACCTTACCAGGTTGAGATGAACAGGAAAGGACATCATATAAAAGCAGGTGAATGCCTTGTGTATACACGTTTGGGAAAATATGAAGTGTAGGTCTGGTGGGTTTGGGGAGTGATAAGGAGAAAATGAAACTAAAAGGACATTTTATAGAAGCATATTTAAGGATTAGCTGCTTAAATAATTGTTGTATTCATTAGCTTAATGAAAATGCTGAAAATACCTCAGAAAGGTGGAATAAAATGGGTCAAAAGTAAGAAAGACAAAAACATTAGTTTGGCTAAAGAGGGCAGTGCTGTGTGGTGGTCAGACCTTTGGTGTTAAATGAGCTGAGTTCCATTCCTTGCTCCTCCATTCACCATGAGACTTGGGCAAGTAACATCATTTCAAACCTCTGTATATCAGTAGTCATTTCAAACCCATTGTATAACAGGGCTGAGAGTACCTACCACATAGAGTTATTGCAACAATTACATGAGCTAATGCAGATTAATTCAAAGCCTGAGACAAATTAGCTTTTATTTTATTTTATTTTATTTTGGAGACAGGGTCTCGCTCTCTCACCCAGGCTGGAGTACAGAAGCATGATCTCGGCTCACTGCAGCCTTGACCTCCCAGCCTCAAGCAATTCTCCTGCCTCAGCCTCCCAAGTAGCTGGGCCCACAGTCATGTGCCACCACACCTGGCTAATTTTTATATTTTTTTGTACAGATGAGGTTTCATGTGCTGCCCAGGATGAGCCACTGTGCCCGGCCAAATGAGCTATTTATGATGATCATAAGGACACAAGATAAGGGTAAGGATGCAAGAGATTGAAGTGTAGAATTACTGTTGGTCACCGGGGGTGGTGGCTCACACCTGAAGTACTAGCACTTTGGGAGGCTGAGGCAGGAGTATTGCTTGAGGTAAGAGTTCAAGACCAGCCTGGGCAATTAGCAAGACCCTGGTCTCTACAAAATATTTGAAAATTAGCTGGGCATGGTGGCATATGCCTGTAGTCCCAGCTACTCAGGAGGCGGAGGTGGGAGGATCCCTTGAGCCCAGGAGTTCAAGGCTGCAGTGAGCTATGTTACCACCACTGCACTCCAGCCTGGGTGACAGAGCAAGACCTTGTCTCTTGAAAAAAACAAAAAAGAAAAAAACTATTACCATTGGTTAGTAATTAAGGAAGCAAGAGGCTTTTCATATGGAGCCAGCTGGGACCACAGCTACTTGGGGAGCTGAGGTGGGAGGATCGCTTGAGCCCGAGGCTATGGTAAGCTGAGATTGCACCACTGGACTACAGCCTGAGTGGCAGAGCCGACTCTGTCTCTAAAACAAAAACAATAGTACTTACTTAACAGAACTACTGGGAGACGTAAGAGGTATAATAATTGTAGAATGCTCTTAGCGTAACATCCATCATGCAGTAATTGCTCAATAATGTTAGTAAAATCTCCCAATGAGAAAGTTCAACATTATCTTCAACTCTTCTTTCTTGCTCCAGAAATCCAATCAGTTGCTACGTGCTGATGATTCTGATTCTGGCCCTGCAGTATCGCTTGCATGCACCTCCTCCTCCCTGTGCTCACTGCTGGAGAAAAGAGAACCTTGGCTGATGATTTATGGATCTACAAGTAATCGAAGCTTAACTGCCACAAAAATAACTTTATCCAGTCCTCCCCCCCTCCCCTGCACCTTCTCTAGTTAGCGCTGTAAGAACTTGGTTGCTCAGGTGGAAGGCATATAGATTGTATTGTATTTGAATAGCTCCCCAGGTAGCACAGTAATGTCTCTGCACTTGATTAAATAAGTCAGGTCAATTTTTCTGCAAGTTTTCCTCCATTGCAGCACTAACATCCACATTTAATTTGTTGCTTTATTTAACACCATCATCTGCTTTCAGGGCAAAATAAATAAAAAGGAACAATGGCCGGCCAAGGTGGCTCATATCTGTAATCCCAGCACTTTGGGAGGCTGAGGAGGGTGGATCACAAGGTCAGGAGTTCAAGACCAGCCTGGCTAACATGGTGAAACCCTGTCTCTACTACAAATACAAAAGTTAGCCAGGCACAGTGGCACGCGCCTGTAGTCCCAGCTACTTGGGAGACTGAGGCAGAAGAATCGCTTGAACCCAGGAGGCGGAGGTTGCAGTGAGCCAAGATCATGCCGCTGCACTCTAGCCTGGGTGACAGAGCAAGATTCTGTCTCAAAAAAAAAAAAAAAAAAAAAAAAAAAAGGAACAATTTGCCAGAGGAAAACCAGTTAGCTAAACCTGCTTTGCTTTGGCCAATCCCATGTTATGTGTCAACTGTCTCATTACAATTTGTTTATTTACAGGGAAGCCGCCAGTGTCTAAGATGTAAGGCATTCAGAAAATTGTGCAGATGATGGATTCACAGTACCTAGAATCCCCATGACTCAGTTTTCCACAAATGTGCTATTTGGGGAAATGCACACAGATCAGCAACTATTCACTTTTGCTGGCAGCACAAACATTGCTGACACGCACTCTTCCAAATTGCAAGCAGTTTCCACAGTGAAAACAATGAGAACAGAATCACAGCATTAAACAGTTGGCCGGGAATTTTAGAGATAACTTAATCTACCCCTTTGTTCTGGACACAGTCCTGTTTTAAGCTGTTTTGAATAGATAAAAAGTCCATGTTATTTTAATAGGTCTTCATCAGTAACCGTCTTCAAATATGACCACTCTCCAAATTAGACAGTAATTCCTCCAGTCTGGACCAGACAGTAGGGTTTCCTAGCCCAGAGCATTTGTCGACTTTCTCTTGTTGGTAAACAGCCAATTTCAAGGGTTTACCCATCTCTTCCCTGTATGTCTCGGGATTAAATTCTGATCTGTCTCAGCTTGCCAGTGACTGGTTTGGAGGGGGAAAGTGACCCAGTTCTGTGAAATAAAACCGTGGCAGGTCAGGCAAGGGGAGCTCCTAGATGCTTTTCTTGCTCCTAAAAGAAGACCTGTAGAAAAGCAGGTCATAGCTGCCATAGCTCCCTTGCCTCCATGAAGAGAACCAGCCAAAGATAAGGCCATCATAATGATGGTGGCAGAGCACAGATATGGAAAAAATATGGGTCTTTTTTTTTTTTTTTTTGAGACAGGGTCTCCCTCTGTCACCCAGGCTGGAGTACAGTGCCACAATCTCCACTCATTGCAACCTCTGCCTGCCAGGCCCAAGTGATCCTCCCACCTTGGCCTCCTGAATAGCTGGGACTACAGGCTCATGCCACCATGCCCGGCTAATTTTTGTATTTTTTATACAGACAGGGTTTCACTATGTTGCCCAGGCTGGTCTCAACTTCCTGGGCTCAAATGATCTATCCACCTAGGCCTCCCAAAGCTCTGGGATTATAGGCATGAGCCATTGTGCCTGGCCAGAATCTGAGTCTTTGATAATATTATTGAGACGCTGAATCAACCAACCTGAAACCACCCTACCTCAGAATTTTTTTGCTATGTGAACTAGTAAAATGTCTTTAGTGTTTATAGATTGATGACTAGAAATCAGTGGCTTTTTTTGTTTTTTTTTTTTGGTTGAGAATTTTACTGTAGAATGACATTCAAGATTCCATTCACAGGTAAAAGTCATTCCAGAGAATGGAACAATATTTGACATGCAAGCATTTAAAGAAAGGAGAGGTAAACAGTGGTAACTACTTCGGATTCACTGAGACCAAGCGTGCCAAGCTAAACATTCCTTTTTTGATAGGATTAGTAGATTACATGCCGGAGGAAGTCACCACCATCACATATTGGATTTCAGCAAGCATTTGATAAAATTGCTTATAATATTTTGGCCAATATTGGATGGAAAAATATTGAGGAGATGATGTAGTGCTGAAGAAAGACAAGATGCTGAGGAAGACAAGACTGGTTAACAGATCATGGCATTTTAAAGGTACAGTGACAGCCTTGAAAAAGAAAGAAATTCTGTCATTTGCAAAACAGAGATGGACTTAGGGAACATTATGCTAAGTGCAATAAGCCAGGCACAGAAAGACAAATACTGTATGTCTTCACTTATATTTGGAATCTAAAACAATCAAACTCATAGAAACAGAGAGTAGAATGGTGGTTACCAGAGGCTGGGGGCTGGGGGAATGAGGAGTTGATGGTCAAAGTATACAGCCTCAGTTAGACAGGAGGAGCAAGGTTGTGTTTTGGTTTGGTTTTGAGATAAATTGCACTGCGTGGTGAAGGTAGTTAATAATCGTGTATAGTACTTTTCAAAATTGCTAAGACAGTAAATTTCCAATGTCTTCACCACAAAAAAAAAGTATTTGAGGTGATGTATATGTTATTTAGCTTGATTTAATTACTCCGCATTGTATTCATAAGTCATAACATCATGGGCTGGGCCTGGTGGCTCACGTCTATAATCCCAGCACTTTGGGAGGTCAAGGCGGTAGATCGCTTTGAGCCCAGGAGTTCAAGACCAGCCTGGGCAACATGGCAAAACCCTGTCTCTACCAAAATTACAAAAGCTAGCTGGGCTTGGTGGCGTGCACCTGTAGTCTCAGCTACTCGGGAGGCAGAGGTGGGAGGATTGCTTCAGCACGGGAGACAGAGGTTGCACTGAGCCGAGATTGTGCCACTGCACTCTAGCCTGGGTGACAAAGCCAGATCCTGTCTCAAAAAAAAAAAAAGAAAAAGAGAACCATAACATCACTTTGTACCTCATAGGGATAGAAAGGGGGTGATCCCTTTTCTCCCCATCCTGAGGGTCCAAGCTGACACTCCTATAAAAAAGGACAGGTTAACAAGAGAAAAGCATACAAATTTATTTAATCATAGTTTTATATGACATGGGAGCCTTTAGAATGAAGACCCAAAGATACAGGTAAAACCATCCATTTTTATACTTAGGTTCCATGAAGAATGGACCGCAGTGTAGAACTGTGTTTGGACAGAAAAGGTATAATCTTATGGAAATAGACCGAGTGGGGAATCCCAGCAAGGCCTGTCTGTTAAGGTTCTTCCTGGCCTCTCTGTGCAGCTGTCTTCCTTCCAGGTATGAGGCAGAACCCTTTTTGGAATGAGTGTCTTATGACCTATCGTTAAACAATGTAAGTCAGAGATTTCTTTATGGCCAGGTCTTACACAGGAAGGTCGGGGAGTGGCAGGAGGTTAGAGTAATGTTTTTAGGTTTTATGGCTGGCTTTGAGGAACAGGAGTTCTAGTTTCTATAACACACCTTGGGGAAGAAGGATTATAGTTTTTATGGCTAGCCTCGGGGGAGACTGATGGGCCAGAGACAGGAGGGAAGGAGAAGGTCAGAGAGAACTTGCTTCTGAGGCTACCTCTGAGGCCTTCACTTTGGGATATTGTTTTCTGAGCCACAACAATCTCATAAATATATACAACTATAATCTGTCAATTTACAATTAAAATAAATTTTAAAAAATAAAGATACTGTGACAGGTAACAAACAGATACATGGTTCAGGCAAACAAAGAGGATGGGGGAGGTTGGCAAGTGTCTAATGGGAATGGTGGGCACACTAATAAGTGGGCAGTGTACTTGAGTCAGGAGCAAATGGTAGTCCTCGGCAGGCAAGAATGGGCACCACAGAAAGATGGACAGGCCACAGGCTTGTAATTTTAGTATTGGGGTATGGGTGGGGAGAAGTCTCTGCATGAGGATATATGCAAAATGGATGAAAAGATCCCAAGTTTAAACATGTTTTTAAAAAAATATAAAGGTACTCCAGTTAGAGAATAATGGGGATAAAAAGCAGTTTATTGAAACGGTAATTTCAGAAAGCATTGGCCAGGTGCAATGGCTCATGCCTATAATCCTAGCACTTTGGGAGGCCAAGGCAGGAGGATCACTTGGGGGCAGGAGTTCAAGACCAGCTATGAGTTTGGGCAACATAATGTGACATCATCTCTACTAAAAACAAACAAACAAACAACAACAACAACAAAAAAAAAACAAAAAAAAAAAACATTAGCTGGTTGGTGTCGCACATGCCTGTGGTCCCAGCTAGTCGGGAGGCTGAGGCAGGAGGATCACTTGAGCTGGGGAGGTCGAAGCTGCAGTGAGCTGTAATGATGCCGCAGCATTCCAGCCTGGGCCACAGTTAGACCCTGTCAAAAAAAAGAAAAAGAAAAAGAAAAAAGAAAGGGTCACATGCATGGCAGAAGCTCGGCTGTTAGCCCTAAGGGCCAGCACTGTACAAGGAGGAATCACAATCCTGTGCTGAGTTCTAGATTTTTGGTCTGGAGACCTTCAAATTCTGAGTATTATCCCTAGACAAATGGGGGAGACCACGCCCATAGAGAGAAGTCAGGTGGCCTAAGCTATAGAGAGGAGGGATACAAAGGGAAAGAATCAGGAAGTGCCTTATCCCCACGTAGGGTCAACCAGTAGGTCTATACCAGCTTTGTGGGAAAGCTCTTAATTATTTGTCTGAGAGCTTTGTCTATGACTCTGACCTATTCAAATAGTCATTATGAACTTGAATGAAAACAAGGATATGAAAATAAAATTTGTGAACAACACAGAGTTAGAGAAAACCTTTAATGCATTGGCTTCAATAATCAAAAAGTTGAGTGTAGTTAAACCTGGATAAGATTATCAGCTCCTCACGTGCCTTTTTCCAAGTTTGCAATAAAATACTAATGAAGACCAAAAAAAAGAAATCATAAAACTCAATTCACAATACCATATACTGAGACAATGTATGAGAACTGGCTTGTTGTGAGAATCTCAGAGGAATTTCCATGAATGGCAAGGCCAAGAGTGACTAACTGAAGGAGTTAAGTAGTGGATCCCATGTGCTGATGCAGGAAGCTTGCTTGAAAGAGTGTGTCTTGGCCGGGTGTGGTGGCTCACCCCTGTAATCCCAGCACTTTGGGAGGCCGAGGCGGGTGGATCACGAGGTCAAGAGATCGAGACCATCCTGGCCAATGGGGTGAAACCCCGTCTCTACTGAAAATACAAAAATTAGCCGGTGTGGTGGCACGCATCTGTAGTCCCAGCTACTCGGGAGGCTGAGGCAGGAGAATTGCTTGAATCCAGGAGGTGGAGGTTGCAGTGAGCCAAGATCACCCCACTGCACTCCAGCCTGCCAGTGGAGCGAGACTCTGTCTCAAAAAAAAAAAGGAAAAAAAAAAAGAAAGAGTGTGTCTTTCGCCTCTGCTTTCTGCCTCTGAATCAGAAGCCCAAGACCAATCTCTACCAGAAGCATAAACAACTTCAGGTATTTAGCTTAGACTGTGTGTGTGTGTGTGTGTGTGTGTGTGTGTGTGTGTGTGTGTGTCAGAGAGAGAATTTTTTATCCTCTCCATCTAGTAAGCCAGTTTTGTGCATACCATTTATCAATGTATTTTTTGTTTCACCAAGGTTTTTTTTTTTATTATTAATAATGGAGATGGGGTCTCACTATATTGCACAGGCTTGTCTCGAACTTCTGGCCTCAAGCAATCCTCCCTCCTTGGCCTCTCAAAATGCTGGGGTTACAGGCATGAGCCACAAAGTTTTGATGCCATCTCTTTCATAAATCAATATCATGTGGTCTGTTTCTGGGTTGTTTCTATATTCTGTTCCATTGTTTTATTGTCTGTTCCTGGGCATTATCAAATTGGTGGTGGTGTTTTTTAATTACCCTGGTTTTGTTACATGTCTTAATATATGGTAGCCAAATTCTCCATTTTCCCCACTTTTTTTTCTGAAAGTTGACCTTTTTCATGTAAATTAAGTAAGTACCTCTGACCCCCAAATTTTACTGGGATTTTGGTGAGAATGGTATTAAAAATCATAGACTAGTTTGGAGAGAATGAGAGTCTTTGCAATGGTAAAGAGTCCCCACATGAGCATGCCTTCTGTCTGCATGTATTCTTTAAGTGCATCAGGACCATCAACCCAAAGTGTTGTACAGGGCCTGCTGCATCACCTGACAGGCTTTGAAATGTCAACGCAGGCTCCGCCCCACCCCCGAGCTACCGAATCAGAATCTGCTTTTTAAACATCCCCAGGTTATCTGGAGGTACGTTAAAGTTGGAAAAATACAGCTTTCGTAGAATTTTAAAGATTTCTTCAAGAGAAGCTGGGCATTTTTGTTAGGTTAATTCCTAGGTTAATAGAGCTCAGAAAGGCCTCTGGAACTCTGCTGAACTCTATTCACAATTCTAAACAGATTCTGCCAATTCTCTTGTGAGTTTTCTGTGAATATTTATATCATCTGTAAATAATGACAGCTGAGTCTCCTGACTCTCTTTCTTCTGATCTTTTTGCTTACTTATGTCTCTTGATCAAAATTCCCAATATTACATGGAAGAAAAGGTAATTTAAAAGGCCTCATAGAGGCCGGGCATGCTGGCTCATGCCTGTAATCCCAAAATACTTTGTGGGGCTGAAGCAGGACTGTCTCAAAACAATTTTTAAGACAGAACAAAAAAACAAGAGGCATCCTAGCTCATTCTCAACCTTAAAGGAAATGCTTCTAATATTTACCCAAGAAATGTTAAATTTGCTGCTGATTTTTGGCAACTTAAAAAACTTTTTATCTATTACTGGCTTTGTAAACACCTTTTTCAAAAGTTCACAATTGATTCTCATATATAAGAGAAAATCGTGTGATTTTGTCCTTTAGTACATTAAGGTGGGCTGGAATTATGGGAATGAGCCACCATGAGCCAAACATGGCTCATTAACATGGGCCAAGGCAGAAGCACAAAGTTTCTCAGGGAGATAAATTGCTCTTATTAGATGAGCTTGATAAGTATTTGGAATAAAAGAATACATACCATGGCTTCTAAGATCAAGTGTGAAAGAATACATACCATTGTTTTTTTCCCATGGTTTTTTGGTTCAATAACCTAGATAAACTTTGAAAATGATTTGTAGAGATGAATATCCTCAGCCATCCCTCATGCAGCTATTTCCATGGTATGACATGGCAATTACCTCACGGTCAAGTTCTACTTTTGTTTATTGTATCAAAACCTGATGCTCTCGACCAGGTGCGGTGGCTCACACCAGTAATCCCAGCACTTTGGGAGGCCGAAGCAGGCGGATCACTGGAGGTTAGGAGTTCGAAACCAGCCTGGCCGACATGGCAAAACTCTGTCTCTACTAAAAATACAAAAATTAGCCAGCCATGGTGGCAGGTACCTATAATCCCAGCTACTCGGGAGGCTGAGGCACAAAAATCGCTTGAACTAGGGAGGTAGATGTTGCAGTGAGCCGACATCGCGCCGTTGCACTCCAGCCTGGTCGACAGAGGAACATTCTGTCTCAAAAAAGAAAAAAAAAAGTGATGCTCTTAACTTCAATCACCACCCCTGTATAGGTGTGGTGTAGAAGACCCGGGCACAGCAATTTGATATACTACCCCCGTGCACGATCTTTTCTCTATAGTTAAAAATTCTGATCCGTAAAGCCCAGTGTGGTTTACAGTTGTGTGTGGACTGAATGGAAGCCGCTAGTCCAAAGGACACCCCATTGCTGAAATGTAATGTGCCAAGCCAGGATTGTCTGTTCTCTTGACGCAAAGCAGCTTAGCAGGGTCCTTGGCAGTCAGGCATCAGTGGGCTCTTCTCAGTTGACTGATTATGACAGTGTTGCTTCTCAGTTCCCAGTGTGCACGTGTGCTTTGCGCAGTGGTTCTTGGTTCTGCAAGAATCCACTGAAAGCCCTTGGTATAAAAATGAAAAAGAAAAAAAGAAGACTCATGCTATTTCCGGAAGTTCATAGACTTCCCAAAGCCATGATCCAAGTAGGAGTCCGTGAACTGTAAGTTAAACCCCTGGCATAGAATCAGAACACAAAACAAGGCTAGAAGCAACACAGTGTGGTTGGCTTTAGGCTTCAGTAGAGCCACAACTTGTTTTCTTGACAGTTCGTTTTTTAAGTGAATAGTTGCAGTAATAGCTGAACTAAACAGCAGAGATTTGGGGAAGTGGCAGGATGCAAGATGTGCAAAGTTGTACAGATCTGATCAGACCTTCAGCTCCTTTGAAGAATTGTACTAACAGCCCCAAACATCCCTAACCTTCTGCAGATTTATTTTTATATAAGCTTCCAGAGAATAGTCATCATGGAGTAATCACACGTGGAAGACTGCATAAGGACTATGGATGACACTCAGAGCCTTCTCAGAACTGGGCATTGATTCTAATACCAGGTTCCTGAGTATTTGTTACATCCTATGTCATGGCCATATCCATTCATTTACTCAGAGAGTCATTCATTTATCAAAAATTTAATTGATATCACCATAAAGTCTGCTGGGCCTGTTAATGATGAGTTTTTTTCTTCTCCTTTACCAGGAATTATTACCACCCCCCCCCCAAAAAAAATCCTTTGTTAGTAACGATAAGCCAAAGGAAAAAAGATCTTATTTTCATTTAACTGCTACAGCATGAGTCTTCATTCAGAGCAGAGCAGAGCATGAAAGAAAAGTAGGAAGAAGATTCGCAATTCATCTTTCATGTCTGATATGGTGGTGGGAAAAATAAAATAACAATCATGTGGGAATTTTACATCTAATCCTACTTTTAGATTTTAGGTATTGAACACTTGTGTAAATTTTAAATGCAGCCAAAATATATATACAAAGGGATAAAGGGCACATCTTTATATTTTTGGAGAAATAATGGAAGTGCTCAAACACATGCCTTTAATTACATTTTAATAGATCAAATTATTCTTTAATCAAATCCATTTGTTGTTTCAAAGAAGTAAAATAATTAAAACCATTGAATGGGACATCTTGCTATTTATAACACTAATTTATACTTTTAATTAACTTCAGAACATGTGGTTATTTTAGTTGGGCTCTGGAGTTTCCCTACCCTGCACTACTAGAAACCACCATTGACTACAGAATAGAAAATTCCAGCAAAGTACAAAGTGAATTCTTACTTTGATTTAGTCTTTCTTTTTTTGAGAAGGAGTCTCACTCTGTCGCTCTGTCGCCCAGGCTGGAGTGCAGTGACACAACCCGGCTCACTGCAGTCTCTGCCTCCCACGTTCAAGCAATTCTCTGCCTCAGCCTCCTGAGTAGCTGGGATTACAGGTGCCTATGACCACACCCAGCTAATTTTTGTATCTTTAGTAGAGATGGGGTTTCACCATGTTGGCCAGGCTGGTCTTGAACAACTGACCTCATGATCCACCCACCTCAGCCTCCCAAAGTGCTGGGATTACAGGTTTGAGCCACCGTGCCTGGCTTTTTGATATAGTCTCGTTTTGTATTTATTTGTTTTTAAAACCACGTGTAATTTTTAAATTGAGATTTACTTTTTTTCACTTTGCAGAACTATTAGTAATAGCTTTTTCAGGACCAAAGTACGAAGAAATTTGGGAAAGGACTGGTCTTTTTCTCATGCTCTGAAACCTTCAAGAATATAAAACTAAAGTATTACAGACTCCATTACGTTACTAATTGCTGGTAGCTGCTAAAATGTAACACTGTTTATGCTGATTTTCTGCAACCATGGAAAAAGTACTGACAAAAATAGGTTTTGCATAAGAAAAAAAAATAAAGTGTAGATTAGAAATGATTTATGCTACATATTCTCCTAGACCTGCATTGTCTAATATATAGCCACTAGCTTTATGTGGCTATTAAGCACTTGAAATGTAGTGATGGGGAAGAAAAACTTTTCCTCCATCTTCTTAAGTTAAATAAATTAAACTAACAAAAGACAGATTAATAAGAGAAAAGGCACACAATGTTTATTAATAGTTATGTGCATGGGAGTTCACATAATAGAAGTGAAACTCAAAGAAGCAGTTAGACTTGAGGGCTTATATACCATTTTAACAAAGAGAAAAGAGTTTGGGCTTCAAAGGATGGTAAATCATAGGGAAGTAACTACAAAATGATGAGAGAACCAATGGAAGGTAAAGGTTATTTTAGTAAGTTCTGTTTGTGCAAACTCATCTCAGTGTTGACTCCTCCTCTCCAATGATAATAGTCATTCTTCCTTTCCTGGCAGGGGAGGGTTGGAGAGGGGACCTGCACCAAGGGAAGTTTATGCTCTGATTTTAGGCAGATAAGGAGAGGGCAGAGACCTCCTTCCAGCGTCTGTTAATTCATAATTGCTTTCAGCTCAAAATAATCGTTTTGCCAAAGTGGCATATTTTGGGGTGGCTAATCTCCTTCAGTAGCAGGTCCAAATTGAGATGTGCTATAAGATTATAATACACACATAATTTTGAAGACTTAGTATGAAGACAAAAGAATATAAAATATCTCATTAATAATTTTTGTATTGGCTGAGTGTGGTGGCTCATACCTATGATCCCAGCACTTTGGAAGGTTGAGGCAGAAGGATCACTTGAGGTCAGGAGTTAGAGACCAGTCTGGGCAACATAGTGAGACCTCATCTCTACATAAAAATTTCTAAATAAAATAATTAAATAAAAAAATAATTAATAAAAAATTAAATTAAAAAGTTAAATAAGGCCAGGCACGGTGGCTCACACCTGTAATCCCAGCACTTTGTGAGGCCAAGGTGGGCGGATCACCTGAGGTTGGGAGTTCGAGACCAGCCTGATCAACATGGAGAAACCCCGTCTCTACTAAAAATACAAAATTAGCCAGGAGTGGTGGCTCATGCCTGTAATCCCAGCTACTCAGGAGGCTGAGGCAGGAGAATTGCTTGAACCCGGGGGGTGGAGGTTGCGGTGAGCTGAGATTGTGCTATTGCACTCCAGCCTAGGCAACAAGAGTGAAATTCCATTTCAAAAAAGAAAAGAAAAGTTGAATTAAAAAATTAGCCAGGATTGTGATGTGTGCCTGTGGTCCCAGCTATTCAGGAGGCTGAGACAGAAGGATCATTTGAGCCCAGGAGGTTGAGGTTACAGTGAGCTCCACTGCACTCCAGCCTGGGTGCCAGAGCAAGATCCCATCTCAAAATAATAATAATAATTTTTATATTGATTATGTATTGAAATTATACTTTTGATAAACTGAGCTAAATATGTATTATTAAATTAATTTTATCTGTTCCCACTTTTTAAAATGTGGTTACTATTACAACATTTAAAATAAAATGTGGCTCATATTATACTGCTGTGAGTCAGTGTTGTCCTGGATAGTAAATAAATGACTCAAGCAAAGAGTGTATTTGGTTTCTAGTAGGGTGGTCTTCATCATCAGGCAGACAGCAGATGTTAGCTAATTTACTAGAGCAATTGCAATTTAAACTCAGAAGTAATTTAAACAATACAGAGACCTCCTGGGATGCTTGGACAAGTGGAGAGTATTTTTGTTCTTGTATTTGTTATTTTAAACTTTCAATGATATATTGGTAGACTGAGGTGAAACTTTTCATATCCACTTCAAAGACAGCCCTCAGTTCTTTAGAATGTAAGATAAGAACAATAAATCTTGAGGTGAAATGATAGAAATAAGATCAATTTAAATAGTAGGGGGATCTGATGAAATGCAGTTAACTTAAGAGCATTCCCTGGTGTCCAACATCCATATAAAAAAGGTCACCATTTATGGAAATGCAAGGTAGTAAATATTACCTCCCAGGCATCAACCTAAGAATTGAGTGAGGGATTGAGATTACTAATAATTAAGACAAAAAGTATTATTTTGCACTAGCCCCCATCTGCTGATTCTCGGAGCTTTTCCGAATCTTTCTTGATGACTTAAGATGGCTGTGGGGATGACTGTGAATGAAACCTGAGGAATTTTTTTGCCCCACATTTTCTCTTGGTTTCTCAATCCTGTAAGGGCTCCCGGTCTTTTCCAGGGTATTTTAGGACCACAGATTGCCACCTATGACCTGCCTGTTCTACACCTGCTTCCTTGACTTTGGTGGAGTTGTCACTCCTCACAGCTGCTGCCTTCAGCAAAACACTCTCACCTTTGGGTGCCAAAAGCAGAGCAGTCCTGAGCTTCTACAGCAGCCTGTCCCCCTCTACTGAAAACTAGCAACTTTCTAGCTTCTTGTTTTATTGGGTTTTTTTTTTTTTATATTTATATTAACTTTATTCCTAACAGCCAGAAACAGGAAACAATACAAATGTCCATCTACTGGCGATAAACTAATAAACACACTGTGGTATATCCAAACAATAAAATACTCTCCACAAAAAGGAACAAACCACTGATAATATAACAGCAAAGGATGAATCTCAAAAGCACATGCCAAGGAAAAGAAGTCGGATGCAAAATACTGTGGTGGAATACTGTGCGGTTCCACTCAGGTGATGCTCTGGAAAAGGGAGAAGTACATGGATAGAAATCAGATCACTGGTCACCAGGAGCTCAGGCTGAGGGGAGGGGACTGACTCCAAAGGGTCACTAGGAGGCTTTCTGGGGTGATGGAAATGTTCTGAATCTTCACTGTAGTGGCTGGTGATTGCATTTCTCAAAATTCATAAACTGAATACCTAAAGAGGTGAATTTTACCATATATAAATTATACCTCCATAGAACTGGGTTAGAAATCTTATTTGCACAAACATTCTGAATTATCAGAATGTTTTTTATCCAAGGTGAATATCACCTGTGGTCAAGATCTTCTCACCAGGATGGTCTTCTTGCAGTCCAAGACCCAGCTACAGTCACTATGTCCGGAGTGGGTTTTTTTTTTTCTTTTTAGATGAAGTCTCACTCTCCACCATATGAGGACACAGCGAGAAGGTAGCCACCTGCAAAACAGGAAGATAGCCTTCACCAGGAACAGAATCTGCTGGCACCTTGATCTTGGACTTCGCAGCTTCGATAAGTCTTCTCCGCCTAATGGTCCATTCCCATTTCCACTGATGGACCTGCAGCACTCGCCCTCCTCCACTCCCAGGAGGAACCTCCCCCACGGCTGCTGCTACAGGACTGCTTGACTTCTTTAGGCTGCTCCATCAGGATTCACATTCCCCAACCCACACAGAACCTAGCCAGGGCCTTCCTAGCTTCTTTCCTTCCCTTCTTTCCTGAGGGGAAAGTCCACCTTGGGTTTAAATGGCTTAAGACTGGGCAATAAGCCTGATCTCACTCTCAACCTTTGTCTACATCATGCTTATGTTTTGACAAAGTGGAATTTTACCTGAAGGTTAAGAAAGCCCATTGCCCTTTTACGTTCTGGAAAATGACTTACTGCAAGGGGCCACCCTTCCCCGTATGACTTAGACAAGTTTCATGAGTGCCCCTTTGTCTACTGATGACAAAACTAGATAGGGATCTTCCAGTCTTCTGTTTTTGACCTCCTAAATGACTAGCTGAACTGCTTGTCACCACTGATCAATCAGAACAAAATGCCTGTTAGCCAAACTTTGGTTAAGCTTCTCTCCTTCCCCCAGGCCCCTGAGCTTTGGCCCTCCATAACCCAAGCCAGCATACAGCCTCTTCTTAGGGACCCCTCCCCACAAATAGGCTGGCCACCAGGTAGAACATTCTCTGATCTACTGTCCCATGAGGTCACTCTTTCATTCCTCCTTGAATTAGCATAGTGATGTCACCTTCCTGAGCCTTTTCTTTTTGAGACAGAGTCTTGCTCTGTTGCCCAGGCAGAAGTGTAGTAGTGTAATCTCAGCTCACTGCAACCTCGGCCTCCTGGACTCAAGCAATCCTCCCACCTCAGCCTCCCAAGTAGCTGAGACTACAGGTGCCTGCCACCATGCTTGGCTGATTTTTTTTGGTACTTTTTGTAGAGACAGGATTTCATCATGTTGCCCAGGCTAGTCTGGAACTCCTGGGTTCAAGCAATCTGCCCACCATGGCCTCCTAAAGTGCTAGGATTACAGGCATGAGCCACCGTGCCCAGCCCTGAGCCTTATTTTCACTTCAATACCAGACATTGCTAAGTGGCAGTTGCTGGGCCAGGGTCAGCCCCAAATTTTCTTTATTCAGTACATACAGTATTGGAAATATTTATTTTAATCAATTACCACCATTGAAAAAAAATCAGGAGACTTTACGTAAATCTTTTGGCTTCTCTTAAGAAACAGGATCCGGAAACATTGTTTCCACCTCCTTGTAAGGTGACAGCACTCATAACTGGCCTGCTTTGCTCATTTTCGTGACCTGCCTGGGTTTTGGCTTTATGTTAACCCTAACCCCTGGCAGAGAGTGCACAGTTCTCTCTCATATAGTTGTTATGAGGTCCAAATAAAATAGTGTATAAAGTAGCTCCCAGTAAGAACTGAATCATTATTACTTCTCCCTTTTTAGTTGCTGAAATTCAGGTTTGTGAGCTTACGTTGACTTTTAAGCATCTAAATAGATTTTCCATTTTACATAGATGAATAATGATTAAAAATAGCAAAAGTAGGATTAGATGAACACCTGGGATGAAGCAAATCCTTAAAGGAAAATAATATGATCTCAGGATCTTGAAAACATGTTTGCAAGATACATTTTTCCTTGAGATTAAAATCTTAGACTTTTGTTATCTCTTCCAAATGAACCATTTAATCAATGAGACAGTTTATTGGACAAATAGATGTTTTCCTTGCACTGTGCCAAAAAACAGATTTGATTGATTTTACAATTAAATTGAGGGAAGTGGCTGATAGTTTTTGCAAACTCATTCCTTGCCCTTTATTGATTTTTGTTTAAAGTTTAGCCATTGAACATTACAATAAAGTAACTAAGCAAGCCACCTTGAACTGACAAAACAAGGGCACTCACTAAGTGAAAACACCACACATAATGATAAGACCTGTCAGAGCACTTATGGATTCTGCATCTGATCACTGGAATATGACGTCTAGAGTACTAGGATTAAGAATCTCAGCCTTGAAGTTAAAAAAAAAAAAAAAAAAAGGACTCTTAACCTTTTCCTGGCACAGTGGCTCATGCCTGTAATTCCAACACTTTGGGAGGCCAAGGCTGGAGGACTGCTTGAGGCCTGGAGTTTAAGACCAGGCTGGGCAACATAGTGAGACCCCTCCCCTTCCCATCTCTACAAAATAATAAATAAATAAATAAATAAATAAATAAATAAATAAATAAATAAATAAAAGAATCCCAGCCTTGAGGTTAGCTTTGGACTATCAAAGCTGCCTCAACTATTGCTCATTTAGAGAGCTCAAAAGCTTTTTTAAGAACTCGCTTATTTGTTTCATTTCCTCTTCTGAAGATTTTTTTTGCAGATCCAGACTTTGAAGAGGCTCCTCCCTCCTGCCAGGCTCACTTGCCCTTGTCCTTGCTGTGACAAATTACATATTTCAAAACTCTCAAGTAGTGCCCCGCTTCTGTCCCAACGCTACCACCACCATGCATATCCCTTGCTGAACTCTGAAACCAAGACTCAGTTTCAGGAAACACAGCTGTCAGAACACTCCTCCAGTTACAGAGTCTACAGGCATCTCACACTAGGTCTCCAGGTCCCCATGTCCCAGCATGAAGTGGGGGTGGAATGTGGCAGAGGCCTGTCACCTCTCCTCCCTCCAGGGCTGGCAACAACTTCCCCCGACCTGGGTCTTCTGTTTCACAACAGATTCAGTCTTTTCAACTTCTGGATGCCTCTCTTGGTAGCTCACACCTGCAATCCAAGCACTCTGAGGGGCAGAGGATCCTTTGAGCCTCCGAGTTCAAAATCAGGCCAGTCAACATAGTGATACCCCTTCTCTATCAAAAATAAGAACTAAAAAAACTTTTTAAATGGATGCTTCTCTTAGCTTAGCTTCTCTTTGCATTTGAAAAATGATGCCAATTCTTTTCCTCAGGGGACGTCTTTGAATGCCTCTGGCACTTTCACAGATTCCTCCTTTTTTTTTTTTTATGAAGCAAAATGTGGCAATTTAGACGTTTCATTAGTTGTTACTAAGCTGTGTCTCTGCTTGTTTTGTAAACTCTTTCCCAGACCCAGTGGAAAAGCGCATGCACTTCTTTTACTTTTTTGAAGAGAACTAGCACCCTCTGTAGGCCAATCTTGTTTATTAATAGTTTCTAGTGCCAGTGCCTAAGGCAAAAAAATTGCATTTGTCAAACCTATCTATGAAAATCCCTTAAATTATCAGGAAGCATAAAAACCAAGAATTAGTTTCTTTTGTTTCTGTTTTGGTCAGTGTCTCCCTTTTTTGGAGTAGTGGATTTCAACAGGGGAGGGAAGCTTAAATAAAAAGAGAGTCTTTTTCTCTACCTCTCTTTTTGTCTTTTCTGCCACGTGCTTATGTGGAGAAGCTTGTATTCTTCAATTTCCATATAATATATTCATTCACTCAGAAATGTTTATTGAGTCAACTACCTACCAAGCACAATACAGATTCTGATACAGAGAGATCCCTGCTCTCATGGAGCTTACATTCTAATAAGGAAAGAAGATTACCAGCTAGATTTCAAGAAATGCTTCTTCGGAGAATAATAGATACTCTGAGCATAATAAAATGAGAATGGTGTAGAGAGTGATAGGGCAGTGGGGTAAGCTGTATTAAATAGAATAGTCATGGTGGGCCTCCAGAAGGAGGTGATTTTTGGCAGAGATTTGAATGGAGAGGAGCCGGATTCATAAATTCTGTGCTGGGGTGTGACCACAGCAGTCTGGCTTGCCAAATCTACTCCTAATCTCTACATTTACTGCCTCCCACATGTTGTATTTTGGCTACACCTCATTAGTCCCCAAAAAGTAGATTACGAGGTGGGAGGATCACTTAAGGCCAGGAATTTGAGACTAGCCTGGGCAATATAGTGAGACTCCATCTCTAATTTATGAAAGAGAGAGAGAGAGAGAAAGCAAAAAAAAAAAAAAAAAAAAAAAAGGCTGGACATGGTGGCTTCACCTGTGATCCCAACATTTTAGCAGGGGCAAGGCAGGAGGATTGCTTAAGACCAGGAGTTAAAGAACAGCCTAGGCAACATAGTCATACTCTGTCTCTATTATTTATTTATTTATTTTTTGAGATAGAGTCTCGCTCTGTCACCCAGGCTAGAGTGCAATGGTGTGATCTCGGCTCACTGCAACCTCTGCTTCCCGAGTTCAAGCGGTTCTCCTGCCTCAGCCTCCTGAGTAGCTGGGACTACAGGCATGTGCCACCATGCCCAGCTAATTTTTGTATTTTCAGTAGAGACAGGGTTTTGTCATGTCGTCCAGGCTGGTCTTGAACTTCTGACCTCGTCATCTGCCTGCCTCAGCCTCCCAAAGTGCTGGGATTACAGGCATGAGCCACCGCACCTAGCCTCTGTCTCTATTTTATTTAAAAAAAAAAAAAAGAGAGAGAGAGAGATACTAGGTACAATGACTCATGCCTATAATCCTAGCACTTTGGGAAACCAAGGCAAGAGGATCACTTGAGCTCAGAAGTTCAAGCTCAGCCTGGACAACCTAGTGAGACCCCATCTCTATTTTTTTTCAAACTAAAATAAAGAAAATTTTAAAAAAGAAGAAAGAAATTTGTTGTAAGCAAATATTGACAATATTTATTAGAACGTGCTCTGTCTCCCATATACACCAATAAGCCCATAGAGAAATCCAGTCCTGAAACATAAATGGAATATTGCTTTCTGAGAGATACATCAGATGTTTTTTTGTTGTTGTTGTTATTTTTGGTTTTTGGTTTTTGTTTTTTTTTTTTTTTTGAGATGGAGTCTTGCTCTGTCGCCCAGGTTGGAGTGCAATGGTGCCATCTTGGATCACTGCAACCTTTGCCTCTCGAGTTCAAGCAATTCTCCTGCCTCAGCCTCCCGAGTAGCTGGGATTACAGGCATCCACAACCATGCCTGGCTACTTTTTGTATTTCTAGTAGAGACAGGGTTTCACCATGTTGGCCAGGCTGGTCTTGAACTCCTGACCTCAAGAGATCTGCCTGCGTTGGCCTAACAAAGTGCTAGGATTACAGGCATGAGCCACCGTGCCCGGCTGTTTTGTGTTTTTAAACTTTTAAGTTCAGAGCTACATGCGCAGATTTATTATATAGGTAAATACATGTCACGGGGTTTTGTTGTATATATGATTTCGTCACTCGGGTGATAAGCATAGTACCTGATGGTTAGTTTTTCTATCTTCACCCTCCTCCCACCCTGCACCCTCAAGTAGACTCCAGTGCCTATTGTTTTCTTCTTTGTGTCCATGTGTACTCAGTGTTTAGCTCCCACTTGTAAGTGAGAACATGTGGTATTTGGTTTTCTGTTCCTACATTAGCTCATTTAGGATAACGACCTACAGCTTCTACAAAGAACATGCTCTCATTATTTTTTATGGCTGCAAAGTATTTCATGCTGTATATGTACCACCTCTTTATCTAGTCTACCATTGATGGGCATTTAGGTTGATTCCATGTCTTTGCTATTGTGAATAGTGCTGCAATGAACATATGCATGTGTGTGTCTTTATGATAGAATGATTTATTTTCTTTGGGTATATACCCAATAATGCAATTGTTAAGTTGAAGGGTAGTTCTGTTTTAAATTATTTGAGAAATCACCAAACAGGTTTCCACAGTGGCTGAACTAATTTATAGTCCTAACAGCACTGTGTAAGCATTCCCTTTTCTCCACAGCCTCACCAGCATGTTATTATTATTATTATTATTATTTTTGAGACGGAGTCTTGCTGTGTCGCCCAGGCTGGAGTGCAGTGGCATGATCTCCGCTCACTGCAACGTCTGCCTCCCAGATTCAAGCAATTCTCCTACTTCAGCCTCCTGAGTAGCTGGGACTACAGGTGTGCTCTACCACGTCCAGCTAATTTTTGTATTTTTAGTAGAGACAGGGTTTCACCATGTTGGCCAGGCTTGTCTCAAACTCTTAACCTCAGGTGATCCACCTGCCTTGGCCTCCCAAAGTGCTAGGATTACAGGCATGAGCCTCTGCACCCAGCTGTTTTTTGTTTTGTTTTTGTTTTTTTGTTTTTTTTTGTTTTTTTGTTTTTTTGTTTTTTTTTTTTGAGACAGGGGCTCACTCTCACCCAGGCTGGAGTGCAGTGGTGCAATCTCAGCTCACTGCAGCCTTCACCTCTGAGGCTCAAGTGATACTCCCACCTTGGCCTCCCACCTTACGTGCCTGTAGCTGGGGCTACAGGCAGGCATGACCATGCCTGGCTAATTTTTAAATATTTTTTGTAGAGACGGGGTTTTGCCCTGTTGCCCAGGCTGGTCTTGAACTCCTGAGCTCAAGCGATCTGCCCTCCTCAACCTCCCAAAGTGCTAAGATTACAGACTTGAGCCACCACACCCAGCCTATTTTTTGACTATTTTAATACCCGTTCTGACTGGTGTGAGACAGTATCTCATTTTTATTTTGATTTGCATTTATGTAATGATTCGTGATGTTGAGCATCTTTTCATATGTTTGTTGGATATCTTCTTTTGAAAAGTGTCTGTTCATGTCCTTTGCCCACTTTTTAATGGGATTGTTGATTTTTTTGCTTAATATGTGTATAGTGTTTCCTATAGATTCGCATATTAGACCTTTGTCACAGGCATCGTTTGCAAATATTTTCTCCCATTCTGTAGGTTTTCTGTTTACTCCATTGTTTGTTTGTTTTGCTGTGCAGAAGCTCTCTAACTTATTAGGTCCTGTTTGTCAGTTTTTCGTTTTGTTGCAAATGTTTTTGATGTCTTCATCATGAAAACTTTACCAGGACCTATGTCTAGAATGGTATTTCCTAGGTTTTCTTCTAGGGCTTTTATAGCTTTAGGTTTTACATTTAAGTCTTTAATACATCTTGAGTTGATTTTTGTATATGGTGAAAAAAAGGGGTCCAGTTTCAATCTTCTGCATATGGCTAGCCAGTTATCCTAGCACCACTTATTGAATAAGGAGACTTTTCTTCATTGCTTGTTTTTGTAGACTTTGTTGCAGATCAGATGGTTGAAGGGATATGGCTATATTTCTAGGTTCTCTAATTTGTTCCATTGGTCTATGTGTCTGGTTTTGTACCATTACCATGCTATTTTGATTATTGTAGCCTTGTAGTATAGTTTGAAGTCGAGTAATGTGATTCCTCCAGCTTTGTTTTTTTTTTGTTTTTTTTTTTGCTTACGATTGCTTTGGCTATTCAGCTTCTTCTTTGGTTGCATATGGCTTTTAGAATGTTTTTTTTCTAATTCTGTGAAAAATAACAATGAATATATAAACATTTATATATTGAATAGCATTTAATCTATAAATTGCTTTGGGCAATATGGCCATTTTAAGAACATTGAATCTTCTTATCCATGAGCATGGAATGTTTTTCCATTTGTTTATGTCATCTCCGATTTCTTTCACAGTGTTTTGTAATTCTTGTTGTAGAGATTCTTCACCTTCCTAGTTAGCTATGGTATTCCTGGGTATTGGTTATACGTGTGTCTCTGTGTGTGTGTGTGTGTCTGTGTGTCTGTGTCTATTGTGAATGGGATTATGTTTTTGATTTGGATCTCAGCTTGGATGTTATTGTTGCATAGAAATACTAATGATTTTTGTACATTGATTCTGTATCCTGAAACTTTATTGAAGTTGTTTATCAGTTCTGGTAGCCTTTGGGCAGAGGCTATGGGGTTTTCTAGATAAAGAATCACATTGCCTATGAAGAGAGATAGTTTGACTTCCTCCCTACCTATTTGGATGCCTTTTATTTCATAATAGTTCTGACTATTGTGAACACCTCTATGAACAAAAACTGAGGGGTTTTTCTATTTCTTTGGATTAGGTGGTAGTGTCCCCTTTGACATTTCTGCTCGTATTTATATGAATCTCTCTTTTTTCTTTATTAGTCTAGGTATTATTCAGGGTTCTCTAGAGAGACAGCACTAATAGGATAGATGTATGTATTAAAGGGCATTTAATTAAGGAGTATTGACTTACATCATCACAAGGTGAAGTCCCACAATAGGCTGTCTGCAAGCTGAGGAGCAATTGAAGCCAGTCTGAGTCCCAAAACCTCAAAAGTAGGGAAGCTGACAGTGCTGCCCTCACTCTGTGGCTGAAGGCCCGAGAGTCTCTGGCAAACCACTGGTGTAGGTCCAAGAGTCCAAAAGCTGAAGAACTTGGAGTCTGATGTTTGAGGACAGGAAGCATCCAGCACAGGAAAAAGATGGAGGCCAGAAGATTTAGCCAGTCTAGTCTTTCCATGTTCTTCCGCCTGCTTTTATTCTGGTTGAGCTGGAAGCTGATTAGATAGTACCCACCCGGATTGAGGGTAGGTCTGCCTTTCCCAGTCCACTGACTCAAATGTTAAACTCCTTTGGCAACACTCTCACAGACACACCCAGGAACAATACTTTGCATCTTTTAATCCAAGCAAGTTGACACTCAATATTAACCATCACAGTCTAGCTAGTGGTCTATCAATATTATTTATTCTTTCAAAGAGTTAACTTCTGGTTTTGTTGATCTTCTTTATGGTTTTTCATGTCTCAATTTCACTCAGTTCAGCTCTATTTTGGTTATTTATTTTCTACTGCTAGCTTTAAGGTTGGTTTGCTCTTTTTTTTTTTTCTCCTGGGTGTGATATTAGGTTGTTAATTTGACATCTTTCTAACTTTTTGATGTGGGTGTTTAGTGCCATAAACTTTCCTCTTGTCACTGCTTTAGCTGTGTCCCAGAGATATGTTATATCTAAAGATATGCTATATCTTTGTTTTCATTAGTTTCAAATAATTTCCTGATTTCTGCCTTAAATTCATTGTTAACGCAAAAAGTCATCCAGGAGCAGATTGTTTAATTTCCATATAATTATATGGTTTTGAACAATCTCCTTAGTATTGATTTCTATTTTTATCATCCTGTGGTCCAAGAGTGTAGTTGGTATGATTCTCGTTTCTTTGAATTTGCTGAGAATTGTTTATGACCAATTGTGTGGTCAATTTTAAGGTAGTGCCATATGCAGATGAGAAGAATGTATATTCTGTTGTTTTGGGTGAAGAGTTCTGTAGATGTCTGTTAGGTCCATTTGGTCAAGTGTTGAGCTTAGCTCACAAATATCTTTGTTATTATTCTGCCTCGATTGATCTGTCTAACACTATCATTGGGATTTTGAAGCCTCCCACTATTATTATGGGGTTAAGTCTCTTTGTAGATCTTTAAGAACTTGTTTTGTGAATCTGTGTACTCCACTGTTGGGTGCATATATATTTAGGATGGTTAAGTCTTCTTCTTGGATTGAACCCATTACCATTATCCATTACCATTATGTAGTGCCCTTGGTGTTCCTTGATCATTGTTGGTTTAAAGTTTGTTTTGCCTGAAATTAGAATAGCAATCCCTGCTTTTTTTCTGTTTTCTGTTTGCCTGGTAGATTTTTTTTCATCTCTTTACTTTGATCCTATCCATGTCATTGCATGTGAGGTAGATCTCTTGAAGGCAGCATACAGTTGGGTCTT
The DNA here is from genome assembly GCF_000001405.40 of Homo sapiens. Taxonomy (NCBI): domain Eukaryota; kingdom Metazoa; phylum Chordata; class Mammalia; order Primates; family Hominidae; genus Homo; species Homo sapiens. The sequence goes on along the minus strand of NC_000012.12, from coordinate 92,981,098 downwards.
GCTTCTTTGTCCAACTTGCCATTCTGTGCCTTTTTTTTTTTTTTTTTTTTTTTTGAGACAGAGTTTCTCCCTGTCACCCAGGCTGGAGTGCAGTGGTGTACTCTTGGCTCACTGCAACCTCCACCTCCTGGGCTCAATTGATTCTCCTGCCTCAGCCTCCCAAGTAGCTGGAATTACAGATGTGCACCACCATGCCTGGCTAATTTTTGTATTTTCAGTAGAGATGGGGTTTCACCATGTTGGCCAGGCTGGTCTCAAACTCCTGACCTCAAATGATCCAACTGCCTTGGCCTCCCAAAGTGCCAGGATGGGATTACAGATTACAGGCGTGAGCCACTGTGCCCAGCCTCTGTGCCTTTTAAGTGGGACATTTAGCCCATTTACATTCAAGGTTAATGATATGTGCAGACTTTTTTCCTGTCATCATGATGTTAGCTGGTTATTATGCAGACTTGATTGTGTAGTTGCTTTATAGTGTCAATGGTCTATGTATTTGTGCTTTTGTGGTGGCTGGTAATGATCTCTTTTTCCCATATTTATCACTCCTTTGAGGACCTCTTGAAAAGCAGGTCTGGTGGTAAAGAATTCTTTAGCATTTGCTTATCTGAAATGGATTTCTCCTTCACTTATGAAACTTATATAAAATTCTTGGTTGGAATTTCTTTCCTTTAAGATTGTTGAATATAGGCCCTAATCTCTTCTGGCTTGTAGGGTTCCTGCCGAAAGGTTTGCTGTTAGCCTGATGAAGGTTCCCTTTGTGAGTGACCTTCCTCTTCTCTTTAGTTGCCTTTAATATTTTTTCTTTCATGTTGACCTTGGAGAATCTAATGCCTATGTGTCTTGGAGATAGTTATCTTGTATAGTATCTTACAGGGGCTCTCTGCATTTCCTGAATTTGAATGTTGGCCTCTCTAGTGAGGTTAGGGAAATTTTCATGAACAATATTCTCAAATATATTTTCCAAGTTGCTTGCCTTCTCTGTCTCTCTTTCAGGGATGCTAATGAGTCACAGATTTGATCTTTCTACATAATCTCAAATTTCTCAAAGGTTTTGTTCATTTTTTAATTTTTTAATTTTTTTTAAATCTGTGTCTTATTCAGTTGATTTCAGAACTGGTTTTTGAGCTCTGAGATTTGTTTCTCAGCTTGGTCTATTCTGCTGTTAATACTTGCAATTATATTATGAAATTCTTGTAGTGTTTTTCAGCTCTATCAACTCAGTTTGGTTCTTTGTTAAAATGGCTGTTTCACTTTTCATCTCTTGTATAGTTTTATTGGAATTTTTTTTTTTTTTGAGATGGAGTCTCGCTTTGTCACACAGGCTGGAGTGCAGTGGTGTGGTCTCAGCTCACTGCAAGCACTGCCTCCCAAGTTCACACCATTCTCCTGCCTTAGCCTCCCGAGTAGCTGGGACTACAGGCACCTGCCACCACACCCGGCTAATTTTTTTTTATTTTTAGTAGAGACAGGGTTTCACTATGTTAGCCAGGATGGTCTCGAGCTCCTGACCTCATGATCTGCCCGCCTCGGCCTCCCAAAGTGCTGGGATTACAGGTGGGAGCCACAGTGCCTGGTGACTTATTGGATTTTTAATATTCATTGGATTGGATTTCTACTTCCTCCTGAATCTCAATGATCTTCTTTCCTATTCAGATTCTTAATTCTATGTCTGTCATTTCTGCCATTTCAGCCAGTTAAGAACCGTTGCTGGGGAACTAGTGCAGTCGTTTGGAGGTAAGAAGGTGCTTTTTTAGTTGCCAGACTTCTTGCATTGGTTCTTTCTCATCTGTGTGGGCTGATGTTTCCTTAACCTTTGAAGCTGCAGTCCTTTGGATGGAGTTTTTTGCTTTTATATTCTTTGACATCCTTGAGGGTTTGATTGTGATATAAGGTGGGTTCAGCTGACTGGCTTTGTTTCTGGAAGATTTTAGGGGCCCAAGGCTCAGCTCAGCACTCCTGAGCTGTGTGTTCTAACCCTGTGGGGCTGGTACTAGGGCTCCAGCTTTGTTCTTTGGCCCCTTGAGATTAAGAACTTGCTGCGCTGGTAGGGGGTCGAAGTATTCCTGGCTAGGTGGCAACAAAACTCTGATGGAGAGTGCTGGCCAAAGTGCTTTGTTGTGGTGGTAATGACAGGATTTGTGCTCATGTGTATTTCAGCAGCAGCAGTGGCACAGGTGGGGCACTAGTGGGGGTGGGGTGGGGGCAGGGTGGTGGCATCCAGGCACATGCTCACACTGGCAGTGGGGTGGTGGAATGCACGCACACATATCCGTGGGAAAAGAGAAGTAGGTTCCACCCATGCAGACACACATGCAAAGCAGTGTGTGTATGTGTTGGCATGAGGGCAGGCATGGGCAAGTGTACACAGGTAAAGTGGCAGGGGGAGGCTGTGGTTCAGGGAGGCTTCAGGTGGGTGCATTTAGCATAGGTCAGTCTGCTGGAATTCTCCAATGGTTAAGAGTGCTCTGCCAGTGAAAGAGCTAAAATGAAGGCCCTCAGGAAGCACCCTGATTGGGCATCCAAGGCTATGCTGCAAGCAAGCACAGCAAGGCTGGGGCCCCAGAAGAAGCTGGTTGACAGTGGAGCACTCAGATTAGATTGGCCCCATCCCACAGGGAAGACTGCCCTGCTCGTCTAGGTCTGGCAGTCACCAAGAGGCAAAGCCACCCAGAGGAGCATGGCAAGCCCTGAAGGATGGGCCTCCCTGGCCATGCTCCACTGTAGCCATTCTCATGCCAAACCCTCTGGACTCCACACAAGCTAGAGTTCTGCCCCTGCCACCTCTCTGAACAGCTCTCCTTGCCAGCTCAAATGGGGGTCATGGGGTCTGCTGCACTAGAAGTCTGTAGGTCCGTGGTGAGAGTAAGCTGCTCCCCACCTGTTTAACTCACCCCTTCCCAAGGAACCACTGGGGGCCAGGAACAAGTCCTGGTGCTTGGCAGCCCTGTGCATGGTTCTCAGCTTCCTCTGCCTTCAGCCCGGGGTCTACGTCCTCCCTGCATTCACTCTCAATGCCTTATCTCCAAAGATCTGCTCAGAGTGTACCCAGTTTCCCTGATGGTCTGGTCTTTCGGCGGGAGATGCTCTTCCTGGCTGCGTCTAGTTGGCCATCTTCAGAAATAACTTTAATAAAATAAAAAAAAATTGAACTGTTGCCACTGCCCAGACTTAATCACCTTGGAAGTGGCAGTATCAGAAAATCTGGTCAACAGATCACCACAGTGGTGGTGATGGGGTAGACAGTTGGTAGCTTGGGTAAGGATATTTGCAGTTTTGAATGGGTGATCTTTTTAGCTTCTCAGAACTCACAATTTATCTGCCTGTGCAGAGTGGCTACTGCTGCTCAGAGCAGCAGGTGGAAGCAAAGAAATGAGTTCCATTTTATGAATGTTTGATGCTTTCTTCTCCATGTAGAGCTTACACTCAGGACATCAAGCAGCTGTAGAGAATTCTGGTTAGATTTTTAATCAAAGGAAGTATTGTGATTGAGTCTTTACGTAGGAGGCTGAGAATGTCATTTCCTCCTGGCTGAGTCTTGCACAAAGTGATATTTTGAGGGCAACTTGACACCCCTGGACAGCAACTGGGCTGGGCAGTGTCGCATACACACTCCTCTCTGCCTCTCCACACCAGATTCCCTCATGATGTTGCTAGTCTCGAGACAGTGGAACAAAGCAGTGTCTCAAAGAGAAGCCAAACGGAAATAAGGCAGTCACGGGGGCACCTGGGATGTGGTGAGAATAGTGAGAAAGAAAACATTTGGTGATCAAATTGGTCTCTTCCAGGGCTTGCTTCCATGTTTAGAGCTGCCCAGTGTCGTTATAAGGCAAAATGATTGACTGATGACCAAAGAGAAATTGATTCTGAAAAGATAGAGTGATAGCACAGTGCTTGACACAGACTAGTTGATTAATACATGGTTAATGAAGAGATATGAAAAGCAATTAGAGTTGGAAATAGTATATAAATTCTGTCATGTCTGGGTTTCAATTTCTTAAGGGTATTTTGAAATTATTTTTGAATGATTAAGTAAGAGGACTACAGTGGATTGAAAGTATGTGTTACCGGGGGTTAAAAGCTGCCTCTGAGTCCCAAAGAGGTTCTTCAAAGCCTTATCTATGTCTGGAGGGTGTTTTGATTTTTTTTCTTAGTTCACAACACATATTTTGAGGGTTTTTTTTTTATCTGAGTTTTCTTGAGTTCCTGTCTTCCTTAGTGACAACTAGATTCCAAATTACTGATGCTTTGTATGATTTGTAAATGATTGCTATTAATGAATAATAAATTCCATATTATGGAATAAACTGTGCCATTGTATTTAATTGCTTAAATTTATGTCTCTCTCTCTCTCTCTGTTTCTCTTTTTCTCTCCCTACATATTTATCTATCTACCTGCAAGTCCTTGACTTTACTGATTTGGCTTGTTTTCCTGATTTGAGTGTTCTGGCTCTCTAGAGGTCTTTCATAAGCATATTTGTTCTATACATGTATTTTCCTAGGAGCTGAGCTGAACTTAAAATTCTGGTTGTACAGACTACAAATCTTGATTAGTATATATAAGTAGACCATCTTAAATATACTTGTTGAATGTATAAGAAATATGGACAGGATTGTCACCATGCCAAATTAACATATTTTTCCATAAAAGAACTAAACCTACATTAATCAAAACTAGTTATCTCTTATAGACTAGAAAAGAGCTTCAACAGTGGTTTAAAAGAAAACAGAAGAAAGGATCACCATCAAGTCATCTGAGAATGACTTTACAGGTATTGTTTTGTTTATTTTTCACCGAAAACAGGGCTTTCAGATCAAATATACAATGCCCAGTTAAATTTGAATTTCGGATAAGCGACAACAACAACAAGAAAATGATTAGTGTAAATGTGTCCCAAATATTTTGTCATTGTTTATCTGAAATTCACATTTCATTTTATTTATTTATTTATTGAGACAAGGTCTTGCTTTGTGGCCCAGGCTGGAGCACAGTGGCATGATCAAGGCTCACTGCAGCTTTGAAATCCTGGGCTCAAGTAATCCTCCCATGTCAACTTCCTAAGTAGTTGGTACTACAGGTGTTCACTGCCATGCCCAGCTAATTTTTAAAAAAACTTTTTGTATAGATGGAGTCTCATTATGTTGCTCAGGCTCATCTTGAACTCCTGGGCTCAACCGATCCTCCAACCTCAGCCTTGCAAAGTGCCAGGATTACAGATGTGAACCACCTCACCCAGCCTTGAAATTAAAATCTAACTGGGGGTCCCGTATTTATATTTGCTAATCTGGCAACCCTACCTTAAAACTACTTAGTTTACAATCTTCAAGCATCCTTTAATTTTAATGCTTGTGAAACAGCTAATCTCTTGGCTAGAATGGCTTGATGTCCTCTGAGGCAATCTGATCATCAGGTGGAATCAGTAAGTACTTTACTTAACATCAAAGAGAAATACAATGGACTTAGAGAAAAAAAAGGGCAGAAAAATTAGCATAATTTATACAGCTTGGAAACTAGATAATGGATGAGATGCACTACAATACTACTAATCTATAAAATGGTTGATTATTCTTAGATCAAAAGGTTTTTATAAGGTCATGTCAGTGAAGTGGTGGAGTAAGGACCTTCCCAATATTCTCTCTTCCATAAAAACAATGAGAATGATTCAAACATTTATGCAATCAACTTTTTCAGAATTCTGGAAAATCAAAAGCTTTCAGCAATCTGGAGAATATTTATTCAAGAAAAGTGACTGAAACTCAGAAAGGGAGAGTTTGTGTCATTTTAACTTTTTCTATTTCCATTCCCACTTTTTGCAGCTCGAAGAAAGCCTTAAAAAGCAACAAGGCAGCCACAAGCCACAAAACCAACAAGCTGCAACAAATTTGTAATGATCACAGTGGAAACCAGCAGCCTGTCAGCCACTGGAAAGGTAGAATGTTACTGGGGCTCCTTCAAAACCCCATCCCCAGGGAATGGTCATTATTTAACCTGTCTCATAGGTCCCTGGAAGACCCCAATTGCAAGGTTGTCATTGTTTGACTTGAGTTGGAGCTCATGCAGTGAAAAGAGCCTTTTCTCTATGGGGGTTTATTAAAAACAATTAGAGGCAATTGTTTAACATCATGGCTGCCGGATGCAATCACCTTTGTAAAGATTATGACAGCAAAAGAAGTCTAGCATAGCTGACTCCATCTTGTTTCAAGCCTCACAGGCTGGCTGTCCTCACTTATTCCTAGGTGTGGGTCAAGCTAACCATGGGAGACATTTAGTTTATAGTTTAACTTTGCATCAAGGATGATAATAGTACCTCCCTAAAACTGACCTCCTCCTTAAAACTGAAACCACCTTTTTAAGACTAATGAAAGGCCACAAGATTAGGATTATGGTGAGGGGCAGAGCTGATTTCTGCTAAAATGTAGGTACAGTTAAATGATAACCAGCCATTTGTTCCCTAGCTTGCTTTTCTATAATGCATTACTGCTCAAGAGTCATGTGGCCAGATGTCACAAGATTTGTAGCTTCTACTTGGCCAGACCTGCAATTATTAAATTCCTTCTTTGCTTTATAAATCTGCTGTTCTGAGTGCATTCGCTTTTCTGGACAGCAGGCAAGAGGAACCCATTAGGTGATTACACTGAGGTAGTAGATAAACATGAGGGCAAAATAATAGAATAATGAAAAAACTTTAAAAAAGGAAAAGAAGGGGAATGAGATGTCCACAGGGGGCTTTGACATGCTGTGATAGATTCCTGGGAGTCTAGAAAGCAATACCAATAAAGCCGGGCACGGTGGCTCATGCTTGTAATCCCCAGCACTTTGGGAGGCCAAGGTGGGCAGATCATCTGAGGTTGGGAATTCGTGACCAGCCTGACCAACATGGAGAAACCCATCTCTACTAAAAATACAAAATTAGCCGGGCGTGGTGGTGCATGCCTGTAATCCCAGCTACTCAGGAAGGCTGAGGCAGGAGAATCACTTGAGTCTGAGAGGCAGAGATTGAGGATTGAGGTGAGCTGAGATTGTGCCACTGCACTCCAGCCTGGGCAACAAGAGCGAAACTCGGTCTCAAAAAAAAAAAAAAAAAAAAAAAGAAAGCAATACAAATGAGTAGAACTATATGCATGCCCAGGGCTGTGTACAAGTTCAGGAAAGAATTGAGAAGGCCCTGAACTCTCACCTCTGGCTGATCTTGAAACTATATTAGCAGGAAGTGAATGCTAAGTCAGAGTTGAAAACTGCCTGGCTGAGTGTTAAAGGCAAGTTCCAACATGCACATAGAGCTCCTTAGCAAAGACTGAGAGACTTACAAGTTCCAGTCAGTTAAGAAAATTGCAGTCCAACCATTACCTAACCATATTTCGCAATTGACAACTTATGTCTACATGTACAAATATGGACATAGATGTTCATAGCAGGTGGGAACAGTGGCTCACAGTTCCCCAATCTTAGCACTTTGGGAAGCCAACACAGGAGGAAAGCTTGAGACCAGGATTTCGAGGCTGCAATGAGCTATGGCCATGCCACTGCACTCCAGCCTGGGCAACAGAGTGAGAGCCTGTCTTAAATAAATAAATAAATAAATAAAATAACATGGGCTGGGCGCAGTGGCTTACACCTGTAATTCCAACACTTTGGGAGGCCGATCTGGGTGGATCACCTGAGGTCAGGAGTTTGAGAGCAGCCTGGCCAACATGGCAAAACCCCGTCTCTACTAAAAATACAAAAATTAGCTGGGCATGGTGGCGCACGCCTGTACCTGCTACTGGTAGGGGCCGAGGCAGGAGAATCACTTGAATCTGGGAGGTGGAGGTTGCACTGAGCCGAGATTGCGCCACTGCACTCCAGCCTGGGTGACAGAGCAAGACTCCATCTCTCAAAAAAAAAAAAAAAAAAAAAAAAAGCAAGAAAAGAAAAGGTCTTTATAAGAAAAAGGTCCCATCCACTCTTCTGTTCAGGAAGGATTAAATCCCATATACCTTCTAGGAGTGACCCTTAATATCTCACACATTCTTTGAGATATATAAACTTTTTTTTTTTTTTTTTGAGACGGGATCTCAGCCCAGGCTGGAGTACAATGGTGCTATCTCACCTCATTGGAGCCTCGACCTCCCAGGCTCAAGCAATCTTTCCATCTCAGTCCCCCGAGTATCTGGGACTACAGGTGCACACCACCATGCATGGCCAGTTTTTGTATTTTTGTAGAGATGGGGTTTTGCCATGTTGCCCAGGCTGATCTTGAACTCCTGAACTCAAGGAATCCTTTTGTGTTGGCCTCCCTAAGTGCTGGGATTACAGGTGTGAACTCACTGTGCCCCACTGTAACAACTTTTTTTCTTCATTAAGCATCCAGATGTCTTGAGTATTTTGAAGTCTCAAACATCCTCCCCCTACCCCACTCATATGAAGAGCATATGACCCAAATGAAGCCAGAAATTTGAATCTAGAACATAAAGACACACAGATAGAAGACTGGGGTTGATGGACACAGCACTGTGGCTCATGCCTGTAATCCCAATACTTTGGAAGGTTGAGGCAGGAGGATTGCTGGGCAATTTAGCGAAATCCTGTCTCTACAAAAAATAAATTTTAAAAAACTAGCCAGGCGTGGTGGCATGCACCTATAGTCCTAGTTGCTCAAGAAGCTGAGGCAAGAGATTTTCTTGAGCCCAGGAGTTCAGGGATGCAGTGAGGCATGATAGGGTTACTGCACTCCTGTCTGGGCAACAGAGCAAGAGCCTGTCTCAAAAAAAAAAGAAGACTGGATTGAGTCATTGAGTCATTTTCTTGGCAGCATCCAAAATGTACTGATTCAGGAATTTCTGGTACTGAAGCCCCTGGAGATCCCCTAGTCTGGTTCTTTTTGAGCCTGATTTGTTCTTTTTGTTGCTTGAATACTGTGTTTTCTTGTATTATTCCAATCAGTTCTTTATTGCTTAAATTAGTCAGAATCTATGTCTGTTGTTTGCAAGCAAAGGACCATAACTGAGATAAGTGACAATGTGAAAGTGGTGCTGTGTTCTGGGCCAGATTCTTTTGAGCTGAGCCTGCTTGCAGACTGTGGGATGACCCAATGCTCCCACAATTTTCTTTAGTAATTCTGCTGTGCAACCTCTGATCTTACTGTGTACAATATGCTGAAATACCACTTGTCCCTCACTTGGTGCAAAAACATTACATTATGTATTATGTTCACATTTGTTTTTTTCTTATGAGTCTGTGTGGATAAAAGTAGTGGTATTGATGCCCATAAGAAACCATTTTGATCATAAAAGTAAATAACATCCTTCAGTTATAAAGTGACCATTCAAATGATCCAAAATATGCTTCTATTAATTTTGACATTATCATTGAATGAAAGCACATGGCTTTAAAAAAAAACAATTTGTGGCAAAGGATTTTCAGATCCTTAAAGGTAGATTGGAGAAATCTTGCCCTGGGTATTAGAGACTATTGTGATACATCTATTTTTCTTAGTTCACAGACTTCATCTTTCTCCCTGATACCTCAGTGATGATCAGGTCCAGGTTTAACAAATGTGTAGCTGAGCGTCATATGTTTAAAAAATTAACATGCAAGGACATGAGCAGAAAATTCACAAAAAGGGAAGTCCAAATAAATGGTCAATAAATACAGGAAAATATGTTTAGTCTCAGTAGTGAGCAAAGATGTTTAATGTATTAGTCAGGATGGTGTAGATAATGCTGCCATAACGCTCAACCCTAAGTCTCAGTGGCTTACAACAAAGAAGTCATATTTTTTGTTCATACTCATCATGCCTTACTTAGAGTCTTTATTCCATGTTGTTCTATCAAACTGAACAGAGTATGTTTATGTTAATCAATTATGGGACCCAGGCCATTTTCTGAAACATTGTTGGTAATCAATTGCAGAAGTGAAAGAGAACTCTGAAAGGTCTTGCTCAACCCAGAAGTGACACATACCATTGCTATTCACAACTCAATGACCAGACCAGGTCACATGGCCCCGCTTAACCTCAAGGGCCATAAAATTAAATCTCTTTTTTGTTTGTTTTTGTTTCTGAGACAGAGTCTCGCTCTGTTGCCCAGGCTGGAGTGCAGTGGTGTGATCTCGGCTCACTGCAAACTCAGCCACCCAGGTTCAAGCGATTCTCGTGCCTCAGCCTCCCTAGTAGCTGGGACTACAAGCATGTGCCACCACGCCCAGCTAATTTTTTTTGTATTTTTAGTAGAAAGGGGGTTTTGCCATGTTGCCCAGGCTGGTCTCAAACTCCTGAGCTCAGGCAATCTGCCTGCTTTAGCCTCCCAAAGTGCTAGGATTACAAGTATGAGCCACCATGCCCAGCTCATAAAATTAAATCTTATCATGTGCTTGGGGGGAGCATTAATGACTATAACATACAATCAAAACAATAAGTTATTATTTTTCAGCTACCAGATTGGCAACTTTAAAAAAATAGCTAAAACGTTTTTTAAACAAAAAAGTTAAAATATAGAGACGGGGGCCGGGCGCGGTGGTTCACGCCTGTAATCCCAGCACTTTGGGAGGCCGAGGCAGGTGGATCATGAGGTTATGAGTTCAAGACCAGCCTGGCCAAGATGGTGAAACCCCATCTCTACTAAAACTACAAAAATTAGCTGGGTGCAGTGGCAGGCGCCTGTAATCCCAGCTACTCAGGAGGCTGAGGCAGGAGAATCGCTTGAACCTGGGTGGCGGACGTTGCAGTGAGCGGAGATCACGCCATTGCACTCCAGCCTGGGCAACAAGAGCAAAAACTCTGTCTCAAAAAAAAAAAAAAAAAAAAAAAAAAAAATATATATATATATATATATATATGGAATGAGAGAGAGAGATGGGGTCTCCGTATGTTGCCTAGGCTGATCTGAAACTCCTGGACTCAAGGGATCCTCCCACCTCAGCCTCCCAAAGTGTTGGGATTATAGATGTAAGCCACTGCACCCAGCCCAGCTAAAATCTTGTCTCATCAAATGTGTATAAACATCTATAAATTGGGAATGAAAGTTTATACGTAATTTCTGGGGGCAATTTGACAGTATACACAAATGCATATGCACACACACACACACAGAGTGCATACTCTTTACCCTGCAATTCCATTTCTAGGAATTCAACCTAAGGAGATATTTATACAATTGTGGAAAGATAAGTTTACAAAAGCATTTATTGAAGCATTTTATATAACAGTTGAAAATGGATACAACCCAGCCGGGCGCGGTGGCTCATGCCTGTAATCTCAGCACTTTGGAAGGCCGAGGTGGGTGAATCACCTAAGGTCAGGAGTTCGAGACCAGCCTGGCCAACATGGTGAAACCTCATCTCTACTAAAAATAGAAAAATTAGCCAGGTGTGATGGCGCATGCCTGTAATCCCAGCTACTTGGGAGCCTGAGGCAGGAGAGTCGCTTGAACCCAGGAGGCAGAGGTTGCAGTGAGCTGAGATCACGCCACTGCACTCCAGCCTGGGCGACAGTGAGACTCTGTCTCAAAAAAAAAAAAAAAAAGAAGAAAATGGATACAACCCATAAATGCAACAGTAGAGTAATGACCAAACAGCTTGTGCCATATCTGTTAGATTAAATATTATGGAGCCATTAAAATTATGCTAGCAAAGGCTGAGCATGGTGGCTTACACCTGTAATCCCAGCAGTTTGGGAGGCCGAGGTGAGCAGATCACTCACTTGAGGTCAGGAGTTCAAGACCAGCCTGGCCAAGATGGTGAAACCTCATTTCTACTAAAAATACAAAAATTAGTGCATGGTGGCAGGCACCTGTAATCCCAGCTACTCGGAAGGCTGAAGCAGGAGAAACCCTTGAACAGAGGTCGAGTCGGAAGGCTGAAGCAGGAGAAACCCTTGAACAGAGGTCGAGGTGCCTCAAGAAACCCTTGAGGCAGTGAGCCGAGATCGTGCCACTGCACTCCAGCCACAGCAACAGAGTAAGATGCTGTCACCCCCACAACACACACAAAAAGAATTATGCTAACAAAGTGATATGTTTATTCTATAATTTTAAATGCCAAAGCAGTCTAGCAGTCTATGTGCATTCAGTGTAACTTCTTGCTGCACTCTGCAAGTGCAAGTGAAAAAAAGCACCAAGGAGTTCTCCCTAATTGATTCTTTCCTGATAATTGGAGGTTATCACAATTCATTCAACAGAATCTGTACATTCACAATTAAGAACCTCAACCAGGACTGCCCTTCCATGGGTAACACATTGTGCTATTTTATAGCTCAGCTCTCCACCATCCACAGAAGCTACCCTGGGAGCAAGATGGTGGGCGTTGTCTCTTCACAGAGTGCTTCCACTTTCCTAGAAGCTCATTTATGCTCAAGACTAGGAAATAAATAAAAGTACTGACTCTGTTCTTCACAATCCTTTTTATGGTTGAGTTTTCCTTCCCCAAAGAACCATCTCCTGTTTTCTATGGATTAGCAAAGTGCCCTGATCTTCTCATGCTGATTCATTTCCTCCCTTCCTTCCTGCCTCCCTCCCTCCTTTCCTCCCTCCCTTCCTTTTTCGTTTCCTTCAAAGAAACATTTATGAGCAGTTTAAGTCTCAGGCACTATGTCCAGTGCTAGGAATGCTCCCAATGAACAAGACACTATCTCTGTTCCCATGGAGCATATTATTTCTTGGAGAAAAGAAGGAAAACAGCAATTGCAATATATCCCTGTGGCAAACACTTCTGAAATGGCCCAAATGATCACTGCTTCCTGGTATTCATGTCCTTGTGTGATCCCCCTCTCCTGAGTGTTGACTCAACTTATGACTTGCTATTAACAAATAGAATATGGTAGAGTGATAGGATGTCATTTTGAGATTAGGTAATAAAAAGACTCACTTCCATCATGGGTCCCCACTCCCCAGCGCTTGCTCTGGGGGAAGCAAGCTGCCATGTGCTCCACCAATATGTTACACGACTGGTGTCATTTGTCAGAAAGGGAAGGTAATTGTAAAACTAATCACAACGAAAGCAAAACAGTGTTATTAAATCCTAATAAGACAGGATTGTCTACTGAAAGCTCTGAGCCTAAGGCTTCCTTGCACCTTCTCTCTCTGTCATTCTTTAGAAGAGAAGTGGTTTAATTTGTGCAGCACCAATAAAAAACAAAAAACAAACAAACAAAAAAAGAGAAGTGGTTAAAAGAAAAAAAAAAGTAGCAGTACCAAATCAAAATTTTCTTCTTGATGTAATCAGAAGGATTAAAGAGAATTTGGAAAGAAATCACAGGATAACTATTTTAGCTATTGCTGTGTCTATATACTACTAAAACTCATCTCATTTGTGAGGCACTTTGAAAACACTGGCCTACACTAACCAGCCAAGACCCTCAGCCACAAAGATGGATTTTTTATTTGTCAAGGAAAGCTTCCTTCTTAGCCAGAGTAAGCTGCTTTTTCAAACCAGACCTAAGACAATAGTTCTGTACCTGAATGCATGGCACAGTACTATTCCATGAATTTTTATGGTGTGTTGACAAATTTTAATCAGTATATAAATTTGACATCCCCCTTCCAGCTGAGGATACACATTTTTATGTATGTGTGACAGAAGGCTCTATAGAGTGAGTTGGGAAAAGTGTATCCCACTCTCCATCCTTATTAGTCAGGGTTCTCTAGGGGGACAGGACTAATAGGATAAATGTATAAATGAAACGGAGTTTATGAAGGAGTATTGACTCACACGATCACAAGGTGAGTCCCACAATAGACTGTCTGCAAGCTGAAGAGCAAGGAAGCCAGTCCAAGTCCCAAAACCTCAAAAGTAGGGAAGCTGACAATGAAGTCTTCAGTTTGTAGCCGAAAGCCTGAGAGCCCCTGGCAAACCACTGGTGTAAGTCCAAGAGTCCAAAAGCCAAAGAAGTTAGAGTCTGATGTTCGAGGGCAGGAAGCATCCAGCATGGGAGAAAGATGGAGGCCAGTCTAGCCATTCCATGTTCTTCTGCCTGCCTTTTTTTTTTTTTTTTTGGAGACTGAGTCTCACTCTATTGCCCAGACTGGAGTGCAGTGGTGCGATCTCGGCTCACTTCAACCTCCGTCCCCCGGATTCAAGTGATTCTCCTGCCTCAGCCTTACGAGTAGCTGGGATTACAAGTGCCCACCACCATGCCTGGCTAATTTTTGTATATTTACTACAGACGGGGTTTCAGCATGTTGGTCAGGCTGGTCTTTAACTGACCTCAGGTGATCTGCCCACCTTGGCCTCCCAAAGTGCTGGGATTACAGGCAAGAGCCACTGTGCCCAGCCCTTCTACTTGCTTTATCCTAGCCATGCTGTCAGCTGATTAGATGGTGCCCACCCAGATTGATGGCGGGTCTGTCTCTCCCAGTCCACTGACTCAAATATTAATCTCCTTTGGCAACACCCTCACAGAGGCACCCAGGAACAATACTTTGCATCCTTCAATCCAATCAAGTTGACACTCAGTATTAACCGTCACACCATCCTTAAGAAATATCACCTTTCTAAACTACTTTAAATTTCATATGGAACCAAAAAGAGCCCGTATAGCCAAGACAATCTTAAGCAAAAACAACAAAGCTGGAGGCATCATGATACCTGACTTCAAACTGTACTACAAGGCTACAGTAACCAAAACAGCATGATACCGGTACCAAAACAGATATATAGAACAATGGAACAGAACAGAGACCTCAGAAAAACACCACACATCTACAACCATCTGATCTTTGACAAACCTGACAAAAACAAGCAATGGAGAAGGATTCCCTATTAAGTAAATGGTGCTGGGAAAACAGGCTAGCCCTATGCAGAAAACAGGAACTGGACCCCTTCCTTATACCTTATACAAAAATTAACTTAAATGTAAAACCTAAAACCATAAAAACCCTAGAAGAAAACCTAGGCAATACCATTCAGGATGTAGGCATGGGTAAAGACTTTATGACTAAAACACCAAAAACAATGGCAACAGAAACCAAAATTGACAAATGGGATCTAATTAAACTAAAAAGCTTCTGCACAGCAAAAGAAACTATTATCAGAGTAAACAGGCAACCTACAGAATGGGAGAAAATTTTTGCAATCTTTCCTTCTGACAAAGGTCTAATATCCAGAATCTACAAGGAACTTAAACAAATTCACAAGAAAAAACAACCCCATCAAAAAGTGGGCAAAGGATATGAACAGACACTTCTCAAAAGAAGACATTTATGTGGCCAACAAACATATGAAAAAAAGCTCATTGTCACTGGTCATTAGAGAAATGCAAATCAAAACCACAGTGAGATATCATCTCACGCCAGTTAGAATGGCAATTATTAAAAAGTCAGGAAACCACAGATGTTGGCGAGGCTGTGGAGAAATAGGAATACTTTTACACTGTTGGTGGGAGTGTAAATTAGTTCACCCATTGTGGAAGACAGTGTGGCAATTCCTCAAGGATCTAGAACCAGAAATACAATTTGACCCAGCAATTCCATTACTGGGTATATATCCAAAGGATTATATGTCATTCTACTATAAAGACACATGCACACGTATATTTATTACAGCACTGTTTACAATAGTAAAGACTTGGAACCAACCCAAATGCCCATCAATGATAGACTGGATAAGGAAAATGTGGCACACATACACCATGGAATACCATGCAGCCATAAAAAAGAATGAGTTCATGTCCTTTGGAGGGACATGGATGAAGCTGGAAGCCATCATTCTCAGCAAACTAACACAGGAACAGAAAACCAAACACTGCCTGTTCTCACTCATAAGTGGGAGTTGAACAATGAGAACACATGGACACAGGGAGGGGAGCATCACACACCGGGGCCTTTTGGGGTGTGGGGGTTAAGGGGAGGGGGAGCATTAGGACAAATACCTAATGCATGCAGGGCTTAAACCTAGATGATGGGTTGATAAGAGCAGCAAAACACCATGGCACATGTATACCTGTGTAACAAAACTGCACATTCTACACATGTATCCCAGAAGTTAAAGTCAAATTAAAAAAAAAAAAAAAAAACAGAAAGCAAAACAAAAAGCAACTCCCAAACCAGCAAAAATAAATAACATATTATTTAAGAGAAAAAAAAAAAGAAAGAAAAGAAATATCACCTTTCTATGGGAACAGTGAACTGGAACACTAGTCAGGGCAATCTACACTCAAAGGCTGATACAATAAAGAACGACCAAGTGAGTGGTCAAACAGTTTTCAATTTTCTAAAACTTGCTATCTAAAAACCACCATTCACCTGTAGACAAAAAGAGTCGAACTCTGTAAAATATTTGAAGAGATTTATTCTGAGCCAAATATGAGTGACCATGGCCCGTGACACAGCCCTCAGAACATGCGAGAACATGTGCCCAAGGAGGTCAGGGCACAGCTTGGTTTTATACATTTTAGAGAGGCATGAGACATCAATCAAATATATTTAAGAAATACGTTGGTTTGGTCCAGAAAGGTGGAACAACTCAAAGTGGGAGCTGTAGGTGAATTTAAACATTTTCTGGTTAACAATTGGTTGAGTTTGTCTAAAGACCTGGGATAAACAGAAAGGGGATGTTCAGGTTAAGATAACAGACTGTGGAGACCAAAGTTCTTTTGAAGTCTTATAGTGGCTGCATTTAGAGACAATAGGTGACAAATGTTTTCTATTCAGATTTTAGTTAATCTCTTTAGGATTGGGAGGGTCTGGAAGAAAAAGATCTAGCTATATTAATAGAGATTCTTTACAGATGCAAATTTCCCCCCACAAAGAACAGCTTTGCAGGGCCATTTCAAAATATGACAAGAAACATGTTTTGGGGGTAAAATATTTTGATTTTCTTCTTTGTCTCCTAATGTTATGCCAGAGTCAGGTTGGAAAGTAAATCATGATATATAGGGTTGAATAAAACCCATCTGATGAGAATTTATGATTTGTAGGGCATGACTCCCCAGACCTCTTAGATAGGAATTTGGGCAAGATTAAAAAAATTAGAGGTTAGTCCTCACCAAAAGCACTTGGATAGCGCTTATGAACTAGCCAAACTTCTAGAATTCAAAAATGTGGCTAATCCTCCCATTTTCGGGTTGACGTCAAATCCTAACGTATGAAAAGGGTCATAGTTCAGAGATTAATGGTCAGACTCATTCCACTAGCAACCAAATCAAATTTCAGAATTCTTGCAATCACAGTTGTGCTTTTATGGGAACAAATATTTCTTATTCATTTGTTTTGCCGAGGCAATAAAACATGACTAGTGATTGGCAGTGATAATATTTTCTCTGAAAAACTTCCTGATGTGCAACTTGATCTTTTTTTTTTCTTTTCTTTTCTAAAATATATTATGGAAACATTTTGAGCTTGTAAATGATTTGTTCCAAGTGCCAATAGAGAATAGCATTTCCGACCGGGTGCGGTGGCTCTCGCCTGTAATCCCAGCACTTTGGGAGGCTGAGGCCTGTGGATCACGAGGTCAGGAGTTCGAGACCAGTTTGGCCAACATGGTGAAACCCCGTCTCTACTAAAAATACAAAAATTAGCTGGGCGTAGTGGCAGACACCTGTAATCCCAGCTACTTGGGAGGCTGAGGTAGGAGAATCGCTTGAAACCGGAAGGCGGAGGTTGCAGTAAGCCCAGATCACGCCACTGCACTCCAGCCTGGGCAACAAGAGCAAAACTCCATCTCAAAAAAAAAAAAAAAAAAGAGAGAATATAATTTCCTAAAAAAACAATGGTTTCCTCTCTCAGAATTCTGGAATCTGCCTGATATATTTCTGGACAAATGAAACCAAACAGCATAGTCATACCCTGGAAGAGCAGAGGTTGGAAAAGAGGTGTAAAGGGCATAGTTGGGAGTGAAATTTTGTGCATAAGAACAGAAGAAGAAGGTACAAGGTTAGAAATTTTAATTATGCTTTTCTCCTTCACTGCAGAATTGGGCCATGTTTAAGTACCTGGAGTAAGCTTGGCAAAAAATCACTTGCTTCCCCATGCTGCTGTGTTCTACAGAACTTTCTGTCCACATTACGGTCTTACTGAATGGCCTATTTTGTAAACCAAATGCCACAGTATTTCCACATATCTAAATTCAAAGAAATATGCTGACCTAAAGTATGAAAATCCATTGAAATATCAGACAAAATTTTTTCTTGTTTAAATTTTAAGGGATACTTGCTTATCCTTGCCAAAATGATTTTAATTCAGTATGTAACTTGGATTGAAATGTTTGAATCCTGGGCAGGAAAACAATAAAAGCTATGAGAGTTACCAAAACAAAACAAAACAAAAACAAACAAACAACAAAAAAAAATAGGCATGGTGGCTCACATCTGGAATCCCAGCAATTTGGGAAGCTGAGGCAGGAGAATCACTTGAGGCCAGGGGTTTCTGATCAGCCTGGGCAAACATAGTGAGATCCCATCTATATTAAAATTTTTTAAAGTTTTTTTTTTAAAAAAAGTAAGTCAGCCGGGCACGGTGGCTTATGCCTCTAATCCCAGCACTTTGGGAGGCTGAAGTGGGCAGATCACCTGTGGTCAGGAGTTTGAGACCAGCCTGGCCAACATAGTGAGACCCCGTCTCTACTAAAAATACAAAAATTAGCCAGGTGTGGTGGCACATGCCTGTAATCCCAGCTACTTGGGAGGCTGAGGTAGGAGAATTGCTTGAACCCAGGAGGTGGGGGTTGCAATGTGCCGAGATCATGCCACTGCACTCCAGCCTGGGTGACAGACAGAATGAGACTCCGTCTCAAAAAAAAGAAAAAGATTTGTGCATTATCATTTTTTGACCTCAAAGAAGGAGATTTCAATGAAGCAAAACAATTTTTTTATTTGCTTAAAAGTTCAAATCAATAAAAATTATATTTAATCGAGACATTAATAACCGAGGAAAAAGGACAGATGTCATTATCTAGTAGGTCAGCCTCAAGGCATGCAGGGACCTGGTGCCTGGCTGGTGGGGAGAAAGTAGTGGTTGGAGCCAGGATGGGGCACATGACATGACTATGACTCAGACCCGCAAGGATGCTAGCAGGTGGTCCAATTTGGTGTTCAAAGGGAAGTGGCAGACTTGACATAAATGTATCCAATGCTAATATCTAAGAGAGTCCAGTTTACAGTTGAAGCATGTCAGTAAAGGCCTCCATGAAGAGGTAATGCCTCAAATTAGCATGGAACTTGCTTATGAATCTTCATCTTTTTATTATTTTATTTTATTTTATTTTGAGGCTAAGTCTCTCTCTGTCATTCAGGCTGGAGTGCAGTGGTGTGATCTTGGCCCTTTGCAACCTCCGCCTCCCGGGTTTAAGCAATTCTCTTCCCGCAGCCTCCCAAGTAGCTGGGATTACAGCTGTGCGCCCCCAGGCCATGCTAGTTTTTGTATTTTTAGTACAGACGGGGTTTCACAATGTTGGTCAGGCTGGTCTTGAACTCCTAACCTCAAGTGATCCACCCGCCTCGGCCTCCCAAAGTGCTGGGATTACAAGGGTGAGCCACCACTCCTGGCCTGTTCATCTTTTTAGAGTAGAGCCCTAGACAGCAATTGGGGATTAGTAGAGAGTCTCTAGGCCCCCAGGAAGGGGAATGCTAAGACTTCACAGGGCTCTAGTTGGGTAGAGCTGGGTTTTAGCTCTTGAGGCAGAAGTTCAATAGTTCAATTACATAGACTAGCCTCCCATAGTGAGATTTAGGAGAGTATTATAACTCAGTGGATCCAATACAGGGATCACAGATACTGTGTCTACAGAAAAACAGCTATTTCCAGAACACACCCACTTATAAAGGTGGACTTCAGTGACCCAACTTAGAAGGTAGGAGCTAACGTTAACATTAGGAAACCAGGCAACGTTGTCATGGCAAGTAGCATCAGCCATACTCATTGAGGGTGTGCCCAACTGGCAGCCCTGTATTTGATTTCTTGGAAAGGAAGTGTAAAAAAATGTATAGACTCCCAAATGGCCAAGAAACAAATGAACGATGCAAGCTGGAGAACCTGGAAAGCCAGTGATATAATTCAGTCGAGGCCAAAGGCTTGAGAAGCAGAGAAGCCAGTGGTGCAAATCCCAGTCCAAGACTGATGGACTGAGAACTGGGACGGGGTGGTGGGAACCCTGGTGCAAGTCCTAGAGTCCAAAGGCCTGAGAACGAGGAATTCTGATGTCCAAGGACAAGAGAAGATAGATGTCCTGGCTCAAGAAGAGAAAGTGATGTCACCCCTCCTCTGCCTTTTTGTTTCGTTTGTGCTCTGAACAGTCACACTGGTGAAGGCAGATCTTCTTCACTCCGTTACTGATTCAAATGGTACCACTCTCACAGACACATCCAAAAATGATGTTTTACTGGCTATCCTAGTATCTGTTAGCTCAGTCGAGTTGACTCATATAATTAACCATCACAGTGTACTTATCCAAAATAAAATGAGGGATTAGTAGAAAAGGAAAGGGAATGGTGAGTGACTAAAAGTCAACAGCCAGGTGCGGTGGCTCACGCCTGTAAACCCAGCATTTTGGGAGGCCGAGGGTTGGTGGATCACCTGAGGTCGGAAGTTGGAGACCAGCCTGACTAACATGGAGAAACCCCATCTCTACTAAAAGTACAAAAAAAGTAGCTGGGCGTGGTGGTGCATGCGTGTAATCCCAGCTACTCGGGAGGCTGAGGTAGGAGAGGAGGAGGAGGTTGCAGTGAGCCGAGATCGCGTCATGCATTCCAGCCTGGGCAACAAGAGCGAAACTCCATCTCAAAAAAAAAACAAATTTCTACTACATGTTTTCTTTTTTTTCTTTTCTTTCTTTCTCTTTTCTTTTCTCTCTTTTTTTTTTTTTTTTTTTTTTTTTGAGCTGGAGTCTCTCTCTATTGCCCAGGCTGGAGTGCAATGGTGCAATTTTGGCTCACTGCAACCTCCGCCTCTCATATTCAAGTGATTCTCCTGCTTCAGCCTCCTGAGTAGCTGGGACTACAGGCACCTGCCACCACCACACCCAGTTAATTTTTGTACTTTTAGTAGAGACAGGATTTCACCATGTTGACCAGGCTGGTCTCAAACTGCTGATCTCAGGTGATCCACTCGCCTCAGCCTCCCAATGTGCTGGGATTACAGGCGTGAGCCATCACGCCCAGGTTTTTTTTTTTTTTTTTTTTTTCCTGAGACTGAGTCTGGCCCTGTTGCCCAGGCTGGAGTGCAATGGCACGGTCTTGGCTCACTGCAACCTCCACCTCTCATGTCCAAGTGATTCTCCTGCCTCAGCCGCCCGAGTAGCTGGGATTACAGGCACCCACTACCACAGCCTGACTAATTTTTGTATTTTTGGTAGAGACAGGGTTTCATCATGTTGGCCAGATTGGTCTCGAATTCCTGACCTCAGGTAATCTGCCTGCCTCGGCCTCCCAAAGTGCTGGGATTAAGGCGTGAGCCACCGTGCCCGGCCTCTACTACATATTTTCTAAGAACAAACTATATTGCATTAATCTAATTGCCTGTGGTTGGTAAAACTAGGGAATGGCATAGATGAACTGTATCATTGATTCATTGTTCATGTTTAGTTTATTTCTAAATATTCAATACTGGCCAGTGAACACAAGGCAGGGTATGCAAATCACATCAATTGCCAACTTTGAACTTTATTTTTTATTTACTTATTTGTTTTTGAGATGCAGTCTCGCTATGTCACCAAGGCTGGAGTGCAGAGGCACAGTCATGGATCATTGCAGCCTCAAACTTCTGGGCTCAGGTGATCCTCCTGCTTTAACCTCCCAAGTAGCTGTTACTATAGCATGTGGCACCAGGCCTGCTAATGTTTTGAAAAACAAATTTTTTGTAGCGATGACGGGGGGGTCTCACCATATTGCCCAGACTGATCTTGAACTTCTGGCCTCAATCGATCTTCCTGCCTCAGCCTCCCAAAGTGCTGAGATTACAGGTATGAGCCACTGCAACTTACCTGCTTCAAACTTTAAATAGTTTGCACTTGGGATAAAATACAAAATCCCTAATGTGGCCTCTAAGGCCCCACAGCCCCTGGGCCCTGACCCTCCCCCATCACTCACTCCTTGCCCAATGTATTCCAGGTCCAGTTGCCCCCAGCTTCCCATGTGGTGCCCCATATGGCAGGCACATTCCTCTTTTCACTCAAAGCCTGAATAACCGGAATAGCTCCTAGTTGTGGGCCTCAAGTTAAATGTTGGTTCCTCAAAGAAGCTTTGCTAAATCCTCAGTTTGATTCTGCCTCTCCTATTGTTCTAGCCCCTGGAACCCTGGTCTCTTCCTTCATAATACAACTTGCAATCTTCTATTTTTCCTGTTGATTTAGATAATGACTGTCTTCCTCAGATGCCAGCAACCCTTCCAAAATTTAAGGACCACACCTACTTTGTTCAATTTTAAATGTAATATCTAACACAGACCTTGATCAGTATGGGCATACAAGAAAGCCTGTTCAATGAGGATTCCAAAATGAATATGAACTCAATTTATATGGAGTGAATATTTTAGGGGCAAGAAATTAAAATGATCAATGTGATCAGTGCAATATAGTCATATAAAATACCAGAGGGGACCAGGCACGGTGGCTCACATCTGTAATCCCAGCAGTTTGGCAGGCCAAGGCGGGTGGATCACCAGAGGTCGGGAGTTCGAGACCAGCTTGACCAACATGGTGAAACCCCATCTGTACTAAAAATACAAAATTAGCCAAGTATGGTGGCACACACTTGTAATCCCAGCTACTTGGGAGGCTGAGGCAGGAAAATCGCTTGAACCCGGGAGGCAGAGGTTGCAGTGAGCCGAGATCATGCATTGCACTCTAGCCTGGGTGACAGAGTAAGACTCTGTCTCAAAAAATAAAATAGGCCGGGTGCAGTGGCTCATGCCTGTAATCCCAGCACTCTGGGAGGCTGAGGCGGGCAGATCACCTGAGGTCGGGAGTTCGAGACCAGCCTGGCCAGCATGGTGAAACCCTGTCTCTATTAAAAATACAAAAATTAGACAGGTGTGGTGGCAGGCACCTGTAATCCCAGCTACTCTGGAAGCTGAGACAGGAGAATTGCTTGAACCCAGGAGGCGGAGGTTGCAGTGGGCAGAGATCATGCCATTGCACTCCAGCCTGGGCAGCAGAGTGAGACTGTCTCAAAAGAATAAACAAACAAACAATAAATAAATAAAAAAAATATAAAACAAAATAAAATACCATAGGAACACCCTGAAGAGAAGGGTTACTTTGGCCATGAGGCAATTTCTCATCTCCTTCCATGTCCTTGTAGATTACTTCAAGGGACTGAAATGAAGGAAGGGTGACAGCACCACATGGCAAATTCACAGCAGGTTGAACGATATTCCCATGCAATGGAGGGAGAAGGGGGAGGGCAATTCAAGGGATGCAGCCTCTATGTGAGCCCCACAAGACCATGGCTGTGACCCTCTCTGCAGCATCTGTATCCAAGACTCAAGACTTACACAAAGATTAACTCTGCTGCATGTGACACAGAATTGAGAATGACTGAAGTACTGTCTTGCCCTGAAATTCTATTTCTACAAGTTTGCTTTAAACATGCATTCTACGTTGTATTTCTTAATGGAACATTTCCTTTCTATTAATTACCATGTCTTTGTGTTTAAATACATTTGTAACTATATTCAAGCGACTTGGTAAATGGAGTTTCCAAGAGAACAAAGCAATGACTTGATTGTCAGGCCTCTGAGCCCCCATCATATCCCCTGTGACCTGCACTTATAAATCCAGATGGCCTGAAGCAACTGAAAAACCACAAAATAATGAAAATAGCCAGTTCCTGCCTTAACTGATGACATTGTGATTTGTTCCTGCCCCACCCTGACTGATCAGTTAGCCTTGTGACATTCCTTCTCCTGGACATTAAGTCTCCGGAGCTCTCCACCGAGCACCTTGTGACCCCCACCCCTGCCTGCAAGAGAACAACCCCCTTTAACTGTAATTTTCCACTACCTACCCAAATCCTATAAAACTGCCCCACCCCTATCTCCCTTTGCTGACTCTTTTTGGACTCAGCCCACTTGCATCCAAGTGAAATAAACAGCCTTGTTGCTCACACAAAGCCTGTTAGTGGACTCTCTTCACACAGAGGGGCATGACATTGATATTCTGGAATGTTAAATATGTTACAAAGTAAATTCATGATGCCAGAGTTAAAAACAAAAACATGACGGGGCTTGGTGGCTCACGCCTGTAATCCCAGCACTTTGGGAGGCCGAGGCAGGCAGATTGCCTGAGGTCAGGAGTTCGAGTCCAGCCTGGCTAACATGGTGAAACCCCATCTCTACTAAAAATACAAAAATTAGCTGGGCGTGGTGGTGGGTTCCTGTAATCCCAGCTACTCAGGAGGGTGAGGCAGGAGAATCACTTGAACCCAGAAGATGGAGGTTGCAGTGAGCCAAGATCGCACCACTGCACTCCAGTCTGGGTGATAGGGCAAGACTCTGTCTCAAAAGAAAAAAAAAAAAAAAAAAACCCAAAAACATATAAACTCTTAACATTCCTTTTTCAAACACAAGCTGTGCTGTCATCCTTTCGATTATTACCATAACATAATTTTAATTAAACTCTTACTTTTATTTCATTTATGTGACTAGGCCTAAAATCAACATTTTAACCACACCATGAAAAAATCATTAGCAATTTATACTCACTCAGTGGTTGAAATGAAGTAGTGAAAACCATTTTGCTTTTCCTCCCTCTCTCCCTTTCTTTCTCCCTCCTTTCCTTTCCCCCCTTTTCCTCTTTTATTCCTCCTTCCTTTCTTCCACAAACATTCATCCTTTTATGAGCCTGAAGCTTTTCTAAGTGCACACATTTGGAAGATATAATACTTAGATTCAAGCATACTTAACCAGCCATGTCCAGAATAAGTTTAATGTGATGCAATTGACCTATTGTAATATCCATCCACACGTCTCACATGTTTTTAAACTCTTATTTTGGCCCATTCATCTTTGAATACTGACTCACCACCATGCAGTTCTTGATTAGATTATTGTTCACCTCTACTCTGAGAGCAAAATAAGAGTGTGCTCAGCTGACTGTAGTGAGTCAGTGGACCCTCTTTTCATTTCCTAATTCCAGTTCTACTTCAGGATTGAATAAGCAATTATCTACACAGCAATTGTAATTAAACCCATTAATTAAAAAAATACACATAGACCTTAACACATCAATTAAAATGGTATAGGTTGTGTCTAACAAAGATGTGAATCAAACAAGTAAATATTTCTATGTACAAAGGCTAAAATAGAAAACAAGACTGAGTATGTTTAACATAGCTGATCTATCACTGTGGACCTGCTTCCATGTCTTCTGCTGTTTTTAGAAATGATTTTTTTTTCTTTTTCTTTTTCTTTTTTTGAGATGGAGTTTCACTCTTGTTGCCCAGGCTGGAGTGCAATGGCACAATCATGACTCCCTGCAACCTATGTCTCCCAGGTTCAAGTGATTCTCCTGCCTT
This sequence comes from Homo sapiens, assembly GCF_000001405.40. Taxonomy (NCBI): domain Eukaryota; kingdom Metazoa; phylum Chordata; class Mammalia; order Primates; family Hominidae; genus Homo; species Homo sapiens. The sequence goes on along the minus strand of NC_000012.12, from coordinate 92,955,683 downwards.
AGCCTCTCGAGTAGCTGGGATTACAGGTGCATGCCACCACGCCCAGCTAATTTTGTATTTTTAGTAGAGATGGAGTTCCTTCATGTTGGTCAGGCTGGTCTCAAACTCTCGACCTCAGGTGATCTGCCTGCCTCGGCCTCCCAAAGTGCTGGGATTACAGGCATGAGCCACCACGCTCTGCCAGAAATTATTTTCTTTTGTTGCTTTTGTTGTTGTTAATATTTGGTAGGCCGCCCAGGTCTTCTAAAATACGGACAAAAGATAAGAATTTGTTAGCTCTTGTATATGATGTTTATTAACATCCCAATGACACATGAAAACATGTCCTGAAGGGTATCATTTATATTTGAGTTTCTCTTGGCTGGGTGCAGTGGCTCACAACTATAATCCCAGCACTTTGGGAGGCTGAGGCAGGAGGATCACTTGAGCTCAGGAGTTCGAGACCAGCCTGGGCAACATGGTGAAATCTCCATCTCTAGTAAAAATACAAAAATTAGCTGGGCATGGTGGTGTCCATCTGTAGTCCAGCTCCTTGGAAGACTGAGGTGGGAGGATTTCTTGAGCCTGGGAGGTTGAGGCTTCAGTGAGCAGTGATCATGCCACTGCACTCCAGCCTGGGTGACAGAACAAGACCCTGTCTCAAAAAAAAAAAAAAAATTATAGTTTCTTTAAGTCATTCATTTTAAAATAAACTAGAAAATTCTGTATGTTTAGCTAAGCTACTTTATAAAATGAAGTCAAGGGGTAAATCTTAACAAACTTGTCTGAATATAGATTAGGACTTTCCTGTTTATTTTTAGGATAATCCTCAGTGGTGCTGACAATGGGTGGGAAGTAGCCCCCATTTTGAAAAGGGTATCTGCACACATGTGCACAGGCCTTACTATGACACAGTCATTCTTTCTCGTCCAGGAATTGTCACTCCCAAAATCCTATAGCGGAGAAGGCTGGTGTTTCATTAAGACAGGTGCATCTTTGGGGGGACTTCACAAAAAGAGAGAACACACTGGCATTTATTCCCTGTTCCACATGGGATGGAGCCAAGTGAAGGGGGACAGTAAGAGCACCCCTTAGAGAATCGAGGGGCTAGCCAGAAACAGGTGAGGGACTTTTACTCCTTGGCCAGATGCCTGCTGGGCTGGAGGAGTGTGTAGGCCTGCCCAGTGCTACTACAGGACTGAAAGGCAATTAAGTTTTGGGGAGAACCTGACAAGGGTCTGATAGAGGCAGGAGGCAGGCAAATGCCTAGGCAGATAGGGGCAGGTCCCTGGTGAAACCCAACCTTCAAGACAGAAACTGTCCTGGGTAAATACTCAGATGGGATTGAGAACCCACCTTCCTGTTTGGTGCACTTTCCTTTGATTGATCCCCACTCTTCACCTATTTTACATATACCTACCTTTTCCTAATTGGTTTTCTACACTGTTGTGCCCACCTTTGAGTGGTGTCTTTGCTATGACCATTTTTGGATACTCACAAACCAATCAGCACACACTCCCTATTCTGAGCCCATAAAAAGCCCCAGGCTCAGCCATATCGGGGAACTTTCCTGTCTTCGGGTAGGAGAACTACCCCCACCTCCTGCCGTGTCCCCTCTTTTTGCTGAAAGCTTTCCTTTCACTTAATAAATTCTACTCCACTCACTGTTTGATGTTTGTGTGCCTAATTCTTCCTGGTCGTGAGACAAGAACCCAGACTTAGCTGAGCTAAGGAGCAAAAATCCTGCATCAGGTCTCCTGGAGTTTGAGGGGGTATAGAGGAACTAGAGTGACCTCTAGTGACAGGGCAAGTACACAGGGTTGCTGTGGCAGCAATTACACCACCATTGTTTGACTGGGCAAGAATGCATAAGGTTATCCATGAACCACGGGGACACTGTGGAGACTGTTCACCAGATGGAGTAAAAGGACAGATCATGTACCATTTCCTCAATGCTGGTCCTGCCTGTCAGCTGTCATAGAAGACAGGGGAGGAATAGGGATGAGAAGAGAGGACAGGAGATTTAAATTGGATGAGAAATTAAAGTTTAATATAGACTGAACTAGAATTTTCCATAGCTGAAAATGAGACTCTTCTCACATCTGAGAATGGCCCCAAAGCTAAGAGATCTCCCTGAAATGTCATCTGGGGCAAAGAAGGGAGATCTGCTTGCTTGAAGGTAGCAGTAGATAAGAAAAAGTAGTTTACTGATTATAATAACCAATTCAGCACATTCAATAAATTAGTTACACAGTTTATTTTAAAAGTAAGCTACTGTACCACCTATGGTCTAACCTTGCATATATATATAAAACCCACAAAGAAAAAATAAAAACAAATTAAAAAAAAAACTTGAACCTGAATTTAGACTAGCCTCTTCAACAAACTACCAGCTTACTGGAAGTATAGGTGATGGAAAAACCCATTAATGACACCAGGAGAAAACTGTCAGCCCAATTCTGAATGTAAGAAATTCAACAGGACAAACAGCCTTACTTCTTCAATGAACACATAGCAGGTTACAAAGTTAATTCATGATCCCAGAGTTAAAAGCATTAGAAAAGCGAGGAAACACAAGGGAAGGGGAACTGTCATACATTAAAAGAGACTTTAAAAAAAGTTTGTTTTTTTTTTGAGACAGAGTCTCGCTCTGTCGCCCAGTCTGGAGTGCAGTGGTGCGATCTCAGCTAACTACAAGCTCCGCCTCCCGGGTTCACGCTATTCTCCTGCCTCAGCCTCCCGAGTAGCTGGAACTTCAAGCACACGCCGCCACACCCGGCTAATTTTTTGTACTTTTTTTTTTTAGTAGAGATGGGGTTTCACCGTGTGAACCAGGCTGGTCTCAATCTCCTGACCTTGTGATCTGCCCACCTCGGCCTCCCAAAGTGCTGGGATTACTGGCGTGAGCCACCAAGCGTAGACTAAAAAAAATTTTTTTTAATTTTAATTAATGAATTTATTTATTTTGGAACGCTTCACGAATTTGCATGTCATCCTTGAGCAGGGGCCATGCTAATCTTCTCTGTATCGTTCCAATTTTGGTATATGTGCTGCTGACGCAAGCAAAAAACGGACTTAAGAGAATATGTAAAATATGTAATGTCTGCACTGTGTTTGAATTTTTATTTGAACAGCCATAAAAATACTCTTGAGACAATCAAGAAAAGTTAAACTTGGACTGGATGTTAAATATGATTCTTTGGAGGCATGACAATGTTATTGTTATGTTTCTTTTTTCAAGTTCTTAGGCATTAGGGAAGCATACTGAAATATTTACACGTAGAGAAATTTGATGACTGGGATTTGTTTTAAAATACTCCATGATAAAAGAAAAAATTGTGAGAATTTAGGGGGTAAGGGAAGATTCATAAAAAAAGAATGGCAGGGTGTAAATAATTATTGAAGCTGGGCAATAGGTACATATGGCTTTGTTACATTTTTCTTTCTATTTTCACATGTGAAATTTTCCATAATGAAAGGTTTAAAGGCCAGGAACCATGGCTCATGCCTGTAATCCCAGAAATTTGGGAGGCTGAGGTGGACAGATTGCTGGAACTCAAGAGTTTCAAGACCAGCCCGGGCAACATGGTGAAACCCCATCTCTACAAAAAATACAAAAATTAGACAGGTGTGGTGGCACATGCCTGTAGTCCCAACTACTTGGGAGGTTGAGGTGGCAGGATTTCTTGAGCCCAGGAGGGTGAGGCTGCAGAGAGCCATGATCACAGCACTGTACTCCAGCCTGGGCAAGAGAGTAAGACTCTGTCTAGATATCAGATACCTTGATTTTATTTTTTTAAGGTGTGAATGTAATATGGCATAATGAAGTTAACCTCAGTTTTGAATACTGGCTACATCTTTTATCAGCTATATGACTTAGGAAAGTCACTTAACCCTTACAACCTCCATTTTCCCTATTGCCAAATAAGAATTATGATTCCTCTTGGCCGGGCATGGTCGCTCATGCCTGTAATCCCAGCACTTTGGGAGGCCGAGGTGGGCAGATCGCTTCAGATCAGGAGTTTGAGAGCAGACTGGCCAACATGGTGAAACCCCATTTCTACTAAAAATACAAAATTAGCTGGGCATGGTGGTGCATGCCTGTAATCCCAGCTACCCGGGAGGCTGAAGCAGGAGAATGACTTGAACCCGGGAGCAGAGGTTGCAGTGAGCCAGATGGTGCCACTGCACTCCAGCCTGGGTGACAGAGTAAAACTGTGTCTCAAATAATAATAATAATAATAATTCCTCTTGTTGCAATAAAGATTTAATGAAGCAGGGCATGGTGACTCACATCTGTAATCCCAACACTTTGAGAGGCTGAGGTGGGCAAATCATTTGAGGTCAGGAGTTCAAGATCAGCTTGGCCAACATGGTGAAGCCCCGTCTCTACTAAAAATACAAAACTTAGGCAGTGTGGTGACACATGCCTGTAATCCCAGCTACTTGAGAGGCTGAGGCAGGAGAATCTCTTGAACCTAGCAGGCGGAAATTGCAGCAAGCTGAGATTGCACCACTGCATTCCAGCCTAGGCGACAGAGATTCTGTCTCAAAGAAAAAGATTTAATGAAATAATGTGTGTAAAAGGTTTCGCAAAGCACCTGGCAGAGTAAACCTAAGTATTAGCCTAATCAGATTTAATTTTCATTTCTCACTATGTTCTCATTTAGTTTCTTTGTTTTTTGAGATGGAGTCTTGCTCTATTGCCCAAGTTGGAGTGCATTGGCATGATCTCGGCTCACTGTAAACTTCCCCTCCTGGGTTCAAGTTATTCTGCTGCCTCAGCCTCCCGAGTAGCTGGGATTACAGGTACCAGCCACCATGCCTTGCTAATTTTTATTTTTAATAGAGACAGGGTTTCTCCATGTTGGCCAGGCTGGTCTTGAACTCCTGGCCTCAGGTGATCCTCCTGCCGCAGCTGCCCAAAGTGCTGGGATTCCCTTCCCTTCCGTTCCGTTCCCTTCCTTTCCCTTCCCTTCCCTTCCCTTCCCTCCCCTCCCCTCCCATCCTATTGCTTTCTCCCTCCCTCCCTCCCTTCCTCCCTCTTCTCTCCCTCTCTTCCTCCCTCCCTTCCTTCCTTCTTCCTTCCTTCCTGGCTCTTGTTGCCCAGACTGGAGTGCAATGATGCAATCTTGGCTCACCACAACCTCCGCCACCTGGGTTCAAGCAATTCTCATGCCTCGGCCTCCCGAGTGGCTGGGATTATAGGTATGGGCCACCACACCTGGCTAATTTTGTGTTTTTAGTAGAGACGGGGTTTCTCTATGTTGGTCAGGCTGGTCTTGAATGCCTGACCTCAGGTGATTCCCCCTGCCTTGGCCTCCCAAAGTGCTGGGATTATAGGCGTGAGCCGACGCACCTGGCCAAGATTATTGTCAATGTGGGACTACTAGTTGTTTTCCCGTACCCATTCTTCTTTTCTTTCTTGGCAATAGGGTTTTAGTTGGCTACATGCCTGCCTAGCTAAAGACTACATTTCCCAGCTTCCTTAGAAGCTAAATGTGGAAATGTTTTGACCCATGGTATATGCACAGAAGTAATATGTGACATGTCCAGGTTTTGCCCTAAAGAGAACTGGACTTGTGCTCCTCAAGCCTACTTAAGCTCTTCCCATGGCTGAGTGGAGGCTAGAACTGGAACAGCCACCTTGTGTTGGACCAATGGTAGAAGTAGGGCTGCCAGATTTAGCAACTAAAAATACAGAACACCCAGTTACATTTGAATTTCATATAAACAAAGAATACTTTAAGAAAAAAAAATGTATGTCCCATGTCATATTTGAACATAGTGAGGTCCAATATATTGTTAAGTGAGAATAGAACAAGGAGCAGAATTATGTGTATAAACTGGTTAATGATTTATAGGCTAGGTTATGTTTAGGAAAAGAAATCTAGTTTATGTTTAAATATGACCATTCTGGCTGTGATATAAACAATGACTTTTTTATTTTTATTTTTGAGCCAGGGTCTTGCTTTGTTGCCCAGGCTGGAGTGCAATGGTGTGATCATGGCTCACTGCAGCCTTGACCTCCTGGGAGTGATCCTCCTACTTCTTCAGCCAGCGTCTACCACCACACCTGGCTAATCCCTTCCCTTCCCTTCTCTTCCCTTCCCTGCCCTGCCCTTCCCTTCCCTCCCCTGCCCTCCCCTCCCCTGCCCTCCTATTGCTTTCTCTCTCCCTCCCTCTCTTCCTCCCTCCCTCTCTTCCTTCCTCCTCCCTTCCTTCCTCCCTCTCTCCCTCTTTCCTTCCTTCCTTTCTTCCTTCCTTTTTCTCTTTCTTTCTTTTTCTCTTCTCTTCTCTTTCCTTTTCTTTTCTTTTCTTTTCTTTCTTACAGTGTCTCACTTTGTTGCCAGGCTGGTTTTGAACTCCTGGGCTCAAATAATCCTCCCTCCTTGGCCTCCCAAAGTGCTTGGATTACAGGCATGAGCCAGTGCACCCAGCCAAACAATCATTTAGAGAGGAAGATTCTATAGTCATCTAGGCAAAAGATAATGGTCAAGTCGGCCAGAATGGGAAACTAAAAATGAAGAATAGGCCAGAAAAATGAAGAATGGCTCATGTCTGTAATCTGAGCATTTTGGGAGGCTAAGGCAGGAGGATTGCTTGAGCCCAGGAGTTAGAGACCAGCTTGGGCAACATGGCAAAACTCTGTCTCTACAAAAAATACAGTAATTAGCTGGGTTTGGTGATACCTGCCTGTAGTCCCAGCTACTCAGGAGGCTGAGATGGGAGGATCACCTGAGATGGGAAGATGGAGGCTGTGGTGAGCTGTGATCTTGCCACTGCACTCCAGCCTGGGTGACCAGAGTGAGACTCTGTCTCAAATAATAAAAAATAAGAGTTGGGCGTGGTAGCTCATGCCTGTAATCACAGCACTTTTGGGGCTGAGGTGGGTGGATCACTTGAGGTCAGGAGTTCGAGACCAGCCTGGCCAACATGGTGAAACCCCGTCTCTACTAAAAATACAAAAAATTAGCTGGGCATGGTGGTGAGCACCTGTAATCCCAGCTATGCGGGAGGCAGGAGAATCGCTTGAACCTGGGAGGCAGAGGTTGCAGTGAGCCGAGATCACATCATTGCACTCCAGCCTGGACAACAAGAGTGAAACTCTGACTCAAAAAGAAAATAATAATAATTTTTAAAAGACAGAGGGAAAAGGTCAATAATGATAAACAGAAATTAAAAGAAGAGAATATAATGAATGAATTTAGGAGAAATCACAATTATCATAAAAATTAAATTAGTATTTAAAAATTTTCTCATACATACAAAGAAAACCCACCAGGGCCAGATAATTTTACAGGTAATAATCTACCACCCTAGCTTGCTTGCTTTCTTCCACCGATGTGGACCTTGCCATGTTTCTTGACTTTTTAATAATTGCCATTCTGACTGGTGTGAGGTGGTATCTCATTGTGGTTTTGATTTGCATTTATCTAACCACCAGTGATGTTGAGCTTTTTTTCTGTATGTTTGTTGGCTCCATGAATGTCTTCTTTTGAGAAGTGTCTGTTCATGTCCTTTGCCCACTTTTTAATGGGGTTGTTTTTTTTCTTGTAAATTTGTTTAAGTTCTTTGTAGACTCTGGATATTAGGCCTTTGTCAGATGGATGGAATGCAAAAATTTTCTCCTATTCTGTAGATTGTCAATACCAAAGTGGACCTGCACAAATCAACCTTACTCCATTAGTTTCTCCTCCCATATATTTACCTTCCCACCATTTGCCCTTGGAAACCTAAAACACTTTTCTGTTGCCTTGTTCCATCTCCACAATTTATCATTCTTTGTTTAAAGTGGTACTTAAGCTCTTAGGCCTATCTGCTTTACTGAGTCTTCACTTCATTTTTTAGAAAAGCCCCTGTGGGCTGGGCATGGTGGCTCATGCCTGTCATCCCAGAACTTTGGGAGGCTGAGGTGGGAGGATTGCTTGAGCCCAGGGTTTCAAGACCAGCCTGGGCAACACAGTGAGATCCCATCTCTTCAAAAAACAAAAAGCACCTCTGTTTGCTAAAAATTAACATTAAATAAAATTTGTATGCCTTTTCTTCTGTTAATCTATCTTTTGTCAGGCTAACTTGCAGGGACCCACACAATGAAAAAGAATAGAGGAAAAGAAATTTTTTTTCTCTCCTACATTCTCAAGTTGTATCCTTCCATTTACCTTTAGAATGAGGGGTTAGTAAGGCTGGGCGCGGTGGCTCACGCCTGTAGTCCTAGCACTTTGGGAGGCTGAGGTGGGTGGATCACTTGAGGTCAGGAGATTGAGATCATCCTGGCCAATATGGTGAAATCTCTCTCCTAAAAATACTAAAATTAGCCAGGCACGGAGGCATGAACCTGAAATCCTAGCTACTTGGGAGGCTGAGGCAGGATCGCTTGAACCCGAGAGGCGGAGGTTGCAGTGAGCTGAGATCACGCCACTGCACTCCAGCCTGGCGACAAAGCTAGACTCCATCTTAAAAGAAAAAAAAAAAAGAACGAGGGGTTAGTAGATTTTCTCCAGTTTCTCCATGTTTTATTTCCTCATCACACGTCGTTTCTATTCATCTCTCCACAAATAGGTAGAAACAAGCTTTTCTCTGTTCAATCACCAATATGAGGGCTTGGGTGTCCTTTACACAGCTGATTTAACTTACATTTAAATGTACTTGGGGTTTGTTTACTTTACATTTCCCCCATTTTTCCTTTTAAAATAACTGTGGGGCCAGGTGCAGAGGCTCACACCTATAATCCCAGCACTTTGGGAGGCTGACACAGGTGAATCAGTTGAGCCCAGAACGTCAAGACCAGCCTGGGCAACATGTCAAAACCCTGCCTCTACCAAAAATACAAAAATTAGCAGGGCATGGTGGCATGCACCTGTAGTTCCAGCTACGCAGGGGGCTGAGGCAGGAGGATCGCTTGAGCCCAGGAGGTCAAGGCAGCAGTGAGCCAAGATCATGCCACTGCACTCCAGCCTGGGCAACAGAGTGGGACCCAGTCTCAAAAAAAAAAAGAGAAAAAGGTAAAAAGTTAAAAAAAAAATAGCTTGTGGTTTTAAAGGCAAATTGATCTGCATTTAAAAAATTTTTTTCTTTCTTTCTTTTTTTTTTTTTTTTTTGATGCAGTCTTGCTCTGTCACCCAGGCTGGAGTGCAGTGGCGCGGTCTCAGCTCACTGCAACCTCCACCTCCCGGGTTCACACCATTCTCCTGCCTCAGCCTCCCGAGTAGCTGGGACTACAGGCACCCACCATCATGCCCAGCTAATTTTTTGTATTTTTAATAGAGACGGGATTTCACCGTGTTAGCCAGCATGGAAAAATTTTTTCTTATTTATTTATTCCACACATACTTTTAAGTACATTCTATGTGCTAGGCAGTGTTCTAGGCATTGGGGATATAGCAGTGTACAGAAGTGGGAAAATGTTCTAATGGAGAAGACAGCAAACAAAGTAAATATATAAGATATGCAATATAATAGATAGTGATAATTGGTAAAGATGTAAGAGCAGAAAGTAAATTGTAGAAAACCAGATAGTGATGCAAATAATCATTGTGTAATATAAGTGCAAATAACCTTTGTCCCATAGAGATGCAGATGTTGTGAGGCTGGTAAACAGACTACAACCCAACAGTTAGTTTTATTACCCTATGCGGCACTAACCAGTTTTTATGTAATTTAGTAATCGTAGTCTAGCATTTTTGTTTGTTCTAGTATAGTCTAGCATTTGTTTTTTCTTTCAGTGACTACCTGTCCTATGCCCCTTTGAATTGGCTTTCTCCTGTTGTTGACTCTCTTATCTATGAGCTCTTTGATTTTGTTTTTGGATTTTTTTTTTTTTTGAGACAGGGTCTTGCTCTGTCAGCCAGGCTGCTGGAATGTAGTGGTGCAATCATGGCTCACTGCAACTTTGCCCTCCTGGGCTCAAGCAATCCTTCTGCTTCAGCCTCCTGAGTAGCTGGGACCACAGGCACATGCCACCACAGGTGGCTAAGTTCTTTTTATTTTTAGTAGAGACAAGGTCTCACTATGTTGCCCAGGCTGGTCTCAAACTCCTGGGCTCAAGCAATCCTCCTGTCTCGGCCTCCCAAAGTGTTGGGATTACAGATGTGAGCCAGCATGCTCAGACAACTCTTTATATACGTACTAGATGAGAGCCATGGTTTTAGCTTTTTAAAAATTATACAATGACACATGGAATGCACTTTATATGCTTCTGATTTGTTATACATTTTTTAATGAGCGAACAAAAACCTAAAATATATATACTAAAAATGAAACAATAGAGATAAAAAAACAAACTTCCTTGTGGATTGATTTTCTACATTCTAATGTTGATAGACTGTTAGGCATTAGAAATTAAAATTATGAAGACCATAGAGTTATATGTGATGAAAGCTTATGAGAATGTTTTTTAAAAAATATATAGATAAAAAAGTAAATAAAACATTTAAACTCCTAGAATAATATTGCCTCTTTACTAGTGTAACCAGCATACTAGGTATTTAAGTATTAGAAATCATTGACACTGCAGGCTCTCGAGTCAGGTTGTCTGGTTTTAAATCTTTGCTCAATCACTTCTTAATTTGGGCAAGTTATTTAATCTTTTTAAACCTCATGACTAGCCAGGCACAGTGGCTTAAGCCTGTAATCCCATCACTTTGGGAGGCTGAGGCAGGCAGATCACCTGAGGTCGGGAGTTCGAGACCAGCCTGACCAACATGGAGAAACCCTGTCTCTAATAAAAATACAAAATTAGCCAGGTGTGGTGGCGCATACCTGTAATCCCAGCTACTCAGGAAGCTGAGGCAAGAGAATCGCTTGAACCTGGGAGGCAGAGGTTGTGGTGAGCCAAGATCACGCCATTGCACTCCAGCCTGGGCAACAAGAGCGAAACTCCGTCTCAAACAAACAATCACAACAACAAAACACCTCATTACTTTTTACCTCACAGGATTGTTGTGAGGAATAAATGAAATAAGTAAGAAGCTTAGACGGTGCTACCAAATGCTTAGTTACAAACTTTCTGTTTAGTTATTTTTATCTTTGCAATGAAAAGTTACAATATATAAAGTAATACAGAGCAAGTAAATAACCAATGCAACTTCCTATTATCATAAATTACTTTTAAAATCATATACAATGTTTGCAAAGTTCAACAGAATGTTACTCAGTGTTGAAACATTCTTACCAAAGCTTCTTTAAAGTCAAAACATTGATTTTAAAAAGAAACACAAAGCTTCTTTAAAGTCAAAATATTGATTAATTTTTATCCACCAAAAGAGTCTTGTATTTTATCTTTATTTTATTGAATTACAGAACATTTTACAACCAACCACAGGTAAACTGTGTTGTCCAGTGAAACTCAGGTCAACCACAGGTAAATTGTGTTGTCCAGTGAAACCCAGGTTTCAACACAAACGATACCTCTTTTGCATGGGGAAAAAAAAAAAAAAAAAAAAAAAAAAAAACCTCAACAAAAAACTTCCTAAGTTAACTGTTGCTTAAGTTGCTTGAGTAAGCAAGTTAAAATATAAAGAAAAGCTCTGGCAAGAATTTCTTTAGAGGATTTACACTTAAACCAAATTTTAGTAGTTATTCTTCAAACCACAGAAACAAGACACGAAAATAAAAATTCAACAGAATGAAACAAAACAAGAGTAGATATGGCTCCCTCTACACTGTAGGCATAGTTATTCAAGCCAAGTTCCCACTAGAGGTCAGAAGCTACTATGCAAGCTTGAAAAATGACTTGGTGTTTCCGAATGCCTTCAGCTTTTAAAAATGGCTTGCTCTTTCCAAGTGTTTTCAACTTTTTAACTCAGAGCAAAAGGTACAATAGATCCCTTTAATCTACTCTACCTCACAGTATTTAAAATTTAGCAAGATTGTCAATATGGAGGGACAAATATATATTGTTTTTGTTTCTAGAGACAGAGACTCACTCTGTCGTCCAGGCTGGAATGCAATTGCTCCATCACGGCTCACTGCAACCTCAGCCTCCTGGGCTCAAGCAATCCTCCCACCTCAGCCTTCCGAGTAGCCAGGACTATAGGCATGGGCCAATATGCTGAGCTAATTTTTTTGGCATTTGTTGTACAGGCAGAGTTTCATCATGTTGTCCAGGCTGGACTCGAACTCCTGGACAAATATATTTATTAACCTAATAATACTGTAACTGCCCAGTGGGTTCTCCTTGCCCACTGTCCAAACAGAGATGATTTATTAAGACAGGGGAATTGGAATACAGAAAGAGTTTAATTCACACAGAGCGAGCTGAATGGAAGACTAGAGTTTTATTACTGAAATCAGTCCCCCCCAAAATTTAGAGACTGCATTTTTTTAAGGATAGTTTGGTGGGTAGAGGGCCAGGGAGTGGAGAGTGCTGATTGATCAGGAGGTGCCAGCTGATGCACCATAATGCAGGGTCTAAAAAATATCTTGAGCACCAATCTCAGGTTTTACAATAGTAATATTATCCCTAGGAGCAACTGGGGAGGGTTGAAATCCTGTGGCTTCTGGCTGCATGGCTCCTAAGCCATCATTTCTAATCTTGTGGTTAATATGTTAGTCTTACAAAGGCAGTCTGGTCCCCCTGGCAAGAAGGAGGTTTGTTTCAGGAAACTGCTGTTATCATCTTTGTTTCAAAGTTAGACTATAAATTAAATTCCTCCCAAAGTTAGTTTGGCCTGCACCCAGGAATGAAGAAGGGCAGCTTGGAGAGTGTAAGCAAGCTGGAGTCAGTCAGGTCAGACCTCTTTCATAATTTTCTCAGTGTTTATTTTTGCGAAGGTGGTTTCAATACCCCTAACTTTTCTACTTAAAATTACGATATATGCTATTTCAGACTTTTTCTTCAGTATATGAAAGGGTTTAAAGATTTTTGTCACTTCTCATAAAAAAACTAAATTATTTATTAGTTTTACATTTCTTCCCATCATGTTATGCAGTAACAACATATATAGCGCAGTTTCTTGAGTGAATTGAGGAAAGAAATATAGCTCAGAGCAATCTGAGCTATGTGAGGTCTGCAAGAGGTGCCAGGCCCAGAGAGACATGAGTATGTGACTTTAGTCACATCCTACAACCCCCCACCATCTTGCATCTATGCCCAGGGGTAATTGTTTTTTGTTTGGGTTTTTGTTTTGACACAGGGTCCTGCTCTGTTTCCCAGGCTGGAATACAATGGCATGATCTCAACTCACTGCAGCCTCGACCTCCCTGGCTCAAGTGATTCTCCCCACTCAGCTTCAAGAGTAGCTGGGACTACAGGTGCATGCCACCATGTCTGGCTAATTTTTGTGTGAGTGTGAAGATGTGGTCTCACCATGTTGCCCAGGCTGTGCTCAAGCAATCTTCCTTTCTTGGTCTCCCAAAGTTCTCGCATTATAGGCATGAGCCAACGTGCCCTTTATCAGGTTTTTTGTTTTTTCAGACAGGGTCTCACTCTGTTGCCCAGGCTGAAGTTCAGTGGCATGATCATGGCTTTTGTTGCCCCGGCTGGTCTTTAACTCCTGGGCTCGAGGGATCCTCCTGCCTTGGCCTCCCAAGGTGTTGGGATTACAGGTGTGAGCCACCGTGCCCAGTCAGGGACAATTGTTTAAAGGCATTTTGGCTGGCATGCTGGTTCATCCTGTAATCTCAGCATTTTGGAAAGACAAGAGAATCAGTTGAAGCCAGGAGTTTGAGATCAACCTCGGCAATATAGAGAAACCCTGTCTCTGTTTAAATACACCTATTTTGAAGAAAAAAAAAGCCATTTTGTTTCTGACTAGCTGAACTGCCCATTATCTTCATGTTCCTGAAATTTGTGATACAAAGAACATGGTACAGCCAATCAATAAATTATATTATTTAAATGTAAATTATTGGTACATATATTAGTCCATTATCACACTGCTATAAAGAACTACCTGAGGCAGGGCATGGTGGCTCATGCCTATAATCCCAGCACTTTGGGAGGCCGAGGTGGGCGAATCACTTGAGGTCAGGAGTTTGAGACAAGACTGGCCAACATGGTGAAACCCCGTCTCTACTAAAAATACAAAAATTAGCCCAGGGTGGTGGCAGATGCCTGTAATCCAAGCTGCTGGGGAGGCTGAGGCAGGAGAATCACTCGAACCCTGGAGGTGGAGGTTGCAGTGAGCCGAGATTGTGCCACTGCACTGCAGCCTGGGTGATGAAGCGAGACTCCATCTCAAAAAAAAAAAAAAAAAAAAAAAAAAAACTACCTAAGACTGGGTAATTTATTTTAAAAAGAGGTTAGATTGACTCACAGTTCTGCATGGCTGGGGAGGCCTCAGGAAACTTAGAATCATGGCGGAAGGCAAAGGGAAAGCAAAGCACGTCTTACCGTAGCAGAGCAGGAAGAGAGAGAGAGTGAAAGGGGAAGTGCCACACTTTTAAACCATCAGATCTCGTGAGAACTCACTCACTTTTATGAGAAAAGTAAGGAGGAAATCCGCCCCCCATGATCCAGTCACTCCTGCCAGGCCACTTCTCTGACATGTAGGGATTACAATTCAACATGAGATTTGGGTGGGGACACAGAGACAAACCATATCAGTAAACAGTGTAAGATCACCTCTTCTTGTCCCTTAAAAACCTACTTGTGGCTGGGTGTGGTGGTTTGTGCCTGTAATCCCAGTACTTTGGGAGGCAGAGGCAGGAAGATTGCTTGAGCCCAGGAGTTCAAAACCAGCCTGAGCAACACAGTGAGACCCTCTCTCTACCAAAAAAAAAAAAAAGAAAAAAGTCAAGAGGATCACTCGAGCCCACGAGGCACAGGCTGCAGTGAGCCATGGTTGTGCCACTGCACTCAGCCTGGGTGACAGAGAAAGACCCTTTCTCATAAATAAAATAAAATAAAACAAAACCCCAGCTACTTGTAATTGCTGCTAGTTGGAGTACATATTCAGGGAACTTTGAGTCTATGTTTTAGGTTGCAGTCTTCAAACTTGGCCCAAATAAACTCTCTACTTACATTCCGTTTGCCTCAGTTTTTCCCTTTAGGTCAACAGAACAACATTACAAACTGGATTTTAATTTAATTGAGCAAATTGATATTTTTTCCTGAAGGCCACACAATGCTCTACAACCTGAGGAAAGAGGCATTAGGGAAAAGGAAGAGGAGGAGTACTGTATGTTTCCCAAGTTGTTCTTTAATTTTCTTTTCAGGTTAATTTGTTTGTTGCTTTTTTTCATCATCTAAATGTCTATTTTTTATATTAACCAAAATATGTCAATAGAATATATTTTTGGGTCCCATTTTTAGCCAATTAACTCATAACAAGCATTGTCCTGAAAAAGTTTTAAAAAGGCATATTGGGCCGGGCGCGGTGACTCACACCTGTGATCCTAGCACTTTGGGAAGCCGAGGTGGGCAGATCAGGAGGTCAGGAGTTCGAGACCATCCTGGCCAACATGGTGAAACCCTGTATCTACCAAAAATACGAAGAAATTAGCTGGGCGTGGTGGTGCACGCCTGTAATCCCAGCTACTCGGGAGGCTGAGGCAGGAGAATTGCTTGAACCCAGGAGGAAGACATTGCAGTGAGCCAAGATTGAGCCGTTGCACTCCAGCCTGGGCTACAGGGTGAGACTTCATCTAAAACAAAAAAAAAGTGTATTGTGTTGTTTATGTTATCTTACAAATTTTAATATTAAATTTCATTTGATATCACTTAGAAACAATGATGTAAATGAGAGAGGGAATGTGTGTATGTACCTCTTTCACTAGAATATATATATACATATATATATATATATTTTTTTTTTTTTTTTTTTTTTTTTTGATACAGTGTCTCACTCTGTCGCCCATGCTGGAGTGCAGTGGCGCGATCTTGGCTCACTGCAAGCTCTGCCTCCCGGGTTCACGCCATTCTCCTGCCTCAGCCTCCCGAGTAGCTGGGACTACAGGCGCCTACCACCACGCCTGGCTAATTTTTTGTATTTTTAGTAGAGATGAGGTTTTGCCGTGTTAGCCAGGATGGTCTCGATCTCCTGACCTCGTGATCCACCCGCCTCGGCCTCCCAAAGTGGTGGGATTACAGGCATAAGCCACCGTGCTCGGCCACTAGAATATATTTTTACAAAATAATAATGTCACTAGTAATAATACTTTAGAGTACTTTACCATCTCTATTCTTTACTTATGCTGCCATCTATATGCTAGCAAGACATTTTCAGATTAGTATTTCACAAAAACCATTTATTTGAGTCCTTACTGCATTACTTTAAATGTTCAGACCATTCTAAGTAATCTATGAGTTTAATCAATGGTATTGTTAGAATTAGCCTCTGGAATCATCTATCATTGAGTTTCTATCAAATTCTAAGGGGAGATAGAAGTGCTGTAGGTCTAAATTGTATGCAGCCCATCATCCTAATTATATCATGTAGGGAGGCCAGCTGGCTAGCTGTCAAGAGACCTCAGGATGCTCATTTAAATTGGTAAATTCACTGTGGTCCAGGCTCTGAATCTTTGCTCAGCAGCTTCAAAACTTGAATTTTTGTCAGCATGTTGAAAGTAAATTCTTCTCTTAGCAGACTCATAATATTCAAACGTACAGAGGCTGAAATGGTATTAATTTACAAAGGGCAACAAATTTTTTATGTGAGTTGTGCTGTACCAATGGGACCAGTGCATTTACTCTTTAAAGACAAAACTACATGGGAATCCAATTATAATTGACAGTTTGGGGGTGTGTATTCAGAACAAGAGAAGGTAGTTGGAAGACGTACCTTACATTTTTGTCAAATTTGTCATGTGGCCCGGAGTGTTTTGAGTTTTTGACCCAAGGTCTCTTCTTCCCTGTAGTTACAGGGTTGAGTACAAAAATGTAGGTATACGTAGGCCATGTAGTTTCGTTTGGGAGGCAAGGTGAGACTTGCAGATGAGTAGGAATTAGACAAGTAACAGTAGGATGGGTGTAGGGAACATTCCAGGCATATGAAATAGCATATATAATGGTTCAGAAGTAAGGGAGAGACTATGATGAGCCCAGAAATGTGTAATAGTTCAGCATGCCTGAAGTGTACAGTGTAAAGAAAATAATGTCAGGCTGGGCACAGTGGTTCACATCTGTAATCCCAGCACTGTGGGAGGCCAAGGTGGGAGAATCATTTGAGGCCAAGAGGTTGAGGCTGCAATGAGCTGAGATCGCAGCACTGTACTCCAGCCTGGGCGACAGAGTGAGATCCTATCTACAACCAAAAAAAAAAAAAAAAAAAAAAAAAAAAGAAAAAGAAAAAAGAAAGGAAAACAAAGAAAGAAAGAATTCTTCTTCATCACCCTATTATGTAAAACACATAAAGATAAAAGTAAAGCTATACCAGCTAATGCAAAGGTGAATAGCACAGGGCCTCAATTGCTCGATTTTCTCCATCCACTGAGGTGGCTTCTGAGGACTCTAGGGCTTCAAGGAACACACTTTCAAAAACACTACACTCCACAAATTTAAAGAAATCTAAGCTCTGACTAATGCTGGGATGACATCTCTATACTGCACTCTAAATAACTTCACCTGACCACTGTTCTGTGGTGAGTAGGTCTATGCAAACCTACCCCAACGTCTGAGGAAGCTGAGAGGCTGAAGAAAGAGGCTGATACAACCAATTCTCAGAAAGAAACATTTAACAGGGATTTACAAAAAGAAGGCACAGTCTCAGATGTCCAAAAGGGAGATGGTGGACTCCCGTTCCATTACCCTTCAGACCCAGGGCTTAAATATCACAGGGAAAAAATGTGTAGCACAATTGAAGTTGACTTCCAAGGGGAAGGCAAGAATGCTGTGTGAGTCTGGCTAAGGTAGGATTTATGGTCAAGGTTGTTTTGACCTAAGGGAAGGATTCACTGTAACAATGGAAAAAGTAGAAATCTTAGAGGCCTTCCGGGAACACAGATTAATCAGATGTCAACATGGTGGATTAGCATCTAAGATGGAGTTGCTTTAGCTTCCACAATCCCACAGACATATTTCAGGAAATAGCTTCAGATATTAGTTCTGTTTCTAAAATGTACCCACACCACTTTTGTAATACTTTATATGTTGTATTACATTTTGTTGCTGCTCAGCTTGGGGCCCACAGGCAGGTCTTGCTTAGGAGACACTGGCATTCAAGAGTCACCCTGTTATCATAGATGGGAATTTTTGTTGTGCCACCTTTACATTGTCTATTTTGTACTCTACAAACTTGAAGTTTAAATGTGATAGACTTGGCTATTGCTTTTCATATATTAAAAGCATCATTTTTAAAATATTTATTTTATTTTATTTTTATTTTGAGACACAGTCTCACTCTGTCACCCAGGCTAGAGTACAGTGGTGTGATCTCAGTTCACTGCAACCTCCACCTCCCAGGTTCAAGTGATTCTAGTGCCTCAGTCTCCTGAGTAGCTGGGATTACAAGTGTGCACCACCATGCCCAGCTAACTTTTGAATTTTTAGTAGAGACAGGGTTTCTATGTTGGCCAGGCTGGTCTTGAACTCCTGACCTTAAGTGATCCACCTGCCTCGGTCTCCCAAAGTGTTGGGATTAAGGGCGTGGGCCACCACGCCCAGCCAAGAACATCATTTTTCTTTTCATTTATTTTAAAACATGTATTTATTTATTTAGAGACAATGTCTCACTCTGTCACTCAGGCTACAATGCACTGGTGCTGTCGTAGCTCACTATAGCCTCAAACTCCTGCATGCAAGCAATCCTCCTGCTTCAACTTCCCAAGTAGCTAGGACTACAGGTGTGTGCCACCATGCCTGGCTGATTTTTAAATTTTTATAGAGACAGGGTCTTGCTATGTTGCCTAGGCTGGAAGGGCATTATTTATAATATATCTTAAAATGTAATTATTGTCGACAAAAAGAGTCAAACTGTAAAATATTTTAAGAGATTTATTCTGAGCCAAATATGAGTGACCATGGCCCATGACACAGACCTCAGGAAGTCCTCAGAACATGTGCCCAAGGTGGTTGGGGTACAGCGTGGTTTTATATATTTTAGGAAAGCATGAGACATCAATCATATACATTTAAGAAATACATTGGTTTGGTTTAGAAAGGCGGGACAACTTAAAGCAGGCTATAGGTAAATTTAAATTTTCTGATTGACAACTGGTTGAGTTTATCTGAAGACCTGGGATTAATGGAAAGGAATGTTCAGGTTGAGATAAAGGATTGTGGAGACCAAGTTTTATTGTGCAGAAGAATCTCTCAGCAGACTTCAGAGAGACAACAGGTTGTGGTCAGGCATGGTGGCTCATACCGGTAATCCTAGCACTTTGGGAGCCCAAGGCAGGTGAACCAGCCTGGCCAACATGGTGAAACCTCATCTCTACTAAAAATACAAAAATCAGCCAGGTGTAGTGATACGCACCTGTAATCCCAGCTACTTGGGAGGCTGAGGCAGGAGAATCACTTGAGCCCGGGGGGCAGAGGTTGCAGAGAGCTGAGATCGCGCCACCTCACTCCAGCCTGGGCGAAAGATTGAAACTCCATCTCAAAAAAAAAAAAAAAAAAAAAAAAAAAGAGACAGAGAGAGAGAGTAGGTTGTAAAATGTTTCTTATTGGACCTAAAAGGGTGCCTGGCTCTTAGTTGATTATCTCCTGGATCTGGAAAGGAAAGAAGGAAACCAAAGGGGAAAGGGGATTCTCTACAGGATGTGGATTTTTCCCACAAGAGACTTTGCAGGACATTTTCAAGGTATGGCAAGAAAATATATTTTGCGGTTTAATATTTTCTCCTTGTGTCATAATGTTATGCCAGAGTAAGACTGAAAAGTAAGTCACTATAGGCCGGGATTGGTGGCTCATGCCTGTAATCCCAGCACTTTGGGAAGCCGAGGTGGGCAGATCACGAGGTCAGGAGATGGAGACCATCCTGGCTAACATGGTGAAACCCCGTCTCTACTAAAAATACAAAACAAAATTAGCCGGGCATGGTGGCAGGCACCGGTAGTCCCAGCTACTCCGGAGGCTGAGGCAGGAGAATGGCGTGAACCCGGGAGGTGGAGCTTGCAGTGAGCCGAGATTGCGCCACTGCACTCCAGCCTGGGCGACAGAGCGAGACTCAGTCTCAACAGCAGCAACAAAAAAAAAAAAAAAAAAAAGAAAAAGAAAAAAGAAAAGTAAGTCACTATATATAGGATCAAATAAAACCCATCTGATGAGAATTTACGGTTTGTAGGACATGACTCCCTAGGACCCTTAGGTAGGAATTTGGGCAAGATAAAAAAATCAGAACTTAGTCCTCACTATTATTCTGAATTTTCCCTAATCCTGCCTTCAAATAAATTCAATGGAGACCAGATACTTTTTTTGAGGTTATGCAAGTCACCTAGGGCCTGGAGAAAACCAGCAGGAAGTACTAGAGAATTCATGTATCTCCCAACTCCTCTGAGCTCCTCATCTTTACTGCCCTCCCTACCCTGCCCTCAAGGGCTGAAAGAAGCATAGGCTTGATGCTAGGCTTCAACAAGTTAGTTCAATGATGCTAACATAATTTGTGAACAATTCAGTTAATTTAAAACCAAAAAAAAAAAGAAAAGAAAAAAGAAAGAAAAAGCTATTTTAGTTGGGTTAGTGGTCATGTCTGGATTCTAAAGAATCCATAAACTGTTTTGGCCTTACTTATACAGAGCCATCATCTACACTTTGCTTATTTTTGTTGTGATTTTTTTTTTTTTTTTTTTGAGATGGTTTCTTGCTCTATTGCCCAGGCTGGAATGCAGTGGCGCGACCTTGGTTCATTGCAACCTCTGCCTTGCGGGTTCAAGTGATATTGTGATTTTTTTCATGGACTTGCTTCTGGTTGGAAATGAATTATTTGGTTATAGCACAGGAAATTGACAAGAAAGGTGCCTTAACAATGTTTTGTTTGTTTGTTTGTTTTGTTTTGTTTTTTGAGACAGAGTCTCACTCTGTCACCCAGGCTGGAGTGCAATGGCCCCATCTTGGCTCACTGCAACCTCTGCTTCCCGGATTCAAGGGATTCTCCTGCCTCAGCCTCCTGAGTAGCTGGGGTTATAGGCACCTGTCATCATGCTCAGCTAATTTTAGTATTTTTGTAAAGACAGGGTTTCACCATGTTGGCCAGGCTGATCTTGAACTCCTGACCTCAGGTGACCTGCCCGCCTCAGCCTCCCAAGTGCTGGGATTACAGGTGTGAGCCATTATGCCTGGCCCAATGTTCTAATTTATGGAAAGTAAGAAATAGGTTGTTTCCCATAAATATTGGGAAATTTTGAAGAGTCAAGAAACATACATACACATTATGTAAAAAGAAAAAAGATTGTCAGATAGGATCAAAAGATTGTTGGGTTGCTTTCAGGATTGTTGCATTTGGATCACTTCTTCATAAATAGGAAGATGTTAGCTTGAGGAACCTTGGAAGTTAATTGTTATAGGAGTAATTCTATACCTTTCATTCCTTCAATCCTTCCTTCATTCATTCAACAAATATTTATTTAGTATTTACCATTAATAGAGCAATGTTTTGGTTTTGAAGTCACAGCACTGAAGAGGGGACAAGATCCTTGTGCTCAGAAAATTGACATTCTTGTTGGGAAGACATATGCAGACAAACAAGAGAAGTCAGAAATGGTAGTTTCTCTACCATGTAGAGAATTAGAATGGGTGACCAGAGATTCGAAGCACTTTGGATGAGGTGGTCCTTGAAGGCCTCTCTAAGGAGGTGACCTTAAGGGAATAATCTGAATGACACAAAATTAACTATGAGATTTCAGGAGAAAGCATTCCCTAAATAGGAACTGGTTGGTGTACAGGCAGGAACAGGTTTTGTGCAACTGAGAAAAGTCCAGAGCAGCTGGGGCATAGTGGGTCAAGGGGAGGATATTCTAAGTGGAAAGCAGAGAAGCAGGCAGGCCCAGATCAGCAGGGCGTGTAAGCCAGGATAAGGTATTTGGATTTCATTGTGATGATAATGGAAGCTACAATCTAGGAGGGCAGTGACATTTTTGATTTGCATTTTAAAAAGTCGTCCCTGGCTTCTGTGTAATGAATGGATTACAGAGAAGCCAAAGTAAAAGGCGGGAGACCAACTAGAAGACTATTCTAGTAGTCTTGACAGGAGATGAAGGGGCTATAAACTAGGGTGAAAGTGGCAAGAAGTGTCAGATTTGGGATATATTTTGGAGGTGGATTTGTCAGGATATCCTGATGGATTCGCTGGAAGGAGGAGAAGTGGTGAGATAAAGAGATTTTTGGTTTGAATCAACTAAGTATCTTGTAGTGATACATATGGAGACAGGAAAACTGGTGACGATGTTTTGAGGATAAAAATGAAACAGTTTTGTTTGGGCCATGTTACGTTTGATATGCTCACTAGACATCCAAGAAGAAATATGAAGTAGATGATTTTTTTTTTTTTTTGAGATGGAATCTCGCTCTATTGCCCAGGCTGGTGTGCAGTGGCACGATCTCGGCTCACCACAATCTCCGTCTCCTGGGGTCAAGCCATTCTCCTGCCTCAGCTTCCCCAGTAGCTGGGATTACAGATGTGCACCACCATGCCGGGCTAATTTTTGTATTTTGAGTACAGACAGGGTTTCACCATGTTGGCTAAGCTGGTTTTGAACTCCTGACCTCGTGATCCACCCACCTCGGCCTCCCAAAGTGCTGGGATTACAGGTGTGAGCCACCGTAGCTGGCCTGATAAATGAAATTAAAAGTCAGGGGACTAGTTGAGATTACTTCTAGGCTGAGTATGACAGATAAAAGCAAGGGCCCCAGAACAGAGTAGGGGCACTCCAACATTAAGATACGCAGTAGAGAAGCCATCAGACATAGAGGGAATGGGCAATGAGGAGAAAAACCAGAAAGTATAGTGTCAAGGAAGCCAAGAGAATAAAGTAACTCAAGGAGAGAGTGGCCAACTGTTTTCTATATAGGAAACAGTCGAAGTCGAAACAACAAAGTAGTCACTGGAATAGGAAACATGCAGGTCATTAGTGATCATAAGAACAGCCTTATTGGAGTCAGTGGGACACAGGCTACAGAGGCTTGATTGGAATGGGTCGAGAAGAAAATATACAGTAAGAAAGTGCAGCAACTATAGATGTGTAGGCCATCTTGAAGATCTTGAGAAAGAAGACAGAAATAAAGTGTAACAGGAATGCTGCTGGGCAACTGTTAAAGGAGTAATTACATACCTTTCATTCCTTCAATCCTTCCTTCATTCGTTCAACAAATATTTATTTAGTGCTTACCATGAATTGAGCAATGTTTTAGTTTTGGGGTCACAGCACTGAATGGGGGACAAGATCCTTGTGCTCAGAAAATTGATATTCTTGTTGTGGAGACATATGCCTGAGATCTGTGGTTATTAATGCAGAATGAGCCCAACAACCCCAGTTATATATGTGTATCTCTAGTGATATTTAGACACTTTCCTATTCATATATATATACGTATTAGATGAAGTCTCACTCTGTTGCCCAGGCTGGAGTGCAATGGCGTGATCTCAGCTCACTGCAACCTCCATCCACCTCCTGCCTTCAAGTGATTCTCGTGCCTCAGCCTCCCCAGTAGCTGGGACTACAGACGTGCGCCACCACGTCCGGCTAATTTTTGTATTTTCAGTAGAGACAGGGTTTCACCATGTTCACCAGACTGGTCTTGAACTCCTGACCTCAGGTGATCCACGCCCCTCACCTCCCAAAGTGCTGGGATTACAGGTGTGAGCCACTGTGCCCAGCCTTCTATTCCTATGGATCCTGTGCAGCAGAGAGTAGGTGGTTAATTGAACTTAACCAGGGTTTGGCCTCTGCTAGACAAAAGCAATGGAGGAAGAGAAAGGTGAAGAAGTGGCCGGGTATGGTGTCTCATGTTTGTAATCCTAGCATTTTGGGAGGCAGAGGTGGGTGGATTACCCGAGCTCAGGAGTTTGAGACCAGCCTGGGCAACATGGTGAAACCCCATCTCCACTAAAATACAAAAAATTAGCTGGGCATGGTGGTGGGTGCCTGTAGTCCCAGCTACTTGGGAGGCTGAGGCAGGAGAATTGCTTGAACCCAGGAGGCACAGATTGCAGTGAGATTGCACACTGCACTCCAGCCTGGGCGACAGACTACATCTAAAAAAAAAAAAAAAAAAAAAAAAAAAAAGAAAGGTGAAGAAGTTAAGCATATTTGCAAAGGGAAGATTGTAAAGTTGGACCATGGGCTTTAGGTTGGGTTTTGATGGAAACGAGTAGGCTAGGGAAATGACTGATATTAAGAAAGTAAGAAGGGCCAATGGATTTGAGGTCTTGCTGGGGATCAAAGTAAATAGATGGTGGGGGAATATTAATGCACAAGAGCTGAACGGATGGGAATTAGTGGTCAGACAGGGTAAGCAGAACTGCTATGTATAGGAAGCTGCTAGATTAGTGAAGGGTATTCTTACATGGTTAGCTCTCACCCACTGCTTATTTTCTTTTGGAGTAATTAAGTTCTCCAGTGTATTATCCCAGTGATGGAGTTATCATGAACTGTGCAGGGGAGTACACAGATTTTCCAATAATCCATCTAGCTCAGCTGTAGATGAGAGCCTATTATATTATTCAAAGGATTCTACATGAGAATTCCAGTAAAGAAGGTCTTAGCATGTAACATTAATAAGCAGTTTTAAACTTTTTTTTTTTTTTTTAAAGACAGGGTCT
Source organism: Homo sapiens (assembly GCF_000001405.40). Classification (NCBI taxonomy): domain Eukaryota; kingdom Metazoa; phylum Chordata; class Mammalia; order Primates; family Hominidae; genus Homo; species Homo sapiens. The sequence continues at coordinate 92,931,066 of NC_000012.12, read as the reverse complement.
CATTTTGTCACCCAGGATGGAGTACAGTGGTGAGATCATAGCTCACTGCATTCTCAACCTCCCTGGGCTCAGGTGATCCTCTCACCTCAGCCTCCTGAGTAGCTAGGAACACAGGCGCATGCCACCACACCCAGCTAATATTTTTTTAGACGAGTTGTTGCCATGTTGTCCAGGTTGGTCTGAAACTCCTGAGCTCAAGCAATCTGTCTGCTTCCGTCTCCCGAAGTGCTGGGATTACAGGCATAAAATCAGTGTGCCTGACCCTAAACTAATTTTTGAAAAACAAACAAAAAAGAGAAAAAAAGTCACTTTTATCACCCCATGTCGCTGAGAATGTTTCCCATATTGTCTGAAAATAAAGCACCTCATGTTTAGAAAGATGGAAAAGTATGTTCTTTGTAAGTGCATTATCACTAGTGATTACTCATATATTAGCTGTAGGCATGACCGTGCTGCTGCACCATCGAGAGACACACACACACATAATAAAAAACCAAATATATTTGGGATAGAAATATCATATTACATTATATAATGCATTATACTTTACAAAACATTTTCCTATTCATTAACTGATTTGCAAATAATATTTAATTTTGTGCTGCTTTTCAAAAGATCTGGAAGTGCTTTCCAAAAAGCACTCCATTCATTGCTTCATAGGCTTCATTCAGTGGTCTGTTGGTTTTTTCTTTTTTTTTTTTTTTCCCTCCCAGCAAGGTTAGTTCCATTATTCCCTCTCCTTCCCTATTCAAGCAATATTAAAGGCTTCTCTTTTTCTACCAGGGTGTTAAGTTGAGCCTCTTGGCTGTGAATATTGGCAGAATGGTAGGACGCAGAAGCTGTGATTTCTCGAGTTAAATAATGACATCGTGCCTGGAGGTCAGTTCAAAGACCACGTCGTTTTGGCACGATATTTATCTGTGACCTCATTTTCTTCTTAATCTATAAAACAGAGGCGTTAATGACAATTTACTTCATAAATCGATTATCAGAATAGGACTTAAAATTCCTTAGGAGGTCAAGCACGGGCTTTAGAAAGTGCAACATGTGAACATCAGCCTATTAAAAATTGTTTTGATCTAGAAAAGACAACCTCAAACTTCTCTTGCCAATTCAAATTCCAGCTTCTTCCTACCCTTCTTTTCTAAATCTTTGCTTTCTCTTTGGCTGAAATTAGAAGCAGGAAGGGAGCAGGGAAAGGAAACCTGGGACTGGAAAAGGGCAGGGAAGCCCAACAGACCGGTTAAGCACGTCTGAGATTCTCTAGTCGGCTTCAACCCAGGGGCTAAGAGGCAGAGTCAGCGTTTCCAGCAGAAACTAGCATATAGCTCAGGCTCAATACCACGTCGAGTCAGGAGCCATCGCCGGAAGGGTCACACCGACACATTTTACAAAACAGCCTAAGGCGTCCCCTCCTCCCGCCTGGGTCAGGGAGGGACACCCCCAGGGGTCCTCGCCCGCCTCCCACTAGCGGGCACGCGGTCGTCGCGCGGGCGCGGCCCTCTGACGGAGCCCAGGCGTGCACTCCGCAGCCTCGGCGTCCCCCAGCTAGCCGGAAGAAGCTGCGGCGACAGCGTCCTGCCGCCTGTCTGTCACGCAGCCGCCCACGTTGCCACCGCTTCCGATTGGTCGCTGGCCTGGACCGGCCCCCTTCAGCCCCGCCTCCCGCGAATGGACAGGCGAGGGGCGGGCCCGCCACCGCCCCGCCCCCCGGCGGCCGCGGGCGGGCCCGCCCATCTGTCAGTTACGGGGGCTGCCCGGCGGGCGGGCTGGAGGCGCTCGCAGGCTGCCTAGTCGTTCGCTCGCTCTCTCTCGCGTGCTCCCTCTCGCCGCCTGTGGGGAAGTCGGGGCCGCCCGAGCGGCCGTCGCCACCGCCTCGCCCCGACCTCCTTCCCGGTCCCCTCCCGGCCCAGTCCCTCCCGCCCGCGCACCCCGAGTAGTGAGTGGCCCCGCGCAGGGTCTGGAGAGTCACCGCGGCGGCGCCGGGTGGTGGTTAAACCATGTTAAGGAGGATTTTACAGAGGGTAAGAGAGTGAAACCGTCTTTCTGGCAGCACGTGAGCGGGACAGCCGGAGCTCGGGGCCGCGGCGCGGGCGCCCCTCCTCAGCGCGGGCTCCTTCCTTCCCTAGGCCCCACAGCCCGGCAGGCGCTTAGGCCTCGGTCGCCCGGCCCGGGGGCGGGGAGGGCGGGTGGGGCCGGCGCGGCGGGGCGGCAGGCAGAGCCCTGGTGGCCCCGCGCGTCCAGGCCTGGCGCCCGCTCCGGCGCGGGGCTCCGTGTGTGCGAGCGGGCTGCGAGCTGGAGGGTGTGGTGCCGGCGCGTTCCTCCCGGGAACCCTGAGTGGGAGTGAAAATGGAGAGTTGGTGCCCGTGGGACGGGCCAGCCGCCGCCTGCCGGGCTGGAGAACGCCCCATGGGAGATTCGGGCGGCTTGCTTCGCCTTTCCCCACCCGCCGCACTCCCCGTGCCCCCCAATTTGACACGATGCGCACCTGCCACACACGGCCCTGCTTTCTCCTTTGGACCACAGTGGAGGGTGGTGTGGTGAGCCCCGGCCTAGCCTGGGCCCAGGCGTGGGACTGACACTGGCACAGTCAGCCGAGAAGGAAGATGTTACTCACTGTTGGAAACTTTTTTTTTAATTAAAAATATGTTTTCTGTGCAAGCCCCACTACCTTATTTTAGCTATCCAAGAATAAATCCGCAGTAAGCTTGATCAAGTGGTATATACACTTAGTTTCTGCCTGTGCTGTCTCTGAAATCTGGAAAACCTTGAGGATAGAAAGATTAGAGCATTAGAAAACTGTAGGTGTATCATTTAAGAATCAGTTACTAGAATAACATAATTCACATCTCTTTTCCTGTAAGAGTTATTGTACCTGTCAACTTAAATTTGTTTTTTTTTTTTGGTATAGCTTTTTTCTTTTCTTTTTGAGGCTGATAGGGTGTAACAAAATGTAAATGATTGAAAAGTAGGTGCCGAGCCTATTAGTTCTTTACCGAGGGAGTAGGATAACTAGTTCAAAGGACAAAAGAAATTAGTGAATTTGTAGGATTCAGCCGAGGAATGTGCGGAAGAGAGTTGAGTCATCCAGTAGATAGGAAGGGAGTGCTCTTGCTTCTGCCTAGCTTTCTCCTGAAAGAATGAAGTCATGTGAAACTTGGTCAGTTATTAGAGGGAGAAATAGTTAACTTCTTTATCTGACAACCTGTGTTGACATTTAATTGTATTTTGCAGTGTTTTGTGAATTTTGAAATCCCGGTAAGCGATGATTTTGGCAGTAACAAGGGCATGTCCTTTACTTTCCCCATCACTTCCTTAGTTCAGCAGTAAAGACATCTGTGCATGATTTACTTTCAGGCTTTAGGAGATTTTTCTTTTATCAGACCTGGAGGAACTGATTACCTCATGTTTCAGATTGTGTTTCTGTCATAGTTCTGCAAGTGAAAATTAGTTTGCCTGTGGTTTGCTTTGAAGTTTACAAATAAAAGTGTTTACTGGTTTAAGGGTAGCTCAGCTGTAGTTATAGATTGGTTTTCAGAAATATGGGATGCTTTCTAGTAATCTTGGTTTAAAGTTAAACATCGAGATTATATGAAGATCATTTTTAATGTTGGTGCATACCTATCAACTGTTAAAGAAGCTTCTGTTGAAACTACAAAAGTGAAATTGATTGTGGTTATTGCAGAGATGTGATATTGAATCATCACTTCTGAATAAGTCAGTTGACAACTGAGTTTCTTAACGTCGGCGCTATTGGCATTTGTGACTGGATAATTCTGCGTTGTGGGAGGCTGCCCTGTGCCTTGTAAGATGTTAGCAGCATCCCTGGCATCTACCCCCACTAGATGCCAGTAGCATTCCCCTATATCCCTTCCCCCTTGTGACAACCAAAAATAGCTCCAGATTTTACCAAATGTCCCCTAGGGGCAAAATTGCCTCTGGTTGAGAATCACTGTGTTAAATGCATTAACTCTTTAGTAGGAAAGTTTGAAGTGTTTCTCACAGTTAAGTACTTAATTTTCTTTTATTCAGTGTATTTATATTGAGTTTCAGTAAATGCCAGGCTTCATGCTAAGGGGTAGGAAACAGTTGATTAAGCTGTGGGTCCTCCCTTTAGAACTCACAGGCTGTTTGGGAGGTGAACATTTAAAAGTAATGACAGTGCTATGTAATAGAATAATGAAGAGGACAGAGGACCCAGGAGGCACTCTGTGGGAGGTGAGGGCAATTAGGAAAAGCTTCAGGGACGGGGGCATATTCACAGCTCAGAAGAGGGAAGGGCATGTCAGGCAGAGGGAACAGCAAATGCAAAGAGATGGAGTCATAAAAGGCGCAGGTAGTACTGTGAGGAGTGTGAACAATGAAGCTTAGGAAGTGAGATGGTCTGTAGCAATTAGTAAGAGATGAAGCTACCGTGGTGGCTAGAGACCAAATTGTGAGAGGACGTAAGAGTCCCTTTGAAGGAGTTCAGCTTTTATCTTGTAGTTGGGTCAGTGTTAATGCTGAGTATTTAATAGGGACATTTTGATAAATGTCTTAAATCTGGTGATTTACTAGTTTAGAAGGTAGAATATATATTTTATTAACTCTACAAGTGGTATTTACCAACAAGTATAACTTGAATCTTTAAATTGTGTAACATGGCAACCTATTTTACCCCTCCCTGCTAATCTTATTTCTCAGCACAGATATTAAGCTATAAGATTAAAGCTATTGTTAATTTAGAGATTTATTTGAAATGGACTCTGTGCTTTGAAATTATGTGGCATTCCTTGGCTGGGTGCAGTGGCTCATTCCTGTAATCCCAGCACTTTGGGAGGCCGAGACGGGCGGATCACCTGAGGTCGGGAGTTCGAGACCAGCCTGACCAACATGGAGAAACCCTGACTCTACTAAAAATACAAAATTAGCCGGGAGTGGTGGTGCATGCCTATAATCCCAGCGACTCAGGAGGCTGAGGTAGGAGAATCACTTGAACCCGGGAGGTGGAGATTGCAGTGAGCTGAGATTGCTCCATTGCACTCCAGCCTGAGCAACAAGACCGGAACTCCGTCTAAAAAAAAAAAAAAAATTATGTGGCATTCCTTTAGCATTTTGTTTTTAGATGAACTTTTCATTTTAACTATTCTTATTTTCTTCTGAATAGTTTCCTTTAAATAGCATTTTTTAAAAGAAGAAACAGACAAACTGCTTACCATCAATTAGAACTCAAAGTGTTTGAACATCATCAATAAGTCTCAGGATACTTTACGGAAATTTGGTTTCTGGTTCTCCTGCTTTTGTCCCTCCTCCTGCTCCTCCTTTTTCATTAGCTTACTAAGGTGTTTCTCTGAGGCTTGAAAGAAGCTGGAAAACAAAAACAAAAAAACCTCAAAACAAAACCAAAGTGAAGTAGCTCCAATATGTATGTATTGAATATTTTACTTAATAGTCCTTCAAAGAAAAACATGAATTTAAAGTACTTGATGGTTAGAAATTTAATCAACGTTTAGTACCTTAGGCAGCTTGTAAACCTTGTTGCCATTTCTTTCTTAAGTATTATAACTTACTGTGGGCTGGCTTAGTGGCTCATGCCTGTAATTCCATCACTTTGGGAAGCCGAGGCGTGCAGATCACTGAGATCAGGAGTTCGAGACCAGCTTGGTCAATGTGGTGAAACCCCGTCACTACCAAAAAATACAAAAATTAGCCGGGCATCGTGGTGCACGCCTGTAGTCCCAACTACTTGGGAGACTGAGGTGGGAGAATTGCTTGAACCTGGGAGGCAGAGGTTGCAGTGAGCCAAGATCGTGCCACTGCACTCCAGCAACAGAGTGAGACCCTGTGTTAAAAACAAAACAAAACAAAACAAAAAAACTGTGATTAGTGTTTTTTTTTTTTTTTTTGAGACATCTTTTGTGGGCCAACTGTGTGCTGTGCAGACAATGATGGGTAAAGTAGTCATGAATTTTTTGTGGAGTTTAGCGTCCAGTGGAAGAGAGAGGAATTGTTCAGAGATTCATACAACTATACTCTTGAATGAGTTCTAGGAAGGACAAACTCAGGATGCCCCAAGAACACCCAGCAAGAGGGCCCTGGTTTTAGATGTTGGGAAGGCTTCCCAGATTAGTTGCCCATCTAAGTTTGATGAAAGTATTGCTAATTTATTGAAGTGAATTTTAAAAAGTGACAGCTAATGGAATGATTTTCTTTTTGAGTAGTTTTTTTTTTTTTTTTTTTTTTTTTTAGCATGTTAGGAATAAAGAAGAGATTAAGATATTAAAGAACCAGGACTAGAACTAAGAATAAAGAAGACGTTAAGAAATGAAAAGAACCAGGGCTAGTACTCAATTTTCTTCTCTAATTCCAGTGGCCTTTTGCTTGAGCTAAAGAAATAATGTAATTTAGTAGTTAAGAACATGAACTCTGATGCCAGACTACCTGGGTTTGTATCCTGTTTCATTTACTATCTGTGTAGTTTTGGAGAAGTTACTTCTCTGTGTCTCAGTAAAATAGTTGTAATAATACTAGCCTCCTTATAAAGTTGAGAACTAGATAACTAATATGTATAAAAGTCTCAGCCAGGCGCGGTGGCTCATGCCTGTAATCCCAGCACTTTGGGAGGCTGAGGTGGGTGGATCACCTGAGGTCAGGAGTTTGAGACCAGCCTGGCCAACATAGTGAAACCCCGTCTCTACTAAAAATAGAAAAAATTAGCTGGGCGTGGTGGCGGGCACCTGTAATCCCAGCTATTAGGGAAGCTGAGGCAGGGGAACTGCTTGAACCTGGGAGGCTGAGATTGCAGTGAGCCGAGATTGTGCCATTGCACTCTCCAGCCTGGGCAACAAGCAAAACTCCATCCCAAAAAAAAAAAAAAAAAAAAAAAGTCTTAAATGTTAGCTGCTGCTAATGTTGGTGTTTTGTTGTTGTTTTTGGTGTTTAACTTTCTTTTCTTATTTTTTTCTTTTTTGAAACAGGGTCTTGCTCTGTCAGCCAGGATGGAGTGCAGTGACACAGTGACACCGTCACGTTCACTGCAGCCCCTGCCTCCTGGGCTCAAGTGGCCCTCCTGCCTCAGCCTCAGGAATAGCTGGGATTATAGGTGTGAACTACCACACCTGGCTGATTTTTTTAAAATGGTGTTTCAGTGTTATTATAATTATAAACTCCAAATTTCTTTAAGGAACACTTTTCTTATCACTTCCTTTATTTTTCTAATCTCCATTTTTTTTTTTTTTTTTTGTAGATGAGGTAGATGAGGACTTAGAACATAGGTACATTCATTTTATGTACTACCGAATATTTATTTTGTGCTAACTACTGTGCAAAACACTCTTGAGAGTAAAAAAAAAACCTGCTGAGTTTTAATGGAGGAGACAGATAAATAATTACAAAACAATGTGATAAGTGTAATAGATACACAGAGGAAAAGTTTGTAAGCACAAAAGAAAAAGTAACTATGTGGTGGAGAGGGGGTGTGGTAGGGGAGGGCAAGGAATAGAGATTGTGGAAGTCTTTGCAGAGGATGGCAGTGACTCAGGCAAGGAGGGAAAAAGGACAGAAGGGCATTTTAGAGATAGGAACCAGACAAATCCAAGAGCATGATATAGTTTAGTATAGAGTAGGGGGATTGTGCGTATTTCTGGATGTGGATGGGATGTTTGCAACAGGTAGCTTGAAGGGTTTTGGACCTTATACTGTAGACAGTAAGGAGCCACAGAAAATTTTTTTTTTTGTTTTGAGACGGAGTCTCGCTCTGTCGCCCAGGCTGGAGTGCAGTGGCGCAATCTCGGCTCACTACAAGCTCCGCCTCCCGGGTTCACGCCATTCTCCTGCCTCAGCCTCCCGAGTAGCTGGGACTACAGGCGCCCACCACCGTGCCTGGCTAATTTTTTTGTATTTTTAGTAGAGACAGGGTTTCACTGTGTTAGCCAGGATGGTCTCGATCTCCTGACCTCGTGATCTGCCTGCCTCAGCCTCCCAAAGTGCTGGGATTACAGGCGTGAGCCACCGCGCCCGGCCAGAGAATTTTAAAGTTATCAAATCTGTAATAAGGAAAAACCCTCCAAAAATATTTCTCCCAGGTAATCTTTATTTTATTTTATTTTATTTTATTTTATTTTATTTTTGAGGTGGAGTTTTGCTCTTGTTGGCCAGGCTGAAGTGTAATGGTGCAATCTCAGCTCACTGCAACCTCTGCCTCCCGGGTTCAAGCAATTCTCCTGCCTCAGCCTCCTGAGTAGCTGGGATTACAGGTGCCCGCCACCACTCCCAGCTAATTTTTTTTTTGTATTTTTAGTAGAGATGGGGTTTCACTATGTTGGCCAGGCTGGTCTCAAACTCCTGACCTCAGGCGATCCGCCCGCCTCGGCTTCCCAAAGTGCTGGGATTACAGGCGTGAGCCACCGCACCCCGCCAGGGTAGAGATTTTGTTGTCTTTCTTTGTTATGTTTAGGTCTAACGTGGTGCTTGATGCCTGGTGGTTTTTCAGTAGTATATATTGACTACTTGTTGGCCCTGTAGAGAGGATGACTTCATTAGGGAGAGATCAGCTAGAAAGTTGTTGTCGTTCTTAAAATCGTTGCATATTGGAGTCATTTGGAATTCTTAAAAACAAACCAGATTTTTGAGTTTCTCAATTGAATCAGAATTTCTGGACCTCTGGCCCTCAGTCTAGGGATAACGAAAGTTTGAATTCAGGCAGCAGTTTTGGGGATGGAGAAAGAATAAATTGATTTTCAATAAGAGGGATAGAATTGCTAGAACTTGTTGACTTGTGAGTAGTTTGGGTAGCTGTGAGGGTGGTGGAATAGATGTAAGATTAAGGGTAGAGGAGGAAGAAAATGTTGGGGAAGAAGATAAATGTGAACTAGAGGTCTGGACTTCCCAAGTGGAGATGTTCAGTAGGCAGGAGAAAATACAGGTCCAGCACTCAGAAGACAAGTAGAGGCCAGGTGTTGGGTATGTGTAAATGTTGAAGAGAAGTTGAGTCAAATAAGGACTGAGAAGTGGCCGCTGAATGTGACAATTGGGTCATACCTATTTCAGTTTCAAGAGAGTCACAGGGGGAAATGAATGACTAGGAAGTAAGGGAATAGAAACAGGGAGTACAGACTACATGGAAATTATTGAAATATTAAATGCATTAATGTAATCTGTCATTCTCTGACCATCTTCTAATAGCTTTCTTTTCTTTTTTTCTTTTTTTTTTTTTTTTTTTTGAGACAGAGTCTTGCTCTGTCGCCAGGCTGGAGTACAGTGGTGTGATCTCGGCTCACTGCAACCTCTGCCTCCTGGATTCAAGCGATTCTTTTTTTTTTTTTTTTTTCTTTTTTTTTATTATACTTTAAGTTTTAGGGTACATGTGCAAAATGTGCAGGTTAGTTACATATGTATACATGTGCCATGCTGGTGCGCTGCACCCACTAACTCGTCATCTAGCATTAGGTATATCTCCCAATGCTATCCCTCCCCCCTCCCCCAACCCCACCACAGTCCCCAGAGTGTGATATTCCCCTTCCTGTGTCCATGTGATCTCATTGTTCAATTCCCACCTATGAGTGAGAATATGCGGTGTTTGGTTTTTTGTTCTTGTGATAGTTTACTGAGAATGATGATTTCCAATTTCATCCATGTCCCTACAAAGGATATGAACTCATCATTTTTTATGGCTGCATAGTATTCCATGGTGTATATGTGCCACATTTTCTTAATCCAGTCTATCATTGTTGGACATTTGGGTTGGTTCCAAGTCTTTGCTATTGTGAATAGTGCCGCAATAAACATACGTGTGCATGTGTCTTTATAGCAGCATGATTTATAGTCATTTGGGTATATACCCAGTAATGGGATGGCTGGGTCAAATGGTATTTCTAGTTCTAGATCCCTGAGGAATCGCCACACTGACTTCCACAATGGTTGAACTAGTTTACAGTCCCACCAACAATGTAAAAGTGTTCCTATTTCTCCACATCCTCTCCAGCACCTCTCGTTTCCTGACTTTTTAATGATCGCCATTCTAACTGGTGTGAGATGGTATCTCATTGTGGTTTTGATTTGCATTTCTCTGATGGCCAGTGATGATGAGCATTTTTTCATGTGTTTTTTGGCTGCATAAATGTCTTCTTTTGAGAAGTGTTTGTTCATGTCCTTCGCCCACTTTTTGATGGGGTTGTTTGTTTTTTTCTTGTAAATTTGGTTGAGTTCATTGTAGATTCTGGATATTAGCCCTTTGTCAGATGAGTAGGTTGCGAAAATTTTCTCCCATTTTGTAGGTTGCCTGTTCACTCTGATGGTAGTTTCTTTTGCTGTGCAGAAGCTCTTGAGTTTAATTAGATCCCATTTGTCAATTTTGTCTTTTGTTGCCATTGCTTTTGGTGTTTTGGATATGAAGTCCTTGCCCATGCCTATGTCCTGAATGGTAATGCCTAGGTTTTCTTCTAGGGTTTTTATGGTTTTAGGTCTAACGTTTAAATCTTTAATCCATCTTGAATTGATTTTTGTATAAGGTGTAAGGAAGGGATCCAGTTTCAGCTTTCTACATATGGCTAGCCAGTTTTCCCAGCACCATTTATTAAATAGGGAATCCTTTCCCCATTTCTTGTTTTTCTCAGGTTTGTCAAAGATCAGACAGTTGTAGGTATGCGGCGTTATTTCTGAGGGCTCTGTTCTGTTCCATTTATCTATATCTCTGTTTTGGTACCAGTACCATGCTGTTTTGGTTACTGTAGCCTTGTAGTAAAGTTTGAAGTCAGATAGTGTGATGCCTCCAGCTTTGTTCTTTTGGCTTAGGATTGACTTGGCGATGCGGGCTCTTTTTTGGTTCCATATGAACTTTAAAGTAGTTTTTTCCAATTCTGTGAAGAAAGTCATTGGTAGCTTGATGGGGATGGCATTGAATCTGTAAATTACCTTGGGCAGTATGGCCATTTTCACAATATTGATTCTTCCTACCCATGAGCATGGAATGTTCTTCCATTTGTTTGTATCCTCTTTTATTTCCTTGAGCAGTGGTTTGTAGTTCTCCTTGAAGAGGTCCTTCACATCCCTTGTAAGTTGGATTCCTAGGTATTTTATTCTCTTTGAAGCAATTGTGAATGGGAGTTCACTCATGATTTGGCTCTCTGTTTGTCTTTTGTTGGTGTATAAGAATGCTTGTGATTTTTGTACATTGATTTTGTATCCTGAGACTTTGCTGAAGTTGCTTATCAGCTTAAGGAGATTTTGGGCTGAGACAATGGGGTTTTCTAGATATACAATCATGTCATCTGCAAACAGGGACAATTTGACTTCCTCTTTTCCTAATTGAATACCCTTTATTTCCTTCTCCTGCCTAATTGCCCTGGCCAGAACTTCCAACACTATGTTGAATAGGAGTGGTGAGAGAGGGCATCCCTGTCTTGTGCCAGTTTTCAAAGGGAATGCTTCCAGTTTTTGCCCATTCAGTATGATATTGGCTGTGGGTTTGTCATATATAGCTCTTATTATTTTGAAATACGTCCCATCAATAGCTAATTTATTGAGAGTTTTTAGCATGAAGGGTTGTTGAATTTTGTCAAAGGCTTTTTCTGCATCTATTGAGATAATCATGTGGTTTTTGTCTTTGGTTCTGTTTATATGCTGGATTACATTTATTGATTTGCGTATATTGAACCAGCCTTGCATCCCAGGGATGAAGCCCACTTGATCATGGTGGATAAGCTTTTTGATGTGCTGCTGGATTCAGTTTGCCAGTATTTTATTGAGGATTTTTGCATCAATGTTCATCAAGGATATTGGTCTAAAATTCTCTTTTTTGGTTGTGTCTCTGCCCAGCTTTGGTATCAGGATGATGCTGGCCTCATAAAATGAGTTAGGGAGGATTCCCTCTTTTTCTATTGATTGGAATAGTTTCAGAAGGAATGGTACCAGTTCCTCCTTGTACCTCTGGTAGAATTTGGCTGTGAATCCATCTGGTCCTGGACCCTTTTTGGTTGGTAAGCTATTGATTATTGCCACAATTTCAGATCCTGTTATTGGTCTATTCAGAGATTCAACTTCTTCCTGGTTTAGTCTTGGGAGAGTGTATGTGTCGAGGAATTTATCCATTTCTTCTAGATTTTCTAGTTTATTTGCGTAGAGGTGTTTGTAGTATTCTCTGATGGTAGTTTGTATTTCTGTGGGATCGGTGGTGATATCCCCTTTATCATTTTTCATTGTGTCTATTTGATTCTTCTCTCTTTTTTTCTTTATTAGTCTTGCTAGCGGTCTATCAATTTTGTTGATCCTTTCAAAAAACCAGCTCCTGGATTCATTGATTTTTTGAAGGGTTTTTTGTGTCTCTATTTCCTTCAGTTCTGCTCTGATTTTAGTTATTTCTTGCCTTCTGCTAGCTTTTGAATGTCTTTGCTCTTGCTTTTCTAGTTCTTTTAATTGTGATGTTAGGGTGTCAATTTTGGATCTTTCCTGCTTTCTCTTGTGGGCATTTAGTGCTATAAATTTCCCTCTACACACTGCTTTGAATGCGTCCCAGAGATTCTGGTATGTTGTGTCTTTGTTCTCGTTGGTTTCAAAGAACATGTTTATTTCTGCCTTCATTTCGTTATGTACCCAGTAGTCATTCAGGAGCAGGTTGTTCAGTTTCCATGTAGTTGAGCGGCTTTGAGTGAGATTCTTAATCCTGAGTTCTAGTTTCATTGCACTGTGGTCTGAGAGATAGTTTGTTATAATTTCTGTTCTTTTACATTTGCTGAGGAGAGCTTTACTTCCAACTATGTGGTCAATTTTGGAATAGGTGTGGTGTGGTGCTGAAAAAAATGTATATTCTGTTGATTTGGGGTGGAGAGTTCTGTAGATGTCTATTAGGTCCGCTTGGTGCAGAGCTGAGTTCAATTCCTGGGTATCCTTGTTGACTTTCTGTCTCGTTGATCTGTCTAATGTTGACAGTGGGGTGTTAAAGTCTCCCATTATTATTGTGTGGGAGTCTAAGTCTCTTTGTAGGTCACTCAGGACTTGCTTTATGAATCTGGGTGCTCCTGTATTGGGTGCATATATATTTAGGATAGTTAGCTCTTCTTGTTGAATTGATCCCTTTACCATTATGTAATGGCCTTCTTTGTCTCTTTTGATCTTTGTTGGTTTAAAGTCTGTTTTATCAGAGACTAGGATTGCAACCCCTGCCTTTTTTTGTTTTCCATTTGCTTGGTAGATCTTCCTCCATCCTTTTATTTTGAGCCTATGTGTGTCTCTGCACGTGAGATGGGTTTCCTGAATACAGCACACTGATGGGTCTTGACTCTTTATCCAATTTGCCAGTCTGTGTCTTTTAATTGGAGCATTTAGTCCATTTACATTTAAAGTTAATATTGTTATGTGTGAATTTGATCCTGTCATTATGATGTTAGCTGGTGATTTTGCTCGTTAGTTGATGCAGTTTCTTCCTAGTCTCGATGGTCTTTACATTTTGGCATGATTTTGCAATGGCTGGTACTGGTTGTTCCTTTCCATGTTTAGCGCTTCCTTCAGGAGCTCTTTTAGGGCAGGTCTGGTGGTGACAAAATCTCTCAGCATTTGCTTGTCTGTAAAGTATTTTATTTCTCCTTCACTTATGAAGCTTAGCTTGGCTGGATATGAAATTTTGGGTTGAAAATTCTTTTCTTTAAGAATGTTGAATATTGGCCCCCACTCTCTTCTGGCTTGTAGGGTTTCTGCCGAGAGATCCGCTGTTAGTCTGATGGGCTTCCCTTTGAGGATAACCCGACCTTTCTCTCTGGCTGACCTTAACATTTTTTCCTTCATTTCAACTTTGGTGAATCTGACAATTATGTGTCTTGGAGTTGCTCTTCTCGAGGAGTATCTTTGTGGCGTTCTCTGTATTTCCTGAATCTGAACGTTGGCCTGCCTTGCTAGATTGGGGAAGTTCTCCTGGATAATATCCTGCAGAGTGTTTTCCAACTTGGTTCCATTCTCCCCATCACTTTCAGGTACACCAATCAGATGTAGATTTGGTCTTTTCACATAGTCCCATATTTCTTGGAGGCTTTGCTCATTTCTTTTTATTCTTTTTTCTCTAAACTTCCCTTCTCACTTCATTTCATTCATTTCATCTTCCATTGCTGACACCCTTTCTTCCAGTTGATCGCGTCGGCTCCTGAGGCTTCTGCGTTCTTCACGTAGTTCTCGAGCCTTGGTTTTCAGCTCCATCAGCTCCTTTAAGCACTTCTCTGTATTGGTTATTCTAGTTATACATTCTTCTAAATTTTTTTCAAAGTTTTCAACTTCTTTGCCTTTGGTTTGAATGTCCTCCCGTAGCTCAGAGTAATTTGATCGTCTGAAGCCTTCTTCTCTCAGCTCGTCAAAGTCATTCTCCATCCAGCTTTGTTCTGTTGCTGGTGAGGAGCTGCGTTCCTTTGGAGGAGGAGAGGCGCTCTGATTTTTAGAGCTTCCAGTTTTTCTGTTCTGTTTTTTCCCCATCTTTGTGGTTTTATCTACTTTTGGTCTTTGATGATGGCTCACTGCAACCTCCGCCTCCCAGGTTCAAGCGATTATTCTGCCTCAGCCTCCCCAGTAGCTGGGATTACAGGTGTGTGGTACTGCGCCCAGCTAATTTTTGTATTTTTAGTAGAGACGGGGTTTCACTATTTCGATCAGGCTGGTCTTGAACTCCTGACCTCATGATCTGCCCACCTCAGCCACCCAAAGTGCTGGGATTACAGGCATGAGCCACCGCGCCCGGCCCAGATTTTTAAGTTTGTTTCACAGTCCATGATTTTGAGCATGATCCACAGATCTCTGTTCAAGAAATTTTATTGTCAGTACCTTTCCCTGTTCCCTTAAGTGAGTTTAAGACTTAAATAAAATGAAAAGTGGCTTCTTCTTTAAAGCAGACTGTTAACCCTTATTTTGGTATGTTTTTGTAGCTGTCTATTCATATTTGATGAATCAAAACACCCTATACTTTAAACTTGCCTAACATATGTAGGTCAATTTTAATCATATGGTGGGTATTTTTAAAACTTTTATTATTTCACTTAATAATACTTATATTCACTTAATATTTCACTTAATATTAAGTTAATTGTATGATATATGTAAACTCAATTTAGGTACTAGGAACTTATCTATAATGAGTTCTGATAGTCTCAGTCTCTTACTGACTTGGCTGCTTGTGAGAGACAAATTATTTTCATGTAACTAATAACTTAAGTTTTAGAATTTTAAATATGACCATAAGAAAACTAAGCATATACAGATACTGGAAATATGTTTGACATCCTTTTAGGTCAGCCAATTTATGGCTCCAAATCAATCATAGAATGAGAATTTTGGAGTTGGAAGATCCTGTGAATTCATCCTGTCCTTAGAGTTTATCAATGAAGAAATTGAGATTAGAAAAGTTAGGCTTAATTGTTATCAGAGAGATGAACAAGAAACATTTTGAGATTGTAGGGAAAATATCAGTTGAGATCCCAGAAACCTAAGTGTTAATTGCAACTCTACCATTAGATAGCAGAGCGTTGTCAGGCAAGCCAGCTATTCTTTCTTTTAGTTTCTTCATGTATGAAGTCACTGCAATTGGACCAAATGATTTCTGAGTACCTTCCAGCTTTTTTTGTTTTTGTTTTGTTTTGTTTTGTTTTTAAGACAGGTTCTTGCCCTGTTGTCCAGGCTAGAGTGCAAGTAGCATGATCACGGCTCACTGCAACCTCAGCCTTTCCAGGCTTAAGCAGTCCTCCTGGCTTAGCCTCCCTAGTAGCTGGGATTACAGGCCCACACCAGCACACCTGGCTACTTTTTTGTATTTTTTGTAGAGACGGGGTCTCACTTTGTTATCCAGGCTAGTCTTGAACTCCTTGGCTCAAGTGATGCTCTCACCTTGGCATCCCAAAGTGCTGGGATTACATGCACAAACCACTGTGCCTGGACAGCTTTTAAATTTTGATTCTAGGTCTTTTTTGTGTAGAGAGATGTACTTAATAATAATATGTGTCTATTTATAGTGTATCTACCATAATGCCAGACACTAATTTAAACATTTTATATTTATTATTTAATCTTTGCAACAATTCTGTGAGGCTGACATTATTAGTTTCACTTTACAAATGGGAATTTCATGCTTAGAGAAGTTAAGTAAATTTACAAAGCTTGGCCAGGTGCGGTGGCTCACACCTATAATCCCAGCACTTTGGGAAGCCGAGGCAGGTGGATCACCTGAGGTCAAGAGTTCAAGACCAGCCTGGCCAATGTGGCAAAACCCCATCTGTACTGAAAAGACAAAAATTAGTTGGTCGTGGGGATGCACGCCTTTTCTTCCAGTTACTTGGGAGGCTGAAGTGGGAGAGTTGCTCGAACTCTGGAGGTGGAGGTTGCAGTGAGCTGAGCTCACATCACTGCACTCCAGCCTGGGTTACAGAGCGAGACTCCTTCTCAAAAAAAAAAAAAAAATTGTAGAGACAAGGTCTTGTTATGTTGCCCAGGGGATGGTCTTAAACTCTTGGCCTCAAGTGATTCTCTCACATCAGCCTCCAAAGTGCTGGGATTACAGGTGTGAGCCAGTGTACCCAGCCTCAATGCAATTTCTGTCAGATTACCAACATTGTTTTTCATAGAATTAGAAAAAACAATTCTAAAATTCGTGTGGAACCAAAAAAGAGAGCGAATAACCAAAGCAATCCTAAGCAGAACAAAGTGGGAGGCATCAGATTACCTGACTTCACGTTATGCTACAAGGCTACAGTAAACATGGTACTGGTATAAAAATAGTCACAGGTCAATGGAACAGAAGAGAGAACCCAGAAATAAAGCCACATACTTATACTAATTGATATTCGATGAAGTTGACAAAAATATGCACTGTGGTTTCTGATTATGGGCCTGGGATCTGAGTGCAGGGCTAGAGGCAAGCAAAGGCAGGGGCAGAGGCCATGGGGGCATGGGCTGGTGGGTGAGTGGTAAGGGGAGACCTGAGGGTGTGGTGGGGGTAGGGAAATGCAGCGGGGAAAGGATACTTTATTCAATAAATAGAAAAAGGATACTTTATTCAATAAATAGAAAATTAGCCATATGCAGAAGAATGAAGCTGGACCCATATTGTTCACCATATACGAAAGATAACTCAAATTAACTGAAGGATTAAAGACTTAGATGTAAGACCTCAAACTAGGCCAAGTGTGATGGCTCCCAGCACTTTGGGAGGCCTAGGCGGGCGGATCACCTGAGGTCATGAGTTGAAGACCAGCCTGGCCAACATAGTGAAACCATGTCTCTACTAAAAAGACAAAAATTAGTCAGATGTGGTGGCACATGCCTGTAATCCCAGCTACTTGGGAGGCTGAGGCAGGAGAATTGCTTTAGCCTGGGAGGTGGAGGTTGCAGTGAGCTGACATCGCGCCACTGCACTCCAGCCCGGGTGACAGAGCAAGACTCTGCCTCAAAAACAAACTAACAAACAAACAAAAAACCTGGAAGTAAAAACCCTGGAAGAAAACCTAGGAAAATCTCTCTGGACATTAGCCTGGGCGAAGAATTTATGACTGAGACCTCAAAAGCAAATACACAAACAAAAATAGAAAAAAAATGGGAATTAAAGTAAAAATTGTCTGTACAGCCAAAGAAATAATCAACAGACAACCTACAGAATGGGAGAAAATGCTTGCAAACTATTCATCTGACAAAGGACTAACATCCGGAATCTACATGGAACGCAACAAGAAAAAAACAAGTCCATCAGAAAGTAAGCAAAGGACATTAGCAGATATTTCTCAAAAGAGGACATACAAGTGACCAACAAACATGAGAAAATGCTCAACATTGCTAATCAGAGAAATGCAAATTAAAAATGCATTGAGATACCATCTTACACCAGTCAGAATGGCTGTTACAAAAAATTAAAAAACAAAACCAACAACATGTTGGTGAGGATGTGGAGAAAAGGGAATGCCCATACATTGTTGATGGGAATGTAAATTAGTACAGCCTCTGTGGAAAACAGTATGGAGATTTCTCAAAGAGCTAAAAACAGAACTACAGTTCAATCCAGCAGTCCCAGTACTGGGTATATATCCAAAGGAAAACAAATCACTGTATAAAAAAGACAGCTGCACATGGCTATTTATCATGGCACTTTGCACCACAGCAAAGTCTTGGAATCAACCTAAGTGTCCATCAACAGATGATTGGATAAAGAAAATGTGGTTTCTGTATACCATGGAATACTGCTCAGCCATAAAAAAGAATGAGATCATGTCTTTTGTAGCAACAGGGATGGAACTGGAGGCCGTTATCCTAAGTGAAATCACTCAGAAACAAAGTGAAATACTGCATGTTCTCACTTATAAGTGGGAGCTAGACAATGGATACAGATAGACGTAAAGATGGAAATGGGGAAAGGGTGAGGGTGGGAGGAGAGTGAGGGATGAAAAATTACCTATTCTGTACAGTGACATTATTAGGGTGGTGGGTACACTAAAAGCCGAGACTTCACCACTATACAATATGCCCATCTAACAAAACTGCACTTGTACCCACTAAATCTATAAAAAGAAAATAAGGTGGAAAACAGAATGGATGATCTAAGGTACCTTCAGTCATATTGCTGGTTTTATCCATTGGGCCACATGTGTCTAAGGCTAGTCTGGGTTTATGTGGTGGCAGAGGAGTTTCCAGCAACAAGAGAACAAATCCCATTGTGCAGACAGACGCCTTTCAAGTCTCTGCTTGTGTCTCATTTGCTACTACCATTAGTCAAGGCAAGTCTCATGGCCAGCCCAGAGTTTATGTAGGGGAGGATTACATAAGAGAATTACAAGGGCATGAAAACATAGGCCTGATTCATTGATGGTAATTACCATAACAAACTACCACTGACACCACTTTGTTCTTCCTTGTATTATGAGTAAGTGCTGCAAGAGGAAATATAAATAAGGGACGTAGTCGAGTTTAAAGGATGGAAAGACTTCTTATTTGAGTAAGAACATTCAAAGAAGATTTTATGATGTCATTTGGGTTAGATTTCAGCAGTATTTGCAAAATGATCTTCTAAATCTTTCATTGCTTCTACATATATTAACTGAAATTTTTTCTGTAAAGAACTTTTCGATATCAACCAGGGCTATTTGGTTATCCCAAATTTCAGTGCATACTTGGAAGGCAGGATAAAGACTTAATTGTTTTTCATTGATTACTAAGTGTTAGAATAAGAGTTGGTACACTAGCTACTCCAGCAGTGATCACTGAGGTTTTCTTAGTTTTCTTTTGATTTTCTCTTTCTTGAGAAAAGGAAATTCATAGATTTGAAAAACAAGTTACTTTTTAGAGCAGTTGTAGGTTTACAATAAAATTGAGTGAAGGTTACAGAGATTTCCCATGTACTTCCTGCCCCTACACATGCATAGACTCCCCCATTATCAACATTCCCCACTAGAGTGGTACATTTGTTATGATTCGTGAACCTATGTTGACATATCATTATCATTTAGAGTCTGCAGTTTACAGTAGGGTTCACTCTTGGTGTTGTACATTCTGTAGATTTTGGGACAAATTTTTAGTATCTACCGTTATAATACCATACAGAGTACTTTCACTTCTGTACAAATCCACTGTGTTTTGCCTATTCATCCTTCCCTTCCCCTTAACTCTTGGCAAACATTGATCTTTTCACTTTTTTCATAGTTTTGCCTTTTCCAGAAATCCATATAATTGGAATCTTACAGTATGTAGCATTTTCAGATTGGCTCCTTTCACTTTGTATTTCACTTAGTAATATATGTTTAAGTTTCTTCATTGTCTTCATGGCTTAATAGCTCATTTCTTTTTAACGCTGGAGAATATTGTCTGGGTGTACTAGTAAGTTATTGATTCACCCGCTGGGGGACATCTTGGTCAATTACAAGCTTTAGCTATTATGAATAAAGCTACTTTAAACTTCTATGTCCACGTTTTGGTGTGGACAGAAGTTTTTAGCTCATTTGGGTAAATACCAAGGAGTGTGATTACTGAATTGTATAGTAAGAGTATGTTTAGTTTTGTAAGGAACTACCAAACTGTCTTCCAAAGTAGCTGTAACATTTTGTATTTCCACCAGCAATGAATTCCTGTTCCTATTTCTCCACATCCTTGTCAGCATTTGATGGTGGTAGTGTTCTGGATTTTGGCCATTCTACTAGCTGTGTTGTGGTATCCCATTGTTTTAATTTGCATTACCCTGATGGTGTATGCTGTGGAGCAACTTTTCATATGCATATTTGCCATCTGTATATCTTCTTTTGTAAGATGCCTGTCTATTAAGGTCTTTGCCTTATTTTTAAATTAGATTGTTTATTTTTTTACTGTTGAATTTAAAGAGTTGTTTGTATATTTTGGATAATAGTCCATTATCAGGTTTGTCTTTTGTAAATATTTTTCTCCAGTCTGTGACTTGTCTTTTTACTCTTGACAATGTCTTTTGAAGAGCTGACATTTTAAATTTTAATGAAGTCCAGCTTATTAATTCTTTCTTTCATGGATTGCGCCTTTGGTGTTCTACCTAAAAAAATAATGGACAAACCACAGTAATTTCTCCTATGTTATCTTCTAGGGTTTATAGTTTTGTGTTTTACATTTAGGTTTGTGATCCATTTTGAGTTTATTTATTTATTTTTTTTTGAGATGGAGTCTTGCTCTGTCGCCCAGGCTGTAGTGCAGTGGCATGATCTTGGCTCACTGCAACCTCCGCCTCCCGAGTTCAAGCGATTCTCCTGCCTCAGCTTCCTGGGTAGCTGGGATTACAGGTGCGCACCACCATGCCCGGCTAATTTTTGTATTTTTAGTAGAGATGGGTTTCACCATGTCGGTCAGGCTGGTCTTGAACTCCTGACCTCGTGATCTGCCCATCTCGGCCTCCCAAAGTGCTGGGATTATAGGTGTGAGCCACCGCGCCTGACCTTGAGTTAATTTTTTAAAATTAAAATTTAATTAATTTATTTATTTTTGAGATGGAATCTTGCTCTGTTGCCGAGGCTGGAGTGCAGTGGCGTGATCTTGGCTCACTGCAACCTCCACCTTTTGGGTTCAAGTGATTCTTCTGCCTCAGCCTCTCAAGTAGCTGGGATTACAGGTGGCTGCTACCACACCTGGCTAATTTTTGTATTTTTAGCAGAGACAAGGTTTCTCCACATTGACCAGGCTGGTCTCAAACTCCTGACCTCCGGTGATCTACCCTTCTCGGTCTCCCAAAGTGCTGGGATTACAGGCGTGAGCCACTGTGCCCAACCTAAATTTATTAAGGCGGGGTCTCACCATGTTGCCCAGGCTGGTCTTGGGCTCCTGAGCTCAAGTGATCCTCCTACCTCGGCCTCCCAAAGTGCTGGGATTACAGGTGTCAGCCACCATGCTCGGCCACAAGCTTGTCTTTATAACAAAGCCATTCCCATGATAACTGATCCATGTTCACAATAATGGCAATCCATTCATGAGGGTGGAACTCCCATGACCTAGTCACCTTTTAAAGGCCTCACTTCTCAATACCATTACATTTGCAATTAAATTTCAACATGAGTTTTGGTGGGGACATTCAAGCGATAACAGCTATCTTTTCTCATTTTATTGCCTTTGTTCCATTGTCAAAGATTAGTTGACTAACTCATGGATTTTTATATTATGAACTCACGGATTTACATATGTTTAGCATGTTTCAGTCAATTACAGTCAATGT
Organism: Homo sapiens; assembly: GCF_000001405.40. Taxonomy (NCBI): domain Eukaryota; kingdom Metazoa; phylum Chordata; class Mammalia; order Primates; family Hominidae; genus Homo; species Homo sapiens. The sequence goes on along the minus strand of NC_000012.12, from coordinate 92,909,420 downwards.
GTTTTGCTGATGTGAAAATGATCTCAGCTTTAGCTACTGGGAGTACCTTCAAGGTGACGTTTGTCATTTTGACAGGACCTTATTTGTGTTCAAAAAGCTTCCTTGCTTTTTGGCACAATAATATGTTTCAGATTTATCTTGTAAATTCCCTCTCCCATGTCTGGAATCAGCCATTTCTCTAGAAAATTCTGGTTCCTTTGAGTGGGGAGTGATGGTTAGAGACCATAGTATAAGCACGTAGGGTGCGCTTTGCTTTTGGGTTGTCTTTGCTTTTAAGCTTTTGAATGATAAGAATTATTGTTAAGAAACAGGGCTGGGCGCGGTGGCTCATGCCTGTAATCCCAGCACTTTGGGAGGCCGAGGCAGGCAGATCACAAGTCAGGAGTTCAAGACCATCCTGGCTAACACGGCGAAACCCCATCTTTACTAATTAGCTGGGTGTGGTGGTGCACGCCTGTAATCCTAGCTACTCAGGAGGCTGAGGCAGGAGAATTGCTAGAACTTGGGAGGCGGAGGTTGCAGTGAACTGAGATTGTACCACTGCACTCCAGCTTGGGTGAGAGAGCCAGACTCTGTCTCAGGAAAAAAATGAAACAAAAACCCAAATGATAATTCAAATTTAAGATATAAAATGGTTTTTTACTTATTTGATTCTGTATTTATATCATTTTTTCTTATACTGAATATCTTGGTTCTTAACATTAGCAAATGTTTTTTGCTAAAATATACATAAATAGCTTTAAAATTAACAATATGAATATTATGGCTAAGATTATTGAATTAATTTTACTGTTTCTTTTTTTAGCAATTTTTTTTGGCTTTGTGCTATATCCCAAAAGGATATGTAGTAGAAACTCTGCATTCTTAAATACTTAAAATAATTATTTTGTCTGTATGGTAATGCCTGCAATATAATACTTATTTAGGTTTTAAAAAAATTTTTTTTAAATTATGACAAAATATACGTAATTTAAAAGATACAATTTTTACCATTTTTAAGTGTATAATCCAGTGGCATGAAATGTATTCACGTTGTTGTACAATCATTACAACTAAACTCCATACTCATAAAACAATAACTCTTCATTCCTCCCCTCCCCTGAACCCACTGTAACCACAATTCCACTTCCTGTCACTATGAATTTAACTGTTCTAGGTACCTCATATAAGTGGAATTATACGATAGTGATCCTTTTGTGTCTGGTTTATTTCACTTAGCATAATTATTTCTAGCTTCATGTTGCAGCATGTTATCAGAATTTTCTTCCTTTTAAAGGCTGAATAATATTTCATTGTGGATGTATATACTACCTTTTGTTTATCCATTCATCCGTTGACAGACATTGGATTATTTACATGTTTTAGCTATTGTGAATAATGCTGCTATGAACATTGGTGTGCAAATATCTGTTTTAGTTCATTTAGGTTTTAATTTTTGTTTGTTTGTTTGTTTGGAGACAGTCTCACTCTGTCACCCAGGCTGGAGCGCAGTGGTGTGATCTCAGTGCACTGCAACTTCCGCCTCCTGGGTTCAAGTGATTCTCCTGCCTCAGCCTCCCAAGTAGCTGGGATAACAGGTGCCCATCACCATGCCTGGTTAATAGTTCATTTAGGTTTTAACTGAAGTTCTTGATAAATGAGGATATTATTGACTAAGCTGGAGAACATAGTGAGGAAAGTAAACTTTTTCCTAGGATGGTAAAGTGTTGAGATGAATGAAGAGTTTGGTTTGGTTACAATGCTTTGAGAAATCCATTGCTTGATTTCTTAGTAAACAACTACAAATGTGGATGTAGAGGTATAGAGTGCTATATTAGGTCTCTTTTATCGTCCAGGTGAGAGATGATTGCAACATGAATTAAGGTAGTGGCCAAGGAGATGGAGAAAGGGGGATAGATTCAAAATTTAAGTGGGCAGTTGAATTAACTTGGTGATTGGATGTGAAGGTTAAGGAATAGAGACAAGTAAGAGTGATGCCTTGGATTTAGGCAAAATGAGTGTGTGATGGTTCTATAATCTGAGATGGAGAATGTAGATGGGTGAAAGCTTTGAGCAAAGATAAATGAATTTGGTTTTGAATAAGCTGACTTTGTGGTGCTCTCAAGGCATTCAATTAGATATATTTGGCAGGACAGGAAAATATGAATTGGAAACTCAGCAAAGGTCTGGATTAAAGTTAGTGTTTTATTATTTTCAGCAATGGTGTTAATGAAAATTAAGGGAGTAAATGAATTTACCTAAAGAGTATGTGATAAGCTAAGAGGTCAAGTATGAAAACTCCCTGGGAACCCCTCAATTACTTTACATGAATTTTTTTTCATGAAATAGTATTTGTTATTTGCAAAGATAACTTCTCGCTTTATCTATATGTTACGTTTTTAGCTCTTAATAGTAGAAAAGGGTTAGTGAGAGCCCTTTGTCTATCCATTTAGTATAAGGCTTGCATAATGTATTTAAAGCATTGTTCTTAAGGTCTGCATATAGTAAATGGCTTTTCAAACTTTTTGTGAAAATCTTTCTAATTTGTTTTTATGGTGGGATGCAGATGAAATAGAGTAACAAAATCAGTGTTGAAAGTTACATTTTATTTAATTTTTTTTTTATTTTGAGACAGAGTCTAGCTCTGTCACCCAGGCTGGAGTGCAGTGGCGCAATCTTGGCTCACTGCAAGCTCCACCTCCTGGGTTCATGCCATTCTCCTGCCTCAGCCTCCCCAGTAGCTGGGACTACAGGCGCCCGCCACTATGCCCGGCTAACCTTTTTTGTGTTTTTAGTAGAGACGGGGTTTCACCGTGTTAGCCAGGATGGTCTCGATCTCCTGACCTCGTGATCCGCCCGCCTCGGCCTCCCAGAGTGCTGGAATTACAGGCGTGAGCCACTGCACCCGGCCCCTAAAGTTACATTTTATAAGAAATCCTTATAGATAGCTTATAAATCCCCAAGGTTTTGAGTTGTATATTATTTAATTTCTAATACTTGTATCCTTTCCAGTTTTAGAAAGAATTTTGCTTAAAGAAAATTAGCCAGGGCCAGGCATGATGACTCATGCCTGTAATCTCAGCCCTTTGAGAGGCTGAGGCAGGTGGATTGCTTGCGCCTAAGAATTTGAGACCAGCCTGGGCAACATGGCAAAACCCCGTCTCTATAAAAAAAATACAAAAATTAGTCAGGTGTGGTGGCATGTGCCTATAGTCCCAGCTACTCAGGATGCTGAGGTGGGAGGATATCTTGAACCCAGGAGGCAGAGGTTGCAATGAGCCGAGATTACACCACTGCACTCCAGCCTAGGTGACAGAGTAAGACCCTGTCTCAGAAAAAAAAAAAAAAGAAAAGAAAAGAAAAGAAAATTAGCCAGGTGTGGTGGCACTCATCTGTAGTCCTAGCTACTCAGTAGGCTGAGGCGGGAGGATGGCTTGAGCCCAGGAAATTTGAGGCTACGATGAGCCATGATTGTGCCACTGCACTTCAGCCTGGGTCACAGAGTGAGATTTTGCCTATTAAAAATATATATATATATATGTCTAAATTATACTCAGTAAACAACTAGTCTGCAATAGATAAATCATTTATTTCAAAAAAGTTTTAGGTTGTTAAAACTTCTGTGACAGTGATATTTCTTTTTAAGATATTGCATAAGTAAACAATAACATTTTTTCTCCCAGTAAAGTGCTGTTCTTTCTCAAATTTGTGTTTGCTTCTTTGATAGTTTTTTGCAGAGATTAATGCGGTTTTATACTGATCTTGTAGTATGAATTTGTTTTTATTACCAGCAGTCTAGGATATCCTGTTTATTGCAGACATCTGTTCTTTTTTTTTTGAGACAGAGTCTCTCTGTCACCTAAGCTGGAGTGCAGTGGCGTGATGTCGGCTCACTGCAACCTCGGTCTCCCGGGTTCAAGCGATTCTCCTGCCCTGGGCTCCCCAGGGGATTACAGGTGTGTGCCACCACGCTCAGCTTTGTGTGTGTGTGTGTGTGTGTATTTTTAGTAGAGATGGGGTTTCACCATGTTGGCCAGGCTGGTCTTTAACTCCTGACCTCAAATGATCCGCACGCCTTGGCCTCCCATTGTTGGGATTACAGGTGTGAGCTACCACACCCAGCCAACATCTGTTCTTATTTGAAGTAAATACTTGGAATACTATGTATTTTTTTCATAATTTCAAATATTGATGTAATATTGTTATAATAAGAAATATATATTTGGTCTTTTTTCTTGTTTCTGGCATGGAGCTCCTAAAACTTGGAATTCCTTGAGTGATGGAGGTGAAAGGAATGTCATTTGTCATTCATAATAAGTACCTTTTGGCAATACCTGAGTTTATGCTAATAAGGTGATATTGATGGGCCCCTAGATAGCTTCAGGTTGGGGACTTGTTGCCATAGACACTAGCCACAAGATTAAGGCTATGGAACTTTCGACCCTACCCTCTGACCTTCAGGCATAGAGAGGGGCTAGAGATTGAGTTAATCACCAATGGCCAATGACTTAGTCAATCATGCTTACATAATGGAACCTCTGTAAAAACTTTAAACAGTGATTTTGGAGATCTTCCTGGTTGTCGAATGCATTCATGTGCTGGGAGGGTGATGTATCTCTAAATTCATGGGGACAGAAGCTCCTGTGCTTGGGAGCCCTGCAGACCTTCCCTTACATACTGTTTCATCTGGCTGTTTATTTGTATCCTTTAAGATATCTTTTAGAGTAAACATAAGTAAAATGTTTCCCTGAGTTCTTTGAGCTGCTATAGCAAATTATCAAACCTGAGGAGGGGAGTTGTGAGGGTTCCCGACATGTAGCCAAAGTAGACAAAAGTGTGGGTAACCTGGGGACCTTTTATTTGCTATTGGTGTTAGAAGGGGAGGGCAGTCTTAAGGGACTGATCCCTTAGTCTGTGAGGTCTGTGCTAATTCCAGATAGTGTCAGAATTCAATTAAATTGTGGGACATACAGTTGGTGGCTGCAGAGAATTGGTGTGGAAAACTCAAACATTTGTTCAGAAGTATAGTGAATAGAGAAATAGTTTTGTTGTAGCTGGTTTTCCTTTAGTTGGTCTGTTTGGTTGTAGCTACTTAAACATTAATGGTGAGTGTTTGATAATTAGAATTCTCTGGATCTTTTTGTCAAGGCCAAATGGTTTTTTAAAAATCGGAAAACTTTTGGCCAGGCATGGTGGCTCACGCCTGTAATCCCAGCACTTTGGGAGGCTGAGGCTGGCAGATCACCTGAGGTCAGGAGTTCAAGACCAGCCTGACCAACATGGAGAAACCCCGTCTCTACTAAAAATACAAAATTAGCCGGGGTGGTGGTGCATGCCTGTAATCCCAGCTACTCAGGAGGCTGAGGCAGGAGAATCGCTTGAACCCGGGAGGCGGGGGTTGTGGTGAGCTGAGATTGCACCATTGCACTCCAGTCTGGGCAGCAAGAGAGAAACTCCGTCTCAAAAAAAAAAAAATCAGAAAACTTTAAAAAGTAATATGACAACACTAACAAAAAATTATGGGTGGAAGTAGGTGGGTGGTTAATAAAATCATCTTAACACAAATCTCATCTATTCAGTAATATGAGGGGGAAAAGTAGCAACAAAAAAATCATCCTAACATAAAACTCATTGGTCTTATATGATTACCTTTTAATCTCTTTATGTGTATGTATTTTTATGTAATTGAAGTCATAATATATACAAATGTTGTATTTACCTCTTTGACAAATTCAGGATTTATATCATATACATTCTTTTCTTTCTTTTTGTTTTTTCTTTTTTTAATTTCTCACAATAGATGTATCATATATCATATGCATTCTCATTTTTCTTTTTTTTTTGAGATGGAGTTTTGCTTTTGTTGCCCAGGCTGGAGTGTAATGGTGCTATCTCAGCTCACCACAACCTTCGCCTCCTGGGTTCAAGTGATTCTCCTGCCTCAGCCTCTCGAGTAGCTGGGACTACAGGCACGTGCCACCACGCCTGGCTAATTTTTATATTTTTAGTGGAGATGGGGTTTCTCCTTGTTGGTCAGGCTGGTCTCAAACTCCCGACCTCAGGTGATCTGCCTGCCTCAGCCTCCCAAAGTGCTGGGATTACAGGCGTGAGCTACCGCTTCCGACTGCATTCTCATTTTTCTACATAACCTTCATGCTTTTATAACCTACACACTTATCCCATTAATTGTCAAGACTGTTGAACAGGCCGGGCGCGGTGGCTCATGCCTGTAATCCCAGCACTTTGGGAGGCCGAGGTGGGCGGATCACGAGGTCAGGAGATTGAGACCATCCTGGCTAACACGGTGAAACCCTGTCTCTACTAAAAAATACAAAAAAAATTAGCCGGGTGTGGTGGCGGGTGCCTGTAACCCCAGCTACTTGGGAGGCTGAGGCAGGAGAATGGTGTGAACCCGGGAGGCGGAGCTTGCAGTAAGTCAAGATCGCGCCGCTGCACTCCAGCCTGGGTGACAGAGCGAGACTCCGTCTCAAAAAAAAAAAAAAAAGACTGTTGAACAGTTACGTCGTAGTTTAGTTAACAGTTTCTTCATTTTGAACATATAGGTTGCTTATGATTTATAAGCTGTTACAAATAATGCTTTGGTTGGAATGCCCTCTCATCTCTACCTGGAAAAGCTCTGCTCAAACTTTGGGCCTAAACAGTGTGTGGCAGGATTTACAGCCTTTTTTTTTTTTTTTTTTAAGACAGAATTTCGCCCTGTTGCCCAGGCTGGAGTGCAGTGGCACAATCTTGACTCACTACAACCTCTGCCTCCCAGGTTCAAATGATTCTACTGCCTCAGCGTCCTGAGTAGCTTGGATTACAAGCGCCCGCCACCACACCCAGCTAATTTTTGTGTTTTTAGTAGAGACGGGGTTTCACCCTGTTGGCCAGGCTGGTCTCGAACTCCTGACCTCGTGTTATGCCCACTTTGGCCTCCCAAACTTCTGGGATTACAGGCGTGAGCCATCGCACCCGGCCGGATTTACAGCTTTTTAAAGAGTTTCTATTCATTGCAAGGGATAGTTGCCTTGCCCCGCTTACTAAGTTCTCACAGTGGGCCTGGCTTCTTGTTACCTTGCGCATCCAGGGCGTTTTTGGTTCTTATTACTGAACTTAGCTGCCTCTACCTGTTTTAGGTTCCAGAATCCTGGATACTCTATGTTTCCATTTTATTTTTGGTCCATTGTGTACCTTGTTTTTAAGATTGGTTCCATCTTAATAATATTTGAAATTCTTTTTTTTGTGGAGACAAGGTCTTACTCTGTTGCCCAGGGTGGAGTAAAGTGGCATAATCACAGTTCACTGCAGCGTTGACTTCCTGGGCTCAAGTGATCCTCCCACCTGGACCTCCCAAAGTGGTGGGATTACAGATGTGAACCATTGTGCCCAGCCTATCACTTTAAATTTTTAGCATAAATCATTCCAATCCCATTCTTTTTGCAAAATAAAACTTTTATAAGTGAAAAAGTTAGAATGCTTTATATGCTTTATTTAGGGTTAGTGTTATTGTTTTTGGGCTTCTCCTTGAAATAAAGGAATTTTAGTGGCTTAAAAATAGAATAAGAATGAAGGCTGGGTGCGGTGGCTCATGCCTGTAATCCCAGCACCTTAGGAGGCTGAGGTGGGCGGATCATCTGATGTCAGGAGTTTGTGACCAGATTGACCAACATGGAAAAACCCCGTTTCTACTAAAAATACAAAAAATTAGCTGGGCATGGTGGCGTGCACCTGTAGTCCCAGCTACTTGGGAGGCTGAGGCAGGAGAATCGCCTGAACCTGGGAGGCAGAGGTTGCAGTGAGCCAAGATAATGCCATTGCACTCCCGCTTGGGCAACAAGAGTGAAACTCCGTCTCAAAAAAAAAAAAACAAGAAGTTCTTAGATAATTTAACAGCAATCATGAGGAGTATATTTAAAATATGGACATCAAAAACCCCTGACTTGTGAGGGTTTCCTTGTTTTTTTCTCTGTTTACTCCCCATGCCTCTTGGGCTTTACTTAGGTATATTTACTAGGATTATTGTAGGCAAATTTGAGAAAGGGTATTTTTGGTGATGATAATAGGTTTATGTAGAAGTACCTTATTTCAGGTGGCCATGGTGGCTCACACCTGTAATCCCAGCACTTTGGGAGGGTGAGGCAGGAGAATCACTGGAGCCCATAGGTTTGAGATGAGCCTAGGCAACATACAGAGACCTCATCTTTACAAAAATAAAAAAAAGTACAATATTTCTTTGAATTGCTTACTTCGGCTCAGTCAAGGAAAACCTTGGTGAAAAGCCATCTGGCATCTGGAAAAATAAAGGAAACAGAAATGAGGAAAATACAGTTCTTTGGAAGTATAACTTCCTGTTTCCAGTGTCTTTCATTGTTCTTAATACCATCGTAGTGTGAAGTTATTGAAATGTTAATGAATCAAAAATGAATTTCTAGTTTTATAGAACGGTTCTTTATATTAAATATCCAGTTTAGGCTGGACGTGTTGGCTCGCGCCTGTAATCCCAGCACTTTGGGAGGCTGAGGTGGGCGGATCAGTTGAGGTCAGGATTTAGAGACCAGCCTGGCCAACATGGTGAAACCCTGTCTCTACTAAAAATACAAAAATTAGCTGGACGTGGTGGCGGGCACCTGTAATTCCAGCTACTGGGGAGGCTGAGGCAGGATAATCACTTGAACCTGGGAGGCAGAGGTTGCAGTGAGCCAAGATCACACCATTGTACCCCAGCCTGGGTGACAGAGTGAGACTGTGCCTCAAAAAAATAAAACAAGACAAAAAAAAAAAACAACTACAAAAAAAAATTTAAATGCTCTTTTAAAACATTTTCGCCATTTACTTTTTGCCACATCCATGAGTGTATCATTAAATCCAGAGCTGGCTTTTATTTATTTATAAATTCATGTCTCAATTATATTATTTTGGGAAAGAATTTTGCTTTGGTGTTTGCAGAACTGTAGCTGATATTAAAACAAGAAAATTTTGTGGGCATTAAATGTAAAAAAAAAAACACACAGTAAAGACATACTCTGGATAAATTTAGACAGTTTTAGAATGTTAGATTTTGGGAAAGTTTAAAGGGACTGTAGAGACTGAGGCCTGCTCTTCCATACTATACTAGGAAATCTGAGATTCCCTAGGCTAAGAACAACTTGAGGACTTTATTTCTGAAGGCCATTGAATGCCTTTAGATAAGTCGAGGGGAGAAATCTGAAATGAGTATATCTCCTGTATCAGTGATAGCTAAGGATACGTCATTGGAAACAGTCAGGGTGCTAACTACCATTTTAAAAATATCATTTGACTTTTGGTCCCTTTTGTTGTGATTCCTTGTTTCTGCAAAGCTGGCTAGGATCAGCATAGTAGGTTTTAAAAAAAAAGTCCTCAGTGACAGACTTTAGGAATCTCCAGTCTCCCAAACATGTCACTAAAGACTTGAACGTTCATCACCAAATACTCAAGATGTGGAAGATAAATTCCACCCAAGGGAGAATGGAAGTTCACCCTCTGAAGAGAAGTTTGGAATCATTATCAGAGCCATTGGAGGAGACACCCAAGAGTCATGTGGCTGAGGTTTCACAATATCCTGCTGTGCCTCCAGTCCAGAAAAGAAAGCTAGATCAACTTCCAAAAAAGCATAGGCATTTTAGGAAGATTGTAAGGACAAAGAAAATGAGAACGAGCAAGAGGAAGGAGAAAGTAGAGGCCCACTGCACCCTCTCCCCTAATTCTTCCAACACCTTTTGTCCCACTACAAAGTGAAGAGACCAGATTAAAAGCTGACCCTATTCAGTGCCCAGGAAGATGATCCTAACTTTCCCAATGAGGACAGATTACAGTGTCAGCAGGATGAATGTGCCTGTGTAATGCATCAGGAATGTCAAATCCAGCCCTCTGAGCTCTCAGTGACTCAGGAACCCAGGCCTTCTGCCATGACATCCTTGGCATCACTGCTTTGATTATTTCACAAGCTTTGTCTGCTTGTCTAGAAAGTGGAAACCTCCCAGAAGAAGGGTCAGCGACCACGCTGAGGCAGGAGGTAGTGCTCAGGCTCCAAGACCTGGCAATAAAGTGCAGCCTCTCTAAAGCCTGTAGCAAATTGAAGTTAGGCTGAAGTGAGATTTGATCTAGATTGGTGGTATCTAAAATTCATGTTTATTTCACTCATGTATTCAGTTGGCTTAACCTTCTCTGACTTCTCTGAGGATGAAAGCCTTACAATTTCATCATTTCGGGTAGTGGGTACTGTCTCCTGGTATCGACAACCAAATGGAGACCCCTCATATCCAGCTCCTCTCATTTTTTTTTTTTTTTTGCCTTTGGCCAGAGATTCATTTTGCATTCTTCATCTTTAGTACTTTATTGAAATTCTGCCACTTTCTACCTGTTTTGGATAAGCCTTGGTGTGGTGGTTGCTACTATTCTTGGACAGGATACAGTTATTGCCTCCTCCATCTCTAAACAATGTTTGTGGTTTTTTTTTTTTTTTTCACTCATGAGTAAGATACCTGTCTCTTTCTGAAGTGTGCCTCTGATGTTCTCTAGCCATCTTTATTGAAACATAGGCTGGATGCAGTGGCTCATGCCTGTAATCTCAGCACTTTGGGAGGATGAAGTGGGAGAAGGATCACTTGAGCCTAGGAGTTCAAGACCAGCCTGGGCAACATTCTGAGACCCCTGTCTCTAAAAAAAAAAAAAAAAAAAAAAAAAAAAGGGAAAAAAAGGAAAAAAAAAAGAAGACATAGTTACACAAGTAATGTTCCTTCTTCTTTTTTTTTTTTGAGATGGAGTCTCGCTCTGTCACCCAGGCTGGAGTGCGGTGGCACGATCTCGGCTCACTGCAACTTCTGTCTCCCAGGTCCAAGCAATTCTCCTGCCTCAGCCTCCCGAATAGCTGGGATTACAGGTGTGCACCACCATGCCCAGCTAATTTTTGTATTTTTAGTAGAGATGAGGTTTCACCATATTGGCCAGGCTGGTCTCAAACTCCTAACCTGAAGTGATCCACCCACCTCAGCCTCCCAAAGTGCTGAGATTACAGGCGTGAGCCATTTCACCCAGCCATAATGTTCCTTCTTTGTCATTCTTTAGTTGACAGAACCTCACAGAACCCTGAGTTCTTCTGAGAATCCTAAAGAACATAAGTACTTTAAAAAAGGTTCAAGATCATTTTATTTCCCCTTTGTCATGGCATGCTAGGTTAATACTCTATCCAGAATATAAAATAAAAGTTTAATCTTATACCCTTCTTTGAGGAAGTATGTTTGAGAAGAGTTTGGGAATTTCTCTGTAGCTTTAATTACTGGTTGTTATTTTGTACTTGTTCTAGTTTCCTGATTTATATAAAAATTATACAAGTATATAGGCATACTTGTATATAGGCATATCTTGGAGATATTGCGGGCTTGGTTCTAGATCACTGCAATAAAACAAGTATCGCAATAAAACGAGTCACATAAATTCTTTGGTTTCACAGTGCATATAAAAATTATATTCACGGCATACTGTAGTCTATTAAGTGTGCAATAGCATTATGTCTAATAGATACTTTAATTAAAAAATATTTTATTGCTGTAAAATGCCAACAATCGTTTGAGCCTTCAGTGATTTGTAATCTTTTTTCTTTGATGAGACAGAGTCTCGCTCTGTCATCCGGTCTATAATGCAATGGTGTGATCATAGCTCGCTGCATTTTTGAATTCCTGGGCTTAAGTGATCCTCCTGCCTCAGCCTTCCTATTGTCACTGGTAGAGGGTCGTGACTGCAAGTTGTCCAGATTCTTGGCGTTTTGAATAAAGAATTGGACAAAACGCCCAGCAAAGCAAAGAAAGAATGAAGCAACAAAAGAACGAAAGCAGAGATTTATTGGAAACGAAAGTACACTCCACAGTGTGGGAGTGGGCCTGAGCAGCAGCTCAAGGGCCTGGATACAGCATCTTCTTGGGTCCAAATACCCCCTAGACGTTTCTGATTAGCCACTTCACGCTCACCTCATGTAAATGAAGTGGTAACCCACATTCAGTCTGATTGGTTGCAGAAAACAGCCAACCAGAGGCTGAAGTAAAGTTACAAAGGTCACACTCCTGTGCAAACATCTGATTGGTTGCAAAAGGCAACCAATCAGAGCCTAGGGTAAAGCTACACAGTTATACTTCTATGCAAATGAAGACTTGCCCACAATCAGTCTGATTTGTTGTGGATAGCCAATTTCCCATCTGTGCAGAAAAGGTCAAAGGAAAGGTCAAAGGGAGTAGCCTGTGGTCCTTTTGTTACTTAGGTGTGGAAAGTTAGGGTTTTCCTTTCAATTTAGTTCTAGGAAGTTGCCATGAAACAGCCTTAGTTTCCTTGCCTCCAGACCCTATTCTCCTGCCTCACTGGTAGCTGGGACTACAGGTGAACGCCACCACGCCTTGCTGATTTTTGTATTTTTTTGGTAGAGATGGGGTCTCATTATGTTGCCCAGAGTGGTCTCAAATGCCTAGCCTCAAGCGATCCTCCTTCTTTGGCCTCCCAAAGCACTAGGATTACAAATGTGGGCCATCTTGCCCAGCTAGTCATAATCTTTTTGCTTGTGGAAGGTTTTGCCTCTATACTGATAGCTGCTGACTGACCAGGGTGGAGGTTTCTGAAGGTTGGGATAGCTGTGTCAATTTCTTTTTTTTTCTTTTTTTCTTTTCTTTCAGTGGTGCGATCTTGGCTCACTGCAACCTCCACCTCCCGGATTCAAGCGATTCTCCTGCCTCCCTCCTGAGTAGCTGGGATTACAGGCACGCACCACCACGCCTGGCTAATTTTTGTATTTTTAGTAGTGACGGAGTTTCACCATGTTGGTCAGGCTGGAGTTGTGGCATTTCTTAAAATAAAACAACAATGAAGTTTGCTGTTTTGCTTTGATTAACTCTTCTTTTCATGAAAGATTTCCCTGTAGCATGCTGTTTGATAGCATCTTACCCACAGTAGAACTTCCTTCAAAACTTGAGTCAATCCTCCGAAAAGCTGCTGATGCTTTATCAACTAAATTTATGGAATATTCTAAATTCTTTGTTGTCATTTCAACAGTGTTCACAGCATCTTCTCCAGTAGCAGATTTCATCTCAAGGAACCACCTTCTTTGCTCATCCCTAAGAAGCCATTCCTCCTCCATTAAAGTTTTATTGTGAAAATTATCAGTCATGCCAGGCGCGATGGCTCACACCTGTAATCCCGGCACTTTGGGAGGCCGAAGTGGGTGGATCACGAGGTGAAGAGATCGAGACCATCCTGGCCAACATGGTGAAACCCTGTCTCTACTAAAAATACAAAAATTAGCTGGGCGTGGTGGCACGTACCTGTAGTCCCAGCTACTCGGGAGGCTGAGGCAGGAGAATCGCTTGAACCTGGGAGGTGGAGGTTGCAGTGAGCTGAGATCACACCACTGCACTCCAGCCTGGTGACAGAGCAAAAGTCCGTCTCAAGAAAAAAAAAAAAAAGAAAATTATCAGTCGCATCTTCAGGCTCCACTTTTAATTCTAGTTGTCTTGCTGATTCCACCGTATCTGTTCTACTGGAGTCTTGAACCCCTCACAGTCATTATGAAGGTTGGAATCAACTTCTAAACTCTTGTTAGTGTTGATATTTTGACTTCCTCCCATGAATCACAAATGTTCTTAATCACATCTAGAATGGTGACCTTTTTAGAAGGTTTTCCACACACTCTGCCCAGATCTGTCAGAGGAGTCACTATCTATGGTAGTTATAGCCTTACAAAATATATTTCTTAAATAATAAGACTTGAAAGTCAAAATTACTCCTTGATCCATAGGCTGCGGAATGGATGTTATATTAATAGGCATGAAAACAACATTAAACTCCTTGTATGCCTCCAGGAGAGCTCTTGGGTGACCAGGTGAATTGTCAATGAACAGTGATATTTTTGAAAGGATTTTTTTTTTTTTTTCCAGTGGCAGCTCTTAATAGTGGGCTTAAAATATTCAGTCATCCAGCCAGGCACAGTGGCTCACACCTGTAATCCCTGCACTTTGGGAGGCTGAGGCGGGTGGATCATGAGGTCAGGAGATCGAGACCATCCTGGCTAACACGGTGAAACCCTGTCTCTACTAAAAATACAAAAAAACAATTAGGCGGCCTTGGTGGCAGGCACCTGTAGTCCCAGCTACTCTGAGGCAGGAGACTGAGGCGGGAGAATGGCATGTACTTGGGAGGCGGAGCTTGCAGTGAGCTGAGATCGGGCCACTGCACTCCAGCCTGGGCGACAGAGTGAGACTCCGTCTCAAAAAAAAAAAAAAAAAAAAAAAAAAAAAAAAAAAAAAAATTCAGTGATCCATGTGGTAAACAGATGTGCTATTAATTAGGCTTTCTTGTTCTATGTATAGAGCGCAGAGTAGCATTAGCGTAATTCTTAAGGGTCCTAGGAATTTCAGAACGGTATAAATGATCATTGGCTTGAACTTAAAAGTCATCAGCTGCATTAACCCCTAACAAGAATTACCCTGTTCTTTGAAGCTTGGAATTCGAAGCTTGGAAGCCCAGTATTGATTTCTCTTCTCTAGCTATAGTAGTTACAGATGACATCTTCCAATAGAAGGCTGTTTTTTTCTGAATTGAAAATCTGTTACTTAATATAGATATCTTCATCAATTATCTTAGCTAGATCTTCTGGATAACTTGCTGCAGCTTCTCCATGATCACTTGCTGCTTCACTTTGCATTATTATGTTATGGAGACAGCTTCTTTCCTTAAATCCCATGAACCAACCTCTGCTACCTTCAAACATTTCTTCTGCAGCTTCCTCATCTCTGTCAGCCTTCGTACAATTGAAGGGCCTTTCTCTGAATTAGGCTTTGGTTTAAGGGAACGTTAATGGCTGGTTTGAACTTATATCCATGTCACTAAAACATTCTCAGCAATTTGTGCTCTTATCATTTGTGTGTTCACTGGAGTAGCACTTTTAATTTCCCCAGGAACTTTTTCTTTGCATTCACATTTGGCTGTTTGGCACAAAGGCCTAGCTTTTAGTCTGTTTCAGCTTTCCACATGCCTTCCTCATTAAGCTTAATCATTTCTAGCTTTTGATTTAAAGTGAGAAATGAGCAGCTCTTCTTTTCACTTGAACACTTAGAGGCCATTATAGGGTTATTAATTGGCCTAATTTTAATATGGTTGTGTCTCAAGGAATAGGGAGGCTCAAGGAGAAGGGAGAGAGACTGGGAAATGGCCAGTGAGTGGAGCAGTCAGAACACACACAACATTTATCAATTAAGTTGGCCATCTTATATGGGTATGGGTTGTAGTGCCTCAAAACAATTGCAGTAGTAACTTCAAAGATCATTGATCACAGGTCACCATAACAGATATGATAATAATAAAAAAGCTTGAAATATTATGATAATTACCAAAATGTGACACAGAGATACAAAGTGAGCACATGCTTTTGAAGAAATGGCAGGAATAGACTTGCTTGATGGCAGAGTTGACACAAACTTTCAATATCTAAAAAGCGCCACATCTGCAAAGTGCAATAAAGAGACACACAATAAAATGAGATATGCCTGTAAATAAATGTGCAAAGTATCTGCATGAGGAAAAAAAAAGGAATGCTGGCTATTAAACTGGAGGTTTGCTTATCTTTAACATAAAACATTTTTTTCAAGATAAAAGCAATTCAAGTATGGATCTAAAATTCTGAAAAAAAAAGTAGCAAAATGAAAACTGAAAAAAATAAAAATGAAGATTCCTGTCTTGCTACAGAAATCATTATTTGAATTTTGGAATATTTCTTTTTAATCTTTTTTCTTATATCAGTAGTTTTTATATATAATTTAAATCATACTGTGTATATTTTTCCATTGTATATAGTTTTTATAATCATTTTGATGAATATAGCATTATGAATTCATCCTTATTTGGATTTAGGTTGAACATTTAGTAGTGATGTACAGGATGTTCACATGTTGAGGCAAATATGTAGTGAGGTGTTTTGAATCTTGGGTGATTGAGGGGCATTTCAGTGGAGATGTCTAACAGAGAAGCAGTATTGGTTAGTGATTAAGAGCCACACTGCTCTAATTAAAATCCCTTCTTTCATTTATTACCCATCTGACCTTGGGCAATTTACTTAGTCTCTATGCCTTGGTTCCCTCATTTGTAAAGTGTGGATAATGCTAGCATATACCATATATATTTTTGATGAGTATTATTGAGTCAGTTTTTGTGCTCTAAATCTCTTTTTACCCAGTGTTTTACTAGGTTTCAGATTCATCCAAAAAGCAATTTGATATAAAAGTAACACCTAGATTTTAATGAATGATAATGCTAAGTGATAAATGGTACAGGGGGAAAAGACCTTTAACCCTCCAAAATGTGTCTCTGATGGTGTCATATCAAGTATTGGAGCTGGATGGTAATGATTGGTTTGAGTGGTAGGTGATGGGGACTTGATAACTTGGGCTGCATTGGTCTTTTTTGCACCACTTGAATCACTGTAGTTTTAGTTTGTGTAGAAAAGAGACTATTGCCGGCTGGGCGCTGTGGCTCATGCCTGTAATCACAGCACTTTGGGAGGCCAAGGTGGGGGGATCACTTGAGGTCAGGAGTTCGAGAACAGCCTGGCCAACATGGTGAAACCCCGTTTCCACTAAAAATACAAAAAAAATTTAGCTGCACATGGTGGCATGTGCCTGTAGTCCCAGCTACTCA
The DNA here is from genome assembly GCF_000001405.40 of Homo sapiens. Lineage (NCBI taxonomy): Eukaryota > Metazoa > Chordata > Mammalia > Primates > Hominidae > Homo > Homo sapiens. The sequence continues at coordinate 92,892,749 of NC_000012.12, read as the reverse complement.
AAAAAAAATTAGCTGGACATGGTGGCATGTGCCTGTAGTCCCAGCTACTCAGGAGTCTGAGGCAGGAGAATTGCTTGAACCCAGGAGGTGGAGATTGCAATGAGCCAAGATCGTGCCACTATGCTCCAGCCTGGATGACAGAGTGAGACCAGCCTGGATGACAGAGCAAGACTCTTGTTTCAAAAAAAAAAAGAAAAGAGAAAGCATTGTCAAAGGAATCAGAAGATCTGCATTTTAGTTCTGCATCTTCTGATTTTTTTTGCTTTAACTTGGATCTTGAGAACTTTCTGATTTTTTTTCTTCTTCCTTGAACTTGCATCTTGAGGACTTTCTGATTTTTGCTGACAGTACAATGGTGGACTGAGCGTTATGGCTCACACCTGTAACCCCAGCACTTTGGGAGGCGGAGGTGGGCAGATCGTTTGAGCTCAGGAGTTTGAGACCATCTTGGGCAACATGGTGAAACTTCGTCTCTACCAAAAATACAACAAATTAGCTGGGTGTGGTGGTGTGCACCTGTGGTCCCAGCTACTTGGGTAGCTGAGATAGGAGGATCGCTTGAGCCTGGGAGGTGGAGGTTGCAGTGAGCCAAGATTGTACCACTGCACTCCAGCCTGGGTGACAGAGCAAGACCCCAACTCAAAAAACAACCAAAACAAAAGAGTACAATGGTGAACAAGTCACTTCCTGCTTTAAATCTGTTTTCTTCTCTACAGAGATAACATCCATCTTACCTGTCTTAAGAGATGTCATTTTGATTAAATATGATGTTTTGTGAAGGTGACTTGAAGACTTTGTAAAGTGTTGTATACATTTTGTTTAAAGTGACTTAAAATGAGAGAAATGCATATATAGAGATTTTGATACAGCATTAGGTACACTCTTCCATAAATGATACTGTTAGTACTGTTATTATTGTAAAGACATCTACTTTTCTTATGTGAAAAGGTTTAGATTATTAAATGGCCGATGAATATATTGTTAATGTCTGCTTTGTTTTTTTTTCCTCCCTACTGTTTGTGTTCCAGACTCCTGGGAGAGTTGGCTCTCAAGGTTCTGATTTAGATTCATCAGCAACTCCTATAAACACAGTGGACGTCAATAATGAAAGCTCTTCAGAGGTATGAAAATAATAACTTGGCAATAAAATTCAATATTAAGGGAAAATGAGCAAATATTTGGTGTAACGATTGGTGATTTGTATAGGAAAAGTTCTCACAAGTTTTTCTTGTAAAAGTTGGAATGTGACTTTTGAAACATACTTGTAGCTATATGCCTGTGCCTAGTTGTGAGACTGAGAAAGTGTACATTAAGACTCTGAAAAATAATATTGCCAATTTGTCTTTAATGCTAATGTCATCTCACTGAAGATTTTAAAACGTCTGTTTATAAAGAATTACAGGTTAATTAGTATCTATTTATGTGTGTGTACTGTCATGAACTGTTATTGGACTAAGGAAAAATTGGGTTATCTATAAAATTTACATATTATTTACTGTCTTCATGTATGACTTTGTAAGGACTTTTGTCTTTGATATTAAAGACATTATATTAAATATAAATACATTATATTAAAAATGAAGAAATTATTGTAAATAAGTAAAAAAATTCCAAAAATTTGAAAAGTCAGCTTTAGTTGCATTAATATTATTTTTAATAAATAAGTAATATTGGATGATTATAGAAAAAGGAGATAAGGAATGTGAAGAACATAACACTCACCCATAATACTGCCACGAAGAGATGAAGATGCTCAAATTTTGCTCTGATAGTTTTTGTCAGTTGCCCCTTTGAAGGCCTAGCTGTAGTCCTTACCCAGTCTTTTTTTCTCTGCTATCCTCTTCTCCACCTCTTGGTTGATGAGTCTGTGTATTGTGCATACGTTTCTGGATATGTCCTCTTTCTGTCCATTCATCATTCTGTTTTGTCTCTCTCTGACCATGTGTTTATTTTTTGTCTCCATGTGTATGTATTTTAACCATAGTAAGATTTTACAGATTTGCGAGAGGGGAGGAAAACTATCAGCTGGACTTTATTAAGAACAAGTTTCAGTAAATGTCTTTAAGAAAAATGTTCTAAACTGTGTTCATAATATGATGAACTGAAAGGAATCTAGTAATAATTTAGTTGACCTCAATCAGAACAACACCAAAAAACAATTCCAATGGGTATTGGTATTGAGCAGTGCCTGGCAATACTGTTAATATCATATTAGTAGGATTAACTTCCTACTTTCTGAGATAGTTATTTTGTACCTTCTTTGTTTTGAAATCTGTCTCTTTTTAACCTTCTCTCAGTCACCGTATATATAACTGAGAAAATAGGAACCATTAGATAAATGTTCTTATTTTATCATACCTATACCATACCTGTTTCCTCTTACTTTATTACACTGAAAAAAAGTCCTTTTTATAAAATTTCAGTCCTTTCTCTTGTTCTGTGGATTCCATTCTTTTTCATTTTTAATTTATCCTCTCTCCCTCCTGCTACTTCACTTTTTACCTCTACTTCATATAATTCCCAATAACATACAAATTTGTTCAATATGATTCATATGAAAACAAATAAGAAAAGAACACCAAAAAATCAAAAATGAATAAAACCAAGACCAAAAACTCTTTCTTTGACTTGAAATCCCGTCTTCAGGTACCATGTGTTATTTGCTTTCCTTCAGAGCCAAACTTCTCTAATATGCTGTTTACAGTCACTGGCTTCATATTTTATCTACTTAGATCTGTTATATCTTTTTGATGAATTGGTGTTTAATAGTAGTGGAATAACCCCAGCTTTGTTTTGATTAGTATTTTGTGTATCTTCTTCTTTCTTTCTTTTTTTTGAGACAGAGTCTCACTCTATTGCCCAGACTGGAGTGCAGTGGCACAATCTTGGCTCACTGTAACCTCTGCCTCCCAGGTTCGAATGATTCTCCTGCCTCAGCCTCCTGAGTAACTGGGATTACAGGTGCATGCTACCACACCTGGCTAATTTTTTTGTTTTGTTTTGTTTTGTTTTTAGTAGAGACGGGGTTTTGCCATGTTGGCCAGCCTGGTCTCAAACACCTGACCTCGGGTGATCTGCCTGCCTCAGCTTCCCAAAGTGTTGGGATTAGAGGCATGAGTCACTGCTCCCGGACTTTATCTTTCTTTTCATTTTCGTATTTTCTTGTTCCTTTTGTTTTAGGTGGGGGTTTTTTTTTGGTTTGTTCTTTTTTTTTTTTTTGCAAAGAGCGTTAACACTTGTCTTTTAACTGGGAAAACCGCTAAACCCCTTTGAATTATTTTGGTTATATTTTGATTTATTTTTATTACTCTTTATGTACTTTCTCTTTGTCCTGCTCTTCTGTTTCTTTTTCTCTTTTTGCCTTAGTTTGGATTTAACTTCCTTACTACACACCCTTTTCTGTGCTTCTGTAATACCACACACTTCTGGTTTTTTTCTTACCTCTCTAGCTGTTCATTCTCCTTATTTGCTGGCCCTTTGGTAAGCAACCTTCACATGGTGGTGGAGTACATTGCTGGGTTTAGTCCTGGGTACTGCTACTAGTTTGGATATTATGCACTATATTCTGTTCATTTAGTGTTTTTTTTTTTTTTAATGTTTTTGAGACAGAGTCTTGCTTTGTTGCCTTGGAGTGCAGTGACATGATCTTGGGTCACTGCAATCTCCACCTCCCAGGATCAAATGATTCTCCCACCTCAGCCTCCTAAGTAGTTGGGATTACAGGCACGTGCCACCACACCCTGCGAATTTTTTTGTATTTTTAGTAGAGACAGGGTTTCACCATGTTGACCAGGCTAGTCTCGAACTTCTGACCTCAAGTGATCCATCTGCCTTGGCCTCCCAAAGTGCCGGGATTATAGGTGTGAGTCACCATGCCTGGCCCATTTTTGTTTCTTTTGTAACATACATAATGTCTAACATACTTTTCTTTCCTTCCGTTTCGAGGATTTTTGAATGCTTTGATATGGATCACTACTTCCTAACTTATATTGTGGTTCATTAGTTTAGATTTATCTTATTTTCTTTTATCTTCACAAATTAGAGGTTATTATTATTTTTAGATTTATCCATGTATTTACCAGTGTAGTTGTTTACCATTCCTTATTGCATCTTCAGCCTTCCACTTACAATTGTTTTCTTGGGTTTTTTTTTTTGTTTGTTTGTTTGTTTTTTTAGATGGAGTCTGGCTCTGTCGCCCAGGCTGAAGTGCAGTGGCGCGATCTCGGCTCACTGTAAGCTCTGCCTCCCGGGTTCACGCCATTCTCCTGCCTCAGCCTCCCGAGTAGCTGGGACTACAGGCACCCGCCACCACACCCGGCTAATTTTTTGTATTTTTAGTAGAGATGGGGTTTCATGTTAGCCAGGATGGTCTTGATCTCCTGACCTTGTGGTCCACTTGCTTCGGCCTCCCAAAGTGCTGGCATTACAGGCGTAAGCCACTGCGCCCGGCCTATTTTATTCGTTTTATAGAACATCATTTAGGATTTTTTTAAAATGAGGACTGATTTGCTAGACTCTCAGTTTCAGTCTAAAATGTTATTTCATGCTCGTTCTTGAAACACGATTTTGCTGAGCATAAAATTCTACATACAGACCTTTTTTTTTGTCAGCACATTGAAAACTTCCATCTCTGTCTTTTTTCTGGGTCACATTGTTACTGTTGAGAAGACTGCTTTTAGTCTATTTGGTTCTATTGAAGGGATCCTTTTCTCTACTCCTGTGGTTGTTTTTTATAATTAATCAGCCAATAAATTAATCTGTTCTAGTCTCTTTCTTTCATTTCCTGTTATGTGTGTGTGTGTTTAATCCTGCTTGAGACTCATTGGGCTTTCTGTACACACCAATGTGTATTTGAAGTGTTTTGGAAAATTCTCGGTGATTATCTTTGACTATTGCCTCAATTTTTTTCTGATATTGCCATCTGAAACCTAGATTAGATATACAGATGCTCTTCGATTTATGATGGGGTTACATCTTGATAAATCAGTCATAAAGTCAAAAATTTTAAGTCAAACTATTCTAAGTTGGGGGCTTCCTGTATGTTAAAATTTCTCCCTTTATCATTTATTCTATCATAGGTATTTTTTTTATTTTTATTTTTTGAGACAAGGTCTTGCTCTATTGCCTGGGCTGGAGCGTGGTCATAGTTCACTGCACCTCAAACTCCTGGGCTCAAGCAATTCTCCCAATCTGACGTCTCCAGTAGTGGGACTATAGGTGCACATCACCATGCCTGGCTTTTTGTTGTTGTTGTTGTTGTTGTTTTTGGTAGAGATGGGCTCTCATTATGTAGCTTAGGCTGATCTTGAACTCCTGGCTTTAAACAGTCTTCCTGCCTCAGCTTCCCAAAGTGCTGGAATTATAGATGTGAGCCACTGCACCCCTCCCTGTTTTATTTTTTAAATTTTTAAGTTTTAGTTTTTGAGATGGGGTCTCCATCTGTGACTCTGGTTGCAGGCTGGTCTTGACTTCCTGACCTCAAGTGATCCTCCTGCCTTGGCCTCCCAAAATGTTGGGATTACAGCCATGAGCCACTGTGCCTGGCCTGTTTTATATTTTATATCCTTTTTTTTTGTTTTTCATTTTGGATTAAAAAATGAATTATCCAATTAATTAAATCTTTCCTCAGCTATGGAGAATACCTGCTGTTTAATATGCCATTAATTTTCATTTTAAATGTCTTTTTTTCATTCCTAGAAGTTCTTTCTTTTTTTCTTTGTTTTTGTTTGTTTGTTTGTTTGTTTGTTTGTTGAGATGGAGTCCCGCTCTGTTGCCCAGGCTGGAGTGCAGTGGTGCGGATCTCGGCTCACTGCAAACTCCTCCTCCCAGGCTCATGCCATTCTCCTGTCTCAGCCTCCCGAGTAGCTGGGACTACAGGCGCCTGCCACCACACCCGGCTAATTTTTTGTATTTTTAGTAGAGACAGGGTTTCACCATGTTAGCCAGGATGGTCTCGATCTCCTGACCTTGTGATCCGCCCGCTTCGGCCTCCCAAAGTGTTGGGATTACAGGCGTGAGCCACCGTGACTGGCTTTTCTTTTTCTTTTTTCCTTCCTTCCTTCTTTCCTTCCTTCCTTTCTTCCTCCCTTTCCCCCTTCTCCCCTTCCCCCTTCCCCCTCCCCTCCTCTCTCTTTCCCTTTCCTCCCCTCCCTTCCCTTCTCTCCCCTCCCCTCCCTTCTCTCCCCTCCCTTCCCCTTCCCTCCCCTCCTCTCCCTCCCCTCCCATCCCTTCCTTTCTCTTCCCTTCCCCTCCCCTCCCCTCTCCTCCCCTCCTTTCCCCTCCTCTCCCCTCCAGTCCCCTCCTGGCGTTCCTTTCTCTTCCCTTCTCCTCTCTCCACCCCTCCCCTCCCCTCCCCTCCCCTCTCCTCGCCTCTTCTTTTTTTCCACAGGATCTTGCTCTGTCACCCAGACTGGAGTGCAGTGGTGCAATCATAGCTTTTACTGCAGCCTTGAACTTCTGGGCTCAAGCATTCCTCCCACCTCAGCCTCTTGAGTAGCTGAGATTATAGGCATGTGCCACCATGTCCAGCTAGTTCTGATTGTTTTTTTTTTTTTTCAAATTTGATCTTTCTTTTTCTTAGTTCCTTGTTCTTTGCTTTAATTTTCAAGCTTCCCTTTTATTTATTAAAACATTCAAATATGATTATTCTATATTTTCTGTCTGGTAATGTTTATAGCATTATAGTATTTGAAACTTTATAGGTTTGACTCTGTTGCCAGTTCTTTCTGTTGGATGTCACTCGTAATGGCTTGTGGCTTTTTCTCTTGTGTATTTTGTGAATTTTTTTCGATTGTGAATTTATGTTCCTTGGAACTTTTCTAGTGGAAACTCTTTGTGGGCTATGTCGATGTTCTTGCAGCGAGGATTTGCTCAGCATTATGTATTACATATATGTTATTACAGCCGACACTTGAACAACACAGGTTTGAACTGCGCAGGTCCACTTATATGTGAATTTTCTTCCACCTCTGCCACCTCTGAGACAGCAAGACCCATTCCACTTCTTTCTCTTGCTTTTCAGCCTACTCAGAGACAACAAGGATGAAAAACTTTGTCATGATCCACTTCCACTTAGTGGATGGGAACATTAGAGAGGTGCCGTTAACTGGGGAACATTAGAGAGGTGCTGTTAACTGGGGACTGCCGTAAATTAAGTTCTGAGCTTGAAATTCTTCAGATTATACAATAGCATACATTCTGACTGCTAATCTAATTGAGGGCTATTAGTGGTTATGGATTCTCAGGGGAAATTGTTTTTTCCATATGCCACCAATACTAAGGTACAGACAAGGTCTTGGTTGGTCTCTGTCTCTGTCTCTCTGAGGTTTGTTTCCTTTTTACCTTTACATTGACTTTGGCTTCCTACTTTGGACAAGCTGTAGGTTTTAACATTGTGCCTTTAACAGCTTCTAAGTTAAATTGGAAATATCATGGTCTCCAGGACATTAAAGAAATATTCAGGGTGAAAGCTAACTTTGGTTCTATTTATATAATATTTTATATTTTATAGCGTGTAGTTGACCCTTGAACAATTTGAGTGCCAACCTCCTGTGCAGCTGAAATTCATGTATAACTTTTGACTCCCCAAAAATTTAACTACTAATAGCCTATTGTTGACCAGAAGCCTTACCTATAATATAAACAGTTGATTCACACATATTTTGCATGTTATATATATATTATATACAGTATTCTTTTTTCTTTGCACATTAAAAAAAGACATTTATTCTGCATCATGATCAGACTTACATTTAGCAATCAACAGCATGTTTGCAAAAAAAAAAAAAAATCTACATTGAAACCCTTTGTTGGAATGCTTTACACTTTCCACAGAACAGAAACTAAAATGACTTGTTATACAATTAGTCACAAATACAGTCCTCGAGTTTTTTGCCCATACCCATGAGTATTTGTCTAAAACAGGTCTTCTTTGTAGCAGCTAGGCCCTGCCACCACTGTGCTTGGCTGAGTTCACAATCTGTTGTAACCTGTAGCTTCCCTGTCACTTCTCTGGCTCTCCTCTCCTGCTAAGCTTTGTTTCCTAATTAAAATCTTCTGCCATTGCCATAGCTACTGCTGCTACTGGAACCACCATAGCCACCTTGGTTTCATGGTTTGGCAAAGTATTGGCCTCCACCACCATAGGGGCCAGGGCTTCTGCCTCCAAAGTTTCCTCCCTTCATGGGTCCAAAATTTGAAGACTGATTGTTGTAATTGCCAAAATCATTGTAGCTTCCACCACCTCCAAAATTGCTTCCATCATTACCAAATCCATTATAGCCATCCCCACTGCCACCATATCCACCACCACCACTGAAGTTTCCTCCACTACCAGTGTTGTCATTCCTGCCAAAACCACCTCCACGACCACCGCCAAAGTTTCTAGAACCACTTCAGCCTCTTTGGCTGGATAAAGCCCTAGCCATCTCTTGCTTTGACAGGGCTTTCCTAACTTCACAGTTGTGGCCATTCACAGTATGGTATTTCTGAATGACAGTCTTATCCACGGAGTCATGGTCGTCAAAGGTTACAAAGGCAAAGCCCCTTTTCTTGGCACTGCCTCAGTGAGTCATGATTTGAGTCACTTCAATTTTTCCATACTGTTCAAAATAATCTCTTAGGTGTTGTTCTTCATTGTTTAATGCCACCAACAAATATCTTTTTCATAGTTAAGTGGGCACCTGGTCTTTGAGAATCTTCTCTTGAGACAGCTCTCTTTGGTTCCACAACTCTTCCATCCACCTTATGTGGCCTTGCATTCATGGCTGCATCCACCTCCTCCACAGTGGCATGTGTGATGAACCCAAAGCCCCTGGAGTGCTCTGTGTTTGGATCTCTCATTACCACACAGTCCGTGAGCGTTCCCCATTGCTCAAAATGGCTCCTCAGGCTCTCATCGGTTGTTTTAAAGCTCAACCCTCCAATGAAGAGCTTCCTCAGCTGTTCGGGCTCTTTAGGAGACTCTGACTTAGACATGACGGAAGGGAGAAGAGAGACTTTAACGATGCTTCTTCAGTGGCGTCCGCGGGCAGAAAAGAACAAGCTGATGAACGTGTCTCACTGTATTCTTACGATAAAGTAAGATAGAGAAAAGAAAATATTATTAAGAAAATCATGTGGCTTATGCAGAAAAATGAAACTGGATTCCCTACCTTTCACCATATAAAAAATTTAGCTCAAAATAGATTAAAGATTTAAATGTAAGACCTTAAACTATAAGAATTTTAGAAGAAAACCTAGGAAACATCATTCTGGACATTAGTGTCGGGAGAGAATTTATAACTAAGTCCTCAAAAGCAATTGCAACAAAATCAAAAATTGACAAGCCGGACTAATTAAAGAGCCTCTGCACAGTGAAAGAAACTATCGACAGAGTTAAGAGATAGCCTGCAGAATGGGAGAAAATATTTGCAAACTGTGCAGCCAAGTTTGCAGATATCAAAGGTCTAATATCCAGAATCTGTAAGAAACTTAAACAATTGAACAAGCAAAAAGCCCCATTAAAAAATGGTCAAAAGACACGAACAGACACTTCTCAGAAGACATACAAATGGCCAAGAAACGTGACAAAATGGTCCATATCTCTAATCATCAGAGAAATGCAAATCAAAACCGCAATGAGATACCATCTCACACCAGTTAGAATGGCTGTTATTAAAATATTAAAAAACAAATGTTGGTGAGGCTGCAGAGAAAAGAGAATGCTTATACATTGCTGGTGGGAATGTAAATTAGTTCAGCCACTGTGGAAAGCAGTTTCGAGATTTAAAGAACTTAAAACAGGACTACCATTCAACCCAGTAATCCATTACTGAGTATATATCTGAACAAAACAAACTGTTCTACCAAAAAGACATGCGCATTTGTATGTTCATTACAGCACTATTCACAATAGCAAATAAATGGAATCGGACTATGTGCCCATCAATGGTGGATTGGATAAAAAAAAGAAATGGTACATATATACCACAGAATACCACACAGGCATAAAAATAACAAAATCATATTCTTTGTAGGAATACTGATGCAGCTAGAGGCTATTATCCCAAGCAAATTAACACAGGAACAGAAAACCAGATACTGCTTGTTCTCACTTATAAATGGGAGCTAAACATTGGGTACTCATGGACATAAAGATGGCAACAACAGAAACTGGAGACTACTAGAATGAGAAGGGAAGGGGGTGGGCAGTGGTTGAAAATCCGACTGTTGGGTACTATACTTAGTACCTGGGTGACAAGATCATTTGTACCCCAAAGCTCAGCATCATGCAATATACCCAGGTAACAAACCTGCACATACACCCTCTGAATCTAAAATAAAAGTGGAAAAAAAAAAAAAGATGCCAGGTACGGTGACTCATGCCTGTAATCCTGCACTTTGGGAGGCCGAGGCGGGCAGATCACCTGAGGTCAGGAGTTTGAGACCAGCCTGGCCAACGTGATGAAACCATGTTTCTACTAAAAATACAAAAATTAGCCAGTCATGGTGGCACGTGACTGTAATCCCAGCTACTCAGGAGGCTGAGGCAGGAGAATCACTTGAACTCAGGAGGCAGAGGTTGCAGTGAGCTGAGATCACTCCACTGCACTCCAGCCTGGGCAACAGAGTGAGACTTTGTCTCAACAAAAAAAAAAGAAAAATCATATGACTAGAAAGATTCCATAGAGCCAAAAAAGAAAAGGAAAATCGTCATAACAAAGAGAAAATATATTTACTATTCTTTAAGTGGAAGGTCATAAAGGTCTTCATTTTTGTCTTTATGTTGAGTAGGATGAGGAGGAGGAGGAGGAAGAAATGGAGTTGGTCTTGCTGTCTCAGAGGAGGCAGAGGTGGAAGAAAATCCACGTGTAAGTGGACCCACACTGTTCAAACTTGCGGTGTTCGAGGGTCAGCTGTAATAACATATATAATATATGTAATACATAATGTAATAAGTGATATTTTATATCATTTCATTGTTTTCATCAGGACAGTTCAGACTGTTTAGTACACCATATTGCTAGAAGTAAATGTCTTTGTTTATTGTTTATCCTATTCCAAGCTGGCTTCCATCCTCAGTTTTTCCACTGAAACTACTCACTAATGGCCTGTCTTTTACTAATTCTCATCTGTACTTCTTTGTCCTCATCTTACTTTACTTCTTAGACGCATTTAGTCCAGTCGACTCTTGCTGTCTAATAACGCAGTCTTTCTTGTGCTTCTCTGATACCTCTCTTCTGGTGTTTTTCCTACCTCTTCAACTGACCTCCAGATGTTGTAGTATCTCAGTACTGCATCGCCTTTCTTTCCCTTTCTTCCTTTTCCTTTCCTTCCCTCCGTTCCTTCTTTCCCTCCCCTCCTCCTCTCCATCTCACTCTGTTGCCCAGGCTGATTGTGGTGGTGTGATCACTGCTCGATCTCCCGGGCTCAAGTGATCTTCCTACCACTGCCTCCCGAGTAGAGTAGGTAGCTGGGGACCATAGGCACACATCACCATGGCCCTGATAATTTTTGTTCTTTTTTTTTCATAGAGATGGGGTCTTGCCATGTTGCCCAGGCCAGTCTTGAATTCCTGGGCTCAAACAGTCCACCCGCCTCGGCTTCCCAAAGTGCTGGGATTACAGGCATGATCTACTACACTGAGCCCGTTTTCTAAAAAGCCAGTCAGATTTAGCAGTGGGAGGACTACCTCATCCCTGATCATGTGCCTAGAGAGAGCAGGCTTTTCTTGTTAGCATAGTCTGGTGTTTCCAGATTGCTGGCTTCTCTAGTATTCATTTCAGAATATATGAGGCAAAGAACTCATCAGTCTGTCATTCCTTGTCTCCTGAGATCACTAACTGGTCTGCCTTCCCCTCTGTATCTTTCAGAGTCTTCTTACATTTGTTTTATATGTAATGTCCATGAATTTTAGCTGTACTTGGCAGAAGGAATAAGGAAAAGTGCATCTATGCCATTTTTTCTGGAATTGGAAATGCCTATTTTAAAAATTAAGCCAGGTGTGGTAGCTCACGCTTGTAATCCCAGCACTTTGGGAGGCCGAGGCGGGCTGATCACGAGGTCAGGAGATCGAGACCATCCTGGCTAACACTGTGAAACCCCGTCTCTACTAAAAATACAAAAAAATTAGCCGAGCATGGTGGTGGGTGCCTGTAGTCCCAGCTACTCGCGAGGCTGAGGCAGGAGAGTGGTGAGAACTTGGGAGGTGGAGCTTACAGTGAGCCGAGATTGCATGACTATACTCCAGCTTGGGCGACAGAGTGAGACTCCGCCCCCTCCAACAACAACAAAAAAAATTAGCCAGGCACTGTGGCGTGTGCGTGTAATCCCAGCTACTTGAAAGGTTGAGGCAGGAGAATCGCTTGCTCCTGTGAGGTGGAGGCTGCGGTGAGCCGAGATTGCACTACTGCACTCCAGTTAGAGTGACAGAGTGAGACCACAACTCAAAAAAAAACAAAAACATTGGATTGTCTTTTTATTATTGAATTGTGAGACTCCTTTATACTGGGTGCAAGTCATTTGCATTTGCCAGTGTTTTCATTGCCTCCTATTTACTGTGTAGTGAAGGAGGGATTTTGCCCCAGGTTATGGGAATGGCTGAACATGTAACACGTGACACTGGACAGTTGAGATCAACAGCAGTTTGTTTTATGTTTACAGCCTAGGGGAGTAGGACACTACATGCCATGCATGGCTACATGTAGATTACATTTGGGAACAAAATGAACAACCAGGGGCTGTAGGAGGCAGGCTTGGTAGTATCAAGAGTCTGGGGTGCCTTCTGGTTCCTAAAGAAGGATATGATTGGATTGTTTGGATAAGTCTGTGGGCTGGCAGGGGACCAGGACATGGGAAACCCACTACGTAGGGATAAGCAGGGACTGTGCCTGGTCCCTGTGATCAGAAGGGCTGTTTGAGTAGGCAGCCTTATCTGTGGGAGGAGAATGGGGAGGCAAACTTCTGGTTAGGCCATTTGAGGCCCTCCCACTTTCACCAGATGTCAAGGCAGCACACAATATTGGGCCTTAATTTGGGTCAAATATTAAATAGAATTGGGGAGAGTAAGTATTTTACTTTGTGAACTTAGGGAATAGCATTTAAGGTTTTTACCACTGAGAATGATGGTAGCCATGGGTTTTTTTCTGATCAGCTTAAGGATGCTTTCTAGTTTTCTGAGAGCTTTTCCCCTTCCCTCCCTCCCTCTCTCCCTTCTTTTCCCCTCCCCCTTCCCTTTGAATGAATTTTGAATATTGCCAAATGCTTTTCCCACATCTATTGAGATGATAATATGATTTTCTCTTTCCGTTACTGTGAAGATTTACATTGATTTTTGAATGTTGATCTACTCTTGTTTCTAGGATAAGCTCCACTTGGTCTTGCTGTGTTGTTACTATTTTAATACAGGTGGAGCATCCCTAATCTGAAAATTCAAAATCCGAAATGCTGCAAAATTCCAAACTTGAGTGCCGAAATGATGTTCATTTCAGATTTTGGATTTTTTTGGATTAGGATGTCCAACTGGTAAGTATCATGTAAATATTCCAAAATACAAAAAAAAAAAAAAAATCCAGAATCCAAAAGTGTCTCAAGCATTTCAGATAATGGGTGCTCAGCCTGTATACTGCTAGATTTCATTTGTTTATGTATTTTTGGGGGACCTTTTCATTTGGTCATGAGGGATATCAGTCTGTAATTTTCTTTTTTGAAATGTTTGTATCAGGTTTTGGTATCTGGGTTTTCCTGGCCTCATAAATTAGGGAGGTATACCTTGAATGTTTGCTAGAATTCACTAGTAAAACCATCTGGGCTTGGAGCTTTCTTTTTGGGAAGTGTATTGATTATTACTCAGATTCTCTGTTTCTTTTTGAGTCAGTTTTGGTGAATTGTGTTTTTAAGGAATCTGTTGTTTCATCTAATGTGTTGAATTTATTGGCATAAATGTCTATAGCATCTGTAGTGATATCCCATGATTTTGGTAAGAGATAAAATATTTTATCCTTTTCTTTCTTTCCTAATTATTCCTATTAGTTTATCCATTTATTAATTTTTAAGGTAGCCAACTTTTGACTTTGTTAATTTTCTCTGTGTTTTGCTTTCCTCTTTTATTGGTTTCTGCTTTTATATTTAATTTCCTCCATCTACTTACTTTGGATTTAGTTTGCTCATCTTTTTTCTAGATTCTTAAGGTGGAAGCTTAGGACTTTAATATGCATTTTAAATTTAATATTTGTCCTAAATTTATTGTTTAAGCTAAATTCTTGCCCTCCAGTCTTTCCTACCCCAACATTCAACTTGCTATTCTTTTAGCTGTCTCAGAAAGCTGAAAATTGTAGAAAATCTCAGATATTGAAGCTCAGGATTTCAGAGTAAACTTGATTCTTCCTTTTCCTCATCCACCATATTCAGTACATGATAAGTCCTATTCATTTTAGCCCCCAGATATATCTTCAGTCCGTTCCCCCACCTTTTTTGTTTTTTGTTTTTGTTTTTTCCAAAGGTAGCTGTATGGAAATTTAATTTTTAATTTTCTTGTAGCGAGGGGTCTTGCTATGTTGCCCCAGCTGGTCTCAAGCTCCTGGCTTCAAGCAATCCTCCCACCTTGGCCTCCTGAAGTGTTAGGATTACAAGTGTGAGCCACTGTGCCTGGTCTTATCTTCTTCTTTCTGTTTCTGCTGGTCACCTAGATGATCATAAGGGTGTATTATCCTTATCATTTTAGGTCACTTCTCCAAAGAGCAACCACAAGGACTGGAATCAGATCAGGCCATTCCCTGAATTAAAATCTTCATTGGCTTTAGGAAATGCCTGCTTCCAGCTTCTGCTGGAGGCTATGCTTCCCAGCAAGAAAAGAAAAAAGAAAATTCATTGGCTTCCTATTATGCAAAATAAATTCCATTATATCTTATCATGGTCTATAAGGCCCTGCATTTGTGGCCTCCACCTACCTATCAAATCTCATTTCTTAGGCCAGGCGTGGTGGCTCATGGCTATAATCCAAACACTTTGGGAGGCCAAGATCACGAGATCAGGAGTTCGAGACCAGCCTGACCAACATGGTGAAACCCCATCTCTACTAAAGGGTGTGGTGGCACGCACCTGTAGTCCCAGCTACTCAGGAGGCTGAAGCAGGAGAATCACTTGAACCCAGAAGGTGGAGGTTGCAGTGAGCCAAGATCGCACCACTGCACTCCCGCCTGGGTGACAGAGCAAGACTTTGTCTCAAAAAAAAAAAATTATTTTAATTTTAGTTCAATTATCACCTTCTCAGAAAACCTTTTCTATTGAAATTGCTTAAGCAATAATTTTAATCCATTCTGTTACTGCCTTAACACAGACTACCATCAATCATTAACCCTCACATATTATTGTAACTGTCCTCCTTTTATCTGATGTTACCCACCTCCTATCTCCTCTCTCTTCCAATTGAATCTATTCTTTTAAAATATCGCTAGGATTTTATGATGCCATTTTCCTGGTTAAAACCCAGGTTAGGCCAGGAATGGTGGCTCATGCCTGAAATCTCAGCACTTGGATGCCCAGGCTGGCGGATCAGTTGAGGCCAGGAGTTTGAGACCAGCCTGGCCAACATGGAGAAACCCTGTCTCTACTAAAAATACAAAAAAAAAAAAAAAAGAAAAAAGAAAAAAGAAAAAAAATTTAGCTGGACATGACAGCACATGCCTGTAATCCCAGCTACTCGGGAGGCTGAGGCACGAGAATTTCTTGTGCCTGGGAGGCAGAGGTTGCAGTGAGCTGAGTTCGTGCCACTGCACACCAGTCTAGGTGATAAAGCAAGACTCTGTCTCAAAAACAAAAAAAAAAAACAACACCCAGGTTAATGGCTTTCAATTAATTGTCCTTAGAATAAAGTCTAAATTCTTTAGCTTGTTCTAGAAGTTTTTTTGTTGTTGTTTATTTATCTTTTTTTTTTTTTTTTGGTGATCAGCTTTCTTTTTACCTCTATAGCTTCATTTCTTCTCATAGTCTTCTTGATACTCTGATCCGGGCATATCGAATTCTCTGTTTTTATAGTGTGCCAAGTTTTTTCTTTTCTTGGGCTTTTCCATAAGCTAATCTCTGTACCTCACCTGCTTATCTTAGTAAGTTCAGACTGCTATTATAAAATACCACAGACTTGGTAGCTTATAAACTGCAGAAATTTATTTCTCATAGTTCTAGAGTATGAGAAGTCCAAGATCAAGGTGCTGGCAGATTTGATGTCTGATGAGGGCCCATTTCCCGGTTCATAGATAGGGTCTTATCCCTGTGTCCTCACGTGGTGGGATGGGTTAAAGAGCTCCCTTTTACCCATTTGTTAGGATAAACTAAAAAGTATTTATCCTGGTGGAGCTTACATTCAAGTGGGTGGAAATAGGCAAAAATAAAAACATACTAAACATGTATTGGCCAGGCATGGTGGCTCACGCCTGTAATCTCAGCACTTTGGGAGGCTGTGGTGGGAGGATCGCCTAAGACCAGCCTGGACAACATAGGGAGATGCCATCTCTACAAAAAATAAAAAAGAAAATTAGCCAGGAGTGGTGGCATGCACCTGTATTCTCAGCTACTCGGGAGGCTAAGGTGGGAGGATCGCTTGAGCCCAGCAGTTCGAGGCCGCAAGTTAATCATGATTCTGCCACTGCATTCCAGCTGGGATGATAGAGTGAGACCCTGTCTCAAAAATAAATAAATAAAAAATGTATCAAGTTAGACAGTTGGTGTTATTGAAAAAAATAAAGCAGGAAAGGAGGCATATAAAGTGTTCTTGGTGGCTGCAATTTTAAATAGTTATCAGGGAAGACTTCTCTGAGGAGGGGATAACACAAAAAGAACTGAAGGAGGTGAGGAAATGAGTCACGTGGATTTCTGGGGCAAGTATTTTTCCAGGTCTGTGGAACAGCAGGTCTCTAAGGTGGGAATATGCCTGTCATGTTGAAAAAGCAACCAGGAGGCTATTGTAGCTGTAGCATAGTGAGCAAGGGGGAGATTGGGTCAGCGATCGGGTCTGCCTCTTGTAGGGCCTTATAGACTATTATACAGACTTTAGTTTTTAACTGTTACTGTCGTAGAAAGCTATCGGATAATTTTAAGCAAGGAAACGACAAGATTTGATTTGCATTTTTATGGGATACACTCTAGCTGCTGTGTGTTAGTGGGGTGAGGGTAGGAGCAAAGAGTGTTAGGAGGCTGTTGTAATGATCTGTGTACAATGTGATGGTGACTTGGAGCAGAGTGGTAACAGTAGAGGTGCTGAGATTCTGGATGCATTTTCAATGTGGATTTAATAGGATTTTCTGATTAGTGGGGCATAAAATGTAAGTTTTTCTTTTTTGAGACAGAGTATCACTCTGTCGCCCAGTCTGGAGTGCAGTGGTGCAATCTCAGCTCACTGCAATCTCTGCCTCCTGGGTTCAAGAGATTCTCCTGCCTTAGCCTCCCGAGTAGCTGAGACCACAGGCGCGTGCCACCATGCCCAGCTAATTTTTGTATTTTTAATAGACCATTGGCCAGGATAGTCTTGATCTCTTGACCTTGTGATCCGCCTGCCTCAGCCTCTCAAAGTGCTAGGATTATAGGCATGAGCCACTGTGTCTGGCCTAAAATGTCATTTTTTTGGGTAACTTTTTCAGAGAGGCTGTAAGCTTCTTGAGGGTGAAGACCTTGTCTTATTTATCATTGTATTCTTAGCACCATACCACAACAGCTAGAACATAGTAATCACATGCCCATGTGATTTTTAAAAAATCGTATATTACTTAAAAAAATTTATTTACTTTTTAAATTGACACATTTTAATTACACCTATTTGTGGGTTACATTTTGATGTTCAATACATATGTATGTTGTATAATAATCCGATCAGTGTAGTGTATCCATCACCTTATTCATGTATCATTTCTTTGTGGTGAGAGCATTCAAAAGGCTGTCTTTTAGCTATTTTGTGATATACAATATTTCACTGTTAACCACAGTTACCCTACTGCATGGTAGAATACCAGCAAGTAAATACTTTTTGAATGAATGACTGTATATGGAAACTTAACAGTGAAAAACAAGAGTAAAGTGAAAGGCAGCCTAAAGCTATGGTGGCAATAACAAAACAGCTGGGCACTGTGGCTCACGCCTGTAATCCCAGCACTTTGGGAGGCTGAGGCAGGCGGATCACCTGAGGTCAGGAGTTCGAGACCAGCTTGGCCAACATGGTGAAACCCCGTCTCTACTAAAAATACAAAAATTAGCCAGGCCTGGCGGCAAGCGCCTGTAATCCCAGCTACTCGGGAGGCTGAGGCAGGAGAATCGCTTGAACCTGGGAGGCAGAGGTTGCAGTGAGCCGAGATTGTGCCACTGCACTCCAGCCTGGGTGACAGAGCGAGACTCTGTCTCAAACAATACAAAACAAATGAAGCATATTTTCTTTTTCTTTTTTTCTTTTTTCTCTTTCTTTTTTGAGACAGGGTCTCACTCTATTGCCTGGGCTGGAGTGCAGTGGTGTGAACATGGCTACCGCAGCCCGGACCTCCTGGGCTCAAGTGATCCTCCCGCCTCAACCTCCTAAGTACCTGGGACTATAGGTGCATGCCACCATGCCTGGCTAAATTTTTTTTTTTTGTATTTTTTGTAGAGATGGGAATTTGCCATGTTGCCAAGGCAGGTCTCAAATTCCTAGGCTCAAGCGATCTGCCTGCTTTAGCCTCCCAAAGTGCTGGCATTACAGGTGTGAGCCACTGTGCTGGGCTGAAGCATCTTTTAAAGAAGAATTGTTCTGTAGTTCTAGCACTTGAGACTGTGGTCATCTGGAAGACAACTCTTTCATCAGTTAAAAAAAAAGATGAACTCATATTCCTCATTTTCATCCCCTGGATAATCTCCTTTAAAGGTTATTAACAAAAGGAATAATTAAAGTAATGATAGCTAACATTTACTGAATGTTTTCTTTGTACCAGGTACAATGATAAATGCATTGCATGTATTATCTTATTTAATTGTCATGAGATTCATATGAAGTAGGTGTTATTGTTATTCCACTTAACAGATGAGGCAATTGAAGGTCTCATAGCTACTAAGAGTGATATGAATCCAGGATTCAAGCCCAAGCCTAGCTCTTAATTGCTACCCTGTCTTGCTTCCCATCTGGCATCTGTTTTCAGTCTTCCTCTCTCTCCTTGCTATTCTAAGTGACTTTGATAACTCAAGGAACATTTTAACCTCCCAGTTCCTTAATGTTGTCAATGTCAATGATCTTTCGTATCTCTTTTCTTGCTACTTAATTCCATGGCAGTACCTTCTACTGTATCATCAGGCACAATAGTTTCACCTGAAATATTAAAGTCATATCTCCCCATTCTTTACTATAATTGTCTATCCTTTCACAAACTTTCTTCTTCATATTCTCATTACTTCATTTCCTTGGCCTTGCTGAGTAATCTAGGTTTTTAATTGCTATCTTTTCATCTAGTCTCTCAGTCTTTCCCTTTCATCTTTAAGCGTACATCTAATGACAATTCATATTCGTTGAGCACTTACAATATCTCAAGCACTGTATTTAGTATTTTATATACACAAAAACTCTAGAAGAATAGGTGCTAGTATTAGCCCCATTTTATAGATAAGGACATTTAAGCAAAGCAAAGTGATTTCCTTAAGGTCATATAATCAGGCATTGGTTGAGACCCAAGACCCAAGTCCACATCTATTTTTGACACTGACACTCATGATGTTATAACATTTCATGCTTATTGCTGTCTTCATTTTATTTACTTTCTCCCTGATGCTTTCAATTCTAGTCTCTCATCCTATTATTCTTTTTTTTGTTTGAGACAGAGTCTGACTCTGTCACCCAGGCTGGAGTGCAGTGGTGTGATCTTGGCTCACTGCAACCTCCCCCCTCCCGGGTTCAAGCCATTCTCTGGCCTGAGCCTCCCTAGTAGCTGGGATTACAGGTGCACACCACCATGCCTGGCTAATTTTTGTATTTTTAGGAGAGATGGGGTTTCACCATGTTGGCCAGACTGGTCTCGAACTCCTGACCTCAAGTGATCTGCCTGCCTTGGCCTCCCAAAGTGCTGGGGATGCAGGCATGAGCCACCATGCCCAGCCCCTCATCCTATTATTCTTATTTGACAAAACCTCAAGCCATACATACATCAGTATAACAGCCCATATTTTAAAATATAGATATTGTTAGGTATATGTAATTTAAAATACTGTTTGAAGATGGTTTTATTTGGCTCAGAAAATTACAAGGAAGAATCATCTGCTGGGAATTATGGGTGTGGGGAAGAATGGGATCTCAACCTAGTGGAATATAGTAAAGACTAAAAATTACTTTCATTAAATTACTTTCAAAGAGAACTTCTTTGTTGAACACATTATATGACATAAAAGTATTTGTTATACTTGCCAGTAATTTCTTGATCTCGGCTGGGCGTGGTGGCCCACGCCTGTAATCCCAGTACCTTGGGAGGCCGAGGCAGACAGATCTTCTCAGGTTAGGAGTTGGAGACCAGCCTGGCCAACATGGTGAAACCCCATTTCTACTAAAAATACAAAAATTGGCCAGGTGTGGTGGCACATGCCTGTAGTCTCAGCTACTCAGGAGGCCGAGGCAGGAGAATTGCTTGAACCTGGGAGGAGGAGGTTGCAGTGAGCCAAGATCGTGCCACTGCACTCCAGCCTGGGCGACAGAGTGAGACTCCGTCTCAAAAAAAAAAAAAAAAAAATTAGCTGGGCCTGGTGGTACGCGCCTGTAGTCCCAGCTACTCGGGAGGCTGAGGCACAAGAACCCCTTGAACCCCGGAGGCGGAGATGGCAGTGAGCTGAGATGGCACCATTGCACTACAGCTTGGGCAACAGAGTGAAACTGTCTCATAAATAAATAAATAAAATAAAAGCTAACTTGCCGATAATAGGTCTTACATAGGTAAGGACAAAGTATCATAAGCAGAAAGAATTTTTTAAAAGTGTCATAAACAAAATAATATTCTAACTGAAGCAACTGGATACCATAATGAAAAGGAATTGAACCAATGCAAATTTATAGCATAAGGATGGGAACTAATTTTAGAAGTCCTACTTTGGATAGATTTTCACCTTTTGTACAGTTACCACTTGAAAATTTTCCTTACGTATACCAGAAGAGATACACTAGTTATTTTCTTGTTATTTCTATTTGCATTGTCTTGTTTTATAAAAATATTTTTCTGTATATTTTTCTAAAAGTTGTTATTTCACAGGGTTTCATCTGCCCCTTATGTATGAAAAGATGTATAACTGCTATTGATTTATTGGAGCATTACCAGAAAGTGCACGATGAAAATGAAACAAGAGGACAGGAACTTCTTAATGACTCCAGTGTTACTGTGGGTCCTGTATATTTTGTTTTAGCAGCTTGGTTTTGGGTTGCTCAAAATAGCTGGTTTTTCCTTGCCTCGGTGTTGCTTAACTTTTTATGCTACAAGGGAATATGGATTGCTTTAATTATGCATGCTTAAAGGAAGTTTCAATAAGGAAAAGAGGCTCTTGGGAAGTCTGCGTGGTTTCTCTTCCTGTTTGCAGCTGTCTTTTTGTGAATTTGTAAATAAATACAGAAATTTAAGTTAATATTTTGTATCAATTTTGCCATGAAATCAAAATATTAAGTGAATATTATTCCAACATTGGTAAGTTATATTTTTATTATTTTGTTAATGTTTCATTAATGGATGTATTAAAATGCTTTAGTATAAAATACTTTGCTCTTACTTAGAAAAAGGACTTTGAGGCTGGGCACTGTGGCTCACGCCTGTAATCCTAGCACTTTGGGAGGCTGAGGTGGGCAGATCACTTGAGGTCAGGAGTTTGAGACCAGCCTGACCACTGAGGTCAGGAGTTTGAGACCAGCCTGGCCAACATGGTGAAACCCTGTCTCTACTAAAAATACAAAAACTAGCTGGGTGTGGTGGCATGTGCCTGTAATTCTAGCTACAGGGAAGGCTGAGGCACAAGAATCGCTTGAACATGGGAGGCAGGGGTTGTAGTGAGCCGAGATCATGCCTGTGCACTCCAGCCTGGGCAACAGAGTGAGACTCTGTCCCGTCCCTGCCCCACCACCGCCAAAAAAAAAAAAGGAAAAAGACTTTGCATATAAACAGTTATTGTCCCTATTCAGGAAAATATACAGCGTTAGAACTTGAATCTCAGACTGTCTCAATTTTTGTTTTAACACCCCTAGACTTGAGGAAGGTGACAGAATGACATACTCTCATAAGTAACAGTGGATCAGTCCGAAAATATTTCTCAGTATTTCCCAGTATCTGAGGCTGCACGTAACAAAGGCTGAGGAGGGGAGCAAGTTAGGGGAAGCGCTGCCCATTTTCAGGCTGAAAAGAATTTCTCAGATGATCCTGATAATGTGTTTTCTTTGAAAATCACTATGGTATTCCAAAAACAAAGGAAACATAGCTTTTAAAAAATATTTTATAAATCTTATAAAATAATGCAACCTTTTGCACCAGAAAGACCAAAAATTACTTTTTTCTATGAGGTAATTATGTATATAAGAAAGGATT
The DNA here is from genome assembly GCF_000001405.40 of Homo sapiens. Classification (NCBI taxonomy): domain Eukaryota; kingdom Metazoa; phylum Chordata; class Mammalia; order Primates; family Hominidae; genus Homo; species Homo sapiens. Next base: position 92,870,220 of record NC_000012.12, on the reverse strand, counting down.
CTTAACAACATTTAGTTATTTGACACATTAATGGAGTACCTTTTATGTGGCAGATATTTTGGCAGGTGAGGGAGATAATAGGTGAATAAGGTACAATCTCTACCCCAGGAGGTTTCTATGATAGGTATTATTTGCAAAAAGTGCAGTGGCTAATTCAGCATAAGAGGAACTCAGGAAAAACTTTATAGGAGGACAGTTAAACCAGAGATTTTAACTGTGGTGGAGAAAATGGGTGCATGTAGGATGATACCAGTTAAACTGGCTGAAGCAGTGCAAGCAAAGCTGGAGGCATAAAAGATTCTTGAAAATCTGGTTAGCATTTTATCACATGTTATCCTTCTGGACCTTGTGGGTCAACTTTTCTTCTTGATGGACTAGCCAAAATCAAAAGTAATAATCTCACCTACTCTGCACTTAAAATAAGGGCTTTCCTTTTTTTTTTTTTTTTTTTTTTTTTTTTTTTTTTTTGAGGCAGAATCTCACTGTGTCACCCAGGCTGGAGTGCAGTGGTGCAATTTTGGCTCACTGCAACCTCCACCTCCCAGGTTCAAACAGTTCTGCCTCAGCCTCCCGAGTAGCTGGGACTACAAGGGTGCATCAGCATGCCCAGCTAATTTTTTGTATTTTTTTTTTTTTTTAAGTAGAGATGGGGTTTCACCATGTTGGCTAGGGTAGTCTAGAACTCCTGGCCTCAAGTCATCGGCCTGCCTTGGCCTCCCAAAGTGCTGGGATTATGGGCGTGAACAACTGCGCCCGGCCAGGGCTTTTTCTTTTAACTAAAAGGATACTTGGTACAACAGGAGTACCTTAAGTTCCAGTTAAGGTAAGTTCTTAGTTGCAGTGGATATGAGAAAGGATTACAGATAACCAAACTCTGGAAGTATTGAATATATTGTTTTAAATCTTAAGTAAATTGTGTTTTTTGGAAGTTGGTGACAAATTTGAAATGACTAAGGGAAATAAATGTAGCTGGCTAGTTTTAGTGTGTTATTGTTAGCTAACAGCCTTTCTCTGGAATTTATCTATCTAGCAACCTCGATCCCCTTGGACATCATTTAGAAAAAAATAGAGGAGTCTCTTATATCAAATTGGTTTTCAAAGTCCATGAACTAAAGGTCATGCGATCTGTTCATGGGACATCCCTGAGGCACTCATTCTAAACTCATTATACTTTTATTTTAAATGAATGATGGGTTTTAATAAACTTTTTTTTTTAATCTACCCATCCCATTTATTGCAAGTTAGCATTCCCAGAGCTAGTATGCTAAGAATTTTTAGTAATGACTGTTGAAATACAGAGCAGGCAAACTATAAAATGTGGATATAAGAATTAAAGAGGCTTGCCAGAATTAATAGGGTAGAAGACATCTTTTCAGTGATAAATATTTATGTCTTGGAGGTATTAGACAAAGGTTTAATATCATCTATTTGAGAAGGTGCGGAATTATATGTATTTTAGAAAGATTTATTTTTATTAGAAATGTCCCCAAATTTAAGTTTTATTTAAACAAGGAAATCTTAATCACATGGAAAATTCACTTATGTGGAATATTTCTATAATGAAATGTATGTTACTGATTTCTGAAATTTCTCATTAGGAATGAATCATTTATTTCAGGGTATTAATCTGGTAATTTTTGGAAGTTGTAAGAAGGTATGGCATACCTCAGTGTGATCATTAGCTTTCTGGCACACTTAGGTATCTGGAGCCCAAACCTGAAAGTGGAGCCAATAGTCAAAAAGCCACAGTTGTGAAGATTAAATCGTGTAATAGGGATGTAGCTTCTCCGAGGAACACTTTTTCATTTGCTTTCTAGTTATTAGCAGAAGTTGAGACACAAAAGAGAAATGACAGGCTAAACATTATATGGGTACATGTACTGTTGCACTAAAGGCATATCTACTAGTGTTGTACAACAGTGGGTAGGAGATCTAAGAATGCCAACAGATGGTTTTGAAGAAAAGGAGAATAACAGCAGCTAGACTAACATCCTGACTGGGAGCATTCATTCATTCAGAAGACAATGTTGAGTACCATATCTCTGGAGCCTAATGGCATTACTGTATTCTGATGTCCAGAGGCACATCCTCAATACTACCGTTTGCTCATTTCAGGAGTTTCATAGGAGATTATTGCATTTATCACCTGTTGTGCCCCTGCCCTTCATTCTGGCTCTGTGATCAGAACACACCTAGAAGCCTTCTGTTTCCTAAATGTAACATGACTATTCATAGTGTTTCCTGCACCTTTGTTTATGCTCCTCCATTTGCTTAGAATGCTTTTCTCTCTGCCAGGTAAACTCCTATTTATTCTTTCGTACTGAATTCCAGTGACTGTGTCTCTCTCTCTCTCTCACACACACATACACTATGCAGCTGCAATGAGGATGGAGATGAGACACATATATAATATGTATGTGTATATGTATTTTTGTAAAGTATTAACTGCTGCCACAGGTGGAGTTGGATACTTCTCCTGTGTTCCTGTAATTCTTTATATATAATTGTATTATATAGCATTGTATGGTAATATTTGTCTACATATCAGTATCCCCAATAAACAGTGAGCCTTGATTCTGCCACATAATGTGCACAAATAATAAATGAGGATGTACATTTTTTGGCATCAGCATTCAAGGAGCAGTTTTTTTATTTATTTATTTTTAGTTTTTACGTGCTCAGAGTACTTATTGCTTAGCTCATTTTCTCCCTTAGAAGATTTTATAATCTGTAAGCTATTAAAGATCTTCTTTTTTTTGGCCAATTTTTGCACTGCCATGTTCATTCATATTTCAGTGAATAAATATACAATATAGAAAAATATAGTATGTTTAAAGTACCACCTGTGGCCATTATGGAAATATGGATGAAAAAAATCCAATATGCTGTGTATTACAGTGAGTATAGGAACTTGACAAGCTAATGAGGGTGCTCCTGGAGGGAAAAAGCAGTATACGCAAAGGCACAGAAATTTGAAGTATGATGGCGTGCTCAGGGAAACGCAGGTATTTTAGTATTGTTGAAGTATGGTGAGGGAGTGTCTGGAGATCAGACTGCATAGGTTGTTAGGGGAATGGTTATGCAGAACCTTGTATGCCATATTGATGATAAAGTTTGCTGAAGGATATTGAAGAATCTGTTTTAGAAAGATTCCTCTGGCAGCTCTGTGGAAGATTAATTAGGAAGAGGGAAGACTGGATATAGGAGCACTGTTTCTAATGTTATTGCAGAGTGTGGACAAGAGATACTGAGTATCCGAACACGAGCAGCTGCAATGAGGATGGAGATGAGAAGATGGAAAGGAGAAATGTTTATGCTTAATGTTTTATTAGAAATGAGTGAGAGGGAGAGTAGTGAGTAGTTTAGCCAAATTTTTAGGTTTCTAGTTTAGGTGAAAGGTGGGCGTTGATGAGAAAAGGAGGTTTGGAAAATGAGTCTTGCATTTGTTGTATTTGAGATGCCTGTGGGATGCAGGTAGAGATATATGTTGTTAAAGATCCAGAAGAATTCTGGAGTGAGTTATTGGCTAGATAGATGGATTTGGGAGTCATCAGCATGTCAGTGATAGCTAAAACCATTGCATTGTTATATACCTGGGAGAATGCTGAGTCAGAAGAGGAGGAGGTCAATGAGAGAGCCCTGGGGAACAGTGATCTTTAAAGGGAATTGTATTTTTTTTTTTTTATAGAATCAAGAGAGGATGACCATTCTTATATGTAAAAGCTGTACATTCTAATAAAACTTACTTTCCATAGAACCTTCAAAGTTATAATATATTTACTTGTTGCTTACAGTGCCGAAGCACCACTGCCACACACATTCCATTTTATTTTTGTATCTCTAATAGAGGGGAATTTTAGAATTGTGGTGTACTTGATGGAAGCAAAACAAGTTTATTTCTTGCTACCTTTAATTAGCAGAATTGTATGTGTAATAACTTTATCATGATTTTGCTAATTACTATTTTAAAAAAATCTTTGATTTAATGAATGACTACAAATATTCTTTTTTTTTTTTTTTTTTTTTTTTGAGAAGGAGTCTTGCTCTGTCACCCAGGCTGGAGTACAGTGACATGATCTTGGCTCACTGCAACCTCCACCTCCCAGGTTCAAGCAATTCTCCTACTTCAGCCTCCTGAGTAGCTGGGACTACACGTGTGTGCCACCACACCCGGCTGGGCATGGTGGCTCATGCCTGTAATCCCAATGCTTTGGGAGGCCGAGGCGGGTGGATCACCTGAGGTCAGGAGTTCGAGACCACCGGGCCAACATGGCGAAACCCCATCTCTACTAAAAACACACAAATATTAGCTGGGCGTGGTGGCGGGTGCCTGTAATCCCAGCTCCTCGGGAGGCTGAGGCAGGGAAAATCGCTTGAACCCAGGAGGTGGAGGTTTGCAGTGAGCCAAGATTGCACCATTGCACTTCAGCCTGGGTGACGGAGCGAGACTCATTCTCAAAATAAAATAAAATAAAATAAAATAAAATAAAATAAAATAAAATAAAAAAATAAAAGTTGCAACCCAGTAAGTTGATTTCATAATTCATTAATGAATTGCAACCTAAAATTTGTAAAACATGGATCTTTATCAGCATCTTTAACATAGTACTCTAGTTGGTAGTTTTAACCATATAATAATTTTGAGATTAGTTATGTAGTTATGTTTGTTTTTTATATTTTATGGGGCTACACATTAATTTTAGGCCTTTACTGTGTTAGCTGTAGGTTAGCAAGGACATTTACTGACTAGAAAACTTGTTATCATTGTAGATATCCAAACTCTGTGGTGATTATGAATTACTTTTTTTCCCCCTCAGTGGTTCATCTTCTTTTTTTTTTTTTCATAGCATTCCTATGAAGTAGATTGGAACAGATATTATTTTACTAATGAGGATAGCTAGAGAAAGGAAGGATATGATGGCAAATCTTCTCAACTAATCTATATTAGAACTAACTTTTCAGATTAGACTTGGGTACTCCAGCTATTAATTTATCTGACCTAAAAATAAAAGATGGTTGCAAGGGCTTTCTTTGTATTTTGTAAACTTCAACTAGAATAGACAATGAAGTATCTTTGCATGATACTAGAATTTGGGATTAATACCATAAGATAAAATTTACCTAATGGCACCATTGGTATGATTCAGACATTTGGTGATATTTAATAATATGCAAATTGTTATTTCACAATATTAAATACTATTTTGAAACTTTTTTCTGCCCCTTTCTATAGGGTTTCATATGTCCCCAGTGTATGAAATCTCTTGGATCTGCTGATGAACTTTTCAAACATTATGAAGCTGTTCATGATGCTGGTAATGACTCAGGTCATGGAGGAGAGTCTAATCTTGCTTTGAAGCGGTACGGTATGATAATTTTGAAGTATAATGTTATGGAATATGCATGTGGTATCGTCGTTTAATCATGATTAATTAGCTTATGAAAATAGTAACCTTTTTGTATTATTTAATTTAAATCTGTCATCATTTAGCATATCCTTCCTCCACTATTGTTAAAAACTATTCAATCCTTGACCAGTAACTATCTATGCCAGCAAGTACAATACGGTACATAGGTTATGTTTTTAATGAAGATTGTGAGTTAGCAAAAGAAGATTAAATTATATTTAGCATATTGTGTGTAATATAAGATGATACGATTTGCTTAGATGACTTTATAGTAAGTTGTTAAAATAATAAATTTAGCCAACAATTAAAATTTAATTTTTAATTTAAAATTTAAAAATTTCCATTTATAATCACCAGTATAGCAATAAGCATACGTACACATTGTGTTTCCTGGTAATTTTTCTTGGCCATTTTAAGAAGTAAAAGTAAACTAAAATATAACTACTTAGAATAGCATTCAATGGTATAACTTTGCATTTCTTCTGCTATTGGAGAGAACTCTTGTCTTTTATCCCCACTGAGGGCATAAAAGTTTCACTTCATTGTACTTGTAAAAAAGTATTTTTATGCTTTCCTAAAAAAAAACTTACTGGTTGATTAATCTGCTGTAACACAAAGAATACTACATAAAGGAAAATATGATAACCATATAAACTTTGTGGTTGATAGATAATGTAGATCTATAAAACATGGCCATTTTACTGTATTAAAATATGTGGGAAAACCAGTGCTTTTGGGAAGAATGGATCTTCCTTTTTAATATGACTGCTAATGCTCTCGGGTATTTTTATGTGTGAATTAATAATTTTGGCTACTATTCTTTTGTCATTTGTTAGGAAATACATTAAAAACATGTAGTTAAATTATATTATAAATGTTCTTATATTTAATATCAATTTAATAGAGTTGTGTTTCAACTATGAATTAGACTGTGTCCAGTATATGAACTTTTAACATAAAAGCATCCACGGTCTACCCTTGTTCTTCTTAACTTTTCATTTAGTGTTTTAGTTAATTGAAGCCTGACTTCTGCCCTACCATTCTCTGGCTATGGCTCTGAAGACCAACAGTAACCTGGATTATTTTCAGTTCTTATTTTGCTTGACCTCTGTTTTGATTATCTATTACTGTCTGACAATCTACCCAAAGAACATAGTGGTTTAAAACTATAACAGTTTATGAATTCTCATGATTCTTTGAATTGACTGCATGATTCTTTTGCTTTAAGTGAGGGAGACTGGGGTTGTAGGAAGACCAGAAGGTTCAAAATGGCCTCACATTCATGGCTGGAAGTCTGTGTTGGATGCCAGCTGGGAGCTCATCTGGGGCTTTATGCCAAAGGCTTCAATTCTCTTTCATGTGGGCCTCTTTATGTGGCTGCTTGGACTTCCTCAAAAGCTGGTAGTTCGTTCTAAGGTAGTATGTTCCAAGAGGAAAGAAGCAGAAGCTGCCAATCTTCTTTAGGCTTGATTCAAAAGTGTCAGAGCATCACTTCTGCCATTCTATTGGATAAAGTAGTCATAGTGCCAAGTCAGATTCATGAGGCCTGAAGATAAACTTTGTCTTTTAGTGGATTAGTATAGGAAAGGAAGAACTTGATTGTAGTCATCTCTGTAGAGTATCTGCAACAACCACTGCAAAATTTGGCTGTGCCAGTTCTCCTTCCTTCTACTCTTCTGAGATGACATACCATTGTGATAATTTTTTCTTGATCTGTTTTGTATGCTGCTCTTTCTCTGTATGATCTACCTAGGGTAATATCTACATCCATAACTTCCTCCTAAACCATATCTCCAACCTAGAATTATCTCCCAACTTGCCTATTAGGTATCTTCCCTCAGATGTTCTGGAGGCACCTCATCATTGACATTTTGAAAACAGAGTTTTTTCTGTTTTCTTCTAAACCTACTGCTTGTCTACTATTACTTCTTCTGGAGAATGGTGTCATTATCTGTCCACCCAGTTAGTAAAGCCAGGAAAGTAGGTGTGATCATTTTTACACATCTGCTCCTCCTACCCGCATCTGATTTATCATAAAGTTTAGTTAATTCTGTTTCCTTAACAGCATATATTCTTTTACATTTTTACTGTTATAGTTTATTTTAGGCCTTAAATCTCACTCAGAAATGTTTTTTCATATTTATAGTTGGCTCTCTATCTTTAGTCTTGTACTCCTCCAATTCTCCATATTGCTGCCAGAATAATATTCTTTTTTCTTTTTTTTTTAGAGATAGGATCTTGCTCTGTTTTCCAGGCTGGTATAGTCATAGCTTACTGTAGCCTCCAACTCCTGGTCTCAAGTAATCCTCGTGCCTCAGCCTCCCAAGTAACTGGGACTACAGGCATGGACCAACATGCCTGGCTAATTTTTACTTTTTTTTTCTTTTTGGGACAGTGTCTCACTATGTTGTTCAAGAACCTCAAGAAGTCCTCAAGGAATTCTCCCACCTCAACCTGCCAAAGTGTTAGGATTGCAGGCCTGAGTCACTGCGCCTGGCCAGAATAATATTCTTAAAATGCAAATTTGATTGGCATTGCTCTAAGTAGTAATTTTTGCAGGCTTCTCATTGCTTACGGAAGTTACTGCATGCGTTTCCGTTTTTATTGTATTGTATCTCTTCTTCCCATTTTCCTACACCTCAGTTTCTGACAATTACATTCTACTCCACTATAACACTGTGGATGACATGTGACTATGAGCAGGCTATGTCTTTTAGATCAAAAGTCCACATGACTCAGGTGGGTCATGAAACCTTTTTGCTTTAAAGCCTTCTGTTCATCAGCTTATATGCGAATTTCATCAACATCAATCAAATATTTGAAGCTTGATGCATTAGTGAGCTTTTTTAGGCTAGATCTTTAAATGTACATATGTAGATGTACATAGTACAAAATTCAGATGGTTCAAAAAAGTTTATGGTGAAAATTGAGCGCTTGCCACCCCTTTTTCCCTAGCCTCTTTTTTTCATCAATTTCTTACGTATTCTTCCAGAGATATTCTATGCTTATATATTCATATGCTTATATCTATGTACATATAAATAAATATATAAATATATGTAATTATATAAAAGATAGCAATTCTACGTTGTTCTGTATCTTTTGTTTCTCTCTGTATCTTATGGATTCTTTCATATCAAGGTAGATAGAGCTATCTTATCTTTTTAATGATAGCATGGAATTTTCTCATTCTTTGGTTGATGACTATTCAGGTTATTTCTCATGTTTTGCATACTTATGACATCACAAAGTTCCTTTGGAGATACCATTTGTACTTGTTTGAGTATATCTGTAGGATGAATTTGAATCCAGCAGGGGAAGATATGTTCCTGACATCCAGAATAATAATTTTTTTTTGAGACTGAGTTTTGTACTTGTTGCCCAGGCTGGAGTGCAATGGCACAATCTCGGCTCACCGCAACCGATACCTCCTGGGTCCAAGCGATTCTCCTGCTTCAGCCTCCTGAGTAGCTGGGAATACAGGCATGCGCCACCACGCCCGGCTAATTTTGTATTTTTAGTAGAGATGGGGTTTCTCCATGTTGGTCAGGCTGGTCTCGAACTCCTGACCTCAGGTGATCTGCCCGCCTCGGCCTTCCAAAGTGCTGGGATTACAGGTGTGAGCCACCGTGCCCGGCCAGAATAATAATTCTTTATAATGATGTTTTCTCATGAAATCTCTCTCCTGCAGAAGGGCTTAGAATGGTCAGTTCACCATTCTTTGTCAGTTTGACCCTTAGGTGAGGGGAACAGAATGTGAGAAGCTTCTGAGACAGGAAAGAGCATGTCATACCCAAAGGAACAGAAATAAGCAGTGTTTTGTGTGTGTTGTGTGTATTTCCCCCCTATTTACAGAGCTGCTGCTGCTCCTCTTTTTCTTCTTCCTCTTCCTCCTCCTCCTCTTCTTCTTTGTCTTCTTTTTTTTTTTTAAGGTAGAACCTAGCATGTTATTTAGATCTTCATTAAACTGTTGGAATTGAGAACCAGACATATATAATGAACCTCCAAAAATAGATCCTGAAAGGCACTTTCTGCTTAGGGCAAGCAGTCATGGAATAAGCATGTAAACAAGCTGGCTTCTCTGTATCACACCAGCTAAGTCAGCTTTCTCCATGGCCAGCCACACCAGCTCTGCCCTCCCTTCTGTTAACACCAGCCAAACCCCCTGTAGGTCAAACCCAAGGTTTTTCTGTAGGACACCTTGGCCTACCTAGGAATGCTGGAAACATGTTAAAGGAATCATGGTAATCATGGTATTGAGAGAAAAAAAATTTTTTTAAAGCTGCCATTTGAGGTGATAGCTTCACTGTACTTAAGGCCATACCCCAGAATACAATAAATAAGCAATTAGAAAATGTTCAAGTATGAAGGGATTTCCTCCTCCCCGCCAAAAACACTGCTTTCTGAAGGAAGCTGACTTCTCTGTAGCTACACCAGCTGTTGAGAAAGCTCATTGGATCTGGTTTTGAAAATAAAACAAAACTAAAACCCTGGGAGGCATTATTGTGCAGTGTGGAGTACTCAGGCTTTCTTATAAAGAAAAAAAAACGTTATCTGGTACTAAAGTGTGCAACCTTCAGACCCTCAGGTACTGGCCTGTGACTTCCCTGTATGGCATCACAAAGATGCCAGGTGCCTTTTTTTCTAGAGCTAGGAGTTGGTGAGGTGTGGCTAGTGCTGAAACCATGCATAGGATTGGTTTACTAAATTAAAACCTTGCGTGTATGTCCTCCAAAATACAGCTGAAAGTGGAGAGATTTTGATTTGGTGCTGTTAAAGAGGTGGCAATTAAGAGCGTAAGCACCAGGGAGATGGTTTAATGGTAACTGCCTTTTTTTGATGTCAGGCTAGAGCTCCAACTGGGAACTTGCGTTACATACAAGACTGATCAGATAGGGAACACACCCTGACAAAGAGCTCATAATTAGAAATGGATCAAGTTACAGGGAGGATAAGGGGAAGGCTTCACATTCATAATAGAGCTCAAGATATTACAAATTCATGCTGACAGGGCTGTGGCATTGCCAGGCAGAGGCTATAAGCGGAACTACAAGTACTTTATGTGGACATTTTCAGCATCTGGTGTGGGAAAGTCAACGCAATTAGGACTTTGGAGCGTTGGGTAGGGCACAAATGTTCAATTTCAAAGCATTATTTACTACAGTGTTGTTTCTAGGCAGTTACATGGATCACCTGTGCTCAGTAAATTCATTACAATGGTAAACAAAACACCTAGGGACAGAATAGCAAGCCCAACAAAACACCGAAGATTATTTACTACAGTGTTGTTTCTAGGCAGTTACATGGATCACCTATGCTCACTAAATTCATTATTGATAAACAAAACACCTACGGACAGAATAGCAAGCCCAACTTACCCACAAAAGCTAAAATTCATGTCATTGACTAGAGTGACTACAACTGATCAGGTGCTGAAACAGGACAGGAAAATTTAGGAAGGAAGGCCCTTTCCCTCAGAGCTTGAAGGCTTCTCTGTTGCCTTTGCCAACAAGTATGGGGAAAAAAGATGAAAACTTTCAATATTTAAGCTTTTTGGGCACTTCCCATGGGAAGCTGTCCCTACCAAAGTGGCCATAGGCTGCAGTCCTCTGATAAATTGGCTTCTTCAGATCCAGATCCCTGACAATGACCCTAGGGTGGAGATCAAAATTCTTCTTTATAATCTCTAGTAGCTCCCTCTCACTCTTCTGAGAGGTACTATAATGGAAAACAGAGATAGATAATGGATGAGAAACTCCAATAGAATAAGAGACCTGAACAAGAACCGTTCTGCACAGACCTCCTTTAACAAGGGATTTTGCCACTGAATGAGCAGCATAGGCAGCTGAACGGTTGATCTTAGTATAATCCTTTCCTCAAAGGCACCTCCTCCATGAACACCCCAACCTCTGTAAGTGTCCATAATGGTTTTCTGTCCAGTCATACAAACCAGCATCACCCCGAGGCACACCAATAACAAGTCTGCCACTTGGCTATAGGTGGTAGATTGTATCCTCATCAAGGTATTTTGCAGGCACAATGGCTTTGATGACTTTCTCCTTTAGGGCATCCCTCATCTCACCAAGACGAACCTCTTCATCATGCCAAACAGATATAACAATTGTGTGGACTCTGATGGGAAGCATAGCACCTCAATCCTGCATATAGTGCACAGTAACTTGAGTTGTAGAATCAGGGCATAACCCAGGCAAAGTGCCATTATGGCGTAGTTCTGCCAGTTTGGCTTTAAGCTTGTATGCTAAGACAATGGTTAAAGGCCTACATACACTCCTCAGTTTCATCAGTGGCGTAGCCAAACATCAAGCCCTGGTCTCCAACACCAATGTCTTCTTCATTTCTGTCAAGATGAACACCTTCAGAAATATCTGGTGACTGTTGCTCCAAGGCTACCAGCACATTACAAGTCTTGTAGTCAAACCCTTTGGAAGAATCATCATATCCAATGTGTTTAATAGCTTCACGAAGCATTTTCTGTTAGTCAACAGCAGCTCTGGATGTAATTTCACGTGCAAGAAGGATCATTCCAGTTTTAGCAACAGTTTCACAAGCTACTTTGGCATCAGGATTTTGTTGAAGGTGGGCATCAAGGACAGCCTCACTGATCTGGTCACAGATCTTATCTGGGTGGGCCTTCCCCCACCAACTCTGAGGTGAAGAGGAATGTGCCCTTCTCAATGAACACCTAGTGGAAGCTGTTGAGCTCCCGTTCATGTTGGTGTTGGTGGCAGTGAGTGGAAGTGGCGTTGAGAAGGAGCAGCGGCAAGATGGCAGCTGCGAAATGCGCAAGTTGCAGACGGCATTCTACTCAGTGCGCAGTATCAGGGCGTAACCAATGGTGGTGCAGAGTGAACCAGGGCTTTTTCTCAGTATGAAAGATGGAAGCCAATGTTGATAGAGCTAAATGAATGAAGGGGAGAGTGATAAGGCAATGACTAGATTATGTATATTTTGTAGTCCATGTTAATGAGTTTAGATTTTATGCTAACTACAATAGGAAGCCATTGATGCTTATTGTTAGTAAATTAATGGGAGACATTTTGCCTCTTGGCTTGGGCACTTAACAGTCAGTTATATGATTATTTCCATGAGAAAATGTTTTTTCCATTTATAAACAGTAAGCTTTAGGAATAAAATCGTTTTTCTGAGGGATTTATATATATGCTATTATAGATAAAATCTTCCGTAGTTTTTTTTTGAATTGAAAAAACTATAATATTAATATACAATTACTAGCCATGATTTCTTAAGACCAGTTTGTTAATTAAAGGACATTGACTATTAATTCCTTCCTCCCATTTTTATTTAGAGATGATGTAACACTGCTCAGACAAGAGGTCCAAGACCTACAGGCTTCACTTAAGGTAAGAATAAAAATTGTTATACCTTTTTATTTTCAGTGTTTCAGATAATACCTCTTTTTAAATTTACTAATTAAAAATCTTTTTTATTAGGAAGAAAAATGGTACTCGGAAGAATTAAAGAAGGAATTAGAAAAATATCAAGGGCTGCAGCAGCAAGTAATTGCTTTTAACTACTTAAAGCATGTTTATTAGTTGTTTATTTTTATTGTTGAAAACTAAACTTAATACCTTTTTGCAAGCAGGTGGCGGCCTGATATAAATAACTTCCTAATTTGTTTCTCTGTGTTGAATTCTGATGAATGCAAACAAATGTATGAGGAGTGAAGATGTAATTTTTTAAAAGGTGTTCCATTAAAAATGAGTTACTGGATGGGCCCACGCCTGTAATCCCAGCACTTTGGGAGGCTGAGGCGAGAGAGTTGCTTGAGCCAGGAGTTCGAGACCAGCCTGGGCAACACAGGGAGACCCCTGTCTCTACAAAAAATTTAAAAATTAGCTGAGTGTGGTGCCATGTGCCTGTGGTCCCAGCTACTTGAGAGGCTGAGATGGGAGATTCACTTGACCTCTGGATTTCAGGGCTGTGGTGAGCTGTGATCTCACCACTGCTCTCCAGCCTGGGCAACAGAGCAAGACTCTGCCTCAAAAAAAAAAAAAAAAAAAAAAGAATCAGGTATCTATATGTTGTTTTTTTTTATACCAGGCTGTATTATCCTAATGTTTTGTAATATACCTAAATGGTTAAAAAAAATAGGTTCAAACAGTAGTGAGTCTTCAAAGCATTTAAGTTTCTGACAAATTGATAATGACTAAAGTGTATATTGGTAGGGAAAGAGATATTACTAGCTATAAATAGCTAGTAATATTATGTATTATGTTAGTGAAGATTGAAAACTGGGAAACCTGTTCTATTAACAATGTTAAGTTTTTAAAAAACTAAAAAATGTGTATTTGTACATACATGCACACACACTCATATTCTGTATGACTTTACATAAAAATAATACATAGAGAAAAACAGAAGAAAATCACTGCAGTATCAAAAGTGGTTCTCTTTGAATAGGATTTTTTTGATGTCTTAGATTCTATATAGTTTAGTGTATTTTCTAAGTAAATGCCTTAATTATGATTTTTATGCTGAAATTATATTGATTTTATTCTGAAATTATAGGAAGAATCAAAGATTAACGAAGTTTTACCAAATAATTTTACCATAGTCATCATTTGTAAGAATAAAAGTAGTTACCCTTCAGCAATAGTTCTAATATTTTTGTAAAGTAATTAATAATCCCTTTGCATGTTATCTTGGCATATTGTGACTTTCAGTGAGGCTTGTTTGCTTTTTAAAGCCTTTGCACCAAGAATTGGCAGTTGGACTGAAAAAGACAAAAACAAATAAATAAATGACAAGATAATCAGTCTTATTACTACTCAGCTTTTCTAATTGGTGATTCTGTTAACATTAAAGGAGTTTTTAGTAATCCAAATTACTTATAACTCATTTACTCATGTTTTATATAGATGCCATTAATAATTAATTGAGTATGGGCTGTATTCTTTTCTGTATCTGAAAGCAGAGTGGAAATTGTTTACTGCATTTGAGATGACTATTTCACATTTAATACACTTAAATAACTTTTCCACAGTGCAAGATGTAAGTTACCTTGGCAGGAAATTTACCTTTTGGGGAAAATATATTTTAAATACTTAAGGTTCTTAGCAATCAGTATGTCTTAGTTCAATGTATAGAGAAACAAAAAGTCAGATATACTAGGAAATGCCTTATTAAACTCTTTCAGATGGGTATAATTCTTTAAAATATAAAAATAATGCCAAGGTAGTATATTATTTTGTTCCTAATACATGTGACAAATTAAGCCTTATGGAATCTGTTATTTCTGCTTCTTTTAAAGTTGACTTGTCCTGAATTAAAAATTTATGCTTATAAAGCCAATTTTTTTAGTAGTGATAGTTTGATAGCATTTTTTTTTTTTTTTTTTTTGAGACAGAGTCTCGCTCTGTCACCCAGGCTGGAGTGCAGTGGCGCGCGATCTCGGCTCACTGCAAGCTCCGCCTCCCATGTTCACAGCATTCTCCTGCCTCAGCCTTCCTAGTAGCTGGGACTACAGGCACGTCCGCCATCAGGCCGGCTAATTTTTTGTATTTTTAGTAGAGACGGGGTTTCACCATATTAGCCAGGATGGTCTCGATCTCCTGACCTCGTGATCCGTCCGTCTCGGCCTCCCAAAGTGCTGGGATTACAGGCGTGAGCCACCGCGCCCGGCCGTGATAGGATGTTTTAACTAATGCAAGTTTTAGTAGTGATAGCTTGATAGCATGTTTTAACTAATGCAAATGTTCAACTATTATAGGTGTTCTGTTTGATTGTAATAAGAAGCATGATTTGAAGTATGATTTCATGAATTGCATGGTTTATTGCCAAAGAGAGATTTTCTTCGGTTCACAGTGCTTAAAAGGGAGAGAAATAACATGAACAAATCTTACAGGGAATATCAATAGATGAGGTATATTAACCATATAGTGGGTGAGTTCCAAAATTATTAAAGTCTAGTCACTTTCTCAGGATGGAAGCAGGCTTTTGTGAAAAGTAAAGTCTAAAAGGGTTGAGGTGTACCTTTTTTTATGAGCAGTCTCTCTGGAGAGATGGCATCCAAAACAGTGGAGATCCCAGACAATGGGGATCTCCTGCTGCTAGAGGAGATGTAGGTGTTGGCTGCCGAGACTCAAAGATCTAAGGCCAATAGGATATGGCCCTATTGCAGCATGAGCTGCCAGTCTCAAAGAAAGCAGCTGAAAAAGTGCAGCCTGCCATGGCCTAAGCTTTCAAAGTATCTTTCAAACTCTTTGGTTAATATGTATTTTGAAGTCCAGTAGTTGAGGTCAGTAGCTCAGATCTGCGGTATGATAAGGTCTGATGTAATACTACTGAAGAGAGGAGAAGTTCATTCCAAGTTCTCACATATGGGGTCTAACAGGTATTACATGCTTGAGCGGAGGGGGATAACACTCCAAGTTCTTATGACAGCAAAATATGTAGCATCCATGTAGCAAACTATGTTAGTGTTAGAAGTTATTTCAAAGCTACATACTAATACGATTGAATGTTGCCAGTTGACTTAAGTATTTGTTTTAGAATCTATATTTATAATTACAATAATTGTGCTATTTATTTATTACTGAATTCATGGAATTTAAGATGACCATAATAACTTCATATATATTAACATACAAAAAAATCTATGTTAGAACTAATAAACTGAAGTTAGATCATTAGGCTAGTCTGCCTGCTGGTCTCTTACAGATCTGGAAGAATGGAAACCACCAAATTTAAATTTTCACCAAAATCTTACTACTTACCTGAAAGAAAGTGACTTTCAGAGATTTTTTAACATTGACCATTTTAACAGTATTATCTTTTCCTTTTAATTCATTTGTTTATGTCTTTTGTTTTAATTGAGGAGGCCAAACCTGATGGGTTGGTGACTGATTCATCAGCAGGTAACTTTACTTAAAGCAGATATTTTGTCAGTTTTCTTTTTCTTCTTATTTGTTTTCCTTTCTTTTTCTTTGATGCCTGCCAAATGAATTTTGTTTCATGGTTATGCTTTATGACTCTAAAACAGTGAAGATAATGGTCATATTCTAGGTGTAGAGAGTTACATGTGAACTTCATAATTTAATCAGTTAACTAAAAGTTTAGTTTTTTTAGTTCATTATATTTTGAAGTAAGAAACTTCTGGAATATTACATTAATATGGTTGTTTAATGAAATTTTAAGTCTATATTAAGAGTAAGATAGTTTATTTTCTTTATGATGAAGTATTAGGAGTTGACTGCATACTTTAATGAATTAAAAGGCCTTGAGATCTTAACCATTTCCAACATCCCGCTTTATAACTAATTTTATCAGAGGAGCAGAATGTTTTCCTTTTTGAGCCAGGCTTGGTGGCTCATGCCTATAATCCCAACACTTTGGGATACTGATAGGGGAGGATGGCTTGAACCCAGGAATTTAAGATCAGCCTCCGTAACATAGCGAGACCCCATCTCTTAAAAAAAAGATAAGGGGTGTATTCCTTTTTGGTCATTTGATGGATATGGGAAAATAACTGTGAAATGTGAAATCAAAATAACTTGTAATAAAATATTTATAGATTATTTAGCAGTGATTCTAAATATTCATTTCATTTGTAGTGTATGTTTGTAAATTATGATTTGTACCTTAAGTGAAGCAGATATACTTAATTTCTTGAAGTGTCAAAATACTACTTGTAATTGGATAATAAACTTAAGTTGATCATCTTTACAACTGTAATAAATATAAGTAATAACAATTTAGCATATGTAATTAACATGGTATTTGAATAACTGCGACACTTTTTTGTAGAACTACAGTCTTTGGAACAGCAATTAGAAGAAGCCCAAACAGAAAATTTTAATATTAAGCAAATGAAAGACTTATTTGAACAGAAAGCAGCCCAACTTGCTACTGAAATTGCAGGTAAATTGAGTTAGAATTTTTTAGCCAATAAATCAATCTCATTACCTTTTTGCCATTATATACCCTAGCAATAAATATAGTATTTTAGTGTGTTAAAGCATTTGTGATAGACTTCCAATGGTGATTAATGGAATTTAATGATTTCAGAGTTGCTATGTAAATTATTTTGTTTGTCCTCTAGCTGCCTGCCTTCAAAGGACTGGTGTTTCTTTGTAGATTCTTCTTGAAATTTAGAGAAGATACATTTTCTTCTGTGGCATGCTTAAAGATTAAAAAGGAACATTTTAAAGAAGTGAAGTAAATAATGTAGTATAAATGTAACACTTGGTTATACTATTACATATATATGTTTTTAACATGTGCTTTTAGGTAAAATATGTGATTAAGTACATTAAAATGCTAATTATTAACTTAATGTTGAGTGGAATTTATGTAGACAGTTAATTTTAAGTTCATTTCATGTAATTAGAAGTATAAATTTACTGTATATATTTATGGTTATCTAAGGAATGTGAATTTGAATTAGAGTGATATACAGATATGCAGAGTAATATATGGAAACTTATAAAACTGTCCTCCCCTTAAACTAATATTTATATAACTATCTTTAATTAGATATAAAGTCAAAGTATGATGAAGAAAGGAGTCTTCGAGAAGCTGCTGAACAAAAAGTGACACGTCTGACAGAAGAATTAAACAAAGAGGCAACTGTAATTCAAGATCTGAAGACGGAACTGGTAATTTAGGAATTATTTATTGAGATGTACTCTTATACCTTTCTAAATTAAAAATAAAATACATACCCTGAAGGAAAATGTTTAAAAATATAATTTGAGTGAAATCAGGAAATAAGCAATTCCCTATATTCTACCACCTGCATATATATTCTGTATATGATTTTTAAAATAAAAATGGAATGTTATGATACGTAACTTACTACCTTAACATTTTTGTTGTTTCTATCTAAATATCATCTGTCATTTTAGTAGTTTTCATATCTGCATCTCTGATCCTGGTCTTCTCTTGCATGTTTGTTTTATAAATCCATCTGCTTTTAGGGTACTTTGTGTTGAATTTCTAGCTTTAATTTCAAATTCAACAAGTATAAAATCAAAGTAATCATGTTTCCTCATTACTGTATTTCTGTTATTGGAACCATACATCTCTAATACTCTCCCAAGACTTAATAATCTTGGATCTGTCCTTGACTTTCTTTCCTTTATTTAGCTCTCAATAAATATATAAATTAACTACATCCAACCTGGAGCAAACTCTATGCTTTCATTTGCTCCTTCATTTTTATTACCAGTTTTGTAGGATAGAAAAAGAAGGAATGTAGCATTTTCAAGTCACTGTTATGACCAATAGATGTAGTTTGTGAAGGGAAGGAAAACAAATAAAGTAGTAAAGATAATTGTGAATTTACTATACAGCACCTTGAGTATTAATACTATTAAATATGAGGTAGGATGGGAAGAGGAAGTGGCTTATTGTGGGAGAAGATATCAGTGTTCAATGTTTGAAGTCTAAAAATTGATATTGATGATTGTTTCCCTTTTGATTCCTTTGTAGTGAAATGATTCTAAAAATGTGTATTATTTTAGTTTTTCACTTTAATTTTTAATTAAAATGTGTTGTTTCACAGCTTCAGAGACCTGGTATAGAAGATGTTGCCGTGCTAAAGAAAGAACTGGTCCAAGTTCAAACACTAATGGATAACATGACCTTGGAACGTGAGCGAGAATCTGAAAAACTCAAAGATGAATGCAAAAAATTGCAGTCACAATATGCTAGCTCAGAGGTAATGAAGTTCATTGTACTTAAATGTGATTCATATTAGCTTGTGTAGTGTATACTATTGAGTGAAGCCAGGATTTGAGATTTTTCTGAGTGGCCTATCAAAATATTTGTCTTTCTTTCATTTTTGATCTGAATAATATTTGTTTATAGTCAATGTGGTCTCTCAGTATGTTTTGCTTTATAAAGCTAGACACTCAGGAATATTTGCATAAAGATTATTATTCTGTTTAATATATATATTGTTGACATGATATTTAAGGTTAAATTTACTCAAGGTTGGTTGATAAATGGTAATTGACTTTAAAGGAAGAATGATAGCATTTTCTACAATTATATTACCAATTTTGTTTAGAAAATATATTTAAGAAAGGCTTATTTTGTAATAAGCTTATTTCTTTTTTTTTTTTTTTTTTTTTTTTTTTGAGACAAAGTCTTGCTCTGTCACCCAGGCTGGAGTGCAGTGGCGTGATCTCAGCTCACTGCAACATCCACCTCCCGGGTTCAAGTGATTCTTCTGCCTCAGCCTCCCAAGTAGCTGGGATTACAGGTGCCTGCCACCACGCTTGGCTAATTTTTGTATTTTTAGTAGAGATGGGGCTTCACCATGTTGGCCAGGCTGGTCTCGAACTCCTGACCTCAGACGGTCTGCCTGTCTTGGCTTCCCAAAGTGTTGGGATTACAGGCGTGAGCCACTGCACCCGGCCATAAGCTTATTTCTAATTGATGGACTTTGAATTATGAATTTGAAAGAAGTCTTGAACTAGTCTAAATTCAGTCCAGAACTTCCCTTTATGCCAACCCTGCTAAGTGATCCACAATCCTTGCTAGGTGGTGTACGGTGTGCATATTTCTTCCTAAGTCTATTTTATTGAGCTGACATTTGTTTCCCTGTAATTTACATGCGCTGGTTCTGGTTCTGTCCTTAGGAATTACACAGAATAAATTGTTCCTCTTTCCACATGAGGTATTTGAAGACTGCTCATATTTATTCGGAGTATTTCTCTTCCAAGATAAACATTTTCAGTTCTTCTACTATTTCTTACATGACATGACTTTGGCCTGTAAATCCCTTGTATAATATGTCAGCATTTAATAAACTCTAAGATGTATAATACATAAATGTGCTTAAAAATCCTAGCCTTTGTCCTTTTTACTTTATTATAGGAGACATTTTGTTATGACTACTGTTATTTGTAGTCTTTAAGCTCCCTTATGTAAAGTAGACCTCTGATTTTCATATTTTCAGTTTAAAAAGTTGTTACCGTAACATTTTAATTTGAATCTCTTCCTTAGAGTTTTGTAACTGGTGATCTAAAAGCCACTCTATTCACAAATATAACATGTCATCAAGCTTTGGGGTATAAGTATTATAGATAACCCATGTCTAATTCATTTTTAAAAATCTTTCTTTATCTTATGGGAAGAGATGGTGAAAGTTTGTGGATATAACACACATAGGCATGTAAGGCCTTATGATGCCTAACACTACACTCTCTAACTTATGATATTTGGATGCAGTTTTTCCAAAATTGACACTTTGTAGCCCAATAACACTTAATTCCAAAAATTTTCAAACAATTTCAGGTGGTTCATGAACTTACTGAAGCCAGTTAAAAGCTCTTGTCCTACTGGTATTATTAATCAGCAGAAGACAATGATAAATCTATAAGTACAAATGTGAAATCAAGGAGAGGCTGAATCAAAGAAGTCTCATGAGGAAAAGTGCTATTCAGATGTTAATGTCAAAATACCTAAACCAGGGTGAACCCAGTCATTTATTTCTTTGTATCAGTAAGAACTATTTTTGTTTAGATATGTCTGCCTATTGGTATTTCTCAAATTAAAAAAAAATACACTCCCTTTTGATTAAAAAATATCTTAAATGCTATTTGAAATTTTAAAATAAATGTATTATGGTGACTAAAACAGAACCAAATTAATGTCAGTTTTAGGAATATGTATTTTAAAGTTGAGTCCTCTCTGACTTATTCCAGCTGCAAGTTTTGGAGTTATGCATATACTTTTTAAACAAATAGAACATTAACAAGGAAAATAAATTTACATGTTTACTTGCATTTAAAAAAAATACAGGCTGAGTATGGTGGCTCACCTCTATAATCCCAGGACTTTGGCAGCTGAGGCAGGCAGATTGCTTCAGTCCAGGAGTTTAACCAGCCTGGGCAACATGGTGAAATCCTGTCTCTATAGAAAGTTAGCCAGACGTGCTGGCACGTACCTGTACTCCCAGCTAGGTGGGAAGCTGAGGTGAGAGGATTGCTTGAGCCCAAAAGGTTGAGGCTGCAGTGAGCCATGATCACACCACTGCACTCTAGCCTGGGCGATAGAGGCAGACCCTGTTTCAAAAAAAAAAAAAAAAAAAAAAAAAAAAGGTGAGAATATAATATAACTTGCTAATGGGAAGACATTTCTAAGTAACATTTAGGAGTTACTCTAATTTAAGAATTACTCATTTCTAAGTAATATTTAAGAGTTACTCTAATAAATTCTTATTTAAGAATTTTTAGTGTTTTATGAATTTATATTTCTATTGTAGATTAAAATACCTTTATATCTAAGGAGAATAAGTCATTTAAGATGAAAAAGCTATGATTAGAGTTTTTTTGTTTTTCTTTATTTAACAAATTATTTTTGGTAGAGATGGGGTCTTGCTATGTTGCTTAGGCTGGTCTTGACCTCCTGGCCTCAAGCAGATCCTTCTGCCTTAGTTTCCCAAAGTGTTGGTATTAAAGATGTGAGTCACCACACCCATTCTATGACTAGAGTTATGAAAGATAGGGAGGTGAAAGAATTTAGTGTCTCCCTCCATCGTCTCCTCCTGCAAACAGGGCTTTGTAAGAAATGGTGATTTTTTTTTTTTTTCTAGAAAAGGTATTTCTAGGAAAGAAGGAAAATGGCTTAGAAATCAGTTCTTCGTGTTTTCATTTAAATTTTCATAAAAATTTATCTTTTCAAGTATTTGGAAATAAATTTAGAAAGGAACTTATTTGTGCTGAGTAACTGAATAGGTGATTTAATATTTCATTATATTTTTAATAAAATAATAATACTTATTACCTATTTAATTAATAGATATGTAGTGATGAATGAGACCTTGGCTATGTTAAAATATTTTGAATAACTTTAGGAAATGGTAACTTAAGAGTCAGAATAATATTATTATTAGAAACAAACTCTTACTCTTTTGAGCACCAGTAGGTTTTGGATACTATGTTAGGCACTTAAAACGTGGTCGCATTTGTTTCTTATAACCCTGTAAGTTAACTATTAAGTATGTTTTACATGTGAGGAATCTGAGAGGCAATGAGATTAAGTAAATTGTTCAAGGTCACACCTAATATAAAAGCTAGGGTTGGAACTCAGGTTTTGTCCAAAGCCTGTGTCATTCCCTTTTTATTATGTTGTCTCCTAATTTAGGTGGTCTGATGATTGCCTTTTAAGTAAATTTGTGCTATTAATCTTGTCCTAAAACTTATTGTTAATTACTTTTCTAATTTTGCCATATTGTGTGTTGTAATATTTGTATTGGGTAATAGCTTAAAATACTTTTGAGTTGTGTCATACCATTTCCATATGAAAAAAATTACTAATTACTTCATCTCATTTATTTGTTTATAACTGCATTTGTTTTTTAGCTTTTCCTTAATCTGAATATATGACGTTTTATTAATTTATTAAAATTCAATTCTAGTTATTTTCAATTAAGTATGTTAGTGAATTATAGGACTTAATACAACAATTTTTATTATGGATGTTGCTGTTTTTACCAAACCTAAATATTGGCATCAGAAACAAAACACATACAAAGGAATTAAAGAAGCTAAAAATTTATTTTTAAGGGCCAGGTGCAGTGGCTCACACCTGTAATCCCAGCACGTTGGGAGGCCCAGGCGGTGGATCACCTGAGGTCAGGAGTACAAGACTAGCATGACCAACACAGTGAAACCCTGTCTCTACTAAAAATACAAAAAATTAGCCGGGTGTGTGGTGGCGCATGCCTGTAATCCCAGCTACTTGGGAGGCTGAGGCAGGAGAATCCCTTGAACCCGGGAGGTGGAGGTTGCAGTGAGCCAAGATCATGTCACTGTACTTCGAACCTGGGCAGCAGAGTGAGACTCTGTCTCAAAAAAAGAAAAAAAATTAAAATCTCAAGTAAACATTTATTTCAAACAAAATTAATGGCAATTTTAGGAATATGTGTTTTAACATTTAGCTCAAATAAATGTTTATTTGACTAGTATACCTAGTTGGGGCTGAAGATACATAATCTGGTGTACATTATTAACTATGTATGTCCTTGTGTTTATTATTTTCATTGAATGCATACCTTATGAATTCATTGACTTCTTTTTGCCTGGGTATTTTTGAAGGCATATAGAAAATATCTCATTCTAAAGCATTTGAAAATTCTTTATAGATAATTGGCTGTTTTATGGATTGGAAATTGAGGATTTAAAGGTTAAAAAGTATATTTATACAAATCTACATTATTGAAAATATCTAAGCTGTAATCAACTTATATTTGGTGTAGTATTTAATGGAAATGATTTTTAAAGAATTTTACTTTTTTCCAAATAAACTCATTGAATCCCAGTTTTAAGTGCTAAAATGTTCATGTAGATATGGAATAAGTATGATTATACCCATGCATAGCTATGAAAGTATTTAAATATCTTTTAAAGTATGCTTCTTTAAGAGACTAGATGTGTAGGCATGTTTGGTCATTTTAATTATGTGCTCAGTGTGTACTTTTGTCAGTCTTGTCTGCCACCTTTCATCCACCATTTTGTTATTACTTTTTCTGCTTTCTAATGGAGATGCTTAAACTTGAGGTAATGTGATTTTGGGAGGCTTTTTAATATTAATAATACCCTTAATGTGTCACCTTCAATTGTTATATGGCAATTTTATGTTTTAAGGCAATCTTAGAGCTTTGAAGACATGCTCATTTTTGTTTTGCTAATCATGCATAGCTTCAACCATTTTAAAATGATTATTTACTTATAGTTGTAGCATATTAAAACAATAATTTTAATTCTAATGCACCAGCAGGATGTTTGCTTGAAATATCTTTCCTTATTTTGTAAAGTTTTTTAGTAAAAATTCAGTATTGAATTCAATAACATTTCAGAAAACCAAGGAAGTGCAAACTTTTTATAGGATCTAATATATTGTTTCCTTGGAAATAAATATCTATTATCTCTTTGGAGGTATAATTACTCATTCCTTTAGTGAGTCTTTTTGGGTCTTCCAAGTGTCAGGGACTACTTTAGGTGTGGGGATTAAAATACTGAATAAGACAGAATGCTTGCTCCCATAAGGCTTAATCCTTTGTGGAAATCAAACAACAGACTGTACAAGTACACTGAATCATGATAGAAAGCTAGGTAATAATAAGGGCTGCGAGGAAGAAAAATAAAGTGCATATGGGCGGTAGTGGAAGTGGGAATACTTTAGAACAGTTTTAGAGTTGTCGGGGAAGATCTCATGGAGGATATGTGTGAGAAGAATGAAATAAGCAAGAGTCAGAGTTAAGCAGTGGGAGCTAGGATTCCCAGGAGAAGGTTAAAGTCCAAGGCACATACAATCTTGGCCTATTAGAGAAGAAGGTCAGTATGAATAGAGATCTTTGAACTTCACCCATAGTGATATCTGAAGAGGGATTGTATTTACTTTTTGTCTTTTGTAATTATTGTCTGTCTTTAATCTTTATTTTTTCCCCAAATATAAACATAATATGTGATTATTGTAAAAGATTAATGATTCATAATGTGCAATAGAAAAGGGGAAGCCTTTCCAGAATTCACTCTCCTCACTCCTCTTCTTCATAACTAAAGTTGGCCTCTGGATGTATAAGTCTTCCCAAATCTTTCCTTATTGTCCCCTTGAGTAAATTTTAAAGTTTCAAGTGCTGGAATTTATCTATATAAAAATTTTAGTTTTCACAATATCCAAATTTGTTGTACAAAGTGTAAATGATACACTTAATGTCCAGTTTTTTAGTTGTTAACCTTATACAGTAAGAGCATATCTAAAAGCTATAAAATAGGATACAAAAAAGCTCTAAAATAGGATATTTTGGAGTGTGTTTGCTTTACATTTTCCTTATTTAATAAGGAAAATTCTATTCTTATTCTTACTAGAAATTCTTATTTCTACATGTTGGAATTTATCAGCAAGATAGACCTTACACTTGGCTTAATAAATTTTATGAACTTCAATATGAAATCATGATATTTAATGAGATATACACATAATTTGCATTTTAATATATACTGTTATTATTTCTGTGCGTTATGTGCCAGGAACCTGTGCAAATTTTTTTGATAAGATATTTACAAGTAGGGATTTAAATGTGATATTTTATTTTGTAATAAATTGGCATTTTTGCTATATGATTAAAACATAGTGAGTTAAAATAGTCAAATTGTTACCCTACTAACAAAATAATTTTGGGATTCAAAATTATTAGAAATAGTAATTTGAAATAAACTCACAGTAGCTAAATCCATTTCAAGGTTACATGTTCAGTTTAAGACAGATGGTTTTAGGGTAGGCCTTTAACTTGAGTGTAGTTGAAAATACATGAATATTTCAACATTTTCTTCTTTGAATTGTATAAGATTATGTATATATTAACATATCAGCTGTTACATATGATACTGAAGCACTGTGTATAAGGTGTAACAATATGGTAATGTTACAGATTGCCTTTCATTGCATCAGAATTTGTACTTTTAAGTGAATGTTTTCCCAAAAAGGTCAGGCCATGCACATATCTCAGACATATTCCATTCCTAAAAGCATTTTTGAAACTTATTTTCATTGACTTTTAGCCCATCTGGAACACACTAAAAAAACTAATTTTGTTAATTTATGGTTATTAAAATAAGCCCAAGAATTTGATCATTCAGTCCAATCGCTTACCTTCTGATTTTTAAAATAAGCCCAAGTTATTAAAATAAAATGGTTATTAAATAAAATAATTATTAAAATAAAATAAGCCCAAGTGTTTGATCTTTCAGTTCAGTCACTTACCTTGCCTATAAACTTGTTGGTTTCCAAAACTTAGAATCAAAGCCACCATAAAATGGATGAGGATACACCACCACTGAGAATCCCTTAAAAAAATAAGTTCCACACACTCTGGAAGGGTTTCCAAAAGAAGATCAGCCAATGATCTCTTAAATAATAGCATTGTTGCCGTGATAAGTTAGTAGCCTTCTGAGATTTCTCCCTTGAAGATGAAAGCACTCATTTGTAATATATGATATGAATAAGTATAAGTATTAAGAAAAAATTTAAAACTTGTATCTTATTCATATTATAAAGTTTATTCAGTAATAAAGAAATAGACACTGGAAATGATTGTAACTTTATAAATAAAGTGGAAAGTAAAGCCGATAAGCAATATTAGAAATATTAATATAATAGAAAGTTATTTTGTCAATGTCATTTGCAGCAGACCATACTTAAAAAAAAATACTTCGTCTTTCTCTGTAATGGTTCAGCTTTTATGTATTCGAAATTTATTATTTCCAAGATCTTTGCTTACCTGTCTTTGTCTTATATTATTTTTAAATGATCAAACTGTTGCTTTAGTAATAAAAAGTGATTTTCACATTTTTTAAAATATTAAAATGGGCTGGGCTCAGTGGCTCATGGCTGTAATCCCAGGAGGCCGTAGTGGGAGAGTCGCTTGAGCCCAGGAGTTGGGGACCAGCCTAGGCAACATAGTAAGACCCTGTCTCAACAGAAAATAAAAAAATTAGCTGGGCGTGATGGCACACACCTGTAGCCCTAGCTACTTGAGAGGCTGATGTGGGAGGATTGCTTGAAGCGGGGAGGCTCAGAGCTACAGTGAGCTGTGATCGTACCACTTCACTCAAGCCTGGGTGACAGAGCAAGACCCTGTATAAAAAAAAATAATAATAATTAAAATGCACTAAAGCAAGTTCATGCCTGACGGTTATACCTGACCATATAGTGATCTAGCTTAAGGAAGCTGTGTATAACTTCAGCTTGGTAACTTCTTTGGACAAAGATATTTTCTTTACAATTTAGAAAGATGATTCACTAATATCAAGCTCTGTGTTGCATGTTTGTATATACATGTCTTAAAGTAAAAGGATAATTTTATGCTATAGAAGTTGGGAGGAAATGTAGATATAACTGGCATATTATCTTTAAATTCTGGAAGATTGAAGTATAGAGTTTAAGAACCAGTAAATTTAGGTTTGCAATTTGATACTTCAGAAACTTAAAGTAGGATGCCAGATTTTCATTTTATGTATTACTAAATAAATGAAGTTATGCATCTTAGTTAAATTGTAAAAATTTGTCGTAAGCCGAAAAAAGCATAATGTGGCAGTATAGGTGGTAGGATAAAGAACAAAATTGAAAATTCCAACAACAAAAAATTTGTTTTCTTAAAACCTTTATATACTTTCATTTTTTTTATCTTTTAGACAATTTAGTTTGCTTTAATTTTTGTTTTGTTTTGTTTTGTTAGGCCACAATAAGCCAGCTAAGGAGTGAACTTGCCAAAGGCCCCCAGGAAGTTGCTGTATATGTACAGGAACTACAAAAACTGAAAAGTTCAGTTAATGAATTAACACAAAAAAATCAGGTGAGAATTTTAAAGCTATATATAATAGCAAATTGATTTTATGTATTTTAAATATTAATCTTACATACTTTAAAAAATATATTGGCATAGTACAATGTGACTTATTTTTTTTTTTTAGTGTTTAATATGTTCACATTATTGTGCAAACCAATCTCTAGAACTTTTTTCATTGTGCAAAGTTGAAATTCTATAACTGTTAACTCTGCATTACTCCTTCTCTCTAGCTCCTGGAAGCTTCCATTCTACTTTCTGTCTCTAAAATTTGACTACCCTAGGTGCCTCATATAAATAGAACCATACAGTATTTGTCTTTTAAAAATGTTGTTTTTTAAATTTTTTCAACTTTGGGTTACTACATCCAACAGTATTTGTCTTTTTGTGACTGACTTATAGTGTCCTCAAGGTTCGTTTGTGTTATAGCTTCTGTCAGAATTTGTTTTTAAGGCTGAATAACATTTTGTTGTATGTATATATGTTATTCATTCATCTGCTGATAGACACTTGGATTGCTTCAATCTTTTGGCTGTAATGCCACTTTCAACATGGCTGTACAAATATCTCTTTGTCACGTTGCTTTCAATTCTTTACCTGTAAGTGGAATTGGTAGATCATATGATAATTCTATTTTTAATTATTTGAGGAACTGCCATACTAATTTCCATAGTGGCTGTAACCCTTTTATATTCCCACCAACTGTACCAGGGTTCCAGTTTCTCTACATCCTCACCAACACTTACTTTCTTTTTCTTTTTTGAGAGTAGCCATCTTAATGGGTATAGGGTGGTGGTATCTCATTGTGGCTTTGATTTGCATGCCCCTAATGACTACGTTGTTGAACATTTTTTAATGTGCTTGCTGGCCATATGCAACAAAACTGGGTTTCATTGTTGTTATTGAGTTGTAGGAGTTCTTTATATATTCTGGATATTAACCCCTTATCAGATATGTGATTTGCAAATATTTTATCCCATTCTGTAGGAATGTTAAATTTTGATGTAGTCTAATTTATCTACTTTCATTTTTGTTAAGGTCTATTTGGTGTCATATCCAAAAAATCATTGCTAAACCTAGTGTCATGAAGCTTTTCTTTTGTTTTCTTATAAGAGTTTTCTAATTTTTAGGTCTTATGTTTAGGTTTTTGATCCATTTTGATTTAATTTTGTATATAGTATAAGGTAAGGGTCTAATTTTATTCTTTTATACATGGATATCCATTTTTCCCAGCAACATTTGTAGAAAAGACTGTCCTTTCCCCGTTGAATAATCTTGGCACCCTTGTCAGAAATTATTTGACCATTGTCTTAGTCTGTTTGGGCTCCTATAATAAGATACTATAAACTGGGTAGCTTATAAACAATAGAAATTTATTTTTTACTATTTTGGAGGCTGAGAAGTTCAAAATCAAGGCACTAGCAGATTTGGTGTCTGGTGAAACATTGCTTTCTGGTTCATAGATGGTGCCTTCTCACTGTGTCCCACATGGTGAAAAGAACAAGAGACCTCACTGGGGCCTCTTTTGTAATTCCATTCATGAGAACTCAACCCTGAGGACCTAATTACCTCTGAAATGCCCCATCTCCTAATACCATCTCCTTGAGGGTTAGAGTTTCAGTATATGAATTTTGGGGGGACACAGACATTCAGACCATAGCAACAATATATGCAAAGGTTTATTTCTGGCTCTCTATTCTATTCCATTGGACTCTATGTCCATCTTTATGCTAGTACCACACTGTTTTGATTACTGTAGCTTTGTAATAAGTTTTAAAATCAGGAAGATAAGCCTTCAACTTTGTTTTGTATTTTTAAATGTTAGTATTTTCTGTATTGTTTCTTTATAAATGAGCAACATTGGCCAGGTGCGGTGGCTCACGCCTGTAATCCCAGCACTTTGGGAGGCCAAGGCGGGCAAATCACCTGAGGTCAGGAGTTTGAGACCAGCCTGGCCAACATGGTGAAATCCCATTCTATTAAAAATACAAAAATTAGCTGGGTGTGGTGGCACATGCCTGTAATCCCAGCTACTTAGGAGGCTGAGGCAGGAGAATCACTTGAACATGGGAGGCAGAAATTGCAGTGAGCCGAGATCATGCCACTGCACTCCAGCCTGGGCCACAGAGTGAGATTCCATCTCAAAAAATAAAGAGCAACATATAGTATTTTGTTTGGGGTTAGGGGAGGTACTAATATTAATACTTTTTCCCTTTGTCTTTACTTTTTTGGTGGTGGGGCAGTAGAGAGTTATGAAACCCTTTTATTCAGAGATGTGAATGTGTTGGTTAAGTTGTAATAACTTAACATTTTCGTGAAATATAATAAGGAAAAAGTCAAGAAAGAAAAAAATAGGGCATAAGGGAATAAAGAGAAATATAATTAGCTATAAATATTAAACCTCCTGCCAACAGCCATGTGTATGAGCTTGAAAGTAGATGCTCCAATCCTAGTCAAGTTTTCAGAAACTGTAGCTCTGGCCAGCAGCTTACTATAACCTCATGAGAGACCCTGAGGTGAAATCACCCAGTTAAGCCACTTCTAGATTCCTGACCCTCAAAAACTATATGATATAATAGATATTGTTTTAGGCTGCTGCCATGAAGTTTCAGGGTAATTTGCTGCCATGAAGTTTCAGGGTAATTTGCTGCCCTTGGCAAGCACTTCTTTTTACATTCTCAAAATGATTAAGGACTCCAAAGAGCCATTTTTGGGTGAGGTTATATCTATGGACACTTGTCATATCGAAATTTAAAAGTAATTTAAAAATATTAATTTATTTAAAAAACATTAACTCATTAAATATTAACATAAATAGCATTTCTTATGAAAAATGACCATTTTCTAAAACAAAAGAATTCAGCAAGAATAGTTGTGATGTTTCACATTTTTGGAAACCTCTTTAATGTCTAGCTTAATATAGGACAGGTAGATTCTCATATCTGCCTTTACATTAAATCTATTGTAGTATATGGTTGAAGTATATGAAGAAAATTTAGTCTCATACAGATATGTAGTTGGAAAAGGAAGGAATATTTTAATACTTTTTCAGATAATTGTGGCTTTCTTTATTTGATACTGTGCTCAAATTTGATAATAGTGTCTTAAAAGTTAGTGACAATGTGGAATCTGAAACCGAGTCAGTGGACTTTTTGTACACTGTAACATTAAAATTTGATCTATCTTGCCTTTTGAGTGGATCTTTTCCTGTGCGTGATTTTATAAGATCATGCATTAGTCATGTGGAAAATATTGGTTCACTGAGTTACTCAGATCTTCCAAATTTTGATACATTTTATTGTACAATATAAAAACAGTCACATTTGTCAATATCACCATCAATCTCAGATTAGGCTTTAAATATGAGGAAGCTGTCAAGCTCATGGTGGTGGATACATGTTTTCCAAAATTCTAAGCTGTATTTGAAAGCTTGAGTTTTATCACTGGCAACAAATACTATCAATTCTATTCTTTAAAGTGACAGATTCCCTTCCTACTCAAGTCCGAATATTAATAGTCTGTCGGTCTTTCTAGTAAAAGTGGTGTTTCATAAAAAAAAAAGTGTGGCTAGTTCAGTATAACTCAATCACATGAGTACTTTTCTTCATGACAACTGTATTATACTTTGGTGTGGAGGAGAAATGGTCCATGTATACTTTCTATTTTTTATTTTTCTTGCTACTACAAATATTCAAATATTATAGCTATGAACATTCATATATAAATCTTATGCATTAGTACAAGAATTTCTCTATGTTAGATACTCGAAGTGAAATTCCTGTCCTGTAGGGCAGACACGTGCTCAGATTTACTAGATGACCTCCAGCTATTTTCCAAAGTAATTATACCAGTTTACCATTGCCCCTTTCCCCATCAACTCTTGGTGTTGATTGATGTTTAAAATATAATCTTTCATAGCTGTGCTTTTCCCTAGTAAACCTCTAGATCCTTGCGCCCCTTTTATATCCTGTCAAACTACACGTAGAAAACTTCTACATAATTTAGTTTTGCCTTTGTCCCTCTGTTTGATTTTTAATTTCTTTGAACCCAGAGCTTACCTTCTATCTCTTGGAAGCTGACCAGGATATGTAGAGTAGCAGTTTGCAAGCAGTGAGTGTTGATGATCAGTGTTATTATGTGTTTCTCAAACATTAAGCTATTAATAAAGGACATGATTTGATATTGATAGCTGAAATGTACAGTCAAATACTCTAGCACACATTTTGTGTGTGTTGTGTGTATGTATATTCACACGTGCACATTATTGAAAGAAGTCCTGTGGCTATTTTATGATTAATACATAGAATCAAGATTATTTTATTGTGTTAGAATTGGAACATTTCTTATTAGGGAATAATAAGACCTTCTACTAATCTTAATAATGCCTTACATAAATTTAACACTTTGCAGTTTTGTTTTGTTTTTCCCAAAGGGTTTCTCTGTTTGGGATTTGGTCACCAGTCAGTGCAAGCCCACAGTTGCATCTGCCTTTTCTTATTATCCTCACTATCTACTTCTCTCACCCCTCCTTACCCCATGTCTTTGGTAAACCATAATTATTGACAGTGGTGATTTTCAAGTGCTTTGAATTTGGAATCTCTTTACTTGGTCATTTGAAGGCTATTACATGAAATGTCCTGGGCAGCTTTTGTGGGTCACAGGTAGTATCAACGTGGATAGGTAACATTGTAATATATAATGGATGGAAAAGATAATTGCTTTTGTGTTAATGTCAAGGTTTTCAGGTTTAAACCAGTGTTTTATAATTACTAGCCTTGAAAACTTAAAAACATAATGGAAAAATTGAAGAAACTTTCTTCCTAGTTTTTAACAAAAATAACTTCTGACATTTAAACAGCTCAATTAACTGTTTCCTTATAAATTCTAAACAAAATTATATTGCTTATCTACAGTCACTACAATATAATATAGGTCATTGGAAGAGACAGAGATTTTTTTGGGTCTCATCCTTCATCGCTTTTCTCCATTGCTCTCCTTTTTCACCAGTCCCAGTTCTAAGACGCTCACATGCCAAAGTGGGAGCCACATTTGGCCAGTAGTTATTATATCGCTTGTATTACCACTGCATTGCAAAGTGGTATATTGATAAGAACAGTATAGTGCAGTAGTCACAGGCATTCTTAAATCTCAGCTTTGCCACTTACTGGCTGTGACACTAAGCCTCTGAGAGTCTGTTTACTCTCCTGCTAAGAAATATTATTATACCCACTTACCTCTTAGGATTAATAGGAACATTACATAAATTAATAAAATAATAAAAGTGCTTATTGACTTTTAGTAAGCACCTTAGTGAATGTGGGTTGTTGTTGGTTTTTTTTTTTTTTTTTTAAATGAGACAGAGTCTCACTTTTTCACATAGGCTGGAGTGCAGTGGTGCGATCTCAGCTCACTGCAACCTCCATCTCCCGAGTTCAAGTGATTCTCTTGCCTCAGCCTCCTGAGTAACTGGGATTACAGGTACGCACCACCACGCCTGGCTAATTTTTGTATTTTTAGTAGAGACGGGGTTTCACCATGTGGGTCAGGCTGGCCTCAAACTCCTGACCTTGTGATCTGCCCGCCTCGGCCTCCCAAAGTGCTGGGATTACAGATGTGAGCCACTGCACCCGGCTGGTTGTTGTTTTTAATTGTTAAGTGTTGTGATACAGGATTGGGTCAAGACCAAGGTGAGAGTTTTCCTAATTTACTGCCTAGTAAATTAGGCAGTAAAAGGCTTTTGTATAAAACATAACTTTTTAGCTGAGTCTTTAAGGTTGCTAAGGAGCATTTCATATGGCAGAGGGGTTAAGACATTTCATTTTGAGAGCTAGGTGTACAAAAGGCATAGAACAATGTAAGAGCATATGTATCTCATAAAATAAGAGACGTTGGCGAGCTACAAAGTAGTTTAATTTGTTCATTCTCACCAAGCTATTCTGAGGAACAAGTGAGATGAGATCTCTGAAATAACTTTGTAAGCTATGAAGCATTAAAACATGGCACTCTTTTTATATTCATTTCATTATCTGAACAAGTAACAAATGAAAAATGGAGCGTAATATAGGGAAATTGTCGCTGTAAGAATATATATTGAGATAACAATTGGTGAGAAAATAAAAAGGGACTGGATACTTGGAAGGGAAGAATTTTGCTTACTCAAATGATAATTAGGTTATAACATAGGATTAACATGCATTTTATAATTTAAATTTGAATAGGATATATTTTAGGGAGTACAAATTGATTTATTGAATGTCTCAATTGTGTTATGAAAAATTTATTGGATTTAGAATCATAATCCATGATTCTACCATTTGACCAATCATATCAGGCTCTGTCAACTTCACCTTCCTCATCTGTAAATCTCTATCTCATATTTTGTTGTAAAGATTAATATGGAGAAGTGAAAATGCTCTTATTATTTTTTAATGAATTTCACTATAGTTTAAAAAGTCACTCTTCAAAAACCATGTATTCACTATAATATTTTGCTTCAGATTCCATGGGAAGACCATAATAAAAATGAAAAGTTTTAATAATAAAATATAGTTAGTCTTTTGCCTGTAAAAATTACAAAGTGTGAGTGGATTAGATTCTTTTAAAAAGAAAGAAAGTGGTTTCGGTACTTTTAAAGAAAATTTAATTCTCTTTCATGTTTGTAATAATGCTGGTAGATTTTGGTTAATTTTTTTGGGACAAGGCAATTTTAAACAGTCCCTAGTTGTTACCATATGTTTTTTGCCTTTTAAAGAGTGAAACTATCAGCCGGGCGCGGTGGCTCATGTCTGTAATCCCAGCACTTTGGTAGGCCAAGGCGGGCAGATCACAAGGTCAGGAGATCGAGACCAGCTTGGCCAACATGGTGAAACCCTGTCTCTACTAAAAATACAAAAAATTAGCTGGGCATGGTGGCGGGCGCCTGTAGTCTTAGCTACTTGGGAGGCTGAGGCAAGAGAATGGTGTGAACCCGGGAGGTGGAGCTTGCAGTGAGCCAATATTGTGCCACTGCACTCCCACCTGGGCGACAGAGCGAGACTCCATCTCAAAAAAAAAAAAAAAAAAAAAAAAAAAAAGGAGTGAAACTATCTCAAGGGTGTATATAGAAAGGTGGGATTAGTTGGTTACTTTCTAAGTAAGTCTGTGGGGAAGAAGACTCTAACTCATTATATGCCTTAATTTTTGTAGCATATTTTAAAAGGTATGTTCCATCCAAGTTCTCAGTGTATGTGAACATGGTTGCATTTATGAAATTCAGTAACTTAGAATTCTCTTTACAAAAGATGATTTATAGCTGGCCAGGCGCGGTGGCTCAGGCCTATAATCCCAGCACTTTGGGAGGCCGAGGTGGGCGGATCATGAGGTCAGGAGATCGAGACCATCCTGGCTAACATGGTGAAACCCCGTCTCTACTAAAAATACAAGAAAATTAGCTGGGCATGGTGGCGGGAGCCTGTAATCCCAGCTGCTGGGGAGGCTGAGGCAGGAGAATGGCGTGAACCCCGAGAGGCGGAGCTTGGAGTTAGCTGAGATCGCGCCACTGCACTCCAGTCTGGGCGACAGAGTGAGACTGTCTCAAAAAAGAAAAAGAAAAAAAAAAGATGATTTATAGATTAATGAATAATTTGCTTACAAATTCTAAAACAAATGTTTTCCTAAACAAAACAAATGTAGAATTATGTCAAGAAAAATTTGGAATTACAAAGAAATGTTTATAAAAAGATAATTTTTCTAACATAGTTGAATCAGAAGTATTATTTTTGTTCTGTGATTTTCTTGGCTCTATGTCTTTTTTTCTGTTTTTGTTGCTTAGTCAAAGCACACATCTTGTAGCTAATTTTGCTGTAAACTTAATGGTTGCTCTTCTTACTTTTAAGTCTGTCTGTCATCCTCTCTTATAAGTACTCTTTTTTTTTTTTTTTTTTTTTTTAGTGACAGGGTCTTGCCCTTGTTGCCCAGGCTGGAGTGCAGTGGCGTGATCTTAGTTCACTGCAGCCTTAAACTCTTGGGCCCAAGCATGCCTCCTGCTTTAGCCTCTCGGGTAGCTAGGTCTATAGGTGCATACCGCCATGCCTGGCTAATTTGTTTTTCTTTTGGTAGAGATAGAGTCTTGCTATATTGCCCAGGCTGGTCTTTAACTCCTGACCTCAAGTAATCTTTCTGTCTCAGCCTCACAGAGTGCTGGGATTACAGGTGTGAGCTGCTGCACCTGGCCTCTCTTATACATACTTTTATCATCTCTCTGGACACTGCTTTTCCATAGTATATTTCTGTTTGATAAGTAACATTAGCTTACTTTTTCTTAGACAAATATTCAAGAACCTTTATTGCTGCGTTTCCCATGTTGGGGAACGCAGCAATAAAGATCTATTATCCCCTGTGAAATAATAGGGTTTTGCTGTCACCCCACCTGAAACTTGTTTGCCTTTTCCTTCATGTCTTATACATTTATATAGAGCAGATGGCATGTATCATATGTATGTATTCCATGATTTTTCCCATTGCTTTTAAAACCAGGCTCAAACTTCATTGTATTTAGATGATCTTAACTAGCTAGCTCCCCTTGACTTTGCTCATTTTTTAAAAAAATTGTGCCTTAAGAAATTTGACACACTTTTCTATTAACCCATTCTGACTCATGCATTATGTTTTAACTTTCTTAGAAGGTTTTTGTGGTTGTTGTTTGTTTAGTTGTGTGTATTTCATTTAGAGTATATTTTGTTTAAAGCATGAAGGCTTTGATTGTTCTTTCCTATTTCAGTGTCATCCCCTTCCAGCACACTGCATGTAAGTTTGTACACTAAAGGTCCACTAACTGACTCACCAGGTACTTACAGTAGCTTCTTATCCTGGCTGGATGTCTTACAGAATTTAGTTAAAATTCTGATCCATGTTTTTTGCTTAAATATGTTTACTTAAAATGTTTAGTGTTAATTTTTACAACCCCACTGAGACCAGGCTTTGACATTAGATTAGGTTGGTTGATCCAGGTCTTTGATTAGAAGTGTTATTTTTGTGTTTTATACTTGATAGCATTGAAAAATGACAAAATTTAAGGCAGGTGATTAGCTTTAGATCATTTTTTAATACACCTAGAAAAAAATTTGAATTAGTCTTAGCTTGTGACTCCAAAACTTGGTCTTTAACAAGAAGAGCATAAAAAGATGCAATCAATAGGTTAGGTGCATTAGAACAGTGGATGATATTGCTGTGCTAAAGCTCTTACCAACTATGAAATTGCACAGTGAAAAATCAAAGTTTGCATAGTATATTGTTACTCAAAATAATTTGTTGGTAGAATGGTAGTTTCAGTTTTTAACTCAAGTGGAAGAATATAAATATGTCACATAACCTAAAAAATCCAGTAGATTTTATTTTTTTTTTATGTCAACATTTGCTTGGCAATTCTTAAGTTGTATTAGTAGATTTTAGTTAAGTGGACCAATAGTGAAATCACAAGTTAGTATGTAATGATTTAATTCTTGACTAGAACATTGTCACTGTTTTATATTTTAATATTGACTAAAATGTATAATAGGAGACAGTACTGCTCCAAAGATTGTTTGAGTAATTGGAGTAATTAAAAATATTAGAAAAGGAAATAAATTGTTAAATTGATATTTTAGACCTTGACAGAAAACTTGCTGAAAAAAGAACAAGACTATACTAAGTTAGAGGAGAAACATAATGAAGAATCTGTGAGTAAAAAGAATATTCAGGCAACCCTTCATCAAAAAGACCTAGATTGTCAACAGCTTCAGTCAAGATTGTCTGCATCTGAAACCTCACTGCATAGAATACATGTAGAACTAAGTGAAAAAGGAGAAGCTACTCAAAAGCTCAAAGAAGAATTATCTGAGGTAGAGACCAAGTACCAGCATCTAAAGGCGGAGTTTAAGCAGCTACAACAACAGAGAGAAGAAAAGGAGCAGCATGGGTTACAACTCCAAAGTGAAATTAATCAAGTAAGAGCTGTTAATTTTATTTATTGTAATTCTCCCTCTGGTTTCTTCTTCGTGTACTTGATGGTTATTTGATCATAATATAGTTCATGTTGAAAAAATATTGTCATTTTAAAAGATTAACTCTTAACTTTTATATCCTGTAGTGTTGTCAGATCTCATTTCTTTTAATTTCAGTTTCCCTTAAAAAAATTATAATATCCATCTTACAGCTTTGTGGGGAAATGTTTATGAATTGATACTATAAATTGCTTAGGATGGTACCTGGGGCGTGTAGGTACTCACTAGATTTTAGCTATTATAATTAATTTGAATTGTTGACCATTCTTTCATTTGAAATTTTTTTGTTACTAAATTTTAAAAGCATCATTATTATAAAACAAATAGCATACAAATTGGATATTTTTTTTTTTTTTTTTTTGAGACGGAGTCTTGCTCTGTCGCCCAGGCCGGACTGCGGACTGCAGTGGCGCAATCTCGGCTCACTGCAAGCTCCGCTTCCCGGGTTCACGCCATTCTCCTGCCTCAGCCTCCCGAGTAGCTGGGACTACAGGCGCCCGCCACCGCGCCCGGCTAATTTTTTTTGTATTTTTAGTAGAGACGGGGTTTCACCTTGTTAGCCAGGATGGTCTCGATCTCCTGACCTCATGATCCACCCGCCTCGGCCTCCCAAAGTGCTGGGATTACAGGCGTGAGCCACCGCGCCCGGCCAAATTGGATATTTTTAAAAAATTATGTGTTTTAGGGAAAACTTTTTTGAAAATAAATAAAAATTAGATATTTTGTAGAAAGTGAATCAGCCCTAATGCTGTGGCTATTTTGTATAGGTAAATAATATATGAATTATATATATATGAACTATATATTATATATTTATATATTTATGAAATATATATTATATATTTATATATTTATGAAATATATATTTTATATATATAGTATATATACACACAATATATCATGATATTCATATCATGATATTGATATATAATTCATATATTATTCATATCATATATTATATACAATTCATATATTATTTACCTATATAGCTCATATTTTGAACTACATTATTTACCTACACAAAAGTATTTTGTGTAGGTAAATCTAGCTTAAAGGCAAAAATATTTTGTATAGGTTAATAATATAGTGGCTATCAGATGAAGTTTAATGCAAGTTTTGACTTTGCCATTAACTTAATTTTTTAATACCTGTGTTCTAATTATTGCTTTAGGTAACATTGAAAATTGGTTGAAAATGGAAATTGGGGGATATTCAGGTCTCAGCTACTTTTTTGATAATGTTCAGCTGTTTTTCTAAAATGGCAGTGATACTTTATTTTACTATAATTAATAATTTTCATGGCTTTCTATCCTTTAGTAATAATAATAATCATGATTATGTTAGTAATTTAATGAGCTTCAGTTATGTTTCAGAAATTAGAGTAAGCACTTCACATATGCTAATACTAATTTTTGAGTTTGGACTGTGAGTTCCATGATACAGTGAATCAGAAGAATTAAGAATATTTCTGTAACATGTCTTCTCCTTCCCTGCTTCTGCTGGCCCTGTCCTCCTTGTCTCACTCTTAAACCACTGTAACAACCGTTAACTGATCTGCCTTCCTTCTTGCCCCTGACAAATTGATTCTTTATATAGGCATCAGAGTAATCTATATTAAAGGCAAATCTTACCATGTTCCAACCATGCTTTAAGCCCATTAATAACTCTTTATGGCCTAATGGATTAAGTTGAGGTCCCTTGTTATGACATGCACTATCCATAGTGATCTTGTTGGCTCACCTCCTCAGCAATTTACCCTTCTTTTCCTTATTCTTCACTGCAAGAATATGGAAGTGTCTTTAGTTTTTTCCTACATGTGTGCTGTGTCTTGCTTTTGTTGTATCATTCAGTCTGTCTTCTTGACCTGAAATATTCTTTTTATTCCTCTTCACCTTGATAGATACTATTTACTTCACTTGTCACTTTTTATAATTTTTTTTTTTAGGGAACAAGATCATGCTCCTTATAGCAATGTGGATGGAGCTGGAGGCCATTGTCCTAAGCGAGCTAATATAGGAACAGAAAATCAAATACCACATGTTCTCACTTAAAAGTGGGAGCTAAATATTAAATACATATGGACACAAAGAAGGGAACAACAGACAGCCAGACCTGCTTGAGGGTGGAAGGTGGGAGGAGGGTGAGGATCGAAAAACTGCCTATTGGGTACTATGTTTATTACCTAGGTAATGAAATAATCTGTACACCAAACCCCTGTGACACGTAATTTACCTATATAACAAACCTGCACATGTATCCCTGAACCTAAAATAAAAGTTAAATATTTGAAAAAATTTAAAAAATATATTTAGGGGGTAAAAGTGCAGATTTCTTGCATGTATGTGTTGTGTAATGTTGAAGTCTGGACTGTTAGTGTACCCATTGCCCGTATAGTAACCATTGTACCCAACAGGTAATTTTTCAACCCTCACCCGCCCCCCCCACACTCTCCCTAAAAATCCTTTCTAAACATGCCACTGCTTCCCCACACCCAAGATAGCTTAAGCATGTACATATCTTTAATATTTTACTTATACCATAATATAGTTTATTATCATAATTTATGTCTTTCTTTAATAGACTCTGAACTCTTCGGGTGCAAAGACCATCTCTTACTCATTTTTTATTTTTACTGCCTGGCATTTGGCTTGTTTTTTGTTTTTTTTTTTTTTTTTTAAGACAGAGTTTCACTTTGTCACCCAGGCTGGAGTGCAGTGGCATGATCTCGGCTCATTGCAACCTCCATTTTCCGGGTCCAAGCAATTCTCGTGCCTCAGCCTCCTGAGTAGCCGGGACTTCAGGCACATGCTACCACACCTGACTGACTTTCTGTATTTCAGTAGATATGGGGTTTCACCATGTTGCCCAGGCTGGTCTCGAACTCTTGAGCTCAGACAGTCCACCCTCCTCAGCCTCCCAAAGTGCTAGGATTACAGGCATGAGCCACCGCGCCCAGCCAGCATTTTGCTTGTTAATCTGCCTATGTTTTAGTGAGTGAATGAATGAATAAATATAAGCATTCATAGTGGAAGGAAACTGAGCCATGGGGATATCAATGAATAACTTAAACTAACTTACATATTTGAGTTTTAGTTCAGATAAACAAATTTAGCATTTATGCTTTCTTTTTTTCTTTTTCTTTTCTTTTGAGATGGAATCTCACTTTGTTGCCTAGGCTGGAGTGCAGTGGCGAGATTTCAGCTCACTGCAACCTCTGCCGCCCGGGTTCAAGCGATTCTCCTGCCACAGCCTCCTGAGTAGCTGGGATTACAGGCCTGAGCCACTGTGCCTGGCTGCGTTTATGCTTTCTAAAAGACACATCCCTCATTTACTAGGGGATACATAAATGAGTAAGAGACAGTACCTACCTTTAATAATTGTGTAAATATCATGGAGAGGATAAGGCAAGTACTATCTATCATACCAAAGATTATGAGAATTATAATAAAAGGATTCTGTATATTATGGGAAATTGGAAGAGTTTCTTTCTTTTGTTCCCCCTCTTAGTACTTCAGCTGTTGTAATTTTTAATCCATTTATGTGATCAGGAAATCTTTGTGTTAGAGAGAGGAGGTGGTACTTGGAATTGGGAATATCGGATAGGTTTTGACAGGTGGCAGTTCGAAAGCAGATGTGTCTCACAGCCAGAGGGATTAGTGAGAGCGAACTAGTGGCAGGAAAGTGTTGTAAGAGGTAGGAAGGAACACTGATTTGCTGTTAGGATAGGGTATGTATAACAGGGTGGACTACTCGTGATGGTTCTTAACTCCCTTAGTTTTAATTGGGTGGCATTTGTAAAGTTAATGAATGAGGGTCACCATATATATATATATATGATATATATATGTACACATATATATATCTATATATATGATCATTTCCTGTATTTTATTTAGAAATTATGTGCCAGTATGAGGACTTGGGAATGCACTGGGCACTATCCAATACCCAAATGTAAAAAGTTAACTGTAGTAGTTCTTGGCTATGGAAAACCAACAAGAATCACTGTGGAACTTTAAACAATACTGTAAAATAGATCTGAGTGTGTACTAAGTGTCTTAATTTTTAAGTTGTATTTTATTCTTTTAAGTTCCTGAAAGTTCCAACACTTATATCCAAACAAGAACCTGCATTTGTTTTAAGAGAGCAGTAACATAACACAAAAACAAAAATTGTGATGTTTAACGATAATTTTATGTGATTCATTATAATATATGATTAAAATTCAGTTGCAGTTAAAATTACTGTATAAAATCTTAGGTTTCCCCAAAGTATCACGAAAATTAAGATATTGTACTTATTTTGGTGAAAAGTAAAACATTGTTTGGAAAGTAGGTGGTGCTGTGTGTGTGTTTGTACATATGTACATACATTTTTTTTTCTTTTTTTAAAGTTACATAGCAAACTTCTGGAGACAGAGCGCCAACTAGGGGAAGCTCATGGTAGGCTGAAGGAACAGAGACAGCTTTCAAGTGAAAAGTTGATGGATAAAGAACAACAAGTGGCTGATTTACAACTCAAACTTTCTCGGTTAGAAGAGCAGGTAAGCTAGCATTTTCAATTTATTGATAGGCTTGAGGCATCTTTAACATGATTATGATTCATCAATCTGTTAATTGTCAAAGCTTTAATTGGACTTTTTAAAGTGCAAATTTATTGCTCTCCAATAGCAACATCTTGCTTATTAACTACATTAAGTCATTTTGTTGTAATTGTATTCCCTAAAGTTCTCAACAGAAATGCACAAGGAAAACTACTCTTTCAGGTTTAGGCAGGAAAAATTCTGGGGGTGAACCCATCAGGCTGCTAGAGTCTTCCTACTCAGGAAGGACTACTTCCTAATGAAACAGTAAACTATGAATTGTTGGTAAAGATCGTTAATGACATGTAGTTGGTATATATAAACTTTGAGTTTCCATTTAAAGATTTTTGCTTTTAAAAATTAAGCATATATTTGAATGCTGTCCCTCATTAGACTTGCAGTTGCCATAAATGATGCCTGTAATATAAAGTAAAAGTTATTAAATTGCATCTTTATTGCAATTAAACACACTTTTTTATTTTTAAGTTT
This sequence comes from Homo sapiens, assembly GCF_000001405.40. Taxonomy (NCBI): domain Eukaryota; kingdom Metazoa; phylum Chordata; class Mammalia; order Primates; family Hominidae; genus Homo; species Homo sapiens. The sequence goes on along the minus strand of NC_000012.12, from coordinate 92,827,383 downwards.
TTAATTTTTAATTTAATTTTATTTGTTTTTGAGACAGGGTCTCACTCTGTCACCCTGGCTGGAGTGTAATGGCTTGATCTCGGCTCACTGCAACGTCCGCCTCCTGGGTTCAAGCAATTATCCCACCTCAGTCTCCCCAGTAGGGACTACAGATGTGCGCCACTACGCCCAGCTAATATTTATATTTTTTGGTAGAGACAGGGTTTTACCATGTTGGCCAGGCTGGTCTTGAACTCCTGACCTCAAGTGATTTGCCTGCCTCGGCCTCCCAAAGTGCTGGGATTACGGGTGTGAGCCACCACAACTGGCCAGAATTAAACACATATTCTACGATAAAATCTGTAGCTTCAGCAATAGATTTTCTTCTAGACCTAAAATCTTAGATGTGGTAGATGATCCTATTCTTTTCCAATAAGTGATAATTATGACTATTAAGGAAAAAAATAAAAGAAATACTGATATGTGGTTTAAATTATTGTTAAAAATAATTTATATGTAATTAATTCCTTGATCATACTAGTTTACAAAAAAATAATAAACTAAATGCCAGCCTGGAGAAAGTTTTTTTAGGATAAGCCTATTTATAGAAAATACTTTCTTTAACATGAGATTAAGATTCTGTAAGTAATGAGGTACTGCTTTTTTTCTTTTCTTTTTTTTTTTTTTTTTGAGACGGAGTCTCTTTCTGTCACCCAGGCTGGAGTGCAGTGGCGCAATCTCGGCTCACTGCGACCTCTGCCTTTCAGGTTCAAGTGATTCTCCTGCCTCAGCCTCCTGAGTAGCTGGGACTACAGGCATCTGCCACCATGCCCGGCTAATTTTTGTATTTTTTTTTTTTAGTAGAGACAGGGTTTCACCATATTGGCCAGGCTGGTTTCGAACTCCTGACCTTGTGATTCGCCCATCTTGGCCTCCCAAAGTGCTGGGATTACAGGCATGAGCCACTGTGCCCAGCCAAGGTACCACTTTTAAAGTTTATCTTATATATTCCTGAATTTTTTGTTCTGTTCAGACTTGAGAATTGAAGTAATGCCAGATACTTATGAATGATAGCATTATGCCTTTAAGTTCTCAATTGACAATCTACATTTTTTTAAGTTGAAGGAAAAAGTTACAAATTCTACAGAATTGCAGCATCAATTAGATAAAACAAAGCAACAGCATCAAGAACAACAGGCTCTTCAGCAAAGCACCACGGCAAAACTTCGAGAAGCTCAGGTAAACATTAGTTGCGTTATTAGCCTTGTAAACACAAATTAATTACCATTACATAGAATATAAGAGAAAAAATAAAATTAATTAATCCAAATCATTATCCTTTTGTTGTGGTAAAACTAGAAAGTACAAAATACTTGATTGTGAGGGATTTTGATAACTTTGAAGTCTGGATAATCAGAAAATTATTTTTCTTTTGATTACTATGTTGAAAAGTTTTTCCAACATAATGTAAAATATTTATTATAAACTAATTTATTATGTATTTATTATATTTTATATATTAATTTACTTAAATTTATTAGATTTATCTATTAAATCAGTTTAGTTAAATACATTTATTTAAATTACTTATAAATAATTTATTCATTATTGTTTATTATTGACTAAAATACAGTATTTGGAAAATGAAAAATGTTCAAATAAAATTTTCTGGCATCATTAGCCCAGTAAAGAAGAATATTTTGTATTTCCTTCAGTAGAACTTAGTATTTGTTGGTCATTTCTTTTCCTGCTTTATAACCATAATCTGAACACTGGAATTGTAGGTGTAGAAAATATAATTGTTTGGGTTAAATTTATACAAAGTCTGCAGCATACCTTAGAATATTGAAAGAAGTTTTCATTTTGTTATGGTAAGGGGAGGTTGCCCAAATGCTGAAGTGAATTTGACTTTGATATTTTTTAATTCATTCTTTTTTTTTTTTTTGAGACGGAGTGTTGCTCTTTCGCCCAGGCTGGAGCTGGAGTGCAGTGGCGCTATCTCGGCTCACTGCAAGCTCCGCCTCCTGGGTTCACACCATTCTCCTGCCTCAGCCTCCCGGGTAGTAGCTGGGACTACAGGCGTCCGCCACCGTGCCCGGCTAATTTTTTGTGTTTTTAGTAGAGATGGGGTTTCACCGTGTTAGCCAGGATGGTCTCGATCTCCTGACCTCATGCTCCGCCTGCCTCGTCCTCCCGACCTCATGCTCCGCCTGCCTCATCCTCCCAAAGTGCTGGGATTACAGGCATGAGCCACTGCACCCGGCTTTAATTCATTCTTTCATTAATCACTGTGCTCAGCACTGTGACTAGACAGAGTGCTTGCCCTCTAGGAGATGGCAATCTAATGATATATATGTAGAAACAATATTGCAGTTTGAGGGAGGCAATAAATAATATGCCCTTCTCTTCTGAGTTTGGAGAGTGGCATGGGAGTCAGATGGATAGAGATCAAAATACTGGATTCATTTATTTGTTCTTTATTCAGTTAGTCAAAAAACATTTATTAACTTCTAGTCTCAGCCAAGGAACTGATTTTGTGAACATAGCAGTGAACAAAACAGACAAAAATATCTGCTCTCATGGAGCTTAGTGAGAGAGGCAAGGATAATCAAGGTAAATAGGCAAAACATATAGCATGTTAAATGGTGATAAGTGCTATAAAGATGAAGGAAGGAGGGATGGGGAGTTGGAAGTGTTTTGGGGAGGCCAGAGTTGGGACTGCAGTGTTAGGCCTCTTTGAAAAGATGAAAGACCTGAAGGAAGGAGGAGCCTGTGATTCAGAGAGAAGAACATTAGTATGTTAAATGGTCCAGAGGCAGGAGCATGTCTCAAGAATAACGGGAAGTCAGGGCTGGATGGGAGAGTGTTAGAAGAGTTAAAAAGGGCAGGTCATAGAGCTCACAGGAGATCAGAACCTCCAGTTCCTCATAGGTAATTTTAAGGACTTTATTTTACTTTGAGTTAAGTTGAAAAACCACTGGAGGGTTCTGAGCAAAGCGGTGAAATGATTTGACTTATGATTTCACAGAATTATTCTGGCTGATGTGTTGAGAGTAGACTGTATAGGTACATAAGTAGAAGCATAGAAATTAGCTAAAAGGCTACTACAATAATCCAGACAAGAAATGATGTAGCTTGGATTAGAGTGGTAGTGAGAAGTCAGATTCTAGTTATGCTTTAAAGGTAAAGCTGACTGATTTATTGTAGAGTATTGAGAGAGAACTCAAGGGTGACTCCAAGGATTTTAGTCTGGGCATTTGGAAGGATGGAGACCAGACAAAATGAAGATGGAGAATCCCACTGGATTTGGCAATATGGAGGTCATTGATGACCTTGATTAGGGTGATTTGCATAAAGAAGTGAGACAAAAGCCTGATTGGAGGGGGTTCAAGAGAGAATGGGAAGAAAAAAGTTTGATAGAGTGAATATAGATAACTCTAGGAGCTTTATTGTAAAGGTCAAGGAAGAAATGTCAATAGTAAAGCAAGTGTGAAGAATTTGGTATAAGTCAGCAGCCAAGTGGGCTTTCTTACACTGTACCCAGAATTAACTTTATTAATTTAGCCACAAAGCTAGAAATGGCAGCCTTTCACCCTTTTGCAGACAGGTTGTCTCTCAAACTGAGGGAACAGCAGGGACTCAGTTGAACATGGTTATTTGTTTCTTATTCTGCACTTTCCAATAAGTTTAAATTCTTATTCCCTGGGGAGGAATACAGAAAGGATGAAAGAGGGGCCAGGCAAAGTCCCTCATTATGGAAACATGAAAAGTCCTCACAACTAACAGATGTAATGAGTCTAGTTCTAGGTGTGTATCTGTATATAAAATTGTTATGGTAGCATAGAGAATAGTTACCTAAACCAAACAGAGTCTGGAAAGGAGCAGCCATGGAAAACTTTTTAAAAGTGACAATCTGAGCACAAAGGATGAGTAGATATTTCTGGGGTGCAAAGATGGTGGTAGTGAGAAGTTTACTCCAGATAGAAGTTACAAGGATAAAGGATACTGAAGCTAGTGTGAACTAAACTCTTAGGTTTTGCTGGACCTTAAAGTGTAAGTTAGAGATTACTTAAAGAAGTCAGAGCATTAGATATGGGTAAGTTTATAGCAGATCTCACATGACATTTATATTTCAAGATGGAAAGATTTTGAAGATGGAAAGGTATTGAAGGTCTTAAGAAAGAATTGCCATAGTCAGATTTGCTTTTTAAATAGAATATTCTTGTCGATGTGTGAAAGATGGATTTGGGTGGGAATATTCTGGAATGAAATGAGTTAAAAGACTAATATATGCAGCAGTTCAGATGAAAAATAATAATGGTCTTAGTTCAAGCAGTTGTTGAAGTCATACAGACAAATGTGAGAAATACTTAGGAGGTAAAATAAATAAACAGCACTGGTTGACTTAATAGATAAAAGGGATGAGGGAGAAGGGGAATGACTTCCAGGTTGGTAGCGGTGGATGCATGGTAAGTGGAGGTGTCATCAGCTGTGTTAGTGAATGTGAGACAAATGGCCATCTCATAGGGGAATGTGGTGTGTTCAGTTTAGGATGTGTCTTGAGGCACCAGCGCGATATATTTAATATTAATTTAAAGCTCGGAGGAGGGAATCGTGCTATATATGTTAACCGAGAGAGACATCAGAATATATGAAGTAAATGGAATTATTAGAGTAGATGTGATCAGCCAGAAGAGAGAGCATAGTGAGAAAAATAGGTAATTGGTTACATAAGACTTCTGAGAAACACCACCCCTTAAGTGATGACTGGGTAGAAGAAGAGCAGCCCAAGGAAGAGTGAGAATGATCAGAGTAATTAAGAATAACCTGCAGATGGAAGCCAAAGGAATAGGAAGGGTCGAAAGTTGGGGGTAATCAGCACCTTCAAATGTGGGTTTGTGTGGTGGCGATGCTCAGTATGATAAATGAAAAATACCAATTAGAGTAAGCAATTAAGAAGTAAATTGATAATGTTGCTAAACATAATTTCAGTAAAGTAATAGAGATGAAAATCTGATTGTCGATTAATGAGTAAATGAGAGATGAGGGAATTAGGAATGTAAATATAAATTATTTTTGAAATGTAAATGTGAATTGTTTAAACACTGGACAGAAACTGGAGAGGGATGTGTCATGGGGAATGTTTTTGAGAATACGAGAGACCTGGACATGTCTGTAGTCTAGGACAAAGGGATTCATAGGGAGGGAGTTATTAAGGATATTGGGGGAGAGGCAACTGAGGGAATAAGGTATTGTTAAGAAGCTACGAGGTAACGGATACAATGGGGGAGGGTGAAATGGAACTCATCCACTGAAGCTTGAGGAAAGGAGGAAAATATGGAGTGGGGTATATATACATAGCTCCATATATCTATATATATAATTATATGTATATGTAGTTATATGTATATATATATATGTCTCATGGATCAGAAGAAGAGTAGTAGGAGATGAGTTTAGAGCATTAGAAAAAGAATGTGGTTAATTGAAGGTTTTTTTGTTAAATTCGAGTTTATAATAATATAGATTTATATTATTAAACATGGTTCTAATTAATTATATGTGTATGTAATTATATATACATATATAATTTTATATAAAATTATTTTTGGAAAATAAAGATTGATCATTCCTGAAAATCTCATGTTTCTTGATAAAGTTGGAGATAGTAAGAGCTGAAAATCAGGCAAGCAGAGATTGAGAATGTAGAGATAATATGGAATCTTTTAAGTCGTTATTGAGGGGAATGTTTGAGGGTGAGGACCTCATTCAAATAAAAAGATTGACAAGATAATTCTGAGTATATACTGTGATGGAGGTTGAAACCGGAACCAGAAATTTGTAGTAGCGTCGATCTATGGAGCTTTGTGATTTTACTTTGTGATTTTACAGTGCTTAGAAGTAAAGGAATGGAGAATTGGGCTATTTTGGGAGTGGCTTTTGGAAATTTTTGGGTGAAAGGAAATGGACAATGTGGTTGAAAGAATAGTTAAGGTTAGTTCGTATCTACACAGGAAGTTCAGGAAGAAAAGCTAGGCATATGCTGAATACGTTAGAAGGAAATTGACGTCTCTGACATTGAATAACAGAAATTAGGTCATTAAATTGGAAGGCAGTAAGTTGTGGTCATACAGTAGGATAGTTAGAAATTTCTAGCTGGAAGAATTTCAGGTGGTTACAAATCCTATATGAGGGGGTGAAATGTGGAATGAGTAAAGGTCCAGTAATTAAGATGATATAAATGTTGAGGCTATGCTCTTAATTATCTATGTATTTTGTATTTCCCAGGAAATTGGCAGAAATTGGGATTGAGAGAAAGACTAAATCAGGTCTCAAGTCTTCAGTGAATGAGGTAGGGATTTAATAGATGATAGCAACAAAAAGTAGAGAGTAGAATAAGTAAATGGCATACTCCCCAGAGCAGCACGAAGCTTTCACATGAGAGAGAGAGTAATGGCAGTGAAATACCAGGAAAAGGTAACCCTCCTCTACTTGCCCAGTGGAATAGACATTACCGACCAGGGCAGGGTGAGGGGTGAGGGAGAATTGGCATCTGTAAAGGGAGAATCAAATTTCAGTTAAGGTTTGAAAACAGTGTGACTTTACATATATATATGTGTGTGTGTGTGTATATATATATATATATATACTTTAAGCTCTGGGATACTTGTGCAGAATGAGCAGGTTTGTTACATAGTTACACATGTACCATGGTGGTTTTCTGCATCCATCAACCTGTCGTCTAGGTTTTAAGCCCCGCATGCATTAGGTATTTGCTCTAATGCTCTCCCTCTCCTTGCCCCCAACCCCCAACAGGCTCCGGTGTGTGATGTTCCCCTCCCTCAGAGTGACTTTTATGGAAAGAAGCTTAGGCCTGGAATTCTGATTCCAGATTAGTGGAATGTAGAGAGAGGAGTTATCTATCGGTGGCAGGAACAGAGACTGAGAGGCAGAGAGGTTTGGTTGCCTTTTGTCATTTGACCAAAGCTTAGAAGGATGAGAAGTATGCTTGAAAGTGACTGATCTCAAATATTTTAATATTGGCACAAATCATGAGAGTACCACATGGTTGCTGGGTCTGTGTCAGCAGAGTGGTGTGAAAGTAAAAGAAGAGGGATCTCTTGCTATATCGATGGAAGAGTTCTTTTGGGGTATTGAAGTGAGCCTGCGGGTATATGTGATTTAGAGTGGAATCATTTATTTTTCTATTCATTCAGTGACTTTTTTAGAACATGTGTCAGATATCTTGGATATATCAATGACTGAGACACAAAAATCCTTTTTAGAGTATACATTTTAATGGGGGGTGGTTGGAGTGAGGCAGATAAGCATGACAATGTAAGCAAATTATTTAGTGTGTTGGAAAGTAAGCGCTATGGAAAGAAAATGATAACCAAGATAGGGAATATTGGGAAAGGCTGAAATTTTAAATGGAATGGTCAGAGTAGTCCTAATTAAGAAGGTGATGTTTGAACAAACAGTTGAACGGGGAGTAAACTATATGACTCTGTGGGGGAAGAGTTCCAGGCAAAAGGAACAGTTGGTACACTAAGGCTTTGAAGTGGGAGTGTGCCTAGTATGAGATTGAGTCTCATGTGTCTGAAATCAGGGTCAGAAAAAGAGTAGTAGCAGGAGGTCATATTAGAGTGTTAGAAAAAAAACGTGGTTAAGTGAGAGTTTTTTGTTAAATTCTAGCTTATAATGATATAGATTTATATTATTAAATATATAGTTCTAAGTACTTAACTAAATTTACCATATTGAAATGTAATAGTTTTAAAAAATGTAAGACTGAGTATTTGAGTGATAGAATTTATTATTAGTCATTTTATGTTTGAGGAATAACTTTTTAAGTTCTCTATTCTTAAAGTAGTAGTTTTCAATTCTTTACAGAATGATTTGGAACAAGTTCTACGTCAAATTGGCGATAAGGACCAAAAGATCCAGAACCTTGAAGCTTTATTACAGAAGAGTAAAGAAAATATTTCATTACTAGAAAAAGAAAGAGAAGATCTTTATGCAAAAATTCAGGCTGGTGAAGGAGAGACTGCTGTTCTTAACCAGTTACAAGAAAAAAACCATACACTACAGGAGCAAGTAAGCTTGTAAAATATATTATATTTGTAAAATTTACTTCTGTCTCTCTAAGTCTTACTAAGTGCTTTATTTAAATGATTCTTCATTCTTGCTCTTTTTAGCACATTTTAAGTGTTATATATTTTTTGCCAAATAGCATCTCATGTACCTTAAGAGGTAGGTTACTATTGTAGTGAAAGTTAGTTAACATGATTTGACAAAGGAAAATTTCTCAGTTCATGTCCCTGGATGTAAGTTAGTGTGACTATGAATAAATCATTTTACATTATTAGCTCACTGGAAAAACAGAAATATTAATAGTGCATGCTTGCCTAATGGCATTTTGTGATGTTTAGAAAAAAGAATAATGAAATGTATTCATAAATTGAAGATATTAATCAAGTGTTAGTTTTTACTGTGTATTGATTAATATACAGACTTAACAGTAACATATTTTGATAAAGTATATGTCTTTGCATCATGTATAGCCAATAATAATTTTGATAAGTTGCCTTAATGTTCCAGCATTAAAATGTAGTTTAGGAAAAGTTTATAAAATTTAGATAAATACATTTTCAAACAAAAAAGAATTTACAGTTGCTTTTTTGGAAGAATTGTGTAATAAGAGAGTTATTATCTAAATGAGAAAATATTTAAAACAAAGTATCAGAAAGCCATATCACTTTTCTAATTTTAGAATTAGAATATAACAGATTTCCCCCCAAATTTCAAAGTTAGTTTTGAAGAATTCTTTAGGTTAGTTTTTAGTTGTATACAACTTGATGTTGCTTATCATATAAATATGGTCAGGAAGCCCTGCATTCATTTTAAAGAATAAATTAAAATAAATCTGTTTCTGGCCATATTGGGATAGTTAATACCTATTTAGCCCTTCTACCATAAACACCAAGAAAAGTGGAAAAAATGTACAAGACTACTGTTTTCAGACATTGGACAATAGGCAGTGCAGGACTGTGATCCCTGAGAGAAGAGAAGCAAGTGACATGAACTCTTTGACCACACTAACTTTTGATCCAGAGACATTTTCCAGACTGTGGCACCGCTTGGGGGAATCTAAGGAAAGCCTGGTGGTCTTATTGAACCGAGGATGTGAGATATTAAATTAAATTGAGAGACTGAAGTTCAGGGAGGTTAAGGCAGATCGAATTTGTAGGGTAGGATACCAGAAAGGAAGGAGCAGTACAGAGAAAAAGCTTCAGAAATCTGCTTAGGAATTCACTTGAGGCTTTGTTCAATGCCAAGTTTTGTACTTGTAAAGTGGGATTCTATGAGGCCAATGAATACTATCAAGGAGCTACAGGCTGAAAAATTACTAGTGCTTATACAGGGCTGGAAGATGTTCAGGTTCCAGCCAATCAGAAGAAAGATGTGGTTGAACACTTGGAGTATTCAGTAGACATATCAGAAATGTCATACCTTAGGAGGGCAGTAAGGCTAAACTAACCCTAGAGTAAAAGCTGCCATACACCTGACCTTACGAAGTGTAAAAAAGACCTTAAAAGGATCCAGTAGAACCACAAAAATATTAAATATGTGCTGGGACAAAACATTCTTTGAAAGAAGACAACAAAATCGAGAGTGGTCACAATAAATAGTAAAAGATTACTACACATGTGAAGAAACAGAAACAATGTGAGCCATGACGAGGAGAGAAATTATTCAGTGGGAACAGACCCTGAAGTAAGAGATGATGGAGTCACCAGACAAGTACTTTAAAACAGCTCTTCAAATATGCTTATGGATAGAAACAAAAAACTATAATGATGGAGATAGCAGTGGAAATGGCTGGGTGCAGTAACTTGTGCCTGTAATCCCAGCTACTCTAGAGGCTGAAGTGAAAGGATCACTTGAGCCTGGGAGTGAGCTATCACTGTGCTACTGCACTCCAGCCTGGGTGACGGAGTGAGACCCTGTCTCTTAAAAAAAAACAGAAATGGTAAAAAAAAAATAAAAATAATTGAACTTTTAGAGATAAAACAAAAATAACGTGAAATGAAAATTTTATTGGATGTACTTAATAGATTAAGCAAGTAGAAAGCAATATCAGTGAACGTAAAAGACAAGGCAGTTGAAACTGTTCACAATGAAGTACAGAGGGAAAAAAGGATGGGGAAAAAAACACAGTACCTTAGTGACCCATGGGATAGTATTATGTAAGCTAGCATAAGTACAATTAATGTCACAGAAGGGTGGGGAGGAGGAAAATAGAAACTGGCTGAAAAAATTTTAATTTTTAAAATTTCAATGGATGCAAATGAAAAAACTTTAATTTTTGGTTAAAAACATGGTCAAAAAGCTTGGTGAACTCAAAAGCAAGGTACATCAAAGAAATATCAAATGACTTGGATTTCATCTAAATTAAAAAAAAGTATGCTTTTCAAAAGATACCATTATGAAAATAAAAGCCGTAACACAGAATGGGAGAAAACATTTGCAGTATGTGTATCTGACAATTCAGAAATGCCCAGAATATATAAAGAAAACTTATTACTTAACCAAATCAGTGATTGGCTGGAGTTAGAGATGGGATGGGAGGAATGACTGCAGAAGGGCATGAGGAAACATTCTGGGCTAATGGAAATGTTCTTTATCTTGATTGTGGTGATGGCTAGTTAAATAAGTGTATGCATTCATCAAATCTCAAATTGTACAACTTAAATTGAATGAATTTTATATAACTTACAGCTCAATAATTTTAAAAGTAATATCAGTCTTTGAATTTAATGTTATTTCTTGGTATTTGAGATACTATGTTGACATATTTTGGCAAGTGAATAATTTTACTTGAAAAATTTTGAGATAAACTATCATAAAGCACTTTAATATTCTCATGGTTCTTAAATTTAGGTTTCTGAATTTTTGTTATGTCATTTGTGAACTTCACGATTAGTCTTACTTGTATAACAGGTAACTCAACTAACAGAGAAGCTGAAGAATCAGTCAGAAAGTCATAAACAAGCCCAGGAGAATTTGCATGACCAGGTACAAGAGCAGAAGGCACATCTTAGAGCTGCACAAGACCGTGTCCTTTCCCTAGAAACTAGTGTCAATGAATTAAATAGTCAATTAAATGAAAGCAAGGAGAAGGTCTCCCAGCTTGACATACAGGTAATATTAAATTTAATGTTTGTGTAAAGCACCAGTTTTAGACCGTCAAATGTTTTAAATTCTGTTTCTATCTCTTTTTACCTTGCATATTAATTGAAAAAAATTTGAAATAAGAATTAGATAAAGGCTATATCTAGATAATTTGTTGAACTTTCCTGTTTGACTTTCTCCCCTGCTCCCCCTCTCTGTCTCTCCCTCCCTCCTCCCTTCTGCCTTCCTCTCACTCTTCCTTTCTCCTCTCCCTCTCTCTCTCTGTCTCTGTCTCTCTGTCTCTGGCTCTTGCTCTCAGGTGCGCTCTCTCTGTCCTCAAGCTACACCTAGTGAAATCACTAAATCTTTTAGATTTTCCTTGTTTTGATCATGCCATGATTGTTTTTTACATTCAAATTAGTTAGATATTATACCATTAGATTTCTATGCTAAATATTTTTTTGACTTTGATTTTTTAAATCTTCCTTTAAAAGTCTGACTTCTGATTAAAAAAAAAATTCCCTTACATGGTGCCGTATTCTTTCAGAATTCTATATAGCAGTCTTCCTCAATGAGTCAATCATGGGGTAAGCAGTAAGACATAATTTTTTCTCCATTCTTACTATTGATTTCTTATTCTATGATATAGAATAGAAATTTATAGAAATAGTTCAAGGCTTGATTTTACTGTAAGATAATGATTCCACTGGAAAGACGGAATATAATAATATAACTGGCATACTTACTAGAACTTGGAGAGAATATACATTTCTTTCTTTTTTAAAAAATTATTTGCTAGATGAGTTATATGATAGATAACCTGTTATGTGGATGTCAAATATAAGGGGGAGGGGAATGAGGAGGGAATGGGAGTCTAGTGACAATGTGAATGAACTAATATATTAGGGCAGTCTGTGATTCTTTCTGCATTGTAAGCTCCTTTCCTTTACAAAATATTGCTCTTCCACTGCTATTCATTTCAGAACTAGTTCCAGCAATGAGATCAGCCCATTTTTTTGTTACTATCATTGCTCCCATTATCACCTTGACAGTAACTTCTTCTTTGCCATTACTCTGAAAAATATTACCTGTAGATATTTTTTAAGTTTTTGAGGCTTTTTTCAAAACTACTTTAACTTCTTTATGAGCTAGTGTTAGTTCATAAAGTAGGATGTATGGCCTTACTTTTCTTTTGAGAATTAGGACTCTGAGAAAAACCTAGTGCTTTAAGTGATATTATTAATAAAAGAATGTCAACCAAAAGTGCTTAGCCAAAGGGTATTAGCTGTAGCCAGCTGTAGCTTAACTGTTAAGGTAATGTTTTTTTCTGGAGTGTCCCTTTAACTATACAAATGAGGCTTTTAAGCTGTTTCTCAGTTTAAAGTTCCATAATACACCTTTTGATCTCTACTTCCACGGTACTTCCTTGTGTGCATGATCAGGACAGCATCAAGGTACATTATTATGCACATGTATGAGGGCACTTCACTGCTTTTACTGTTTTAAGGGCTTTAATGCAAAAGTTGCAACAATTGTAGCCTTGTAGTAATTGGTACTTAGTCATTGCCTATAAAAAGGGCAAACAGAGGGGCTGGCTATATGAATAGCCACATTTCCCCCCCCGCCCCCCATCAGAAGCCTTTCTAAAATAAGGCAAACTAGTGGAGCAATTACTTAATTTCCCCCAAACTTTCTTTATATGCTACATGATTTTGGAATATACATATATTACATTAGTTGAAGCATGCTGTATAAAAAAGATCATGAGTGATTATCATATGTTAAAATATTTCATGAGTTTTTGGTTCCTCAGATAGATGAAATGCCGTATGTAAATAAAGCTGACTTCTGCAAAAATATATTTGTAGTCTATGCTATATATTCATCAGTATAGATTTACTATGTGTTGTTTAAAGGGAAGATTTCTTTAGTTTTCACCTTTAAATCAATGTAAATGTATATACCTTGATGTAACTATTATTTCTGTGAAAATTAAGTATTTTGATATTGAGAAAAAATTATTTGAATTTTTCCTTCAGCTTGTAATTATCCATACAATGTAAATCTTAGATTTCTTATGTTCATTGATCCTCTCTTCAACCAGCTAAAAGAATGCACCCCCCATTTTTACTGTTTTCTCAAAATATGTTAATTTTAAATACATGTTTTTACATATATATTTTCTTTTTTGCTTTTCTTTCTTTCTTTCTTTTTTTCTGAGACAGAGTCTTGCTCTGTCGCCAGGCTGGAGTGCAGTGGCGCGATCTCAGCTCACTGCAGCCTCCACCTCCCAGGTTCAAGTGATTCTTCTGCCTCAGCCTCCTGAGTAGCTGTGACTACAGGTGCATGCCACCATGCCCAGCTAATTTTTGTATTTTTAGTAGAGATGGGGTTTCACCACATTGGCCAGGATAGTCTCGATCGCTTGACCTTGTGATCTGCCTGCCTTGGCCTCCCAAAGTGCTGGGATTACAGGTGTGAGCCACCGCACTTGGCCTATTTTTTGCTTTTCGTATTCGAGGTGAGTTGTACTAAAGGTATTCCAACACTTAAAGGTGTTACTTTTGATAACAAGATAGATCTTTTTGCTTGTTTGATTTTATTGGCAGCCTTGAATTTTTAATATTTAATATTTTGACTGTGAGCTTCAAAAATAAAACCCTTTAAGTGAGAAGTTATCAGGGAATACTGAATTTTACAAAGTGCCAGTTGTCTGGCTGTTTTGAGTCATTGAATTCTGTAATTCTTGATTATCTTCGGAGTAATCATTTTTTGGGGCATGGTTATTTACTTTATCATAATAGTGGTAGACTTTCAGATACTCACTTCTGAAAATACAGTGGCCTTTTTTGGAAAAAAAGTGTACCTTTTCTTTCTTAGCAAAGGAATACTAAAGTGTTTTGGAATCACATGAGGATATCTTTTTATTATTTATCCAGCATTATTAGGAGTCTTCTCCCCTATCATTCCTATTTTGGCGATTTTCACATACATATTTTTCAATATATAAATCCATATGTTTTTGCCAAGGACTTAATTTTTAAATAGTTTGTTTAGTCACAAAAGGAGTGTGCGTTCAAGCAAGAGGAAATCAAGAACTAAATATAAATTAAATAATTTGTAAATGCTGTTACAGATTAAAGCCAAAACCGAACTATTACTATCAGCAGAAGCAGCAAAAACTGCTCAAAGAGCTGATCTTCAGAATCATTTGGACACAGCTCAAAATGCATTACAAGATAAACAGCAGGTAGGGAAACAGATGCAATTTCATACTATCACCTAGTGCTTTGGTAGATAAATAAATTGCAAACATGTAAAGATGATACCCAGTTTTGTATAATCTTGTGATAGACTTGCTTATCCCCCTTAATTTCTCCATGAGTTCCAGTTGAGTAGTAAAAGTGGGGGTCACATAGATGGAGATAAAAATAACAGCTTTGTTTTTGATAAATTTCTACTAGTGTGCAGGTGTGGTTGGTTTCCTGATATTGTCCTTCTCCCCTAGCCTAGACCTTGGTGTAGAGCAGTAATGTTTCCTCCTAACTTTTGAATTGTTGCCCCATCCCTTCAAGTGTTGGTGATTGGATGGGGCAGACCACCACATTTGTTTTTAGTAGGTAGACTGGACCATGACCCAAATGTACTTGCCACTTGGAAACAGGAAAAGAACACTGTATATTCTACCTCAGTTATAAGAGTTACTCCTTTCTTGGTAATAGGAGGAAGTGAGGAGCTGGAGGGAATACAGAAGCGATACTCTGGTAGAATAGAAGCATCCTACTTTAGGGTCACGGTGAATGTTGCTGGTAGATTTTTCTTAGCTTTTACTGGTAGAAATTTTTAAAATTTACTTGTTATTCAGGGAGTAATATTAGTTATTGGTCTTTTTTTTTTTTAGATGGAGTTTTTTGCTCTTGTTACCCAGGTTGGAGCGCAATGGTGTAATCTTGGCTCACTGAAACCTCCACCTGCCGGGTTCAAGCAATTCTCCTGCCTCAGCCTCCCAAGTAGCTGGGATTACAAGCATGTGCCACCGTGCCTGGCTAATTTTGTATTTTTAGTAGAGACAGGGTTTCACCATGTTGGTCAGGCTGGTCTCAAACTCCGACTTCAGGTGATTCACCCACCTTGGCCTCCCAAAGTGCTGGGATTATAGGTGTGAGCCACCGCACCTGGCTTTATTGGTCCATTTTTTAAAAAACAATACAGAAGTATATCAAGTTAAAAAACAGAACAAAACAGTTTTCTATATTTACCCTTTATGAAAAGCCCATTTGAATGGAATGTTTGCTGTTAAATTTGGTATGTGTCCTACTTTTGGTACATAGTAGATTTACTAGTAATTTTTATTTTATTTTTTTTTTTTTGTGCAACTGGATATTCCAAATGAATTGAAAAGCATCATAAATGTAAACACTGTAATATTTTTAAAAAATAGTTTTAAAAATTGGTGTCTTGAACATTGAAAATATTTAATTATAATATAAAAGTGTTATTTTATTATTAGCCTGGCTAATATTTGGCTCCTAAAATAATTCTTCCTAGATAAACATTGAAAAGTTATTAAACTGTTATACATATAAACTTAGGATCTCAGACTATGCAAGAATTTAGTTCATGTCGTTTATATTGGTAGGTAAGTATAGCCTCTGATATATCATTAGATTTATCTGAGCTCTTACTCCAAATATTTTTTTAAATAAAATTAGAGTTTTCAATTTTACGTTGAACATTTGGCCACTACAATATAGTAAACCTTACCAAAGTTTTCTTCAATTGTACTTTTCTAAAGGAGTTAAATAAGATTACTACTCAGTTGGATCAGGTCACTGCAAAGTTACAAGACAAGCAAGAACATTGCAGTCAGCTGGAAAGTCATCTTAAAGAATATAAAGAGAAATACCTCTCTTTAGAACAGAAAACCGAAGAGCTAGAAGGTCAAATTAAGGTTTGTATAAAAGAAGTTGAATTTAGTCATATTTTCTACTTCAGTAGCAATGGAATCTCATGACCTACATGGAATCAAAGATTTTTAGTTAACAAAGAAAGGTGAAGTTGTGGTATAAAATTTTTAAAAAATTGCTTGTAATTTTTCATGTCTTAAGTTTGAATTCTATCTTTATTTTTAATGTCTCCCTTAATGAGCATCTTTTATAAATGACAGTCAACTTACATACTGATTCCATTGTAATGTGTTACTTTTTCCAAAGACAGATAACCAGGTATCTACTCTACCATTACAAGGAACTTCTCAATTTTTTGTTGTGAAGTCTCTTCTGTTCCTTCATTCTTCCATCTCTTACCAACTTACTCCAATATCACATTTCAGATATGGTAGACTTTTCCTTTTTAGAACTTTATACCCTTTGGATTTTGCTTCTAATTTAAAAACACATTGAGACTATGATAAACTGTATCTTACTTTAACACAACTCCATATGAATGTGTTGATTTACTGAAGAGATAAGATGATTAGACATCTCAGAAGGATTTGACCTGAGTTTTTGTGTCCTTCAAATTAGAACCGCTTGCTGCTTAACTGCCTTTGGCTAAAAATAAAAAAAAAAAAAATTTTTAAAAATTGAGCTACTATCAGTTAAACAAAAACTTCTCAAGTTACTATATATGTAACTTATACTTCCTCAACCCGGTGAAGCGTGTGTGTATAAGTTTAGAGTCATGAAATGAATATATGTACATACATACCAATATAGTATGGGGGAATAATTACATTTACAATTCTGTTTATAGGTTCCTTTTTCTTTATGACAAACGATAATAGCAAAGGCAAGGTACTTTAGGCATGGTTAAAAATAACAGAAGTATTATTTTACTGAAAAGTGTCTAATGAGAATTCTTTTTGGGTACCTATTAAAAATAGTGGTTATTTAGAACTGAGTTTTTATTGTGATTATCAGCTCTAACACTTTGTAATTATCATTTTAGGGAGTATCATATTTTTTATATAGACATGTATAATTAATTTAGCTACATCAAATATCTTTTATTTAATGAATATTTTCAGTGTAGGTCAATGGTAAGGGCTACAGATACCAATCAGTTTATAAAATATTTAGTGTGCAAAATCACTACCACTGCAAGGAAATGCATTGTGTAAAGCTTTTCAAACTTATATTCAACAGTTTGATTTTGTAAGTTTGTAAAAATACACACATAATTACATGTATACATGTGAGATGCAAACTATATTCTGAAGAACAACAATGTCATCTAGTCCAAGAGATTAAAGAAGCAAAATCAGGAACTTAATTGGCTTTATATTTAGGATCAATAGGTGTTAATGAGAAGGAGTACGTGAGAACTTCATTTTAGTTTTAAATATCTTATAATTACATCAGTGTTTTTAACTGTGACTATAAAAGATAATATGTTTTAAGTGAGTAGATCAGTGAACCTGTTAACTTATTTTTTCATACTTGAGTTAATAACTTTTACTGAGATAATAACTATTTATGTTTCTATGTTTCTTTTAAGTTGATTGTTTCATTCAGAATTAATTTTTTTTTTTTTTGAGATGGAGTCTCATTCTGTTGCCCAGGCTGGAGTGTAGTGGTGCGATCTCAGCTCGCTGCAACCTCTGCCTCCCAGGTTCAAGCCGTTCTCCTGCCTCGGCGTCTTGAGTAGCTGGGACTTCAGGCACCGGCCACCACGCCTGGCTAATTTTTTTTTTTTTTTTTTTTTTAGTAGAGATAAGGTTTCACCATGTTGGCCAGGCTGGTCTCGAACTTCTGACCTCAAGTGATCTGCCTGCCTCTGCCTCCCAAGGTGCTGGGATTACAGGTGTGAGCCACCGCGCCCAGCCCAGAATTAATTTTAAACACCAACACTTAGTGGCAGTCTATCATGTATAAAGCTTTCTGCTGGGTCTTCTGAAAGATTTTAAAATAAATAACACCCTTAGTAATGGTTTCAGAATATGTTTTTTATTATAATAAATTTTTTTTTGTATGTCACACCTGTTTGAATATAAACAAAAATGTTATAGTATTTAATAATAGATTGATAATTACTAATATTAAAATGGCTGCCATATCATATTTCTTTCATAGAAACTAGAAGCTGATAGTCTTGAAGTTAAAGCAAGCAAGGAGCAGGCTTTGCAAGATCTACAACAGCAAAGACAGCTGAACACAGATTTAGAGCTCAGAGCCACAGAATTGAGTAAACAACTTGAAATGGAGAAGGAAATGTAAGCTAAACCACTTTACTTACAAATTAAGGGAAAAGATTGTGAACTAAGTATTAAAATTTCCTTCAGATTTAAATTTTGCTATCGTAGTGCTTAAAGACTTATTAGATATTTATTTTGTGTTGATTTTATAAACTGATGTTAATGTGAATGAAAAAATAAAGCCATCATAATAGGGTTAAACTTCTCTAGAAAGGACTGAAAACTTAGTTTTATAAAATTTGGGTCATCCAGTTTCTTTTCAACAATGATATGGTGCTCATTTCTCTGGCATAAACCTTGTTTTATGTTGTTCACAAATTTGAATAAATTACTGTAAAATTAAAAAATTCGGGGATATTTATGTGTTACCCAAAAGTAGTTAGCCTTCTAGCTATACCAAATAGGGAATGGATTCTTTCTTATAAGAAGTGATCTTCTCAGCCTGGGTAGCATAGCAAGATTGCTTGAGCTTGGGAGGTCGAGGCTGTCACACCACTGCACTCCAGCCTGGGCGACAAAGTGATACTCTATCTCAAAAAGAAAAAAAAAAAAAAAATAACCTCAGCTTTGTGATGCATTTTGGCAGATTGTCTATGTTTATGAAGACAAAGGAAACACAAAAACCAGTGTGCCTTCTTGTTTTTCTTATTGATGCGAAATTCACACATAGTTAAATGCACAGATTTTACATATGTACTTTGAGTTTTAATCAGTGTATATTCTGTGTATCTGTGGATCTAGCCACAGCACCATATAGGACATTGTCATCACTCCAGGAGTTTTCTCACTTGCCCTTCTAGTCAATACCTTCCTTATCCTTTTCCTGTAGACAACCACAGTCTATGTGTCTATATGGTATCCTGACACCAGTATCATGGTATTGGTACCTAATATCATAGTATCTAATATCATAATTATGATATTGAAAGTCATAAATGTAGCTAAGTTGGTGTGGCATAACACACAAAAGAAACCAGAAGATATTTTTAATATACCATAAAATGGTATATTTTTAATGTAGCTTTATGATATTAGATATTAATCCTTCACCTTTATTATTTTTCAAGATTGTCTTGACTCTTGTAAGTTCATTGCTTTTCCATACACATTTTTGTATTAACTTGTACATGTCTACAAATAAAACTGTTGTATTTTGATTAGAATTCCCTTGAAACTATAAATCAATTTGGGGAGAAATGACATCTTAACAACATTGAGTCTTCTAATACACAAACATATGTCTCTTTATCTACTTGGGCCTTCTTTAATTTCTCTGAGCAGTATTTTATGGTTTTTAACATAGACATCTTGTACATCTTTTGTTAAATTTATTCCTGAATATTTTTTTAATGCTATTGTAAATGTAATTGTTTTTTAAATTTAATTTTCCACTTATGACTAGTATAAAAATAGAATTTTTAAATATATATTGACTTTTCTGCCTATAACCTTGCTCAATTTACTTTTTAGTTTTAGTTGTTGTTTGTAGAGTTCTTGATGTTTTCTAACTAGACATTCATGTTATCTGTGAATAGAGACAAATTTACTTCTTCCTTTCCAACCTATAGGCCTTTTATATCTTTTTTCTTGCTGGCTGGGACATCCAGTAACATTGTGAATGTAAACAGTATTGGCAAATATCTTTGCATTATTTCTAATCTTAGGCAGGAAATATTAAATGTTTCATCATTAAGTTTGAGGTTAGCTGTAGGTTTTTCTGAGATTCCCTTTATCAGATTGAAGACATTACCTTTGATACCTAGTTATATATAAAAAAAAAATTATCGGCCTTGTGGCTCATGCCTGTAATCCTAGAAATTTGGGAGGCTGAGGCAGGCAGATCATCTGAAGTCAGGAGTTCGAGACCAGCCTGGCCAACAGGGTGAAACCTCGTCTCCACTAAAAATACAAAAATCAGCAGGGGATGGTGGCACACGCCTGTAATCTCAGCTACTCGGGAGGCTGAGGCATGAGAATTGCTTGAACCTGGGAGGCAGAAGTTTCAGTGAGCTGAGATCATGCCACTGCACTCCAGTGCCACTGCACTCCAACCTGGGCGACAGAGCGAGACTCCGTCTCAAAAAAAAAAAAATTATTAAAAAAGAAAAATTACCGTGCTTGGATTGAATTTTATCACCTTTTTTCCTGTATCTGTTGATGTGATCATATGGATTTTCTGTTTTATTCTGTTAATATGGTCAGTTACATTGATTGATTTACTGTTAAACCAACCTTGCTTTCCTGGGATAAATTAACTTGACCATGCTGTATTACCTTTTTGTATATTGCTGTTTTTGATTTGATAATACTTTGTTAAAAATGTTTCATATATTTATGAGGGGTATTGGTCTGTAGTATTCTTTTAATATCATTGTCAGGTTTTGATATCAGAGTTATACTGGCCTTAAAAAGGAATTGAGAAGTATTTCCTCCTCCTTTCTGAAATAGTTTGTATGAGATGGATATTATTTGTTTCTTAAAAGTTTGATGGAATTCACTAGTGAACTGGCTAGGCTTAGAGTTCTCTTTCTGGATTGTTTCATTTGGGGTTCAATTCATTTAATAGACATAGAGCTATTCTAATTTCCTGATTTTTTTTTCTTGAGTCAGTTTTGGTACATTGTGTCTTTCAGAAATGGGTTCATTTCCTCTAAACTTCAAGTTTATTGGCAGTTGTTCATAATATTACACTTTTAAGGTCTGTTAGGATCTGTAGTAGTGTTCCTCCTTTATTCTTAATCATGCTAATTTGTCTTTTTAAAAATCAATTTAATTAGAGATTTATCAGTTTTATCAGACTATTGTAAAAAGCTTTTGATTTATTTTGTCAGTTTTCTATCTTATTTATTTCTCCTCTTTATTGTTTCCATCTTTAGACCTTATTACTTTGCTTTTTTTTAATAGCTTTTAAATGTGAAAGCGTCACTGTGTCTGTCTACATTTTGTAGTATCTGTTTCTTTTTTTCAGTTACCCACTTTTCACTTGTCAATGCTAGATGTAAGATTTCTGCAGATGGTAGTATGTAGCCTTATTCTAATAAAATCAGTGTATTATGACAGTTTTGCCACAGATGGAATAAATTATCTTGAAAGAGGGTATCTTTTTTCTAATTTGCACTAAAGTGCTCAATGGATTCATGGCAGCTCTGAGTATAAGGGTGGATTGGTTTAGAAGTTATTGGGACCTATACGATTTATTAGTATATGAAATTTCAAATGTCTCTGGTGGCAGAATGGGCATGTGCTTCTGAACATATATAGCCATAGAAGTGCTTAGCTGCAGCATCATTCGTTCACTCCCAAGGTAGAATTAGTCTCTTGCCCAGCTTATCCTTGATGTTGATGCTGAATTTGGGTCCTGCCATGATGAGATCTTCAATGAACACATCACTCACCATTATTTTGATGGATAAAAATCAGTTCCACCCAATTCATTTGAATGTCTTCATATAACTGGTTACATTTGAGTACATTTTGTCTTTAAACATCAAATCACCTGCTCTGACTGAGTTGATGGACTTGACTTGTGTCAAGGGGATGAGGGCTCTTGACTGTTCCAGTAGTAAAGGTAGAGACTAAGAACCTGAGAAAAGTCCTCTTCAGAAAGGTGAAATAAAACCCATCAGAGTTGATGATTAAGTTGTTTCACACCTTCATGGTTTTCATCCTTGTTTGGGGATATGATGGTGAAAATATTCTCATTTTCATATCTAGTAAATTGGGTCCTGATGCTTTGAATCGGAGGTTATAGAATTGCATCTTGTGCCTCAGGTGGCATTCCTCCTCACGGTAGTTTCCAGTGCCTAGGTATTTGAGGAGCATATCTGATCCATTACATTACCAACCAAATGGTTCATCATTATCTCTAGAATGCAGGCATCAGTCCATGAAGATCATCTCCGAGATGGCTTTTGTTCTGTTCCTCAAAAACTCTGCAGGCCCAATGGTTCTTTCTGTTTCCAATGGGCCCAATGGAAGTGGACCCATTTTCATTCTATGTTCTAATCTCATGGTTCAGAATTCACTTACAGGGCTCCCACATCCTATTGGGGTAGGAAAACCTTTAAGATCTTTCTTGCCTATGTACTTTGTACATACATTTCTCCTCTGAGGTCTTCTCACATTTCTGGAGTACTACCTAGGCAAGGAGGGCTGGGGTCCCTTCTGCTCTTATATCAGATAAACATATAGAGACTTTGACTAAACCCCACCCATGAGCCCAGGGCTTAGCCCAAATAACAGGATACAGGGCTCCCCTTTTTGAGGGCCCCCTTACATTTATACACCCAATGTTTCCCTCCCATCTTACAATGTATTTTCATTCCTCTGCAGTTTAATATATTTTCTGATTTCCTTTGTGATTCCTTCTTTAATGTGTAGGTTATAAGTATGTTTACTTTCCAAATATTGAGGCTTTCCTAGGTATATTATTGTTACTGATTTTTTTTTTTTTTTTTTTTTTTGAGACAGAGTCTCACTCTGTCGCCCAGGCTGGAATGCAGTGGCGTGATCTCGGCTCACTGCAACCTCTGCCACCTGGGTTCAAGCGATTCTCCTGCTTCAGCCTCACGAGTAGCTGGGATTACAGGTGCCTGCCATCATGCCTGGCTAATTTTTGTGTTTTTAGTAGAGATGGGGGTTTCACTGTGTTAGCCAGGTTGGTCTCGATCTCCTGACCTTGTGATCCGCCCACCTTGGCCTCCCACAGTGCTGGGATTACAGGCGTGAGCCACCGTGCCTGGCCCTAATTTCTAATTTAATTTTATTGTGGTCAGAGAACATTCTTGGTAAAATTCAAACTTTTGAAAGTAAGTCTTATTTAAGGCCCAGCATATGGCTTATCATAATTAATTTTCCATGTGCACATATATGTACTCTGTGTTATTGGGTGGAGTGGCTATAAATAACAATTACAGTGCTGTTCTTATTGTCTATATTCTTGCCAATTTGTTCCTCTGGTTGTTCTATCAGTTTCTAAAAAGAGATATTATAGTTTCCAACTATGATTGTGGACTTGTTTATTTCTTCCCTTAGTTACTTAAAAAAAAACAAGAAGTGTCACAGTGACTATGTAAGCCTCTATTTCTGTTTTGCTTTCTTTGATTCACATAGTCTTATGATTTTGTAATTAATTTTGAAAAAGTTAAGCAGCATAGTAAATAAATATATCAAGTCTTAATTCTAAGGTTGCTTAACAGGGATTTTAACTATATTAAAATGTAAAATAATATTAGTATAATGACTTTTCCATTTGGACCTTTAAAAATCAAGGAGGAATAATATCTTGTGAACCTATTAAGCTTTAACATCTTTTCCAGCTATTTTTTAGGAGGTAAAAGTGTGTTTCTAGAACTAAAAAATTAGATTTCGAGGTATAAATACAGTTTTGATATTGTATTAATACACAATTTCAAATACTTTATTAGTACATCTTTTAACAACCTCCCTTTAACATATTGACTTATTTTTATTGGTTACAAATTTATTCTGATTACATTGGAACTAGTGTGCATTCTAGAAATACTGTTACTTAGCATCTGGTTTTGACTTTTAAAATGGCTGTTATTTATAGTGTATTGAGGGTTTTGCTGTATAATTTGCATAGTTCCTTTTATGAAAACAATAAAAGTCTATAGCTTTCTAAAGCTATAACTTTATTTCTTCATTCTTGTTGCTTTTTTCATTCATGTATAAGAGAACTATATTAAGGAACAAATGATAACAAATCCTTTGTATAATCTGCTAGCTTCTAGGGTTAAAGTAAATCATTTGTCTTCCCTCTATATTGTAAATAAAATATTTTTTTAATTTTCTTTCTTTGATTTTTTTCTGGGTTAACCATAAATATTTTGAAGCCTAAGAACTGTCACACATAATGTGTTTCATGTTTTCAAGGAAAGAGACAAAGTTCTCTCTGTGTTGGAGAACTAACATAATGAATAGATTCTTTATGGAAAAACGTTTCTGGCTGTTATAGAGTAGAGGGTCTGTGATACATAGTTTTTTTCCTCGGGATTAGTTGTGGCGGACAAAAATGGATTAAGTCAGGAAGCTTAGATAGTTTTGTCTTCACTACTAACTTATTTGACTTGGGAAAAATAATCTACATCTGTTAAATGATCAAATGAGATGTTCTAAAGTATTTTTCAGTGGTGCGATTTTATGAAATTAAATTATTTTTACTTGTGAACTATACAAAAAAGTTTCAGAACTCAGTAATTGTTTGTGATTAATTTTGAATGGTAAATTAGAAGTGGTAAATTATGTGTTATTTAAAAAGATTGTTTTTTAAATATTTAGAGTATCCAGTACAAGATTGGATCTACAGAAAAAATCTGAAGCCCTTGAAAGTATCAAGCAAAAGCTTACCAAGCAAGAGGAAGAAAAAAAAATCCTGAAACAAGATTTTGAAACTTTAAGTCAAGAAACAAAGATTCAGCATGAGGAATTGAATAACAGAATTCAAACAACAGTAACAGAACTACAAAAAGTGAAAATGGAGAAAGAAGCTTTAATGACAGAGCTTTCTACAGTAAAGGACAAACTATCAAAAGTTTCTGATTCTTTGAAAAACTCTAAAAGTGAATTTGAAAAGGAGAATCAGAAAGGAAAAGCCGCTATATTAGACTTGGTTAGTAGTTTACATTTACTTTCTTAGGTAGAAGTGATTATTTTATTTAAAATGTACTGATTTTTCTGCTTAATTCACAGTTTGCTTTTCTTTCCACATTTAAATAGTTTAAAGTAGTTCTTATGAGGAAATTAATTGGGATTGCTTAACCTGAGAAGAAGCCCAAGATAATAATGTGTGTGTATGCACCTGTGTGCACGCCATTTTCTAAAGGCCAAGAATATTTTCAGTTGAATATTAGTCTTTCTCATGTGTGTTGTTATGTTCTTTTCTGTTTAGAGAAAACATTTTCTATCTGTACACTTTTCCTATTGTGATCATTTCTTAATTTATTGTTTCCTAAGTTTTCTTGCTTCCATTTTCTTGAAGCCCATTGCTATAAAAGTAGTGTGGCAAGTTAATTATAATGAATTGTGTGACATAAAATGTGATTTCTAAAGTGTTCTAAGATATCATTTTAATGTTTAAAATATGCCATTGTGACTTGGTTGATGATCAAAACCCTTAGTGTTTTGTTGTCCCTCCTCCATTACTTCTGTAATATTTTCCTAGTTTTATCATTGAAATGGATGATCCTGTCTCATCTTAGCTCATCATAATTTTAGTTTATTTCTTCGTGTGTATCTTACTAAGGTTATAAACTAAACTTCTTAAGGTTATTACAAATATTTTTTATGTAATATAGTTTTCATTTTTTTTAAGGAAAAAACTTGCAAAGAATTAAAGCATCAACTTCAAGTGCAGATGGAAAACACACTTAAGGAACAGAAGGAACTGAAAAAGTCACTTGAAAAAGAGAAGGAGGTAAGATTTTTTTTTTGTAACATAAAATCTGTAAAGTATAGTAAGGTCTTTATATTTTCAAATAAATATATAAAGCATGTTTGTTCTTGGGGGCATTTCCACAGATAATTTTTTTTTATAGTTTTAAGAAAAATAAGCATTTTCATACTGATATTTAGGTCATAGGTTCATTTCTCTGAAATGTAACAAATCATGTATATAGTTTAAAATTGTTATTTGTATTTTGCCTACTATTAAAAAGACTTAAGCTAGTTTATAATCAAAGACCCAAATAAAGAAATATTATTAATAAAGGTAGAAAATTGAGTCAGCTAACTACAGGGTTAAGGACCATTTTTATGGTTGAAAAAAAAATCTTAAAAGGCTTTCTATAGAAATGACCTTTATTTCATGGACTCTTTATGGCTCTTTATTTCATGGACATTTATACACATACTAATGTATACTTGATAATGGTTGTAGAACAACCAAAATATTTTTCTGTGGTTAATGCTTCTATTGTTTCCAGCAAAAACAGACAAGCAAATGAGTAAACACATGGGTATAATATATGGTTGTTGCTCTCTGAAGCCATACCTGCTAGCTGCTAGAGTCTAGGTATGCAACTTTCTAGAAAATCTGATTTGATAAAGGAGCAAGACATAGTACTGACAAGTATTTGATGTGATTGTATTCTAGTTGTTGATTGAAAGCAGACTTGTGTTGTAGATGCCAGCCATGTAAGTAGCAAAATTATAATTGCTTCATGCCCAAGTTCTGAATCAAGATTGTTCAAATTTATATCCTGGCTATGCCATTTATTAGCTATGCCATTTCGCCATCTTTTAGACCAAATACTTAATCTCTGTGCTCTAGTTTCTATATGATAGAGTCTATATGAATCTATGTGATAGAGTTATTGTGAGAAATAAATGGGTTAATATCTTTAAAGTACTCAGTACACTGACTATAATAAAGTAAATGCTCATGCTAGTTATTATTTTATCATTGGTTATATCATATATCATCCTTATTGTCATACTCTCTGACTCCTGTTTTGCATAAAAATATTTTGCTATTCATTGTGGAGATAAGCTGAGACGTCTATATATAACACTAACATTTTTTCAAAAGTAACTTTGGATATGGTCAAATGCTTGAATGTAATGCTAGGTTCTTAGTAAAATATGCATAGAACATGAAAACATGACTTTGGTTGGAGGGTGGGAGATAATAGTGGTTTACCTTGGTGACAGAGGAACTTCAGTGTGACTTCTGTATGATGTCTGAATTTGAACAGAAACATATCCTAGTGGATTGTACAAACAAGGTAGTAGTAAAATATGCCCCAGATCTCTAAATGAGGTAACTATTCTACAGTGTATTATTATTATTATTTTAAACAGAGTCTCGCTCTGTCAGCCAAGCTGGAGTGCAGTGGCGCAATCTCGGCTCACTGCAACCTCCACCTCCTAAGTTCAAGCGATTCTCCTGCCTCAGCCTCCCAAGTAGCTGGGATTACAGGTGCCTGCCACCACGCCTGGCTAATTTTTGTATTTTTAGTAGAGACAGGCTTCACCATGTTGCCCAGGCTGGTCTCGAGCTCCTGACCTCAAGTAACCTGCCCGCGTTGGCCTCCAAAAGTGCTGGGATTATAGGCGTGAGCACCTGGCCTGTGCAGTGTAATTTAATGTCATCAGACAGATACTAAATGTATTTTGTCAAAAGTGATTTTGTTTTTATCATAGTTACTATAGAGCTATTCTTTGCGACAACTGTGGCCAATAGGCTTAGTGGCATATGAGAATTTTTTTTTTTAATTATTATTTTTTGAGATGGAGTCTCTTGCTCTGTTGCCCAGGCTGGAGTGCAGTGGCACGATCTCGGCTCACTGCAAGCTCTGCCTCCTGGGTTCACACCATTCTCCTGCCTCAACCTCCCGAGTAGCTGGGACTACAGGCACCTGCCACCACACCCGGCTAATTTTTTTGTATTTTTAGTAGAGATGGGGTTTCACTGTGTTAGCCAGGATGGTCTCGATCTCCTGACCTCGTGATCCTCCCGCCTCAGCCTCCCAAAGTGCTGGGATTACAGGTGTGAGCCACCGTGCCTGGCCGAGAATATTCTTGAAAGACAGTTGACATCCAACAATTTAGACATTGATGTTGACATACCTATTTTCCATAATACAAGAGAATACTAATGTAGATCATTTACAAGCTGTAACTATACAATTATAAGTCAAAAAGAAAGGTAGTGTTAAAAAAAATAATAAAGATTAATCCAGCATGTCACCTAATAGTGAATAGTGTTGGTTATGAAAGCAATATGAGGGCAGGTATCTTTACTAATTATCTGTAGCCAACAGCCTCAGTAATTTCTTCCTAGAGTAGTGCCTGGAGTGTAGTAGTTACTCAGTAAATTGTCTTTTGAATGAACAAATGAAGGCTAAATAGATTTTTTTTTCTAGTTACTCAGTACATCGTCTTTTGAATGAACAAATGAAGGCTAAATAGATTTTTTTTTTCTTTCAGGCTTCTCATCAGTTGAAATTGGAACTCAATTCAATGCAGGAACAACTTATACAGGCCCAGAATACTTTAAAACAAAATGAAAAAGAAGAGCAACAACTTCAGGGGAACATAAATGAGCTAAAGCAATCAAGTGAACAGAAGAAAAAACAAATTGAAGCACTCCAAGGAGAGCTTAAAATTGCTGTTTTACAGAAGGTAGTGATATATTTGTTTACTTTTTATAGGAAGAAAAACTTGGCAATTAAGAAAATAGTATGATGATTAATACAGATGGATAAGTTGCAACATTGAAAAGTTT
The DNA here is from genome assembly GCF_000001405.40 of Homo sapiens. Classification (NCBI taxonomy): domain Eukaryota; kingdom Metazoa; phylum Chordata; class Mammalia; order Primates; family Hominidae; genus Homo; species Homo sapiens. Next base: position 92,798,788 of record NC_000012.12, on the reverse strand, counting down.
ACATAAGCTAATTTTTTTCTAAGTTTAATATATGAAAGCATTTGACTATATTATCAAATACCTGAGTCTGGATTTCCATTCACTATAACTCTCTTGTCAGATAATTGTTATTTAAAATTATTGTACTAATCATTTGATAGACATGAAACTATCTTATTAAAAATAATATATAACTGGCCGGGCACAGTGGCTCACGCTTGTAATCTCAGCACTCCAAGGCAGGCAGATCACCTGAGGTCAGGAGTTCAAGACCAGCCTGGCCAACATGGTGAAACCCCGTCTCTACTAAAAATACACAAATTAGCTGGGCGTGGTGGTGCATTCCTGTAATCCCAGCTACTCAGGAAGCTGAGGCAGGAGGCAGAGGTTGCAGTGAGCTGAGATCATGCCGCTGCACTTCAGCCTGGGCGACAGAGGTACTCTGTCTCAAAAAAAAATAATAATAATAATAATGTAACACTTAAGGAAATAATTTATGCAACATTCATCGTGTATTAGAAAAATTTAAAGGAATTTAAAATAAATCATTCTTATTAAGGGCTAAGAATAAAAATTACAAAGTGGGATATCTTAAAAACATTCACTAGTGTAAAGCTTCATATAGTTTTAATTATTAATATTTTAAGTTACACTGTAATGGTTTCCATTTCCAAATCTATTCTAATTTATTATTGAGCATATTTTTTATTCTTAAGTGTTTTAATACTTGTCCAGACCAAGAGTTGGTAAAAATGGATTATACTTAATATGAAATATTTGAGCACAATGAGTTCCTTCTCTACTGTTAGTATGTCCATGTTAATTGGTCTATGGAGAAGATAGTAGAATCCCTCCTATGTAGAATAAACTAAATATATCATGCCATTAAGAGTTGGCTTTCATACTGCTAAAGTACAAAGTATATAAATTAAAACAATCAAAAATACACATTTTATGTTGACCACTGTTTTTGTAGCTATTATTATGCTGCTTTACAAAATAGTAGTTCTTTAATAATACAACCAAGAGTAGACAAATGTGTCTATTCTTTTGTTTTTCTTACCATATATAATCAAAAGTCAACATGTAATTATCACAGTGCATACTTTGTTGTATGCTTTCATATCCTGAGGTCATTTTCTTCAAAATATACTAGCCTTGTATCCAAATATTTACAAAATCTTCGTTTTTATAGCATCGTAACTTAGTGAAATAAAAAACACAAGTATTTTTAGCATGTTTTCTTATTTAAAAATTATGAGTTATAATAATATTTCTTTTGGATTTGTGATTAATATATATTGCCTGTACAGTTGACCCTCCATATCTGTAGATTCTGTAACTGCAGTTGGAGTTGAAAATATTTGGGAGAAGAAAAGCAATAAAAAGTAACAGTACAGTATTAAAAAATAATACAAAATTGGCTGGGTGCAGTGGCTCACACCTGTAATCCCAGCACTTTGGGAGGCTGAGGTAGGCAGATTACTTAAGGTCAGGAGTTCGAGACCAGCCTGGCCAACATGGTGAAATCCTGTCTCTACTAAAAATACAAAAATTAGCTGGGCATGGTGGTGTGCACCTGTAGTCCCAGCTACTCCGAAGGCTGAGGCAGGAGACTCGCTTGAACCCCAGAGGCAGAGGTTGCAGTGAGCCAAGATCGTGCCACTGCACTCCAGCTTGGGCAACAGAGTGAGACTCCATCTCAAAAAAGCAAAACAAAACAAAACCAAAACACCCAAAATTTAAAATACAGTAAAACAACTATTTACATAGCATTTACATTGTATTAGGTATTGTAAGTAATCTAGAGATGTTCAAGCCAGGCAGATCTGAATGCAAATTTTGTTTAATTTTGTTAAATTTGGACACACATTAACTTACTGGTCATAGAGAAATGATTCATCTTTCTGAGCTCAATTTAATGGAGTCATAGAGTTGTTGTAAAGATTGAGATAATGTATTTAAAGTTTCTAGTACTGTGACTCATACAATGTGGAAGTAAAATAGTTGTTGGATATTATATGGAAGTATAGCAAACTGTGACCTGAGAATGTCAGTGTATATGGTAGACCATGTAATAATAGGCCATGACAAAGTTATCATTGTCACTGGCCCATGGTGAAGTAGGGAAAACAAGGATAATGTTTAAATGGGTATAGATGTATGTGTGTACACACTTAAATATATATATAAAACATAAAAATATGTATACACACATTATGTCTAGATATGTAGTTTTATATCTATAGCTATAGAGTTATATATATAAGTAGATATCTATAGATATATAGTTTTCCACATTGAAGGTCATAATGCACTTACACATTTTCTGCATATATATATATAAATAAAAAGTAATACTACAGCATTAAAAATACCAAAATTTAAAATACAGTAAAAACAACTATTTACATAGCATTTATATTGTTAATGCTATGTTACCTAATGGTATTGTAAGTAATCTAAAGATGATTTAAAACATTATATATAGCATAAGACTATTCGGGAGTTACTGATCTAGAATCAAGAAAGCATGCTGTTAAGTCAACAATCCCTCACCAACTTTGCTCAAAATCTAATGTGGAAATATAAAGTGAATAGGATATGGCCCCTTATTTTCAAGCAGCTTATAATTTAATGAGAAAGCAAAATGTAAAGCAAAAGAAAACTGTATTATATAATGGAGCAGTTATCAAACTGTTGCATTTATCTGTTTTTTTTTTCATTTAACTTCTTCACTAATGGATTTGAGTTCCTCAAAGACAGAGAATTTTGTCTTTTCTAGCAAATAAGCTCTTAATCATTTTAAAAAAATGAATGAATGAGTTTGTCAAAGGAAAAATATTGAAAGCCCAAACATGAGCCCAAAGAGCTATTATGGCCATTATTGAGACTTCACAGAGAGCTTAGTTAAGAGTCAGAACAATAATTAAAGAGTTAAGAAACCTAGATTTGTGAAAAAATGTTAAAGAAAAGAAGCAGTATTTTAGAAAAGAAAATGTGTAAGTGCATTATGACCGTCAATGTGAAAAAGATATCCAGGAATTCTTCAATGTGAATTGGAAGAAGAACTCTATGAAAGGAGGATGGCATGGGATGTTATCAGATACTGTATAGGGAGATCAGCTCTCTGCTCCCCGATAGGCAGTTAGCACCAATTCCTATCATTCTGTCTCCTAGCTTTCTTGAATCCATCCTTCTCATTTTCCACTGCTACAGCCTTAGTCCAGACTTTCTTTTTCTCTTATCTAGGCTGTTAATATAGCCTAATAAATGTTCCGGGCCCTCCAGTCTATTTGTCATTCAATCACTTGTTTCAGAAATATTACTAGGCACTTATTTTATGCCATGGCACAATTCTAGGTGCTGAAGACGACACAGCTGCGAATAAAACAGACATGGGACCTGTTCTTGTGGAGCTTATACTTTAGTGCGTAGAGAAACTAAACAGAGAGGTATGAAAGATAGTGATGGGACATAATTCTACTGAAGGTTGGGTGATCAAAGAAGCTTTGCTGAAGAGATTTGAGTTGATGTTGGTATTTTCTAAAAACAGATGACCAATATGGTTAAATTTGGTTCTGAGGGAGAAGGTAACATGAGATGAGCTCAGATAATTAGACAGGGGCCAGATCATTTATATGCAAATTAGATTATGAGATAACAGAATGGTATATTTTATTCTAAGGGCAATTGGACTCTATTGGAGAATTTAGAACAGAGAATGGTGGGGTTTGACTAAAGGGAAAATAAAGGATTTTGTGAATGATTATAATGATTTGTGAATATATTTTGGAAGTTGCATCATCAGGACTTTCTGATAGATTCAAAAGTGAGAGGTAATAGGAAGAGGATCAAGGATAACTTGGGTTTGTGCATGTGGGTAGTTGGTAATGCCATTTATTGGGGGAAGTAGCAGCTTTTTTTTTTCTTTTATTTAAGTTCTAGTTTACATGTACACAACATGCAGGTTTGATACATAGGTATACATGTGCCATGTTGGTTTGCTGCACCCATCAACTCATCATTTACATTAGGTATTTCTTCTAATGATATCCCTCCCCCAGCCCCCCACCCCCCGACAGGCCCTGGTGTGTGATGTTCTCTGCCCTGTGTCCAAGTGATCTCATTGTTCACTTTCCACCTATGAGTGGGAACATGCGGTGTGTGGTTTTCTGTCCTTGTTATAGTTTGCTGAGAATGATGGTTTCCAGCTTCATCCATGTCCCTGAAAAGGACATGAACTCATCCTTTTTTAAGGCTGCATAGTATTCCATGGTGTATATGTGCCATATTTTTTTTTATCCAGTCTATCATCGATGGACATTTGGGTTGGTTCCAAGTCTTTGCTATTGTGAATAGTGCTGCAATAAACATACGTGTGCATGTGTCTTTATAGTAGCACGATTTATAATCCTTTGGATATTTACCCAGTAATGGGATTGCTGGGTCAAATGGTATTTCTAGTTCTAGATCCTTGAGGAATCGCCACACTGTCTTCCACAATGGTTGAACTAATTTACACTCCCACCAACAGTGTAAAAGTGTTCCTGTTTCTCCACATCCTCTCCAGCATCTGCTGTTTCCTGACTTTTTAATGATTGCCATTCTAACTGGCGTGAGATGGTATCTCATAGTGGTTTTGATTTGCATTTCTCTGATGGCCAGTGATGATGAGCATTTTTTCCTGTGTCTGTTGGCTGCATAGATGTCTTCTTTTGAGAAGTGTCTGTTCGTATCCTTTGCCCACTTTTTGATGGGGTTGTTTGTTTTTTTCTTGTAAATTTGTTTGAGTTCTTTGTAGATTCTGGATATTAGCCTTTTGTCACATGGGGAGATTGCAAAAATTTTCTCCCATTCTGTAGGTTGCCTGTTCGCTCTGATGGTAGTTTCTTTTGCCGTGCGGAAGCTCTTTAGTTTAATTAGATCCCATTTGTCTATTTTGTCTTTTGTTGTCATTGCTTTTGGTGTTTTAGTCATGAAGTCCTTGCAATGCAGGCTCTTTTTTGGTTCCATATGAACTTTAAAGTAGTTTTTTCCGATTCTATGAAGAAAGTCATTGGTAGCTTGATGGTGATGGCATTGAATCTATAAATTACTTTGGGCAGTAAGGTCATTTTCATGATATTGATTTTTCCTATCCATGAGCATGGAATATTCTTCCATTTGTTTGTGTCCTCTTCTATTTCATTGAGCAGTAGTTTGTAGCTGTCCTTGAAGATGTCCTTCACATCCCTTGTAAGTTGGATTCCTAGGTATTTTATTCTCTTTGTAGCAATTGTGAATGGGAGTTCACTCATGATTTGGCTCTCAGTTTGTCTGTTAATAGTGTATAGGAATGCTTGTGATTTTTGCACATTGATTTTGTATCCTGAGACTTTGCTGAAGTTGCTTATCAGCTTAAGGAGATTTTGGACTGAGACAATGGGGTTTTCTAAATATACAATCATGTCATCTGCAAACAGGGACAATTTGACTTCCTGTTTTCCTAATTGAATACCCTTTATTTCTTTCTCTTGCCTGATTGCCCTGGCCAGAACTTCCAACACTATGTTGAATAGGAGTGGTGAGAGAGGGCATCCTTGTCTTGTGCCGGTTTTTAAAGGGAATGCTTCCAGTTTTTGCCCATTCAGTATGATATTGGCTGTGGGTTTACTATAAGTAGTTCTTGTTATTTTGAGATACGTTCCCTCAATATCTAGTTTGTTGAGAGTTTTTAGCATGAAGGCTGTTGAATTTTGTCGAGGGCCTTTTCTGCATCTATTGAGATACCATGTGGTTTTTGTCGTTGGTTCTGTTTATGTGACGGATTACATTTATTGATTTGCATATGTTGAACCAGCATTGCATCCCAGGGATGAAGCTAACTTGATTGTGGTGGATAAGCTTTTTGATGTGCTGCTGGATTCGGTTTGCCAGTATTTTATTTGAGGATTTTCGCATCGATGTTCATCAGGGATATTGACCTCAAATTCTCTTTTTTAGTTGTGTCTCTTCTGGGCTTTGGTATCAGGATGATGTTGGCCTCATAAAATTAGTTAGGAAGGATTCCCTCTTTTTCTGTTGATTGGAATAGTTTCAAAAGGAATGGTACCAGCTCCTCTTTGTATCTCTGGTAGAATTCAGCTGTGAATCTGCCTGGTCCTGGACTTTTTTTGGTTGGTAGGCTATTAATTATTTCCTCAATTTCAGATCCTGTTATTGGTCTATTCAGAGATTCAACTTCTTCCTGGTTTAGTCTTGGGAGGGTGTATCTGTCCAGGAATTTATTGATTTCTTCTAGAAATTTTCTAGTTTATTTGTGTAGAGGTGTTTATAGTATTCTCTGATGGTAGTTTGTATTTCTGTGGGATCGGTGGTGATATCCCCTTTATCATTTTTTTATTGCATCTATTTGATTCTTCTCTCTTTTCTTCTTTATTAATCTTGCTAGCAGTCTATCAATTTTGTTGATCTTTTCAAAAAACCAGCTCCTGCATTCATTGAATTTTTTTGAAAGGTTTTTTTTGTGTCTCTATCTCCTTCATTTCTGCTCTGATCTTAGTTATTTCTTGCCTTGTGCTTGCTTGTGAATTTGTTTGCTCTTGCTTCTTTAGTTCTTTTAATTGTGATGTTAGGGTGTCGATTTTAGTTCTTTCTTGCTTTCTGTTGTGGGCATTTAGTGCTATAAATTTCCCTCTACACACTGCTTTAAATGTGTCCCAGAGATTCTGGTATGTTGTGTCTTTGTTCTCATTGGTTTCAAAGAACATCTTTATTTCTGCCTTAATTTTGTTATTTACCCAGTAGTCATTCAGGAGCAAGTTGTTCAGTTTTCATGTAGTTCTGCGGTTTTCAGTGAGTTTCTTAATCCTGAATTCTAATTTGATGGCACTGTGATCTGAGAGACAGTTTGTTGTGATTTCTGTTCTTTTACATTTGCTGAGGAGTGCTTTACTTCCAATTATGTGGTCAATTTTAGAATAAGTGTGATGTGGTGCTGAGAAGAATGTATATTCTGTTGATTTGGGGTGGAGAGTTCTGTAGATGTCTGTTAGGTCTGCTTGTTGCAGAGCTGAGTTCAGATCCTGGATATCCTTGTTAACCTCTGTCTCGTTGATCTGTCTAATATTGACAGCGAGGTGTTAAAGTCTCCCATTATTATTGTGTGGGAGTCTAGGTCTCTTTGTAGGTCTCTAAGGACTTGCTTTATGATTCTGGGTGCTCCTGTATTGGGTGCATATACATTTAGGATAGTTAGCTCTTCTTGTTGAACTGATCCCTTTAACATTATGTAATGGCCTCTTTGTCTCTTTTCATCTTTGTTGGTTTAAAGTGTGTTTTATCAGAGACTAGGATTGCAACCCCTGGTGTTTTTTTGCTTTCCATTTGCTTGGTAGATCTTCCTCCATCCCTTTATTTTGAGCCTATATGCGTCTTTGCATGTGAGATGGGTCTCTTGAATACAGCACACTGATGGGTCTTGACTCTTTATCCAATTTGCCAGTCTGTGTCTTTTAATTGGGGCATTTAGCCCATTTATATTTAAGGTTAATATTGTTATGTGTGAATTTGATCCTGTCATTATGATGTTCGCTGGTTATTTTGCCCGTTAATTAATGCAGTTTCTTCATAGCATCAATGGTCTTTACAATTTGGCCTGTTTTTGCAGTGGCTGGTACCGGTTGTACCTTTCCATGTTTAGTGCTTCCTTCAGGAGCTCTTGTAAAGCAGGCCTGGTGGTGACAAAATCTCTCAGCATTTGCTCATCTGTAAAGGATTTTATTTCTCTTTCAGTTTTGAAGCTTAGTTTGGCTGGATATGAAATTCTGGGTTGAAAATTGTTTTCTTTAAGAAAGTTGAATATTGGCCCCCACTCTCTTCTGGCTTGTAGGGTTTCTGTCGAGAGATCTGCTGTTAGTCTGATGGGCTTCCCTTTGTGGGTAACCCGACCTTTCTCTCTGGCTGCCCTTAACATTTTTTCCTTCATTTCAACCTTGGTGAATCTGACAATTATGTGTCTTGGAGTTGCTCTTCTTGAGGAGTATCTTTGTGGTGTTCTCTGTATTTCCTGAATTTGAATGTTGGCCTGCCTTGCTAGGTTCGGGAAGTTCTCCTGGGTAATATCCTGAAGAGTGTTTTCCAACTTGGTTCCATTCTCCCCATCACCTTCAGGTACACCAATCAAATGTAGATTTGGTCTTTTCACACAGTCCATATTTCTTGGAGGCTTTGTTCATTTCTTTTTACTCTAACCTTGTCTTCTTGCTTTATTTTGTTCATTTGATCTTCAATCACTGATACCCTTTCTTCCACTTGATCGAATCAGCTGTTGAAGCTTGTGCATGTGTCATGAAGTTCTCGTGCCATGGTTTTCAGCTCCATCTCTACACTGTTTATTCTAGTTAGCCATTCATCATTCAAAAAGGTTGAAAAAACCTTTTTTCAAGGTTTTTAGCTTCCTTGCGATGGGTTCGAACATCCTCCTTTAGCTCGGAGAAGTTCGTTATTACCAACCTTCTGAAGCCTACATCTGTCAACTCGTCAAAGTTATTCTCCATCCAGCTTTGTTCTGTTGCTGGCGAGGAGCTGTGATCTTTTGGAGGAGAAGAGGTGCTCTGATTTTTAGAATTTTCAGCTTTTCTGCTCTGGTTTCTCCCCATCTTTGTGGTTTTATCTACCTTTGGTCTTTGATGTTGGTGACCTACAGGTGGAGTTTTGGTGTAGATGACCTTTTTGTTGATGTTGATGTTATTCCTTTCTGTTTGTTAGTTTTCCTTCTAACAGGTCCCTCAGCTGCAGATCTGTTGGAGTTCCACTCCAGACTCTGTTTGCCTGGGTATCACCAGCGGAGGCTGCAGAACAGTGAATATTGCAGAACAGCAAATATTGCTGCCTGATCCTTCCTCTGGAAGCTTCGTCCCAGAGGGGCAGCTGCCTATATGAGGTGTCTGTTGGCCCCTATTGGGAGGTGTCTCCCAGTTAGGCTACTCAGGGGTCAGGGACCCACTTGAGGATGCAGTCTGTCCGTTCTCAGAGCTCAAACGCCATGCTGGGAGAACCACTGCTCTCTTCAGAGCTGTCAGACAGGGACGTTTAAGTCTGCAGAAGTTGTCTGCTGCCTTTTGCTTAGCTATGCCCTGCCCCCAGAGGTGGAGTCTAGAGGCAGTAGGGCTTGTTGAGCTGTGGTGGGCTCCACCCAGTTCGAGCTTCCTGGCCACTTTGTTTACCTACTCAAGCCTCAGCAATGGCAGACCCCCCTCTCCGAGCCAGGCTCAGAAGTAACAGCTTTTTGATGCTCGTGGCTACTCTCAGGAATCCAGATTTCTGCTTGAGATAGGTATGTCAGTCATTCAAGTGGAGACATCAGGAAGATACATGGATATAAGAACCCAGAGTTCAGATGGAGAGGTTGCAGTTAGAGACATAAGTTTGGGAGTCAGTTGTAAAGAATATCTTTAAAGCCTGGGACTAGTTGAGATCTGGGTTTTTTTTCTTTTCTTTTCTTTCTCTTTTTCTTTTCTTTCTTTCTTTTTTTTTTTTGAGATGGCGTCTCTCTGTTGCCCAGGATGGAGTGCAGTGGTGCGATCTCGGCTCACTGCAACATCCACCTCCTGTGTTCAGGCGATTCTTCTGCCTCAGCCTCCTGAGTAGCTGGGATTACAAGTGTCCACCACCATGCCCAGCTAATTTTTGTATTTTTAGTAGAGGCGGGGTTTCACCATGTTGGTCAGGCTGGTCTCGAACTCCTGACCTCAGGTGATCACCCACCTCAGCCTTCCGAAGTGTTGGGATTACAGGTGTGAGCCACCATGCCCGGCCTAGTTGAGATCTTCTAAAGAGAGAGTGTATGGATTAAAAGAGGGCCAGCAATAGAACTCTGGGGTGTCTCAACATTCACAGAAGTAGCAGAGGAAAAGGAGCTAGTAAAAGATTTTGAGAAGTTATCACCAGTAAGGTAGGAAGAGAACCTAAAATATAAAGTACTTTGGAAACCAGTTGAAGAAAGTGTTTCTAGAAGGAGACATAATCAACTATATCAGGTACAACTTGACAGGTCAAGTAAGACATTGACAAGGATAAGAATATAGGATTTTGGAACATGGCAGTCACTAATGACTTCAACAGCAATTTTATTGAAGGTAGTATATTTTGAAAGTCAAATACCTATTTTTCATACTATGCATATGTATATGTTTTAACTATGTCATAATTTGTGCATATCTCCTGAATCTTCTTGAAGACTAAAGACAAGTTTAGAGTTTAGAGGAGCTTTAAAACTTTGTGAGATTTTCTTTTTCTGCCTTGATATTAATTAAGATGACCTGTAGAAATTTCCTAAGTTATTCTTGAATTTCCAAGAGTAGAAACTATATATTAATACTTCAACAAAGTAATGGCTTCTTACTTTCTTTCATGTACAAGTTTCCCTTAGTTCCACCTTAAATTACGTCAGCTGAGGCATCTAGCACTGCATGCTCCCTCAGAATGTAGTTGTTACTCTTTCTCCCGAGACCTGATAGTACTTCCCAGTGAAATGCCTTTTTAAAAAAAAAAAAAAATTAATTACTTTTGTATTTTATGTTCTTTAAATTGAGACTTGTTAGATTTTGTAATTCTTTGACTTTATAAGTAATTTACCCTATTGAGGTAGAAATTTGGGGCATAAGTACAGTTCATCTTATTGTTTGGAATTTTCTTCTAGTTGTCTGGATTTTACTTTATATTTGTAATTGGTTTTTGGAATGCATACTGTTTTAAATAACTATTGTATGTTTCAGACAGAGCTTGAGAATAAACTACAGCAGCAGTTAACACAGGCAGCCCAGGAACTTGCAGCAGAGAAAGAGAAAATATCAGTATTACAAAACAACTATGAAAAAAGTCAGGAAACTTTCAAACAGCTTCAATCTGATTTCTATGGGAGGGAATCTGAACTTCTAGCCACCAGGCAAGATCTTAAGGTATAGTAAACTATACTGTACCATAAAGTCTCAGTAAGTTTTATAGACATTTATTAAATGATCTATTTGAATCCAAATGGGCAAGGAAATGTTAGTATTTGTGGAATAGTGTGCTGTTTTCTATTAAATTGTTATTTTGTATTAGCATGCTTTAAAAAATTGTTTAAAATGTGGGCATTTTAAAATGACATATTTATAATAGTAAGATAATTTGGATATATCTTAATTGTGACACTGTTAACTTATGTAAGTATTATGCTGTCTTTGTGTGTGAATAACTTTAAAGATAGGCTGCTGTTAAGTTTTAAATGTAAACCACTTGTGAAAAAATGCAAGCAATTTTACCATTGCTTGTCAGGCAATTCTGACATTAGTTATAATATTTGTCAAGTTCCCAATATTACTGGATTGCCTAATGATTAAAATTAGGAGATTATAGCTCAAAATAAACTTACCCTTAATTATATAACAATGTATAGAAATTTTGTCTTTGGTAATGTTATTTGATTAGATAAAGTATCAAGTTTATTAAATTGAAGGATAATGGGAAAAGGGTAAACAATTTTTAGGTCACAGGAAGGTACCAGTTTTCTAAGGAAAATGGAATATTTGTGTTCTCTCACAGAGGATTCAGCCAGTTTTTTTTCTGTCTCTCTTTTTGTTAAGGGGAAATGCTTTATCTGTTTCTTTCCTATGTTTGGGATTTTGTTTATTTAAAGTGCATATTGCAAAATTCTGAGAATGAAAGAATATTAAAATGTTTTATTTAGATAGGGAGCATATATTTTATCCATAGGCTGTTATAAGGAATTATGAAGGAGGTGGGACTTGATTAGGTCCTGAATTTGAATACACAGAGACTCCGGAGAAAGGTCATTTTATTCAGGGGCACATTTGAGAAAAGGTGCCATAGTGAGAATGAATAAAGCAAGCAGACAGTTAACATAATTGCCTTGCTGGCGTACTAGTTTATGTTTGGAATTAAGGTTTAAAAGGTTGGATCTAAATTGTGAAGTATCTTAGATGCCTAGCAAAGATGATTGGATTTTATATTTGAGGGGAAAAAGTGAAAAGTCTAAATAGAGGAGTAAAATGAAGAAAATAGTACTTTAGAAAACAACCTGGTAGTGGTTTGCAGACAGCTTGGATTGGACCTGGGATAGACTAGTGGTGGAGAGATGAGTTAAGAGGTTACTAACTTCCTTTCTCCATAAATTCTAATAGTCGAGGTATGAGTTGATTAGAACTGGGATGAACATTAAAGAGGATGAAATAGAGATTAATGGGAGAGAGAGAAGAAACAAAAGGACTGAACCCATACCTGGCTGCAAGGATTTGACAGAGATAGGAAATTGGGTGAAAGAATTTTCATAGTGCCAGTAGAATATCTATGTATCTATCTATGTATCTATCTGTTTATCTGGAGGTAAAAATTAGCAATAGTTGTTATTAAGAAAAAATACCACACAAGATTTAGGTAGTGTTAAATTATTATTATTTGACCTTACAACACTATTGAAAGTATTGAAAGTCAAGGAAGCTTTGTGGAGGAGTTTGGGCTTAGCCTAAGAACAGTGAGGAACCACTAAAGGGAGTTACTTACATTTGTATTTTAGGCAAATGACTCACTGCAGATTGAGGAATGAGAAACAGGGCTGAATCTGAAGACCAGAAGACTTTGCAGTAGTCTAAGTGCAAGACGATGGTGGTGTGGGCTGGTAATAGCAAGGATGGAGAAAAGTGGATGAATTTGAAGGATATTTAAATGATAGAAGAGATGAAACTTAATGTTTGATTGGAAAAGTCTTATAGAAATCACACTCTTTCCATATGGATGTCATTTACCCAAAGCATAAGCTAGTAACAGGAACCAACATTAAATTAATCAATGTTAATTGATTTGATTGATATTCTTTCATTAAGCCAGCGATTTTTATTATGCTTGAAAGCTATGTTGTGTACTAATAATTTCATACATGAAAGAATAACTCAAATGTAAATATGGGCAAAAAGAGAAAGCTGAGGGACAAGGCTGCCATAGAGTTTTACAACTGTTAAGGGACCTTGGATAGATCCTCTATTCCAAAGCTTGCTTTTGCCAAAGAGAGCAGGCCCAGTGCTTCCTTTTGCAGAGAAGACAGGCCTACTGCTGTACAATAACAGAACCATGGTTAAATCTTAGTTCTGATTCAAAGTCTGCCATTCTTTCATCATTTCACTATAATTTTTTAACAAAATAAAAGATTGGTAAATTTTATATAAAATGCTTTTAAAATGAGAAGTGTATGAACTACTTAAGAAGCTAATTAAAAAAAATAGTCAATTCCTAGGGAAGTTCAGATGATATTTATAGACTAGGATAAGAGATGGCTATCAGTTATTATTTTTCTTTTGCTTCAATGATGTTGGATGGTCTTGTGTATAAGAGAGAGAAGAGGAGAGATTCAGAGCCTTGTAACATGATACCTAACTACTTCAAGGCTATCTACCATGGGTTGACAGTGTAGAGCATGGGCTAACAGTGTATATACCTAGACACCAGTAGAATGGAAGGTAGCCTGGCCTGATCTATGCCTTTAGCCCCATCTGCTGGATTATTTATGAAGTACTTAAGTTTGTTGACTGGATATTTCAGATTGGCTATGCTGTACACCACTCTTTGTTGTCCAGGAAAGGTAGAGGTAGAATTTAACTGTAAAATTTACACCCTGAGTGAAGTGAAAATTCTAGGATAATAGATTTAGAATTAAATATAAATCTTCTTAGCCTAGTACTCTATATCATTTCATCAGAAATCAAGAAAAAACAACTAAAAATATGAAGTTTTTTTTTTTTTTTTAAGAAAGTATGGGAAAACTTGCTGAATAGACAAAAACAACAGCTACCATGGAACACTGCAGAAATCATTTGTTTACTGGGGTGCTATAATGTGATTGGCATAATCAGGGTCAAGGTTGGTATTTGATCCATTTAGGGATTTGCCTATTTCAAGGGGAGTAGATGGGTTAGAGATAGTCCCAACAAAACCATGGAATGGGAGAGAGGGTTCTCCGAGGGAAGAGATGCTGAGCAGAGGAAATAATATGCAATATTATTATAATCTGCAATAAGAAAGATGAAAAGAACATTTAAAATGCATGGCAGTATAAATGTTCATCTATGTCATTGAATGATGTAGATGAAAGTTCAGAGGCAGGGGAAAACATGTCTTGGCATGTTCAGAAAGGATTTCATGGAGCAGTCCAAATTTTGAGCTTGACTTTAAAAAATCAGTCACTGGGTTTTGTGAGTTTAACATTTTATAGGCTGTTATTTAAACCATGGGCTTTTTGGAAATCTTGTGGTTAGAGGTTAGGGTTGCTTTCCAGGCTCTAGCAAGCGTTGGTATTTTTAAACATTAGATCAGGATCTCTATTAACTAATTATAGTTGCTGTAGACTGTTTGAACTGGACTTTGTCAACTTTTCTCCTTTTTTATGTGAAATCACTCTCACCCTTTGTGACATATAGGTCAGTTCCCACATGTGGTATAGAGCCTTCTGTAAACCCCACTCCACAGCATCTCACACTCACTGTTTTTCTGTGCATTTGGCACATAGCGTATACTCTCCTGCCCTGTGTAGCTTCCATTTTACATGGCTGTTCTGCTTTTTGGGCGATGTACTCAACTCCCTTAAGTCAAAGACCAGCTTGTACCCTCCTGTTCTGTCTTAGCAGTGTTCTCAATTAATGGTTAGGTGCTGGATTAGTGAAGAACTAGCTGATGTTAATTCTTCCCTGAAAAAAGCCTCAAGGGGTTTAGTGTTCTACTGGCAGTCATTGAAAATTAAGATTTAATTTATATCAGAAAGACGTAACTGGGTTACTGGTAAGAAGTAAACTTTCAGGAAGCTTAAGAATCCTCATAAATAAGATCTTTATTTATTTATTTCATCTTTCTTTTTTTTTTTACTGAGTACTTGCTGTATACAAGCCTACTCAGCAAGGATCCTTTGCTAAATTACGTTTTCTGCCTCCTTTTCAAAGGAGCTGTATCTCCAGAATAAGAAAGATCAGCTTTTTCCAGATCTGATGGAAGAGATCAGTTGGATCTCTTACCCTGCTGATTCTTCGCAGTAGCAGCTGAGAGTGGCAAGGTTCCTACCATACCCATTATCTACCTGTTACCATATTTATCCCCAACTGAAGTGTCATGAGTGAAAAAGCTTCCCCTTTCCCCAACTTCTTCTTCTCAAAATACTTGGGCTTTAAAACAGTCAACAACTATGGACTATGTTAAATGACAATCACTACTTCTACGATATAGATGAGAAGAGGACAGTGTGCTTTCTCAGGATAGAGCCTCATTCTATGTTTGGCTGAATTTTCTCTTTTTGTTCACTTGATCAGGTTGTCAGCTGTGAAGTTGTTATTATTTTTATTCCATGACAAAATAATCCTTCCTATTTGTTTCAGGAAAAACTCTCTCAAATTGTGTTTTTCCCCTACTCTCACACCACAACAATCATCAACACAGAAGACTTCTGTGACCAAACATATGGGGATTTTCCCACACACACCAAGAAGCAGACACCAACTGTGTGTCTTCCAATTTAATTCTGACAGTATCTCCCTAGAGATAGTATCAAATCCCACAGATTGGGGGCTCAATCCCCAAGACTGCTCCCTACAACTCCAAACACCAATCATTAATCCAGGCTTCCAGAACTTCTGACCAACTAGCTAGTTTCAAGTTGGGGTTTTCATGACACCCTCTTTGGGTTCAGTTAGTTTGCTGAACAGCTCACAGAACTCAGGGAAAACTTACTTACATTTACTGATTTATTATAAAGGATATTACAGAGAATACAGATGAAGAGATGTGTTGGGTGATATGGGGGAAGGGGCACAGAGCTTCCGTGCCCTCCCCGGGCATGCCACCCTCCAGGCTCCGTATGTTCAGCTATCTAGAAGTTCCCCAAACCCAGTTCTCTTGGATTTTTATGGAAGCATTCTTTCACCCAGGGTATGAGGCAGGACCCTTTCAGGGAAGAGTCTTAAGACTCACAATCAGAAAATGGGGTGGGGAAGAAGATTAGAGGCCTGCCTAGGGACCAGTGGAAGAAGGGCAGGAGACGAGATTCTGTTTCCTGAGGCCTAACATACCCAACATTGTAACAAAAAACTGTAACAAAGGATGTGGGAGTTGTGATTCAGGAACCCTGGACAAAAACCACTATATCATAACACCATACTATTTATTAATATTTTTAGCATGTCAAGGGACATCATAGAACCTACCAAATGTATATGTATGCATAATGAAGCATTTAATTATATCTCTTTTAAGATTGTTTTCTTTCACACTGCCTTATGACTTTAACCATATATATGTTCTCTGAGTGTATCTGATATGGTCCCTACTTATTTGGTATTCTTTCATATCAACTAGCCAATATTGAAGATGTGATCAACATTCAGCAAATACTTTAAATATTTATTTAGTAAATAGATTATTTTTGGAGGCTTTGGAATTGCTTCCATTTTACTAAATATTTTATATTATAAATGTTTTCTATAAGCAAGAGAGTTAATATTTTAGAATTCTTTCTCTTTTACCTGTCTTACTGAAGGGTATAATATGCTATCTTTTTATAGTTTATTGCTTTCTACAATGTTTATATTAACTATGTTTCTGTTGAATTTACTAAAAACATGGCATATAATAATTTGGGAAAATTGTTTTTGTAAGTCTGTAGAAGAGAAGCTTTCTCTAGCACAGGAGGACTTGATTTCAAACAGAAATCAAATTGGAAATCAAAATAAATTGATTCAAGAACTGAAGACTGCCAAGGCTACATTGGAGCAGGATTCAGCAAAGAAAGAACAGCAATTGCAGGAGCGATGTAAAGCACTACAAGACATTCAGAAAGAAAAGGTATTGCATGTTTCTGACCTAAATCTACAATCTTAGAGTTACAGTTGTCTTAGAGATCATCCAGTCAAACCTCTTATTTAGTACAGGCATCATCCTTATTTTCAACAGCTCTCTCAGAGGGACCTCTAGTTTCTGACACTTTTGATCATTGGGATTTTAATGCTAGGAAGTACTTCTTAATGGCCTCCTTGTTATTTCTACCCTTTTTTCTTACTGCTCTTTAGTTTTACAAACAAGTCAATTTTTCACACCATAGACCCTTGGTTATTGCAGAAAAGATAATATAGTTCCTCAACTATTTCTCATATAACGTATTATCCTTTAGATGTGTGAATGAGATAATAAAAGATCTAGAAATAATTCTTAAACATGTTAAGAATTCTTAAAATTAAGAACCAGATTGTCTAAGGAGTTTATTAAGTTTCAAAGTTGAAAGCATTGGTTTACTAATATATGACCAGTACATTTTAAAAATCACTTTAAATTCTGTATGAAAGAAAAATTCAGATCCTAGGAAAGAGTTTATTTTTTGTTTTATAGTTGAAATCATATATTCCTGTTAGCTGACAGGATATTACTCTGCAGTGTATATTCCCTGAAATTCTTGGTAAATTCTAAATGGTTCAGTTCCTGAAATTTAATTTAAAAATGTTCTGTGGGTGTGGTGATGGTGAAGCTGGAATGAAATTCATGATTTGTGCTTCAAGTTTAGAGAATTCTGACAGAACTCTTGTTCATAAGGCCAGGTTTGATGGCTCATGCCTGTTATCTCAGCACTCCCAGAGACCAAGGAGGAGGGATTGCTTGAGCCCAGGAGTTCAAGATCAGCCTGGGCAACATAGTGAGACCTTGTCTCTATTAAAAAAAAAAATTTAGCTGGGCATGGTGGTGCACACCTGTAGTCCCACCTACTCGGGAGACCGAGGTGGGAGGATAGCTTGAGCCTGGGAGGTCAAGGCTGCAGTGAGTGAGCCATGATCATACCACTGCACTCCAGCCTGGGTGATAGAATGAGACCCTGTTTCAAAAAGAAAAAGAACTGTTGTTTATAGGAGTTTAGTTGTGTGAGCTTTAGATCATACAGACTTGCTTTGGTTTTGGCTCTATCTCTGATAGATTATTTTATGTCTCTTAAACCTTTGTTTCTTCACCTAGAAAATGGAGATTTAAAAGTCTACATATACTAGAGATTAACTGAGATAATATCCTAACTAGATACCTTATATAAAGATAGTGATAGTAATAAAATAGGAGTTATAAGAGTAAGAATCGTAGTTTTGCAGTATCATTACTCTGACCAGGTACAATTTATCTCACAATATTAACTATAACTATTTAATCTTTACAATTATTTTATTATTGTTCACACTGTATAAATAAGGAAACAGCCAAGAACCAAGAGAGGGTAAGTAATTTGCCCAAGTTAGGTAGAAAAGGGCAGAGCCAGTGTCATCAATAGTAGCAGTCATTTTTATTACACCCATTTTCATTTAAGTATTTGCTTTAAAATAATTTTAAAATATATCATTTTTCTACAGTCACTGAAAGAAAAAGAACTGGTAAATGAGAAGTCTAAATTGGCAGAGATAGAAGAAATTAAATGTAGACAAGAAAAAGAAATCACTAAACTAAACGAAGAACTCAAGTCCCACAAACTAGAAAGCATAAAGGTATGTTAAGATAATCATTTCTCCTGCCTTCTGTGTTATATTGCTCTTTAAAGAAATATATATACCCATACATATTTATTTATTTATTGAGAACTTGCTATGTGCTAGGCAAATTGTTCTGTTGTTTCTGACAAATACTCTTGCCAGAGTGCTTTTGTATTGCATAATACCCGTACACATATTGAAATTGCTACATTTGTTTTCACATTACCCAATGAAGCAAAGTAACCCTAAGAGTTTGGATCTCATTGAAATGATAATCAAGAGATGTATTGATTTAGAAAATTATGCTCACAGGTAGTAAATTTCAAAATATGAAAGAGTTTAGAAGTAAGATTTAAAGGGATTGTTTATTCAATTATTTTTCTTCCTAAAGTCCTTTCATAATCTGTTATTTTTAACATTTTACCTGTTATAAGCATAGATAGGGTACCCATTGAAGAAAACTAATTGTCTATTATTTGCTTTGTAAAATACTAATTTCTTAAAAAAAGGTTAGATTCTTTCTTGAGAGCACTCATAATGTCCTTTATGTCTGTAAGCATACTTTCATTTTGGTTTATAATTAATTATCTCTTTATGTTCCTCTGTCCTCTAGAATGTGACTTCCTTAAATCAGGGAATGTGTATAATTCATCTTTATGTTATATCCCCAGAACGTAACTCAGTGTGTGATAACTAAATGATGACCAGTAAATGTTAAGTGAGGAAAGGGAAAATAGAGAGTACAGTTTGTTTTTTTTTCTCCACATAATCAAAACGTATACATTTTTGTCACCTGGATTTAAATGATTGTTGAGCAAGACATACTATAATCTTGTATCTTTTTAACCAATTCTTTAAAATACTGAACTTTAAGAATTTCATAAGTGGGTAAAACCTATATTTGATCTATTGTGATAAATTGCATAAATTTTAGCCAAATTTTGAAATATTTACTATGAAGGATGATTTATTTTTGGCCCTACTTTTTCAACAGGAGATAACAAATCTTAAAGATGCTAAACAGCTTCTAATTCAGCAGAAATTAGAACTTCAAGGAAAAGCGGACTCCCTGAAGGCAGCTGTTGAACAGGAGAAGAGAAATCAGCAGATACTAAAAGACCAGGTGAAAAAGGAAGAAGAGGAGCTGAAGAAAGAATTTATTGAGAAAGAAGCTAAGTTGGTCAGTGAGTTAATCGGGGGAAGTGTGTTTTGCAGTAGAGCTTTAAATCAATCCAGTGAGAGGACTGTTCTACTTATAAGATCTGATTGAAATGCTTTCCTAACATTTTAGTTTTTGATTAAGGAAGGAGATCTGATTTATTTACATAGCTGACATGTGGTTGGAAATATTTTACCCTGTAACCATAATTCTGTTTTTATAAGTGAACATTGAAATGAAATAAAATTAAAAAATTTTTTTTGTTTTTTAAGTGTCAGAAGCTAAACAACCCCACAACTACGTAGATCTGGTAAATGGTGTGAATGCTAGTCATGTTAAACCCATTTGTTGGGTCAAAACGAATGTTGATAAGGGGGAGCGGAAACTTGAGTTTGAAATTATGATGAACAAAGTCTGCTTTTCCTTTCCTAAGTTGCACATGCCAAATGGGAAGCATCTGGCTTTCCTCTGTTGAATTAAGTCCAAATATGCCCAGATAACTTGGCCATTGAATATTTTAGTTGAAGAGTTTCAATTTTAACTTCAAACAGTCATTTGAAGGTTTCATAATGGTTTTTGGCAGACTGATAGAGAAAAGAAAGCATATGGAATTGGGACGAATAAGGAAATTTCAGCTTTGTCTCTAGGGCACCTTGCTATCCCTAACCATATGTGTCTTTCCTGCTCTGGTGGAGAAGAAGAAAGATCTCACATTGTGTCACTTTAGCTCACCATCATGATGGTCACTATCCATCATTTCAGCATTTTGACCTTTGAGCCAATTCATATTACATAGATGCTTGTGGAATCAGTTTTATTAATGTGTAATGAAATATGTTCTCCTGCCTCCATTCCCGAAGAAGCAAATTGCCAGTATTTTAAATGTAATAAATCACTTACATTTATTTTGCACTACTTTTGTAATAGATTTCCCCCCAACTTTTCCTTTTTTTCAGCATTCCGAAATAAAAGAAAAGGAAGTAGGAATGAAGAAGCATGAAGAAAATGAGGCTAAACTTACCATGCAGATTACAGCATTAAATGAAAACTTAGGCACTGTGAAGAAGGAGTGGCAATCTAGTCAACGGAGAGTTAGTGAGCTTGAGAAACAAACGGATGACTTACGGGGTGAAATTGCAGTATTAGAAGCAACGGTTCAGAATAATCAAGATGAAAGGAGAGCACTACTGGAAAGGTGATTGATATCTAGTAAAATTAGTTTATTTCCATTGTAAGTGATAAAAAGATTGTCATATTCCATAGTTTTTAAAAATAGAAGAATCTTGAGAAAAGTGCATAAGCCTCTATAGGTATTTAAGTAGCCATTTAAAAATTAACCTGTAAAACAATCAGATAGTCAAAATTAATGTATCATATATTTTAAATTACTAAAGTAGTCCATTATCTATACCCTAGAAGGGTCTTTAAATGATTTTCTAAAAAATTAATTACCTCTTTGCAATCTATTCCAGATGTCTTAAAGGAGAAGGTGAAATAGAAAAGCTTCAAACCAAAGTATTAGAATTGCAAAGAAAGCTGGATAATACAACTGCAGCAGTGCAGGAGCTGGGCAGAGAAAACCAATCACTTCAGGTCAGTCACCTATGGATATGAAGCAGTTTTTTAGTCTAGAATTGGCTTATTAGTGAAAAGCATATTTTTACCTTTTAAAAAATCTCATGTTTTATAAATACTTTCAAATAGCTACTCTCTGTTTAGCAGTATTGTAGGTTTTGTGGATAATTAAATATAAAAGTAAAGAACTTGTTTCAGAGACCTCAGAGATTCATTAGAAAGCCATGTCATTCATTAATTGTTAGTATATGGAAAGAACTACAAAATTCAAGAATACCAAAGAATATATGAGTCAGTATGTGTTAAAGAAGCGATCTGAGTATATTCTCAGAGTCACCAGGGAAAATTCATCATTATGTTTAGAATGGATTGGAAATCAGCAAAGGTTAGCAAGATATTTCAGGAATAAAATTCAATTAATTTTATTTTGTCATTCAGATTTATGAGTATAGCTACTTTTGACAATAGAAGCTGACCAGTGTATTTCTGATTTTTAAAATTTTATTTCATGGGTCATATAGTCAAAATTTTATAGAACTCTGGCAGCAAGTTAGAAATAATCTAGCATTCTTTAAAATGTTGAATACTATAATATATCGATACTTCTTTAAAAAACAGATCAAACATACACAAGCGTTGAATAGAAAGTGGGCCGAAGACAATGAAGTACAAAACTGTATGGCCTGTGGGAAAGGCTTTTCAGTAACAGTGAGACGGGTAAATAATTTTGTTCATGTAACTATGTTTCTGGATTTCATTTGTCACTGATAATTAATGTTTTAACCATCAAAATAGTCCTTCATTTGACAGAATAATTTTCTGTTTATCAGTAAACTTTAACAACAACATAGAATAACTTCATGCAGTCTAGCTTTTGGTTAGCATATGTGTTTGAATTTTACTTTTAAATTCAGTCCTTGTCTTCCAACTTAGTTACTGTCTGGGACAATCATTTTCTGAATCAGTGCACCAATATTAAACTCATGTTTTAGTAATCATTGGGTTCTTTAAAGGAAGAAAAAGCAGAGGTATTTTAAAAATATATTCTAAATACTACCATTGTGTTAATGACTTAAGTTTATATTTCTTTTGGAGACATTAGTGCCTGAAACATTTGGCAAATAGGAATAGTTTTTCATTTGATAGAGATACTTTATAAAAACTTTTTAAATGCCTCCTCTGGTTCTTTTGAGAGTTCCATAATAAATTCTATGTAAAATGTTTAGCATAGTGTTTGATAAATAGGAAGCATTCAATTTAATTATAACAGAGATTAAGTTAACATATTGAAACATATCATTAAATAATATACCAATGACTTGAAAGCTAATGTACCTTCATAATGTAGTTGGTGGTATTCATGTAGTTTCATAATACTTTTGGTATAGTTTTTATTCTTGAAATTGTTTAATTTTTGTCATTTACAGCATCACTGCCGACAGTGTGGAAATATCTTCTGTGCTGAATGTTCAGCCAAAAATGCCTTAACTCCTTCCTCCAAGAAGCCTGTTCGTGTCTGTGATGCATGTTTCAATGACTTGCAAGGATAATGGGTTATCACAACTTCAGAGTAATATTACACTAACATTAGATTTTTAATAAATGTACTTAATAGAGGTCTTGGACTACTATTTGGTTTGGACACTGGTTGCAATACTAGACCAAATAGGAATTAGTATATTTTGGAATGTTATGGATATCAAGTAAAACTCTTCTATTTTTGTGAGACTTGGGCTTATCATCTTTCATTACTTTTTTCCCATTTAGCCCCTGGAATAGCTTTCATGCCAAGTTTAGAATTAGCCAATGAAATGTAAATAAACTTTGGACAGAAAATAGCAATGTATTTTTTTAATATAATTTCATTATTCACAAATGAAGAATGCAATTCCATAGCTTACTTCTTTCTCCTAAATTTAATGTACAAAAATGTACATGGATGATATTATCACTTGTTGCTGTTTTTGTTGCACAATAGCACATTAATTATATTAAATATTCTCTTTGTGAAGTTATGCACAGAACTGTAACACTTTCCTCTGCCTTTTTCTCTTATATGTGGGTTCATGGTTCAGTTGCATTGTTATGTTATGAATTTACTACTTGGGTGTTCTAAATACAGTTTATCTTAAAATATGTAGTAATATGAATTCAAAAATGGTTTTTGTTTTAACAATATTAATTAAATTTTCTTGGGTGGATTTTATAAAAACCTCTGTAAAATCAATTTGTTTACTTATAGTTATCTGGGGTTGTATTGCAAAGAATAGGGTTAATTTTTCTTTTTGTCTTTTTCTGTCTCTTTCTTAAACTCCCACGCATTGTCCATTTAGAATCTTAGAAAGCTTCTTACCCTCGCTGTCAGTTGGAGGATGAATAATAAACATTGTATAATGTTCTTATTCTCGGTTTCTTGTAAGTGGGAAGTCTTTTGAGATCAGCCTTCATATCATACCCTTATTTTGTCTCTCTAGCATCTTCAGGAACCTGAGTTTGCTTTTTACATAGATCTGATTTTTTCCTTTATTTGGTTTAACATTTTCAAGCATAGATCAGCTTCATGTATTTGTTTTATAATTTTGCATCTTAAAGCTAGTAACTAATATTGCTGTGGTCTTATTGGTGAAAACAAAATATAAAATGATAAGAAGACATTAAATATTTTACTTTCTATTTCTTACCCTATTGGGAAGAATTTTTAAAAGTTGTAAAATTGACTTAAAGTTAAAATGGTTCTGAATTTGGTGTTCCATGTCAACTGTTCCCAGTTTTAATTTTAACTTTGCAAAAATAATGTTGTGAAATTCCCTTTAAGTAACTAACACCTAGAAATAGAGTATCACCAAAAACAAATGTATTTAGGAATCCCAGTTACAATAAAAACTGAAACAGCATGGCTAAGCATCTTAAGGATAATTAAGAAATTAGCTTATTTGTATGCTGAACAATGGAATCGAACTTTAATTTAGCATAGTCTTATTAATTTGGAAAATTGTAAAACATCTCAAGAGAGAAGTTATTAATATTGGTTTATTAATCTTTCTAGAGAAGAAGTGTAGTTATACATTCATTCAGTGCAATCATTTTATAACAGTAGTTAATATTTCATTTATAATAGTTCTTAATATACATTTGCTTTCAAATATTCTGAAATGAAATTATATTCATGCTATACCTACAGTGTATGTAAACTAAAGAGATCACTACATATTTGTTTAATTATTTAAAAAAAAATTTAAGTAAACCCTGTTGTCATTAGCTATTAAGAACATTGATTAAGTCCCTGGACTTGGATAAACATATATCCTTGAACATATATAATGAAGAAATACAGTGGCTCTTTATTAAAAATAATAGTTGGATAATATAAACTGAACTATTTATGCATTTTTATATACTTATAAATCCTTCCAAATAGTTTTAATTCTATCCTTTTACATATAAATAACTTAATAAGTGTGCTGGAAAAACACAGATATTCACAGCACCACTGTTTTTTTTTTTTTTTTGAGATAATAAATTCCATGAGAAATCTGGGTTTGAATATTTGTTTACTTTGTCTCCTAATTGAACACCACTCCAGGCCTTCTGTCTGTCTCCCCTTTACCCCCAAAATACTCACAAAAAAATTTTAAGACAACAAGTAACCATATATAGGTGTTTGAATGATTTTCTCATTTTTATCTAATTTCATTTCATAAGTCCCGAGTAATTTACCTACCATAGGCTACTATACTGATAATATAAATGAAACCGAACATTTTTTGCTACTAACTCTCCCCAATTTAATGTGTTTTCGAAATAAAAATTTAAATTTTTTTCCTTTTAATTAAAAAGTCATCTTTGAAGTCCTTATTGGCTGTACATTTTACATGTTTGCTGGTACTATTATTTTGTCAGTCAGTTAAAGCTGGCATGTACAGCTCTTGGCTTTAATGAAAAGCACATTGACATAATGTTAGTAAATTCCAAACCCCGGCACAGAATGTGAGTTAAAATTAAGTCTTGCTGGGTTAGTGTACAATAAACTATACCTACAGACTTTTTTTTAATAGAAAGAAGACAAAGCTGCTGGTATAGGATTTGTTCCTTTGAAGAAAAAATGAGGGAAACAAACACAAAAACCTCAATGCAGTGTATAAATAACATTTTGTTCAACTACCTCTTAATGTGGAATTATCTACTTTAATAGTTTCCTGACAGTAATGTTAAATAGTAACTGCCAAATTTGTTATTTTCCCATCTCTCTTAAAAAAGTCTTTATGATTATTTTATATAGTTTTGAGAACTTTAAAGCCACTTTTTTTTAACCTTACATTTGCATAAAAATGTTTAGCTTTTAAGTAGAGAGCAAATTATGATCATATATTTTGATATTCATGACCTGTTTGACTATAGGAGTTTTTTTAAAAAAATGCACTTTGGCTATAAAACCATGGATGATTTGATCCATAAGATTTAAATGTGCCACCATTATAGTATTCCTAGACATGAGCTTGATGAATGGTATTCTGTAATTATAACGTGCCACACATTATTGTGTCTTAATTGCCCTTAGCCTGAATTTTAATGATCAATTTGTTATTGTTGCAGATGTGAATATTGTGCATAAACTTACTAAATTTATGTAAAATTGTATAAAATAGAATTAGAAGTCACTAAGTTCTTTCTGTGTAGAAGTAATAAATTTATTGTAACACAATGCAGTTGTGTATATGACATTCTGTAATTCCTTGAACTGGATCATATATTCATAAGTTCTGTAGATACTTATGCATGAACATTTTCTCATTTAGTTTTTGGGTTCATTATTTGTATTGTGTTTACTACTTGTGATCATGTAGTTGTGCCTTACTTTGTGAGAAAGGTTAGCTCAGTAAATACTGCAATTTCTAAACTCAGTGATTGGAAGGTTATTAATTATAAATGTAACTGATAAAGTACGTGACAGCATTTAAATCTGTATAAAGAACAATGGAAGGATCCTTATTGAATTGTTGCTTTTTTTTAATATGTTTAAATATTATATTAAAAACATTTCTTTCTAAACTAGTTGTATTCTGTGACTATAAATTGTTTTGTCTAACAAAAGAGAGAACACTGTATTAACCATTTTGCATTAATTTATTTACAGAATATTAGGACTTTGCACTTGGATATAGACAGTGGTGTTTTAATGTTGTTCAATTTCGAATAGTAATTAAATTCCTGATCTCAAGAGAAATTATTAATGCCATTTTGCCTTAGACATTCCATTTAATATTGTAGAGAATTAACAAAACTAAAAACAAATATAAAAAATATGTAATTAACCCCTTATTTCATTGTGTGTCTGCATTTAATACCCAGATGACCATTTAAAGATACTTAAAACATTATTTATTTATTTATTTATTTATTTTTCTCCCTCCCCTCCCCAAAGATACTTTTTGGAAGGCCCAATGTGCCATTGTTTTTTGCTATTTTTTCTTCCTGGGAGCCACGGTTCTAGAATGGTTTTTGTTCTGACCCCCGTGATCCCTTCATTCGAATGTGCTTCATTCTAAACCCTCCAAAGAGTTTAATGTGCATATCCTCAAACATCTAATATATTGTATATTAGACATGTTACTTTGTGAGCTTTATAGAATTCCAGTTTATGTACAGCATATTCTTGAGCTGTTTTATATATTTTGTTAATTTAGTCAGTCTGTCTCTCCCTTTAATGAGATTCAGAGGGAGAAAACTACCTTTATACATGTAAGTCTGTGGTTGCTGGATTCATGGGACTAAAGGAATTTGAGAGGCCACCTCATCCTAGTCCACTGCTCACCTCCGAGGTTAGTTTATATCTAAACATTTGCAAGATGATTGTTAATGTAAAAATTTTTTTTAACCAGAAATTTCTTTATAAAATCTTCTCTTGCATAATCTATATTGTATTCTCCTGGACATAACTGCTTTCAGTCCCATCCAGATGCCATCTCTAGGAATTCACTTGAAGCTTGAAGTCTATTCTCCCCTTTTTCTCCCCTCCACCTCATTTATTCTTAGCTATTAACAATAGTTACTGTCCTCCAGATTTTCCTTTTTTTCTTCTATTAAATTTCTGACATTATTATAAAGAGGTTATTAGTCTCCATTCTAATAGTGCTTGCCTTGTACAAAAGCCTTTCTGCTGCACTTGTCTTTACTGCTTTGTTTGCATAGTGAAATTTCACCTTCCTCAAGGAATTACTGGGCACATGACTTGCCCAAACATTATCCTCTCTACCCCATTCTTCAGCTTAACAAAATCAGCTAAGGCTTCAGTTGTCTTGCAGCCAAATTTGATAAATTTACTACTTTCACTTTGCAAATTGCAAAAGGTACGATTCTGAAATGGAAGTTTGTGGACTTCCCTTTGATGCAATAATCTGACCCTAAGAACTAGTTCCTTGAATGTAGTTAATAGTATATATCCTGCCATGATAATAATTATTCAAACTGCCTTTCATGATAAAAATTCTGAAGAAATTTGAAGTCCTGCCAAATAAAATTAAGTGACTGTACTGTGCTAACACACACACACACACACACACACACCAATCAAAACCAGAAAGTATTTTTATGGCAAACACCATCATTCTTCAAAAAATAAAGTTAAGAGACAGATACCTTACTATGTCTATGAAAATCTGTACACTTCACAACAGGCCAAGAAAAGCCATGCAAAAGTGTTAACTGGTGAAAGCCAGATTTTTTTTTTCTTCCTATCTTAAAGTAATGGAATTTAGTCTTTGGGATTTTCTACTTCCACGTTAGAGTACTATATACCTGAGATGAGTTTGAGAATAGGAATTTTAAAACTGCTACTTAAATGTAGTCCCTATTTATTGCTTTGTATATTAAAAGAACAATCAAGCTTTGTATCTAAAGATTTATCATTATGTTTGAGGTAGGACTATAAAGCGGTTAAGACTGATTGACAGGCCATGAAGGAAAATTGGTTTCATTATTTTATGGATACAGAGTAAGATGCTGGAGTTCATATTGGACATAAGCAGTGGACATTGTTTTCCTTCTGATACTCCATTTATCTGATCATTCACCCTTTACAAATTAGCACCTTTCTTCACTCACACCTCTTACAAACCTGACGGAAGCATTAGAAGGTAATCTGGATGTCAGTATATATTTGTCAAGAAATTCCTCAGAGTTCAAATTTGTTGCAGTCATTATTCCTCTATACTGAGGATTTTCCTAGCTCAAAATTTCAAATTCTGAAACTTCTTTAAAATGCAAATTTCCTTCTAGCTTATCACTAGCTAAGTGTTACAAAACTTTGAATGAAATTATACCTTAAACCATAATCTTCTAAAAAGACATGCCACTTGTTTTAGGTCCCTAAATTTCAGAGGATTCTGCGGGCAATGTGAATAAAGATATTTTCTTGGTTTCCTGACTCTTGGTAAAGCAAGAAATTGCAGTTGTTATTTGTGCCATCCATGTTTTCTGTTGAAAAAAAGAAAAAAATACATAAATAGAGATTAGAATGTTAAGCTGACAATTTCTCACATATTTGGGCTAATATTTTCTGCTATATTTATTGACCAGCTCTTTAAAACTGAAGACTAATGAAACATTTGCATATGTTTCCCATTTTCTTTCTTACATCTAATATAAATACTTCTAATCTTACAGGAAAATGCAGATGGGCTAAATGAGTATGGTA
This sequence comes from Homo sapiens, assembly GCF_000001405.40. NCBI lineage: Eukaryota > Metazoa > Chordata > Mammalia > Primates > Hominidae > Homo > Homo sapiens. The sequence goes on along the minus strand of NC_000012.12, from coordinate 92,769,867 downwards.
TGCATGTTGGATAACAGTTATGAGTAATCAAGAAACAATAGTCAATGATAACTCATTAGAAAAATGAGCACTGAGAATATATGTAGTTTGAAAGTGGCATTGCTGGAATTTCTATTCTCTGTGGAAACAAGTTCTTAACCTGTAGTATAACTTGAAAGAGACTGAGGGCAGTGACCCAGGAAATTGAATATTGCATTTGTTGTCTGGCCACATTGTAGATATGATGAAAGCCTACCAGGGGAAATACAAAAATAGAAACTTCTAAGACAGAGAAACCAGAGTCAGGCAGCTGCTCTTTCAACTCCATAGCTGTAAAAACAATGGCAGTTTTTCAAAGGTTGACAAGCTGACTTGACAGGGATCATTATTGCGCCAGGCCCTCCTTAAGCTAATATCCTATTATATGCACTTTGGAAACTGATTGGAGCATCTTAAAGGTTCATCATGCAATCCAAATCAATTCTTCCCCCATTTCCTACAGAAACTGTAGAACGCAGGCAGTTCTTGAGCTTCTGCAGGAGAACTCTGCAAGCGTGAGGAAATTGTTCCTCAACCCCGCAAGTGTGAGGAAATTGTTCCTCAACCCCACAAGTGTGAGGAAATTGTCAATACTGAGGCTTTTGAGCATTATATGGACTAGATGTACCCCTCCCCTCCTCCCAAATCTGCCCTTCCCAAGTGGGTGAGAGAAAAACACAAAACTTTCCATTCACTGTTACTTAAGACACTTGGGGGGAGCTTATGTAAACTCTGAAGAATCAAAGACCTACAAAATTAAAATACATACTTTGATGTTTTCCGTTTGGGCTTGTAATAAGAATGCTGCTATACACTGTCGATATCTGTTTTCGTGTTGTATAAGAAAAGCATTTCTCAGCCCAAAGACTAGAAAAAGATATTACAAAGACAAAAAGCCAAATCATTTCATATGAAATCCAAACAATTTCTTAGTACAAGAATCTGGGGTTTGTTTTCTATTTGGCTTGTTTCTGTTTTAACGAGGGTGGGAGGTTTATCTAGCTTATAATTTTTTTTTAAATTTTATTTCAATGCCAAGACCCCACCACTATGTCCAAATAAAGCCTACTCTACTATAAAAACCCTTTCTTCCTTAGCTAATGACTTCTGATACTTGATGAAATGCAACTAAGGCTTAGGTAATGGGGCCCCTGCTCGTAGAACAAGCTAAACATATGCGGTAGATTTTTTTGTGTATGAAAATATAGATAATAAAAATATACAAAACAATATAATATTTTCTTCTTTGTTCTTCACCACTCCTTTAAAAAATTTTATTTTTGTGTTTAAAGGGAAGTCACATCCAACCAAGGTTTATAAACAAATTAAGATGTGGCAAAAATACAAAACCACCTGAATACTTCAGGCCAAGAAAAGCCAAAAACCACTCAAAATCCAGCATCCACCAAACTGGGTGAAATGTAAAACAAAACAAAAAGAGACATTGGCATGGTTTCTGTGTTTGCAAAAGAAAGCCTGTTCTGTCATTTCCTAGCTGGCCTCAAAGAAAAGATAGTGGGAGAGCAGACTTCTTTTTCTAATATAGCAGGAGCGCTTAAAATGAAAGTCTCTTCTTTGAATTATTAATACAACACAGTCCTGAAGCTTACACATTCTTTTTTCTCTCTTTTTTTTTTTTTCTTGAGACGAAGTCTCTCACTGTCGCCCGGGCTGGAGTGCAGTGGCGGGATCTCGGCTCACTGTACCTCTGCCTCCCAGGTTCACATGGTTCTCCTGCTTCAGCCTCCTGAGTAGCTGGGATTACAGGCGCCCGCCACCACGCCTGGCTAATTTTTTTGTGTTTTTAGTCGAGACGGGGGTTTCACTTTGTTGGCCAGGCTGGTCTCGAACTCCTAACCTCATGATCCACCCAACCTCGGCGTCCCAAAGTGCTAGGATTATAGGCATGAGCCACCGCGCCCGCCCTATACATTCTTTCTATAGTCAGTGTTTAGAAACAAACAAACAAAAACAGGCCAGGGCTGTCTCCTGCCCACATCAAGTACTTCAGGAAAGAGAAAAAGTGAGCAAGTGACATATTCTTGCTGATCATTAAGCTGATGCTTGTCTGCTGTCACTATTTGTATTTGTTGAAGTTAGTTTAACTCAGGCTTATCTGAGGGGCTGTTGGGCTTCTTTCAGAATCCAGGTGAATACAATACTTATTTTCTTAACTGCAAGAACTACCCCAGTATCACAGATTATACTCATAACAATCTAAACATCATAATTCCCAAATTCTACTACAAAAAATAAAGTCTGTTAATGAGAGGCCATAAAATTCTGTCCAGCTTCTCTGCAGCGAGAGGACTTAAACCTATTAAAATGACTTTCTGGGGAAAAAAAAAAAAAGCTGGCTGTGTTTTACTCTCTAATTCTTTGCCTTATAAATTCCCTGTAGCAAGTGAGGCTTTAAAGATCAGGTCATTGTTCTTGGCTGGTTTTTGGAATTCATTTTCCTCAAAAACTATAATTGTACTTCCAGGTTATTCCAGGCATCCTTGCTTCATTTGGTTTGTAGTATGGGTACAAGGGACTTTATAAATAAAAGGACCTGCTAAGCTAGGCCTGTAAAATACAATTTGGAGAGAGTATAATATACAGGCAAGAATAGCTCTTTTTTTACTGACATTCTAATACAATAACTGACACAATTTTAAAAGCATTTTCTATGTATTGGGCACCATACTATGTTTTTTCTCTATATAGCAACCCTGTGAGATAGGTCAGCTAATTCCTACTTGTAAATGAGGAAACATATTAATTTTTCCAAGGTCACAGAGCTTATAAATGATATAGCCAGGATTTGGAATTAGGTCTGTCACTCCAGAGCTCAATCTCTCTCTTGTCCTCATTTACTCTTTCCTGTTCTATAGCTGCTCTGCCCATGTACTGTATCTAATTAGTCAAGTTAATAGGCCCGAGGAATGAGAAAAATATTTTTAAAAGGAACAAGAGATGGTAGTTACAAATCAGAAAATAAAAAAGGTGGAAGCATAGTTGTTTTGTTTTTGCTTTTTGAGACAGAGTCTCACTCCATCACCCAGGCTGGAGTGCAGTCGTGCGACCTTGGCTCACTGCAACCTCTGCCTTCTGGGTTTAAGTGATTCTCGTGCCTTTGTCTCCCCAGTAGCTGGAATTACAGGTGTGTGCCACCACGCCTGGCTATTTTTTTTGTATTTTTTCACCACGTTGACCAGGCTGGTCTTGAACTCCTGACCTCAAGTGATTTGCCCGCCTCAGCCTACCAAAGTACTGGGATTACAGGCGTAAGCCACTGTGCATGTTCCCAGAAGCATGTTTTTAAAAAGATCTTTTAATTAAAAAAAAAAAGAAATAGAGGAGAAAAAACATGCATCTTTCAAGGTAATCCGGTGACATTAGATTTCCCATAAAGTTCAAGTCTTAAAGCTGGCAGGGTTGTGACTACACTGAACCCTCAGCCAAGCTGCATCCTCTTCCTCATGGGTGTTCTGGCACCTTCCTTTACTCAAGTCTATGTGTCAGGCCACAATCTATAACTATATAGCGTATAACTGTATCATAATCTATAACTATAGCCACTGTAGTAGGAGAATAAATTCCTAGCACAGGATGCCCTCTACTATGATATTTTTCCCCATGAAAAAGTAAACTAAACAAATGACAGAAAAGAAGTGATTTCCAGCCGCCACATACTGAGGCTTTGTTTTATCTACATTCCTCTGCCATCCCTTGGGCAGGTAAGAAGCTCACACTGAAAGTGAGAGCACTCACCAAGCAAAGGTTTTGCAACTTTGACATACCCTTTTTGTGGCTTGCTCCTGAACTGCTGTCTGGCTTGGCAGATTTTGCCCTACATAGACTTTGGTCCCAGTCAAGTTAAATACAAGAGGCTTTAAGGTCTGCCCTGTTACCTTTCAGCAAATCTTACTGAAAATAGAAAGAATGGACACAGGAGGCAGAGGCTATCTTTCTGGATACAGGCTTCCCTTCTGCTCTTGGAGAGAGAGGTTATATTAATTCATGGGTTAATATATGTAAGGCATTAAAATTTTTACAATTTATTTTTATTTTTAGAGACAGGGTCTCACTCTGTCACCCAGGCTGGAGTGCAGTGGCAATCATAGCTCACTGCAGCCTCGAACTCCTGAGCTCAAGCCATCCTCCAGCTTTAGCCTCCTGAGTAGCTGGGAGTACAAGTGTGTGCTGCTGTACCTCACTATTTTTTTTTTTTTTTTGAGATGGAGTTTCACTCTTGTTGCCCAGGCTGAAGTGCAATGGCTCAGTCTCGGCTCACCACAACCTCCGCCTCCCGGGTTCAAGCGATTCTCTTGCCTAAGCCTCCAGAGTAGCTGGGGTCACAGGTGTGCGCCACCATGCCTGGCTAATTTTGTATTTTTAGTAGACACAGGATTTCTCCATGTTGGTCAGGCTGGTCTCGAGCTCCCGACCTCAGGTGATCTGCCCAACTCGGGCTCCCAAGGTGCTGGGATTACAGGCGTGAGCCACCACGCCCAGCCTATTTTTTTTTTTTTTTTTTTTAATAAGAGACTGGGTCTCACTATGTTGCCCAGGCTGGTCTCAAACTCCTGGCCTCAAGCAATCCTACCATGTTGGCCTCCCAAAGTACTGGGATTATAGTATGAGCCACTGCACCCGGCCAGCATTTAAATATATAACTTAGTTATGTAGCATAACTATGTAAGTATTTGGTACTGTTGTTTGTATATTCATTCATTCACTCTTTAAGGTTTCTCTATTATGTATGAGTCAGTCCTATGCTCTTCACTGAAGCTCTGGGCTTGGCTGCTGGGATGGGAATTGAGGGGGATGGTGAGCGCTTTCTCTTTTCCGGCCCCTCCAATGGGGACAGGAAGTCAGTCCCCACCTGCCTGGCCTCAGCTGGTCTAGGAGCCTCTAGCCAAGGCAGAGTGGTGTCTGCGTCCTCCTGAACACTGCCGCCCACTCAAGCCTTGAGTAACTCAGAGTCCCAGGGCTTTTCTGACAGAGGATTTACTGATCTTTCATTATTCTAAGAGCTCCCCAAGGTCAACGGCTGTTTCTTATTCATCTTTGTATCTGTAGGGCCTGCTGAGTTCCTGGGTCTCAGGAGATAACTCAAGAAATACTTGAATAAAAGATTAAAAATGATATATATTTCTGATGCATGTGTCATGTAGATACATGCATATATATGTGTGTATATATATGAATATATATATATTGCTGGCATAATTATTTTAATAGAGGGTAATAAAATATCTTACTCTTGCACGTCTGGTTATGGTTTCTCAGTGTTTTAATAACAGCAATAGTATTAATGATACTATAATAACAATACCAGTAGCAACTATCATTTATTGAATGCATCACATTTGTTATTTAATTTTCACAGACTCTCACTGAAATAGATATTATTATCCCTATTTCTCAAAGGCTTAGAAAACTGAAGAGTCTCTTGTCTAAGGTCATACGGCTAGCAAGTAACAGAGCTATCACTCAAGCACCGGACACCATAACTAATTCATAGAGTGAAAGATATGTAGACACATAGGAACACAGTCTTGTTTTTATGAAGACTTGAATTGGATTTATGACCTGCTACCAAGAAAGGCCAATATAAAACTCTGTGATGGCAAACAGATGAGCTGAATAATGAAAATAGACACATACCTGACACATGGAGTGGTTCAATACTTTTGACTACCAATCTATCTAGTGGAATAGGCTGATCGAGTACTGTACACGAACCACCCTCTTTTATTACTGCTTGCAACTCAGGAGTAAGAGAAGGACACATTAAACCAGGGTCTGAGCCTCCAAGTTTCTGAAATTAACAAGAAAAATAATGCAATAAACAAGAAATAAATATTGGCACACTTATCTAAAGTGCATCTGTAAGCAAATAGATTCTGAGAAACAATTGCCTAAAAACTATTATTGCCTAAAATCTTACTACTCTTTCTGGATCTTGAAAAGCATTTCCCCAAAGCATAGTGATTTATAGCAAAGTGTTTATTTTATTATTATTAATAAAATTTTTTTTCTTGAGACAGGGTCTCACTCTGTCACCCAGGCTGGAGTACAGTGGTGCGATCTCAGCTCACTGCAGTGTCAACCTCCTACACTCAAGTGATCCTCCCATCATCTCAGCCTCTCAAGTAGCTGGGACTACAGGCATACACCACCATGCCCTGCTAATTTTTTAATTTTTTTGTAGAGATGGGATCTCACTATGTTGTCCAGGCTGGTATTGAACCCCTGGGCTCAAGTGATCCTCCCACCTCAGCCTCCTAAAGTGCTGGGATTACAGGAGTGAGCTACCATGTCCAGCAGCAAAGTGTTTCTGATCTCCAAGTTTCATTACCTGAATAAATAATGGTTGATGTCCATAACTGGGAAACATTTAAATCACCCTCACGTCAATGGGAAGTTCTTCATTCCTAGTATCTTAATCTCTCTATAGTATTGAGTTCGATGAATGAGAAAGGGGGCCTCACTTTGGCCAACTGTATGCCTGGGATCTAATACTGAATTCTTAATAGATTCCATGCTCTAGAATTTATGAATAATTGAAATTGTTTTGAACACATAAGATGGTGATTTTTTTAAAAGGGGGTAAAAATTAAAAATTGTGACCTGCATGGTATAAATTGTACATAAAATAGCAAAGAGGCATGTAAACTGATACCATTCCTTACTTTAGGAATCAACTTGTGATGCATAAAACCGGAATATCAGCTTATTATATTATCAACATGGGCTGCCATTAATTCATATACTCTGATTTGTACCACTATTTGACGTGAAGGTCAACTATGCAAGCATCAAGGTTTTTTTTGAAGGGGGTAGAGATTTTTCAGAATTTGGCTTGTTCAGACATGCTAGTCTGAGTAACTTATAATGGGAGGTCATACAAATTCCGAAACTATGACTCTTAATATTCTCGTACACCCATTCCCTCCCCAACCACCGATTAGCTATTCATAGATTGATTAATGGGTATCTATTTTATTGCTTAAAGATTTAGCTCAACTAACCAACATGCCATGTAGAAGCTTAGTTTATTAAAAGATATGACATAGCTAGTCTCATGATCTTATCTATGTAAGGCTAGTCATTTGGTAAAGAAATGAATGGAATAAAGCAACATTAGGTATCTCTGACTGTTGAAGACATTGCGTTCCTCTTCCCACCTCTTAGAGCAGGTGTCTGGGAGCCTTAGATAAACTTCTCTACTTGATACCACTCAAACACACCATTCAGGAAACAGATTGTGAAATAGTAAATTAGACAGAAAGCCTTTTGGGGACCAGCAGCAGACCAGTGGCTTAATGGGTAGTAAAAATAACAACAACAATAACAGTAACAAATAATACTTAAGTAACGTGAAAAAAATCCCTATTCCCTATAGAGATTTTGTAGCTCTAGCTCCCAGTTGACTAATTTAGTCTGTGATGCTACATACATGTTTGGCTTCTACACTTTTTATATAGGTAGACACTGAGAGATCAGGGCTCCCTCTCTCCTCCACCTCCAAATCATTATTTCTCAGAAATAATGTGAGCTTTCAAATCAGAATGAGTGTTGAAACCACCTCGACATAAGACAGTAGACAGTTCAGAGGGGCCCTACTCTGGCTGTTTTTGTTGTGGTGGCCAATTCAGAAAAGGAACAGGCCAAAATGGACAAAGATGTTTTGGGTTCCTTTGCTTAGGCAGGTCAGGCAAAGTCCTGTGGCTTCTGGGACTTAGCTTGCAAGTATATAGATTAAGTTGTTCTAAAAATGTATTCCTCTTTTGACATCCTTGAGAAATGCAACTTGCATTTTTTTGGTTTCATTTATTTATTTATTTATTTATTTACTTCAGAGCTTTATGACTAAAAAAGCCAATAGTTTATAATGCCTTCATTTTTTAGAGGAAAAGATTCAGCTTAAGAATATTTTATATTTTTACCACAGTTTATTTAGAAATATTTCTAAACTCATTTAGCAAACTTGTTTAGAAACGTACTTTGAAATAGCAGCATTTTACCTTTTTGTTGCACTTAGTTTTCGTAACTAAGAGGAAATCATTGAAGAGAAACAGATAAACATCTAGGAATCTCGTGCTTTCTGAGGAAAAAAAGAGAAGCTGAAATGGGGACCTGAAACTGTTAAGTAGAAGAGTTTTTCTTTCCCTTTCTTTCTTTCTTTCTTTCTTTCTTTCTTTCTTTCTTTCTTTCTTTCTTTCTTTCTTTCTTCTTTCTTTCTTTCTTTTTCTTTCTTTCTTTTCATTCTCTCTTTCCTTCCTTCCTTCCTTCCTTCTTTCTTTCTTTCTCTCTTTTTTTTAATCAATGAATTCCTTAGAAAACAAAACTGGGTGAGTATTACGGCACCCCAGGGGCTCCAATCATGTAGGTCAGAAAGCTGCCTGCCTCAATGTTGAATTGATTTCTTCCTAAAGCAGAGACTTGATGAGAGGCCAAGCTTCCAACATTAAAGACATTGAATTTATGATGCGTCTCATTTGAATCTAAGATAACTCAGATGTTATTTGTAGTGGCTTCAACTCAGCCGAGGGTAAATCTATCAACTGATTGAACTTGCAGCATTTTTGCCTCTAGATTCCTCTGGGTGGTTATTGGCAAAGGCACACATAACCAGAGAAAAGGCATTTTCTCACTGCTATGAATTATGCTATTGTGTCACTCAAATTTCATATGTTGAAGCCCTAAACCACTAGGGTGGCTGCATTTGGAGTAAGAAAGTAATTAGGGTAAAATGAAGTGATAAGGCTGGTGCACTGATCCAGTAGCATTAGTGTTCTTTGAGACACCGGATACCTCCACCCTATCCCCCACTCCTTGTCTTGAAGAGAGCGCTCATCAGGAACTGAATTTGCCATCACCTTGGCCTGGGACTTTTCAGCCTCCAGATTGTAAGACATAAATTTCTGCTGTTTAAGTCAGCCTGTCTGTGATATTTTGTTATGGCGGCCTAGGTTGACAGTCATTAAAACTACTTATTTCTCAAGTTTTAGAAAGTGTCTATAAATGTTTAGATATTCTCCATCTGTTTCATATTTACAAACTTTTCTGATATTAGTTTTAATAGTTACTTAAGGCAAATAGCTTTTCTTTAGTTTTCCCTAAGAAGGGAATAGTAGTAGAAGAGAAACCAAGTATCAGAATAAGGCATCTCCTTCCTTATTTTACTCTATCCCTTAGAAATTAGAAAAAAGGGTTAAATTTAAGTGATTTCAGAGGAAAAGGTTTTTAGAGGGAGATGTGACAAGTGCTTAGAGTAATCATAGGAAAACCCAGTAAATTTTTTTCAGCTTGTTCTATTTAGATTATATATATATATTGTTCTAGAAGTTCTTTCTTATATGTTTTTACCCCTAGAAGATTTAAAGTAGTAGCTAAAACATTTAGGATTCATTTCTATCTCCTCTCATTCTTTAAGTTTAGAGAAAAGATTTTTTCTATATTTGCATAGGGGAGAAATCTGGTATTTTATTCAAATTAAATAGTCCTTGAATAGTTTTTTTAAAAATCATATTAAAAACTTAACTTTTCATAAATCAAGTTGTGGCAAAGACTTCTGGTTGTCCCTTGAAAACCATTCTCCCCTTCTCTTGTAGCAGTAGAATCCCCAAGTTTTAGTGAGTACCCATCCTCAGAGAACAGAGACTACATTTCCTTGCTGCTGAATATGACCAAGGAGCTAAATTCTGACCAATGGAATGTGAGCCAAAGCATGCAACTTCTGAGTCATATTCGTGAAGGGCAGGGCTAAGCTCTCTTGTCTCTGTCTCTCCTTCTCACTGGGTAGAATACAGACATATTGGTGAGTCATCTTGGGCCACACAGAAGAAGGCAGTTCCCTAGATTTGGGAATAAGACAGCAGGAATCTGGATTCCTAATGACTTCATGGAGTGGAGTTGTCATATAGGTTGAGACTTAACAAGAGAGAAATAAACTATCTTTTTTAACCTGTCCGTCTCCAGTGGCTGAATCTATATGCCAACTGATATACAGGGCTAGGAATGGTACAGCACTAGACCTGTGAACAGCCAGCTGAGCCTGCCATAGCAAAATACCACAGACAGGGTGGCTTAAGCAATAGGAATTTATTTCTCACAGTTCTGGAGCCTGGGAAGTAGATCAAGGTGCTGGTCGATTCAGTTCCTGATAAGGGCTTTCTTTTTGGGTTTCTGCATGTGTTCTTACATGGCAAACAGAGAGAGTGAGCTCTCTGATGTCTGCTCTGATTAGGATACTAATCCTATCAGATCAAGGCTCCAGCCTGAGTCCCTCATTTTACCTGCATTTCTTCCTTATTCCAAGTATAGTCATACTGGACATTAAGGCTTCAACATGTGATTTGTGGAAGAACACAATTCAGTCCACAGCAATGGAAGAACACAATTCAGTCCACAGCAACCTTCAAACCTGTAAAATTTGCTATTCCCATCTTCTGCTACTCATGTATGCGTCAGCTCAATGATCATTGTCAAAATGAAATAGTTTTGTTTTCTCCTTCTAATTTCAACTATTTTATTTTGACAAACAGGCAGGGAGCACACCTTCTACGTATTCCAGATGTTATTCTAGATAATGTTACAGACATTATTCTAGAAAGTGGTAATTATTTTATCTACCATTTATTGAGGCCCTAGTTTTCCACCAAGTAAGTTATGAAACAAATTATGAAAATGTGTACCTTCTGGGAATGAGAACATATACTTATTTGATTATAAGAGTACAGTTTTTAAGGCTGGGAGAAATTTGGAAACACAGTATGTGTTAGGTTTCATCACATCATTTTCATCCTCATTGTCATCATCATTATCAGCAGCAGCAATAACATTTATAAAAGAGAATAAGAGAATTTAAATTTTCCCAAAGCCTACAATTGGTGCTAGATCCCCTGACTGTTGGTTCAATGCTTTTTTCATTTAAAATGATGTCCTGTTTCCTCACTTGATCTTAGCCAAAAGACCAAGAAGTGAAATGTCCTGTTTCTTCTAACACTATCACCCTGCCCCATCAAATCTCGATGCTCAACTCTGAGTCCAGTCTCAGGACTTTGCACTTGGCTTGATGCCATGTAGACTACATCATATGGAGTCTCCATCTCTGATGGAATTTGACTAATACAGCATATGCCATTAAACAAGTGCCTGGTGTTAGTGACATTATGTAGTTCATGTCCATACTACCACATTTGACTGTACAAGAAGCATTTTCTGGAAAAGTTGAGTCTGTTTGTAAAGAGTCTTTCTTAGGTGAGCTTCCAACCCATACATCTATGACAGTCACTTTGAACCCATGCGATGCATGAATTCACATCTGACTTAGACTTTCACCCACCAGGAGCTGCTCCTCCAGCTTCCATGTGGGTTCTCATTATGCCCAAACCTGAACCCTAAAATTGACTCCTTGACCCACTCCCTCTACCACTCATGGCATTATCAACAAAACTTTCAGATACATAGATTAGAACAGTTTTTGATACTCATTTCCTCTTCATCCACTTTGTCGATCATAAAATCCTCCTGGTTTTGCCTTTGCAATGTCTCCCATATCCTTTTCTATCATGCCCATTTCTAATGTGTTAGGAGAAGCTGGTGCATCTTGCAGTATTGGGAGGTAGGTAGGAAGAGGGAAGGAGTGAACCAAAGCCTCACATAATTTCAGGTGGGGCTAATTTTGGAGGTAAAGATACATGCTGGAACACAGATAATGTTTTGCTTTATTACTTTGATTTGTTCTTGTCATAAAATATAATTACTTTGAAGTTGTAAATAACATTAAAGAAAAGTTAAAATTGTTATGTTTTCAAATGAAAGTGGGGGGTGGGTTGACCACATGTTAAAAATGGTAGAGCAACAGACAGGCCCCGAGTCTTCTCACCTCACCGTGTTCACCACTGAACTTCCGGTTTCACCACTCTGCTTTGGTCTCCTCTATGCCATTTTGAACACTGCTTATTAACAACGCTTTCTTCAACACCCTTTTAACCTATCACTTCCCTGTCTGAGAGCTCAATGACTTCTGGTTGCCTGCAGTTTCCTGGCTGGGTCCTTCTGTTTGGTTTCCAAGGCAGTTGCTCTGATTCTGGAAGCCAGCTGGACCAAGGCAGCCAGGCTCCAGCTGGTACTCGGTCATTTACCCACCAGGTGAACTTGGGCATGATACAGAACCTCCCTGAGCCCCAAATCTCTCACCTATAACAAGGGATTAAAAGCAACTTCTCTATTTAACTTACTGGAAAGAGACAATGTATGAAAAAGCCCTTGGATATAAAACGCTGGATATGTCTATCTTCCTTATTTAACAGCTGCCAGGTGGGGATTATGTCCTAACCTGACATCCAGACTACCTCTAAAATAGAGCAGAGTTTCAATATACATGTATTAAGGGATTATTTCCCAGCCCCTCCCCACCAGATATCACATCACCACTGTTAGGCAACATCCCATCCCACAGGACTTCACACTCAGTAAGTGCCTGGTCAAGATTTTGTGCAGAAATGAATAAATAAATGATTTAAAACCTTATTTCAGCCAGGCAGCCTTTCTGATCATCATGATATTTATTGGGCATGAAATTTGTGTCAATCATTCTTTTGAGTGCTTACACATCCGTTGGTTCATTTAATCCTCACAATAAAGTAAGGTAAACTGAAGCACAGGAGATCACTGTAAATGGCCCAAGGTTGTACAGGCAGAAAAGGCTGAGCAGGGAGTGAGCCAGGCAGTCAGCCCCAGGGGCTTGGCTTCCTATGTACTCTGCTAGAAACTAAGTTTCTCCAGGGGCTTCTGCCTCCAAGACTTCTCCAGCTGTGCTATTTATCTGAATGACCTCCCTCCTGTCCTTCCACTGACCTCATCCTTCCTGCCCCTCCAAGCCCACCTCCAGTCCCATGGACTGCACGAAGCCTCTCCAGGGCACTGCAGCCTCAAGGACTCTCTTCTTTTCTGAACTTATCCTGAAGGTCTGGTAATAAGGCAGAGCTTCCCAACTAGAGGGAAAGAATTATACAGAATGAGTTTTTATATCTTCCAATAGTACCTACCTAGCACAACTTGTCCTATATAATATAATAGAGTCTCCATAAACATTTGAGAGCTTGATTGTCTGGCTCATTGGGGGAGTACAACGATTATGATGATAACAGCTGCCATTGACTATTTACTAGATTCCAGACCGTGAGCGAAGTTGTTCTTGTATGTTGTTTTAACAATCCTATGGAATAGTTAGAGTTATCCCATTACAGAGAGAAAACAGAGAGCACCTAGCTAGTTATGTTGCGAAGTCTTCATTCAAGCCTGAGTCTGTGTGACTCCATAGGGACTCTCTCATTCACACCCTCCATCACCTGGAACATAGGCAAACACAAGTCCTCCTGCTCTTCAATTACTGGCAGTCAAACAAGTTACAAGGCGGCACAGATGTTGGGTTTTTTAAAGGAAGCAGTTATTTACCTGCAAGAGTTAATTTTCCTTCATAGAGAAGGTGTCTGCTGGTTGGTGACAAGATGTTTTCTGCCATGTGTTCTTTAAAAATGTGTTTCAAACACTTGTAAAACAAGCGAGAAAATAAAAGAGATGTTGTTAGTGATTGGAAGAGAACATGTTTAAAAAGCTGGGGCAATTAACTCCATCTAGAAAGTTCATGACATTTGGAAATGCCAGCAGATGGACATGGGAATGGGAAACAATGAAAAACCCTCTCAGAAGGACCATCATAAGAATGGCACAGCGACCTCAGCCTCCCCGCATACAATGCCCTACAGATGAAGACTTTACTTCTTGTTCATGAAACTAGATTTATTCTTCAAGTGGACAGATGGGGACATCTAAGATGATTGTATTTCTATCTGAATGCCCAAATTCCAGAAATGGACATAAGTCCTAATTGATTTTTTTTTTGTACCTCTGGAATGAAAAACCTTTTATCTCTATCCCAAAGCGGTGGCCACACTATAATCTCCTGTAGATATCTAAATTTTTGGAAATTGTCCAGCCACTTCACTTTTCCTTCAAGGTCCCCTGAAAGACATGACATAGTCAGTATATTTTTAGGTGCATATGACATTGCAGTATAAATTTTAACCAAGGTCCACAGGAATCATTTAGAAACACTGGCTGCCCCTGGAGCCAGACAATATATAAAGTTCATTTCACATATTGCTTGCTGTTCATGCGTCTTAGAAAACTCACTAATTTGGAATCAGTCTCTTGCAGAGAAAAATCAAGCTTAGCTAATTTAATTCAGTAGTTTGAAAGTATATTGTGTATTCTTATTTCAATAATACCAATAAAATCCTTGGTAGTTTTCTCTTATTCCCTAGACCACACAGCCTATAATTAGAGGAGGAAAAAAAAAATCAGACTAACAAGGACAAACATATGTTTTTGTCCCAATCATAAAAGTATATATTCACTTCATGATCATGGTGATTATTTCTTTTTTGGTAGGAACTCAATTTCTCTTTGGAAGGTTTATATTCATTTTCCAATGTTTTCTAATAACATGTTGCTATTGAGGGTTTGAAATGTTTTTTGAAAACATGGAGGGCAAGTAAGAGACCTGAAGAATCACATTGTTAGTGGAACCTTCAGAATTCACCATCTTTAAGGTAATAGACATAAAGGGAGGCCACACAAATCTCTTCCCTCAACAATGAGAATCCATCTTTCACTGAGAAATCTCCAGAGGTGCTGCTTTATCTTTCCTCACAAACCCATCCAAATGAGTAATAATCCTTAAGATTACTTCTAAAGCTAAAGAAGTCATCTTTAAGAGATTCTTTGTCTTACTTGCTTGATAAACTTAATTCCAGCTCTTCAGATAATTTTAGAATTTGAATAAAAAATTTAAAAACAGAAGAAAAACCCAATTAAACAGTCTTACTTTTTTTTTTAAAGCATCTGTTTCAGGCAGTATCATTTTACTTTTAAACTTGTAAAAGAAAAAAATTATGTATAGCTGAATATCACCAATTTGAATTGTTCCCTTCTGATGCCCACGAGGAAAATCTTGGTTTTTGGGCATAAATCATGAACTTCTTTATGGGAATTTCAGTTATACAGAGTTACACAAATAAACTTAAGTCATCATAGGGCCTGCTCAGTTCCCATCCTCAAATTTCAGTTTAAAGATTGCAGTTGGCAGTAGTTCCATATTGACCCTGGCTTTCGGTGATTTAAGAAATGATGAATGGTAATTTATCCTCTGGACACACTTTCCATGGTGTTTACTCCCATTTGCTTTGTGTGTGGGGTCAGTACGGCTGTTAAAAACAAAGTGCCTTCAGTTATCTGGGAAGTAGAACTTTTCCTGCCTGAACTCACTTCTGAAACACTTGGAGACAGAGCCACATCCTGTGTAAACTTGGTGCTAGAGTTCTCATAGGGTTCGCCAGGATGTGACTGGAGCCCATTGTTCTGTGCGCATTTGATTTACAATGCACTCACACTTGAACCCACATTTCCAAGAGCCATGACCTCAAATCAGTGGAATTACCTCCTAGGATGGAAGCCCAGAAGGTTTCCAGGAGTCACAAGGCCACAATTCTGTAATTAAGCTCACTTATCTCAGGGACTTACGGATGGACTTTTCCACCTTTTCCTTGATGGAGTAGATCATGATTTTCTCAGCAGAGTCCATGCTCCTTTTCCAGATATTCTTCAGCAACAACGGATATCGAGTGAGCCTCTGTAGTGGGGCCACTAGCAGCTCTGGCACGTGGAGCCGTCTGCATTGTTCATTCTGCTCACACCACTGGGGAAGGCAAAAGCAGCCATATCAGAATGATCACCTCTCCCACTGAGCCACTAAGAAGCCTGGATATGAGAGGTTCTTGGAGATTTTACTCAGTAACTGCAGGACCTACTTGTGAGTTTGCTGGGACAATTTATAAGCCACAAATTAAATCCCCTGAAAAGTGCATGTTCCATTAGCAGTAGTGATAAGATGTAGTAATAGGTGGGTTCCAGCCTTGTTTACCCTTCTCATTGGAGAGTGAATTTAGTTTTGCCCATTGGCTTTTCTTCCCTGGCCTTCAGGGGAGAGTTCTGGTTTCATCAGCTTTGGTCCCATCCTTGTTGTGATGCAGTTAGGACAATTGAGAATTGAGACTGGAGAGGCAGAAGGGAAAAGGAAGGATTCTTGCTTGTTGGGTCAGTTCCTTGACTCCTCTTAGTTGGGGAGGATCAGGGTAATGATCGAAAATGAAGAGAAATGAAAATAGAAGATAGAAGTTGAAGAGGCTCAGTTGATCTAGAACAAAGAGAGGAGAGGAGAGAGGTAGAGATGCGGACAATTTTCAATAGGGAGAGTTTGGAGTTGGGGTTTGGAAGAAGAGGCAGTTCTAGGGTATGCCAGCACCGGGGAAGACAAGAAATTTTAGTAATTTAGTAATTGTAGTAAGTATTGCCATGGGTTATCCATTGGGGTTCCATAAATGATGTTTGAGAAACCTGAGTAAACATGAGAATAGCTTTTACGCTTGTTTTATCTGCTGTGCTGTTTCTTTGAATGTGAGCTTCCTTGAACGTAAGGGGCTCTGGCTTTAATGAAGGTGGCAAATGAGGCATGGACGTGGTTGCTGGCCAGCATGCAGATGGGTACATCAGGAAGGAGTATAGGGGTGTGTGTGTTCTCTTCCTCTTCTCTTACCCTGAACACTCACACCAAATTGACCCTGAGTTCAGCGATAAAGGGATTAATATCAACTGAATGTTTGCTTTCCTTCAAATCCACCTAATATTACTTTTAACGCCAAAAACTGCAATTACTTTTGCACCAACCTAATAAAATCCTAACCTTCAGTGGAGCGGCATTAGGAAGTGGGGCTGTTGGGAGGTGATTAGGCCATGAGCATGGAGCCCTCTTGAATGGGATTAGTGTCCCTATAAAAGGGGTCCCGGAGAGCTCTCTAGCTCTCTTTTCACCATGTGAGGCTACAGCGAGAAGACAGCTGTCTGCAACCCACAAAAGGGCCATCACCGGCCCCTAACCATGCTGGCACCAGGAGACTTTCAGCCTCCAGAACTGTGAGCAACAAACTCCTGTTGATTATAAGCCACCCAGTCTATGGTGTGTTGTTCTAGCAGCCTGAATTGACTACAACAGGGATCCTGCCTTTACACTAAATATTTCTCCTGCTGCAGGCTGTTGCCTCATTTCCACCTTCCATTCTCCTTTCATTCTCCAGGTTAAATCCTTTGCCTTGTGACCCAGACCCTTCAGGGCCATCCTCAGGTGGGCCAGGCACACTGCAGGAGACTCCTGCTGCATCCCCAGAGATGTCTTCAAGCCCACGTGTCAGTCCTTGCATTTTGAAGATCTAGGTACAATTAGCTCAACCCCCCACCAATCCAATGGCCTGTGGAGGTCTAAACTCCTCCCCTAGATATTTACCAACTCATGGGACTGAGATTCTAACATCTTCCTCTGGCTCCTGGACTCTTGTTTCCATGTATACTGTTTCTTCCCTGAACAACATGGAACAAACATATCCCCTTGGTTTCCTATGTTAGTTTCTGCTGTAAACCCCCTCATGACATGTTTTGTGAGTATACGTATTTATTTTACTGAAGATTTTGGGTTGTGAAGAGGGGTCAAATACACAGCCCATGAGACCCTACTATTTTGCTGGCTCTATTCTCTTCTTTGGAAAGAGAGAGTTCTTTCTCTCTTCCCCCTTAAACAAACCCTCCCCTTTTATCTCCTAGCCTCTTGCCTAGCAATTTGCATTTGTCTTTCATAGCTTGACCATGTCCTTGGTGGGGTGAGGTGGGGTCTCACTCTCCTCCCACACTATCAGCTGTTTTTTTTTTTTAAGGGGGATGGGGAACAGGATCTTGCCCTGTCACCCAGGCTGAAGTGCAGTGGTATGATCATGGCTCACTGCAGCCTTGACCTCCTGGTCTCAAGCAGTCCTCCCACCTCAGCCTTTCACATAGCTGACACCACAGGTGCAGGCCACCACACCTGGCTAATTTTTAAATTTTTTGTAGAGACTGGATATCACTATGTTGCCCAGGCTAGCCTCAAACGCCTGGGTTCCAGCAATCTGCACACCTCCCAAAGTGCTGGGATTACAGGTGTGAGCCATAGTACCTGGCTCAGCTGGATGTTTTGGAAAACATCCTGGGCTCTTCATCATGGGGATTCTGCCAAATTCAATCTTCTTGGCCGGGCGTGGTGGCTCATGCCTGTAATCCCAGCACTTTGGGAGGCCGAGGTGGGAGGATCACTGGAGGTCAGGAGTTCGAGACCAGCCTGGCCAACATGGTGAAACTCCGTTTCTACCAAAAATACAAAAAAAAAAAAATTAGCCAGGCATGGTGGCGCACGCCTGTAATCCCAGCTACGCAGGAAGCTGAGGTGGGAGAATTGCCTGAACCCGGTAGGCAGAGGTTGCAGTGAGCCAAGATAGCACCACTGCATTACAGGCTGGGCAACAGAGCAAGACTCTGTCTACAATTCAATCTTCTCCTCTCCCCTGTGTACAGGTGGCTGGCCATGAGAGTGAGCTCACAGTGCATGGTGAATGGAGCTCCAGAAGCCAGGCTCCAAGGACCACCTTCTCTCTCTGGACCTCCGATTTCTCTTCTTAGACAAATTAGGCAACGTGCTGAAAGATATGGTTGTTCTAGGGCAGAGGTAGGATTTGAATTCAGACCTGTCTGAACCCGATGTTCAATCTTCTACAATGCTCTGTTGTAAACAACATTCTTGTAGAACTTAAGCCTATGTTGTGTTATGGGCTGCCTGAAATCGACCTATAAATGCAGTGGGATAAATTTACCCTTCATACCACATGAGGCTAAGCTTTATGAATGTATGTACTTTATCTTGATGTATATTAATGGGATTAGAATTTTTCCAACTGTTTTATTTTTATTTATTTATTTATTTATTGAGACAGGGTAGGTCTGACTTTGTCACCCAGGCTAAGTGCAGTGGTCCAATCATGGCTGACTGCAACCTCAGACTCCAGTGTGGCTAGATGGCTCTTGGCTAGATGATCTCCAAGGTCTCCTCCAAATGACTGTGGTTCTCATTGAGGTTGGCAGGGATGGAGACAGAAGTGAGCACGACAGATGAAGATAAGGCTGGGAGTGGAGGGGAGCAGGGCTATGCTTTAGCGGCTGATTTCCATGTTGACTCACGGGCAGCAGCGTTCCAGTGCTACCTTCAGGTCCTGGACCTCTTGGGTGGCTGGGAGTTCTTGTAACTGATTTCTCAGCAGCAGTTAGGCCCCTGTCCTCCCAAAAAACTCACTGCCCCAGGCCACTGCCCCAAATTGCCCTGCTGTGGGGAACAGCTGTGGCTGCCAGCGTGCACTGGTATTCAGGGTCAAAGTGAAAACACCAAACTCCTCCAGGTAACAATTGGCAAGAAGCATCCGTGGTAAATAATTTAGAGAAGGATCCAGGCAGGGATGTTGGAAGCATTTGTATTTCAGAAAACTTCAGAAGAGACAAAAAGAATGGCTTGACATTATAAAAGTAAAGCTGTAAGTTTTCCTTTCATCTCTCTATTGACTTCATTTTTCAGGTCCGTTAGGGAAGGCAAATAACACTTCCATTGAGAGAGATTGGACATAAAAGGCCTTTTTATTGATAAGTCTAGATCAATAGAGGCTACTTTTGCTTTATAATAAGTATCCAATATGCTTAGGGGAACTGTGAAAGGATTCAAGGGCCCCAGATGAAAATATGTCCTGTCGCTTGAGCAAGGGAGGTTGAGGCTGCAGTGAGCCATGATGGTGCCACTGCATTCCAGCCTGGGTGACAGAGTGAGACCCTGTTCCAAAATAATAAAATAAAATAATAAAATAAAATAAAATAAAATAAAATAATAAAATAAAATAATAAAATAAAATAAAATATAAAATAAAATATAAAATAAAATAAAATATAAAATAAAATAAATAAAATAAAATAAAATAAATGAAATAAAATAAAATAAAATAAAAAATAAAATAAAATAAAATAAAATAAAATATCCTAATAAATTTGTCTTAGTGGGATGCAGCATTAGGATGGGGCAACCAGAATTCTTGGAACCTCAGGAAATTTACTTACCCTTTCTAAAAATTATCAGTAAAATGTTGATAACAAGAGTAACTACCTCATTAGGTTGGTGAGAGGTTTTAATGAGATAATTCTCACAAAGTGCTTAGAACAGAGCCTGGCACATCTCAAACACTCAGTCCATGGCAGCTAGAGTTCTTAGCCATTGTTAGTTGTGCCACACGAAGAGACTTGGTACGAAGTTCCCAGTTTCTTCCTCTGCATCGTTTTGTTTCTAAAATAGTAAGCAGGAGGATTGCTTGAACTTAGGAGTTTGAGACAAGCTGGGCAACCTAGCGAGACCCCATCTCCATAAAAATTAGAAAATTAGTCAGGTGTGGTGGCACATGTTTGTAGTCCCAGCTATGTGGGAGGCTGAGGTGTGAGGGTCACCTGAGCCCAGGAGTCTGAGGTTGCAGTGAGCTGTGATTGTACCACTGCACTCTAGCCTGGGTGACAGAGTCAGACTCTGTCTCAATAAATAAATAAATACATAAATAAATTAATTAATTAAAAAACAAACAGTAGGAAGAATTCTAATCCCATTAATGTACACCAGGATAAAGTACATACATTCATAAAGCTTAGCCTCATGTGGTGTGGAGGGTAAATTTATCCCACTGCATTTATAGGTCGATTTCAGGCAGCCCATAACATGGCATAGGTTTACGTTCTCCAAGAACGTTGTTTACAACAGAACATTGTAGGAGATTCAACATTGGGTTCAGACAGGTCTGAATTCAATCCTACCTCTGCCCTAGAACAACCATATCTTTCAGCATGTTGCCTAATTTGTCTAAACTCCTGAAAAACGGGAACAATATCAAATTCTGCAGAGTTAGTGTGTAGACAAGAAGAGGATGGATGACCAGCATGTAGCACAGTGTCTAGGCCATAGCAAGGGCTCAAACACTAGTCACCTTGGGTATCTGCGAGTCTCTCCCTGACCTCTCACCTTTGTTTCATGAGGCTAATAGTTCCATGGTGATGGGTCATAGCCCCAAGGAATTGGAAATAGTTCTGAT
Organism: Homo sapiens; assembly: GCF_000001405.40. Lineage (NCBI taxonomy): Eukaryota > Metazoa > Chordata > Mammalia > Primates > Hominidae > Homo > Homo sapiens. The sequence goes on along the minus strand of NC_000012.12, from coordinate 92,748,760 downwards.
ATGAAGAGCACTGGATTTTTTTGCCTGAAAATCTTGCTATGGTTCTTTCTTTGCCACCTATTGGCTATGTGGCCTTGCAAATGTCATCTAACCTCTCTGAGCCTCAGGGACACAAAGGAACAATGTAATCAACTTTACAGGTTTGTGTTCCGAATTAAGAGATGTTTGAGAAAGTGTCTGGTGAAGTATTATGCGTTATAAAAGCATCATGTGAGCTGGGTGCGGTGGCTCACGTCTGTAATCCCAGCACTGTGGGAGGCTGAGGCAGGTGGATCACTTGAGGTTAGGAGTTCAAGACCAGCCTGGCCAACATAGTGAAGCCCCGTCTCTACCGAAAATATAAAAAATTTGCCAGGCACGGTGGCAGGCACCTGTAGTTCCAGCTACTCTGGAGACTGAGGCAGAAGAATCGCTTGAACCTGGGAGACGGAGGTTGCAGCGAGCTGAGATTGTGCCACCGCACTCCAGCCTGGGTGAGAAAACAAAACTCTGTCTCAAAAAAAAAAAAAAGCATCATGTGTTATAACAGCACTTATCCTCTACTACCTTTCCCAAAATATCCCTGGATGTCACACACATTTTTATTCATATACAATTGTACATATTTATGGGGCACACATGATATTTTGATACATGTGTACAATGTGTAATGATGAAATCAGGGTATTTAGGATAGCCATAACCATAATTATTAACATCATTTCTTTATGTTGAGAACATTTCAAATCTTCTAGTTATTTTGAAACACACAATAAATTATTGTTAACTATAGTCACCCTAGTGGGTTATCATGCACTAGAACTTACTCCTTCTATAACTGTATGTTTGCACCCATCAACCGACCTCTCTTCATCCCCTTCTCCCCTCTTCCCAGCCTCTGGTAACCATCATCCTACTCTCTATCTCCATGAGACTAACTTTTTTAGCTCCCACATACAAGTGAGAACATGCAATATCTGTCTTTCTGTGCTTGGCTTATTTCACTTAATGACCTCTAGTTTTATCTGTAAGTGACAAGATTTCATTCTTTTTTCTGGCTGAATAATAGTCTACTGCACAGATATGTTACATTTTCTTTACCTAATCATCTGTTGATGAACACTAGATTGATTCTATATTTTGGCTACTGTAAATAGTGCTGCAATAAGCATGGGAGGAGCAGGTATTCCTTTGATACACTGATTTATTTCTTTTGGCTAAACACCTAGTGGTGGGATTGCTGGATAATGGTAGTTTTATTTTTAGTTTTCTGAGAAACCTCCATTTTGTTTACTATAACAACTGCACTAATTTACATACCTGCCAACAGTGTACAAAAGTTCCCTTTTCTCTATATCCTTGCCAGCATCTCTTATTTTATTTTATCTTTTTAAATAGCAGCCATTTTAACTGGGGTAAGATGATATCTTAGTAGTCATTTTAACTGGGGTAAGATGATATCTCATTGTGGTTTTGATTTGCATTTCCTTGACGATTAGTGATGTTGAGATTTTTTTTTTTTCATATACCTGTTGGCCATTTGTATGTTTCATTTTGGGAAATGTCAACTCAGATTCTTTTCTCACTTTGTAATGGGATTTATTTTTTTGATCTTCAAGTTCCTTGTATATTCTAGGTATTAGTCCCCTGTCAAATGAATAGTTTGCAAATATTTTCTCCCATTCTGCAGATTGCCTCTTTACTCTGTTGTTTCTTCTGCTGTGCAGGAGCCGTTTAGTTTAATATAGTACTATTTGTCTATTTTTGTTTTTGTTGCCTATGCTTTTGAAGTCTTAGCCCTAAAATATTTGTGTAGACCAATGTCCTCAAGTGCTTCTTTTATGTTTTCTTCTACCAGTTTTATAGTTTCAGGCCTTACACTTAAATCTTTAATTCATTTTTATTTGATTTTTACATATGGTGAGAGATAGGGGTCTACTTTCATTCTTCTGCATCGAGATATTCAGTTTTCCTAATGCTATTTACTCAAGAGAGTGTTGTTTCTCCAATGTATGTTTTTGGTGCCTTTGTCAAAAATCATCTGGCTTTGAATATATGTATATAGGATTTTCCAAAGTTATTTGAAAACAATAGTTGGACCTTGTTAAATTAATCTCTTTCCCAGCTTGGAAGGGAGAGAAAGGAACCTGGATTCTCCCAGTTTGGGGGCCTAGCTAAGAGTGTAATCCATCAGCTTCTAGGGGAAACATTTGCAATATGATTATTCATGCATTTGGAAATCTAATGAGCTATCACCTTTCAGTTTGAGTAGCAAAAAAAACACTAAAGGGCTGAAGCTACAAAAATATGGCCAAGTCTCTTCCCTAAGATTATTCCCCTTTTCTCGTCCTTGGCACACCCAGGCTTCCTGGCATATCAAGGCTGGGGCGGAAGCCCACTGATTCACAGCTGAGTCATTGGGAACCATGGGAGCCTTTCCTCCCAAGCCTCTGAGGTCATGCTCTGGCAGGGGCTTCTCGCAGCTGCAGGGAAGAGCTGGTTTTCTGGAAAGGCTTGGACCATTTTCTCTGGATGATCCAAAAGGGCTCTGGCACAGGACTGAAAAGGTTCAGTTCAGACTAAAGAAATATCAAAGCAGGGACCAACAGAATTAGAGAAGTCAGGGGAGATAGGTTTTAGGCTTGGCTACTAGAAAATGCTGAAGGACCCTGGCAGAAAATTCTTCTTTTAATGCTGTGGGACCCAGAGCTGCCATATTGGCACAGCTCCAGAGGCAACATTGACATTGTGCTTTATACTCTAATCAAGGGGGCAGCATTCATGTAGAATACAGTGTAAATGATGTCCCAAGTTTCTATGCTGGAACTAACTCCTGCAAGAGCCAAACTTCTAAGTCACAAAGCTCAGGTTCTTACTATATAGTTTTCTCCTTACAATGTACCAATTTCTACCGCAAATAGCATAATGAACCAAGAAAACATTTTTAAGCCCCAGCCAACATTTCAGGAGGGATATTAGATAATATAATCTTTCCAGATGTGCACCATTTAATATTCCTAAGTGTGCAGTGGACAATGTATTTATGAGGAAAGCAGATTTGTAGTTAAAACATATTATTGATCATTTTGTTTTCTTCTTTCCCATTTAATTTAGATATAATCATTCCCAGTACATGTGACACCCAAAAAGCATCAGCAAAAATACAAAAGAAAAGAAAATGATACTTTACTTTTAAATAAATTCCAAAGTCATCTCTCTGCCTCAGGCTCTCAAGATAAAAGATAGCAGCTGAATAGTTCAGGCAGTAGGTCTGGTGGCTCTGACAGAGACTCCCTCGGAAATACTGCAAGAAAGGAAGAGCAGAAGGAGGATGAACACAAGTTAAGGAGAGCATTGAGCCCTGAAAGAGTGTTTCTCCTCACTTTTATCATTAACTAGAACAGGGAAAAGTGGAGGAGTCGCCATGATCAAGCAGGCGCCACAACTGCATGGAAATACAAAGGTAATCTCCACATAAACATTCTTTTAACAGAATATCGTACTCTCATAATAAACAGTTGACACCTGAATAAATAGTCTTTTTCTCCCTATACTTAAAGAAAATTCTATTTAGGCTGTCTTGATTTAATTCACCCTTTTACTTCTGTTTAAGCTTTCTTCAGGTGCCACACCCTCCAGGACACCCAGTAACAAATACTGCCTTTGATTTGGGTGACCCTGTTGGTTAATGTTAAGCTTGTATTGATAGTAAGTGATTAAAGTAAGGACACTTAACTTTTCATCTGATATGTCTCAAAAATTTCCATGCATTTAATTTTGCTGGCTTCTAAACATGTAGAAATTTTGGACATCTTGGCTGGGCGCAGTGGCTCACGCCTGTAATCCTAGCACTTTAAGAGGTGAGGCAGGCGGATTGCCTGAGCTCAGGAGTTCGAGACTAGCCTGTGCAACACATTGAAACCCCGTCTCTAATAAAAAATACAAAAAATTAGCTGGGCATGGCAGCATGGGCCTGTAGTCCTAGCTATCTGGGAGGCTGAGGCAGGATAATTGCTTGAACCCAGGAGGTGGAAGTTGCAGTGAGCTGAGATCGCGCCATTGCACTCCAGCCTGAGTGACAGAGGGAGACTCCATCTCCATATCCAAAAACAAAAAAAAAAAAAAGAAATTTGGGACATCTCTACTCAGCATACTGTATCTAGTAGCATGCGCTTTATCTTACTCAATCTAATGCTTGTCTTCCCTTTTCTTCGTTATTTTTATTTAATGTCTTAAACTTGCTATAATGACTACACATTTGTAAGCCACCTAAAATTGTTTTTAGAATAAGGCAAATTGTTAATTTATATATACATATATTCATACATATAATGGGTAAACTGAGCACACTGAACTACATGCCACCATCTCAATTAAGCGTCTTTCTTGGGAATGATGGTTATTCTTTTTCTCTTCAGCAATTCTTCTGGCTCGTTACTGGAAGGCACTCTCTTCAGGATTCCATAGTGTCTACCATGTTGCTAAGCTTATGTGTCCATTGATAGGTTTATTGATTAATATAATAACTCATGGGCTGCATTAAGGAATTTCCAATCGTATCCCAATGTGGTGAAATTGGAGAAGGAAAACACACTTACTCGTGAGTAGAGAAAGCAGACCCAGTCTGAAAAACCACTAGCAGAAGTGACAGTAACAAAGTCAGAGATGGTGAAACCTAGAAAAATATTTTGTTATAGGACCTTAGAAGACAAAACACTATAGGGAGCAATGTCAAGTTTTGGCTTCAGCAAGAAGTAATTTGAAAGATGATGTGAGTTTATTTTGGAGGGGAATATTGATAGCTGGGCCTTGAAAAGGACTTGGAGGTAAAGAGAGGGTCTTCTCATGGACACTGAGATGCTTGAGAAATGTTGGAACTAGGAGGTAACTGGTTAGAAGCCAAGATTAAGAGTCATTAATGGGGCTGGGCACGGTGACTTGCGCCTGTAATCCCAGCACTTTGGGAGACCGAGGCAGGTGGATCACCTGAGGTCAGGAGTTCGAGAGCAGCCTGGCCAATATGATGAAACCCCGTTTCTACTAAGAATACAAAAATTAGTTGGGCATGGTGGCGCACACCTCTGGTCCCAGCTACTCGGGGGGCTGAGGCAGGAGAATTGCTTGAACCTGAGAGGCAGAAGTTGCCATGAGCTGAGATCGTGCCACCGCACTCCAGACTGGGTGACAGAGCAAGACTCTGATCACCCCCACCACCCCCTCCCCCACCAAAAATAGAGTCATTAATGGTCAGGCTTAGATATCCAGTTCTATCACCCATTGGCTATATGATCTTAGCTAAATTATGTAACCTCTCTAAGCCTCAGTTTCTATCTCATTGGATGGCTCACATGTGAATAACAAGACGTCCCTATCTTCCAGCTGGTGAGCTTCTTGTGAGGCACAGGTATACTGTTTCCTGTTTATCTCTTTGCTCTTCTTGGGGAGGATGATATGTAGCTGCTCCACTGAAGGTAAGCTTGGCCATGTACTGATGAAATGTGAGCAGACATGCCATGTGTTGTTTCGGGCAGAAACTCAAAGAGCCAGTGAGTGCTTTGCCATGGTCTCCAAATGGTAATGTTCCAGGTAGTGGCCATTTCATCAGCAGAGGTCCCAGGGTCAAGACAACTTGGAAGCAGAGCATAGTGAGACATGAACCAAGCCACTGAGATTTGGAGGTCATTTGCTACCGTGGCACAACTGACTCTCACCTGGCTGATTAGAACATTTTACATTTAGGAGAAGTTTTTATAGCCCATCATTGCACATCTGTAGCATAGCGTGGGGCATTCATATGTGGGTTTATTATAGACCCTTAGTAAAGAGCCTAATAATACCCCATTCTTTAGTGGCCTCTAAGTATACTTACATGTTTTGATGAGAAGCTGACATTTCTCCAGAATATTTACTAAAAACTAAATTTGGGCCAGGTATGGTGGCTCACTCCTCTAATCCCAGCACTTTGGGAGGGAATTCGAGACCAGCCTGACCAACATGGTGAAACCCCATCTCTACTAAAAATACAAAAATTAACTCGGCGTGGTGGTGCATGCTTTTAATCCCAGCTACTTGGGAGGCTGAGGCATGAGAATCTCTTGAACCTGGGAGGTGGAGGTTGCAGTGAGCTGAAGTCGCACTACTGCACTCCAACCTGGGCAACAGAGTGAGACTGTCTAAAAAAAAAAAAAAACTAAACAACAAACAAAAATATCCAAAGATTTTCTTACTTAAGCCCATTTTCAATGTTCACTAAAGGATCTTGCAGCTTATTTTTGCCTTGTTAAAACTCTTCCTTCTTCATGTATCTTCTCAAGCATCATATCCCCAGGAAGCATTTCCTATCTGTGACTGCCCTACTATGCATCCCAACTTACAAGGTTTCCTTTGTTGGACACTCATTATATTTATGTTACTCCTTTTCCCCAGCATTTATCTTACTTTGATTATATAATCATTAGTGTCATTATTGGATTAATTTCTCCCCTACAAGACTTACAATTTCTTAAAAGCAAGGCGCTTGTTTAATTTTTCATATTATTGTGTACAGGGTATTGGCTCCATACATAGCACTTGGGAGGTTCTCAGTAAATCTCAATCTATCTTTTTCTCTTAAAAAGTGGAGTGTAAAAATTCAAATCTTGCTAAATGAAATTAGATTAAAATTAGATTAAAAACCTCAAAGTAAGAAAAGTAGGGGAGGATGTCCAAATGTCTACTCAAGAAATAAATAACATTGATCAAACCCGGGGTACAGGTTTTCCTCTTTTCTCATTTCACCCACAGAAATATGATCAAGGGTGTTGATGGATTTGAAGGTTTATTCTGTTTCTTTCTGAGAAATTGGTACTTTCGTTAAAACAACTGAATTACGTAATTAGCAAACACTAAACTATTGCCGTGAATGTTGCTTTAAATTGAAGCCACTTAAAAAACAGAATTGGAAATGGCTTTTCTATGCATGCAGATTTCTGTGTTAATAAAACCCACACAGGAGATGTGGCAATGGGAAAACAGAATCTGCAAGTTATTTTTGAAAATGTTGACTGGCAGAGAAAGGGACAGTTCCTTTGTAGGAGAGTGGAGGTAGAACTTTCCCAGGGAGAATTAAAATCAAGTAGGGTATAAACAACTGTCCTGGGAGGTGGGTGATTTTACTACATGAAGCTGAGGTCTCCCAGAAGGAGTTTACCTTTGTGAGCACGGAAATAAAATCCAGTGATGAGGAAATCTCAGAAGCGTCTACATAGTCCTTGATGATGCCAAAGAGACTGTTCACAAAACCAAGGCTTGTCTAGGGACAGAGAGAAAGAAAACAAAAATAGGCACACACCCAGGGTTAAGGAATAAACATTTGTTGAACTTCAAGTATCATTCTTACAGGTGTTTCCCATTTCAAATATATCTCCTAGAAAAATTCAAAGATTTATTTCCTCCACTCTCCAATATATATTTTCTTATAAGTATTTCTTATAAATAAATTCTTGTTATCTCTCTTCCTTTACTTTTAAGAGGAAAAATATTATTTATTTATAATGTATGCGAGAAGAGGATATTCATTTGAAAATAAACATTTATGAAGATGATGGAGATCTTAGGAATGTGTTTACTTTTTAAAATAGCCATGGAAAAATGACAAATAAAGGGTAACTAATATCTACAATTTATGGGAAAGGCATAATGGATATTTCAACTTCTTTCTTATTAACCTGAAGTCCTGACTGGGAATGGAATATGGAGATGTATTATGGCATACAAGCCATAAGAACAGACCAAGCATGAATTTTCATGGTCCTCTAGTGAATGTTAAAACATGAATCTTCCTACTTGGCTCACCTGAGTTAACTCCTCCAGGTTTGCAAAAAGTCTCCATAAATCCACATCTAGGAGATATTCATGAGTTTGCAGATATCTTAGTGTATTCATAAAGATCTTTGAAATAAAAAATATATACACATTAATTTCTGTTTTTTAATTTTGCAACATGCCTTTTGCAAGAACTTTAAACATAAACCTCCTGGGTGTAACTTTACAAAACAATGGAGAAATCAGCACTCTCAAGGTTTAAATGTTATACTCAAGACAAATGGTCACATTTAAGCTTCAAAGAACATATTGGAAATGAGCTTTTCAGTATGAAAGTTGTGGTTGCTTATGTGAATTCTAACAACATTCCTATTGAACATAATCTGTCCAAATGGGCTTCCTCTACTTCTAGTGCCAAAGAAATCCCAAAGATTCTCTTCTTGCCAACAACACTACTAACTTGAGAGCAAAACAATATTCATGGTGTATTCTCATATGCTCTTTCTTCTGCAAAAGACCCAAATATACTTTACTTTCAGGGAATTAAAAGTAGATATTTAATGAGTTAATCTCTGATAACTGGTAAAATGTTTCAGTTTGTTTAGAGGCATTAAACATGGATGAAAACATTGAGGGAGTTTTTATGTTATTTTCACTTAATTTGATGATTTCACAAATTGGAGAACTATACAGCAAGTCAAAAAAAAGTACAATCCTCACTTACAGATAGCCTGCCCTTCATTCTATAAACTGAAGAGAGATCAATTTATTGAAAAAGAAATACTTTGTATACATAAGACAGGAAGCATTCAAAGGGACAAAAGGACAAATTATTTCAAGAATTTTAGGGGTTAAAAGACTGGGCTTTAGATAGATAACCTTCTCCAATTCCTATTCCTGTATTATTTCATTAGTGTAATGAGTGGTTCTTGAACTTGCATCGGAATCACCTGGCAACTTTGTTACACCAGAGCTTGCTGGGCCCCCACCCTCATCTGTGACGGGGTCTGAGAACATGCATTTCCAACAAGTCACCAAGGGATTCTGATGCTGCTGGTCTAGAGGCCACCTGTCAAGAACCACTTAGACCTTTTAAAATCCATGGAGTATTGGTTGTCTGGAAATTTGTCAATATCCAAGCATTTAAAACATGATTGTAAGAAACAGAACTCATTACTACAGATAGATTAGGACAATTTGGAAGAAATACTACTTTTGCTATAAGATTCTTTGCTTTACAGAAATTTTGCTATTTAAAAAAAATACTGAGTCTTCCAGTATATTTATTATATGAGTTACAAATTTTTAATTCATAAGCACTTTTGGAAAACATATTGATTGTGTAAAAGGAAGGTACATATATACTTTAAATACACTGAGGTATTTGACAGTGAGCTCAAATTGGCCTTTTCTTAAACAGGAAATGTCAGTTTGAAAAGCTTGGACAGCTTACAGTGGGATAGAAAGTTCTGTGCAGTTTCTTAGGACAAGGAAGGTGGCATAACTCAGGGGCTTCGTTCTCTGCGGTGAACATTTATTGTTACCACCCCCTGCAATACTCCCCTTCCCTAAAAACAGCATGGTTTTCACCTCAGTGTCTACTCTTCCCCAGGCTGCACATGTGCCATGTGGCAAGCTGATCTCATTCCCAGGGGTGGGCCTTGACTGCCTTAAGCCAATTGGCACATTCCTTCTTTACAGAGCTAGAGGATTTGGCTCACGGGTGGGCACGTGATCTAAGCCAGTCCAATCAGAATAAATCTCAAGACTTCTGCTATGAATGCTGAGAAGATCTCTCTCTCTCTCTGGCCATTAGCTCAAGGATAGCAACCAGGCTGTGACTACAAGAGAAGCCAGCCATAGGATGTGGCTAATGCCATGGAAGGCAGGGTGAGAGATGGGAAGAAATGTTGTTTTGTTTTGTTTTGTTTTGTTTTGAGCCCTTGATCAAACATGCCTTGAATTCTCTCCCACCTCTGAACTTTGCAGTCACATGGACTAATAAAATCCTGTATTATTTAAGCTAGTTTTCTATTACGTGCTCTTGTAAGCATCCTAACTGATATTGTCTCTAAATTTCAGTTTTCTCCTAGAGTGTCTTTGCGGTTCACATTTTGCTAAGTTAAGGATTTAGCACTGTGATTGACAAAAAATATTACTTACAGAAAATAACTGACATTTGTATAGCACTTGATAGATTTCAAAGAAAACTAATTTGATCATCATAATGGTCTTATGAGATAGCCAGGGATGGTATTGTCATTTCTCTTTTACAGCTTAGGACAAGGACTGTCAAAGTATGCAGCCTGTGAGCTTAATCTGGCCTGCCACCTGTTTTTGTAAATGATGTTTTCTGGGTGACAGTCATGCACATTCCTTTAGGCTGCTTTTGTACTGCAATGGCAGAGTTAAGTGGTTGCAACAAAAACTATATAGCCTGAAAAGCCCAAAATATTTACTGTCTGCACCTCTGCAGAAAAGATTTGTCAACCCCTGGTTTAGGGTATGAAGGACTAGACTTTTCTAAGGTCACAAGGCAAAACAGAGGCAGAGCCAGGGCTTGAACTCAGATCTGCCAGCACAGTGCCTTTTGGCTGTGTAAGACAGTCACCAGGATGCAAAAGTGCGGTGGGCAGAGGCAACCTTGGGAGCTGTGTGGCCCATCCTCCCCTGTGGTCCTGGGAGGAAGCTGCTCTATGGTTCTCTTCCTTGCTCTATTGTTCTTCTAGAAAAAATTCTGTGTTCTGAGCCTCACCAGAGCATGGCTGCGACCATAGGGGTGCTATTTACATGAAAGACATCATGAATATACCATGTAATTCAACAGTACTAAATTGCATGTGGGTGGTAGCCCCCTATATCTGCAATGGTGGCCCTGCAGCTGATAAAAAGCATTCACCTGGTACTGTTCACGAGGGAGCAAGAGCTCCGAGAGAGAAAGCCGAGCAAAGATGCAATGGACTGCCTGAGAAGGGTGTAAGCTCCCTGGCTCAGGAGTGTGCAAACTGGTGAGACAAGGCAGAAGAGATTCATTCAACATCGGATGGGACACTGGACTAGTTCACTTAGACGATCTCATCCAATGTTAAAGTATAAAGAGACAGTAGAGTAATAGGTAAACAAAAATAAATGACAAATAAAAATTTTCACGATCCCCTGAAAGAGGGAGAAAAAAGCCTCACCTGGCCTCCCGTTCCCTCTCTTTCCCTTCCTTCCTTCCTTCCTTCCTCCCTCCCTCCCTTCCTCCCTCCTTCCTTCCCTCCCTCTTCTTCTCTTTCTCTCTTTTTCTTTTCTTGTCTTCCTTCCTTTCCTTCCTTCCTTTCTTTCTCTTTGTCTCTCTTTCTCTTTCTTTCTTTTCTCTCTTTCTTTTCTTTATTTCTTTCAGAAGAGGAAAACAAGTGCCCAAAAAAACAAATTAATATTTTCCATCTACTACAAAAATTAAGCCTGGCATTACCATCTTAAGAACTAATAAATGGTCCAAAAAATAGGTGCATTCACTTGTGAAAAGTTCCCACACGGCCTCTTGCTGCTTTTTCAGGTCTAATTGATCGGTCGGGAGTTTGTGATGTGTTTCCAAGACTTCATCCCAGGTCTTATCCTGTACATGAGGGAAAAAGAGAGAACAAAACATTTCCACCTCAGTGGATTGACCTGTTGGCTATTTGCTTTGGCTTGCAGTTCCAAAGGACCAAGCAACCCCCGAAATCATGATTTCCTGCTTCAGACCCTGGGCATCCCTCTTGACAGTGACTCCCCAAGTGACCCAAGCCACAGCTTCTCTCTGTGGGGCTCCGGGATGCCAATTCCTCCTAATATGCAGCATGAAATGCACAATGTGCATTATTTCTAGTTTAAGATTCAAATCAATTCAGATTGATGATGTTTTGAATTATGCTTGAGAATATCATGAGTCTTTTTCAGTTTATTGACAAAAAAAACTCAAAGAACCCTAAACCCAGGACTGGGAAGTCTGATTCCAGGTTCCGTTGGCAAAACTTATTGAAATTAACTACTGAAGAAGCATGAAGTGAGAGCTTTAGAGTGCAAAGAGACCTTTAGAAATTGTCTTATCAAAAACAACTTAACGTTTCAAATGAGGAAATCCAGGCCCAGAGAGACGAAGAGTAGTAACACCCACTTTTAACATTTGTAGAGGCTTCCTGGCCTATGAAGTGCTCTCACATTTGTTACCTTATTTAAGATAAAACGACTTTCCCCAGCTTTCAGTGTGTTTGAGGAGAGCAGGCCCTGCTCAGTCCTGGGTTCCTCTCTTGCATTTTGCTCTTACTATAAACAAGGCAGTAATCTGGCAGCTTAAAATACTGACCCGACCTTCCCCACCCCACCAAAAAACGAAAAGAAAAAGTCAAACCCCATAGTTAACAGTTTGAAAGATACCTTAAGACCGTAGAAGTCATAGCCCCTGAAGCTGGTAATTTTCACAGAGGACAGGCAGTTTTCCAGATCAGATATGTGCTTGTGTTTGTCTTTGCCCTGCTCGAAGATGGTTAGAAACAGGATTTTCAAACATTGATTCTTTAATGACATGACTTCGGTAGCCTTGGCATCTTTCGTTCATTCCCTAACATTCATGATAAGAGATGGCATATTTTGTCTTTAAGCCACTAACAGTTCCAAAGCCATTTCTGAGCTCTAGTAGGAGCTGCAGAACCACAGAATGTCAGACCTGGGGGACACAGGCCCGTGAGACTACCTTGTCCAAACCTCTCATTTTACAAATTAAAAAAAAAAAAATCCTAGGCACAGAATGGTCATATAGCAAACAGTCTTATCATGCCTACCCATTGGGGTGACATAGCCTTCACAGTCTTAACTTTTCCAAACTCTGGACCCTAAGATTTATTAACATCAGAAGGTACCTCAGACATATTGGTTCAACCCTTAATTTAGCAGATGACAAAATAAAGCCCAGTGTTCAAGCGAGTTGCCCCAAACAATAATTCTCTGCTACAGAATACCAGAATATGCTGGAAACTCTATTTTCCTTAGAATGGAATCACCCACTTATTTTTGTTATAGTCATTTTTTCTTAATAATATTTGTTTAAAAAATCTGATTTCTAAGATAATATGTTTATTGTAGAAAATTTGAGAAAAAACAAACAAAAAAAAGCATGAAATGTGTCTTCACCCCTATATACCCATTGGAAATATGGTATTCTGATCATATTCATAATTAATTTTTAAATGGTATAATGTACCATATTTACACATCCTTTTGCAACTTGCTTTTTAAGCTTATATTGTGAACATTTTCTTTTTAGTTCATTCACTATTCTATTGCGACATCATGAATTGCCCACTTAAAGAGTTCATTTTACCAACCAAAGCAGGAAGAAGCTATCAAATAACAATGTGCAAGGCTTTTAAAAGTCAGCTTGGCTGCATTTCAAATGAATGTTTATCACAATTTTTCAACTTGTTCTATTGCCTCAGAGTGCACGATATTGGCATGGATCTAAACAGTTTTGTGAAAGTTAATCAATGTTTTTTTCAGGAGCAAGAGAAGGCACAGGTTATCTGCTGTTGCAGGTAGGGGGCTCCCTGTGTGCTGAAAGGAGACCGTGTCATAGTTTCAGAATGTGCTAATGGGCTGTGGCTGGTTTCTCTGGTAGGGTTATGGCACTGAAAGAGGAAACCTATTGTAGACTCATTAGCCTCCACAGCAGCAAAGGAATCTTGGAACCAGTTAAAGACCTCCTACTGCAATTGGGACATATGCCTTTTGTTGATGTCTGAAACCATAGTGACTGCATGTTGTGGAAATAAAAAATCAGCAGCCAGTTGGAAAAGAAAGAGGCTGAGACAATGGAAGCAGCATTGGAGTTGTGGGAAAGTGAGTGCCAACCCCGTGTTTTGAAGGGCACTCACCATGGCTTTCTATGGGTTTGACCAGCCTCCTGGCCAAATGGCTGGGTGGGTATTCCAGTGAGGGGAGAGGAGACCATTCTCCCAGTGGTCACATTAACTCTTGAAAACGACACACCCATTTAGTACCTTCTTGCCTCCATTGTGGTGGCAGTGGTTAGGAGAGGCAATGAGAAGCATTTGAAGGTTACGAGAGAGGATACACAGGGTAAAGAAATCGAGAAGCCAAGGTTAATTCTGGAGTCTCAAACTTAGTAACTAAGAGGTAGGTGGCATGAAGATGTACAGTAGTCATTGGTGACATGGAACTGGAGCAAAACTGAAGGTTAAGACTGAATATATAAATTTTTGGAGTGGTTGACAAATCAATGAGAAAAGGCAAGATCTATGGAGAGCTCTAATGAGAGAATGGAGGGAGGAGTTTCCAGGTCTGGTGATGGGGACTCCTACAGTTGAAGGAACAGGGCCACATCAGGGGTAGAACAGACTCAAAGCCAGACTGCCTGGAACTGCTGCATGCTCCATAGCTTATGAGCTGTGTGTCCTCAGGCAAACTAGTCAAACTCTCTGAATCCATTTCCCCATTTTCAAAATGAGAAGTAATAATGTTACCTACCTTGTTGGATTGTTGTAGAATTTATGAGTTCACATGTGTTAACTGACATGCATAAACAAGAATACATGCAAACAGTAACAGTACCTGGTAATGTGCTAAACGTTATAGAGGTGTTAGCTTTTATTACTAATATTATATTGATGGTTGGGAAGAAAGGAAGGAGGAAGGGAAGAAAGGAAGGAGGAAAGGAAGGAAAAAAGGAGGAAAAAGAAAAATCTCTAAAGATTGGAAAAGCACATGACAACATAGAAGTATGTTTGTTATATTGATGTGGATTACCATTTATAGAGATATGAATTACATGATAAATAAGGCTAAGAGGATAAATGAAAGAAGAAGACGTTAATTTTAAGAAAACAGATATTGTGTTCTTGTGAAAGTGAAGCTTCTAGAAATGACTTTCTCTTCATTGCTGAAAACATTTGCTGAAAACGTCCACTAATTATTCTTCCTTTGTGTATCTCCCTCATTGCTTCCCTCCCTCCAACATAGTGCCAACCATTTAGCATGTTTTCCTCCGCCACCCACAGTTTACTTGTCAGTCCCATCTTCTCAATTGTGAGCTGATAATGGACATCTTGGCATCTTAGATATCTGTCCCAGTACTTGGCCCAGTTGCTCAACACATGTGTGTAGAACAAGTTGCTTCTTTTTGGGGAAAAGAATGGATCAATCCCAACAACTTGTAGTAGTGTCCCTTCCTTGGCCAAGTTCTTCCCTTCTGAAAGCATATTCTATCTCTCAGGCAGCCCTCAGAGCTTCCCTGTCCTAGATAAGCCCTCGGGAGGGCTAGGGGGGAGATGCCCCTTCTCCTGAGACCTCAGATGTGATTGGTGACCAGCTCTGCCTCTGTTTATTCGAAGAAAGAGCTCAGGAGGGGCTGCATCATAAGCCTTGTCTCAGATCTGTCAGAAAAACAGACAAAGCACGTCTCTAAATGACTGATGAGCAACAGCCCTGGTGGCAATGGTGTTACCATTTTACTAACAATTTAAGATTTGCAGCTCATAATGTTTACAGTATGTTCCATATAAACGTTTTATTTTTGGGAAAAAAAGTGAAAGTCAATCATACACTTGGCTATGAGAATAAGTTGTTTTCCAAACCCTAATTAAAGATACTACTACTAGTGATACGGCCAAGATTGACTGAGCGTCTGTGTGTGCTCAGCTCTGGGGTAGGCTCCACTTGCATTATACGGCATTCGTTACAATCACCCTGTGAGGCTGGCACTGGTCTTCTGCCTTTTATAGGGAAGATCTGAGTTGAGGGAGAGTAATCCATTTGGCCAAGGTCATAGGGCAGTAAGGGAAGCAGCTAGAATTAGAACTTCAGAGGGCTTTTTATTTAGCGATGGGACTTAAAAAATAGCAAGGTGTGTGTGTCCATAGAACCACTGCAGATGTCAGCAACTGATGCCAAACTGATTGGCAAGGCCACGTGGGCAGATTTTTAACAGAATGAGGCATAGTAACAGTCCATAAGGCCCCGCTGCTGCTGCTGGTCGTGGTGTGTAAGTAATGCAACTAGTAATGCTGGGAGAACACAAATCAGTCCCTTTTCTCCCCCTAGAAAACAGGAGTCAGGTTGTCATCATGAACATTCCCTCCCTCTTCCCACAGCATGCCAGAAGGAACGGCTTGACTGTGGCCACCCTTGTCTTAGGCAGTAAAGTCTCAGGGACCGCTGATTGAGATGGATAACTCGTCAATTATTGATGGAGCCAAGAATGAATTTAAACCCACTAGGATTAATCCAATTGGCTTTCCCAGAAATAGAAGTGTATTTGCAGAATCTGTTTCTGTAAGATCTCATTCATTTTTCAATGTTCCCAATATACACGACACTAACTGCAAACTGGGGCATACATTTGTGCAAGTTTGCTTCATCGAGTGAGCTGCTTTCTAAGCAGCAAGTTATAAATTTAGTGTTGTAAAGCATCACTATATTAGGATTGCTTTGTGTTTTTTTGCAGAACTAATTAACCACTGGCAATTAGCACTGTTTCGCTGCACAAATTGGCACCACTTGGCATGTTCCGTAGCCAATACTACGGATGTGATGATATCATTTATATTTCACGTGCCATCTGCCTTTATACAAAGATAAAGCAGAATGAAGAGACTCTTCAGCCATTTCTTACTTTCTTAGCTACAGGAAGCTTAATTAAAACAAAAATGGCAATTTGCAACACTTACCACTCCTCTTTTGGAGAAAGGCCATCTTGGCTTTTTGGATTCTGGGTGAAATTAAAGACAATATATTATTACGAGTACTTAGAGTAACTAGCGACAGATCATCGTAGTGCTTTACAAAACCTGCTTTTTGAAAATTAGCCAAACAGAATTCATCCTGCTTTAATTCTCTTTCTCTTGAGAATGCACAAAATGAATATTTATATTTTTGCAGACAAGTGAATGAAACAATGTTGCAACCTAAAAGTTGGTGTTCTGTTGCTGCCTTAAGGTGGTACTGTCCTGTTTCTTTACTGGTGTATTATTTAAACTCTTTTTCCTCATTGCTTGAAAGGAAATCTATAAACTGTACTGAAGATGTTGAGTAATTTATTTAAGACAGGGAGCCAAAGCACTCTGGGGCTAAAAGGACAGGCCCTTCATTTTCACACCATCTTTCCAGAACGCCCCCATCACATGCAAACTTCAATAGCTTGAGCAAATGGGAGACTTGGAAACTGCATTCACTCATAATCCCCAGATGTGGTTAAATGAAGACTCCCAAAATAGGGAACATTAAAACATCACCCATGTCGGGGCTTCTTGCTACTGGCCATCTTCTAGGAGTTGCTTTGACTTGAGAAGGAAGCCGTTATTCAATCCCTCATTATTTGGAAGACCAGGAAGGAAAGAGATTCGATTGGATTCTAGCCTTTTGAATTTTATGCTGTTTGCATAAAGTTGTAATGCTACCTAGCCAAAGCTGAAAATTGTCTCTTAGGTGTGGGTGGCATGTTCTGACCATTCAGCATACAAAATGGATGTCTTATACGTCCATCTCTCTCTCTATCAGATCCCCCAGGAGAGTGTGCATAATAATTCAATCAAAGGGAAGCAATGAACTGAGCAGCATTTACTGCAAAGGATGTGCTTAAGGCACCTTCCCACTGTAACCTTGGGAGGCACCTGCCCAACAGATTATCCTCTCATTCATTTTGACCAGCTTATTGATCTTTATTAAAGAGAGATTAGGTGGACTCTCCCTTAGGCACAAATCAGCTTCACCACACTTAGATTTCACATGCCTGGCAGTAAATTATTACATCCAATTTGAACTGCAATAATTGGGGTCCCTGATCCTTGGCCAATTTCTCTCCTGTGCTTTTCTAGCTTTGGAGCCTTGGGAAAGCTTTGTAAATATTCAGAAGATTCATGAGTCCTTATTGAATCCACAATCTTTCATTATCTGCCTTAAATATACAATTTTGCTAAGCCAGAATCTTTATTTCAACTATATCTGCAGGTGACTCATATGCACAGCAAAGCGTGAGCAGCACTGCTTTAGACCGTGACTTGGGAACATGAGGCCTCTATTCTAAACTCCTGAGAAGAGGGCAGAGGGGTATAGGGAGGAGGCTGCTTATCTTTTGCTGTGTGGTATCTACCACGATGCTAGGCACACACAAAAATAACAGCTAGTGAGATGTAGAAGCAGCGATGAACTTGTTCCTTAGCATGTGGTTCTCAAACTGTAGCCGGCATCAAAATCACCTGCAGAACTTGTTAAAAAAGACTGCTGGCTGGGCACAGCGGCTTGCGCCTGTAATCCCAGCACCTTGGGAAGCCAAGGCAGGTGGATTACCTAAGGTCAGGAGTTCGACACCACCCTGACCAATATGTTGAAACTTCGTCTCTACTAAAAGTACAAAAAAATTAGCCAGGCGTGGTGGTGGCCACAGAGTGAGACTCTGTCTCAAACAACAACCACCACCACCACCACAACAAACAAAATGGACTAACAGACTGCTGGACACCACCCCCAGAGTTTCTGATTCAGAAGGTCTTGGGGGTGGGCAGCCTGGAATCTGCATTTCTAACAACTTCTCAGGTGATGGCAAAGCTGCTAGTTCGGGACAGCCTTTGAGAACCACTGTTGTAGTTGTTAACTAATTGACAGCATTCTAAAGCCTCTTAAAATGTAGTAACCTCTGTTAAGGCCACATTGTGTTTAGAACTAGCTCAGATTTCTAGGGGCATGTCCTCAAGCAGATCACTTAATCCCTCTTGGTTTGTTCACTTGGATTACTGTATCATATAAGACAGTAAGTAGATGTGAAAGGCTCTGTAAAAATAAAGAGCTATAAACATGTTAGTTATGATGTATTCACTGGTGGTCCTGGGCTCCACGTACAGGAGACTGCAGCTGCCCATACAATAGATGACAGATGATAACAGATGCAGACTGGTAGAGAGGGCACTGGACTCACAGTCAGGAGCCTTGATTCCATTTCTCTGCACAAACCAGCTGACCCCATGACTAGGCCACTTCTCCTTTCTGGGTCTCACTCACACATATGTGAATGAGGGATGACCCTGGTGGTTTTTAAACTGTTTTGTTGGGTGTCTGAGACTCCTGGGGATGCCTTGGAGGTGAGTCTTTGGGGCTCATCTCAGCTGCAAGCATTGCAACTTCACCTGGATTTGTTTTATACATTGGATTTCCAAGCAAGGATTCTTTTGTAAAAAGGACTCTGCTAAGAACTAAACCAGTTTAAAAACCACCAGCATGGATAATCCTTAAGTCTCCTCTTAGCTCTCAAAGGCTTTGATTTACCTATCCCCAGAATCTTGAAGAAAACACTCTGAAGACCCTAATTGTTCTTTTATTTCACAAATGAGATGAAGATGCAGACGCTTTATCCCTAAAGCTGCCTGTCTATCAGACACTCATCTGCCACCGGCACCTCTGCCTCCCCATGGTACCACCCTGGTTGGAAGATATCAGTGTGAGGCTGAAGCCCAGGAGTGGGGTGGGAGATGAACATGACAGCAATAATGGGGAAGCTACTCACCAGCCTAGAGAGGGCACTCTGATCTAGGATGCTGCACCTGTCTCAGGTCTTGGGCCTGGGATAAGACATTTGGCCAGAAGACATTTTAAGGGAAGAACCATACCTTATTCATCTCTGTAAATGGAATGCCCAATACCAAGACTGGTACTCAGCTGGTTCCCGTAATTCCAGTAACAGCTGGTGCCCGTTGTAATTGGTGAGGCTGATTGTAACAGGTCAGTGCATATATTCTACTAATTATTCAATATTTTGAAAATTCCCCCTGGTTATGGCAATATCTGTTCCACAGTGGGCATGGAATGAAAGTATACTGAATGAACAGAACCTGAATTCAGCAGCAGAAGTGGATGGCATAGGTAATCAGCAGCTCCATCTGACACCAGAAGGTCCCCGGGGAACACCTCAAGTCCAGGTAAGTTCAGCACCACAGAACTCCGCCTGTGCTCGTAGAACCTGTGCTCAAGAGATAAAAGGAAAACCACACCGAAATATCATCTTAGACCACTCAGAATGGCTATTTTTAAAAAGTAAAAAAACAACAGATGTTGGCGTGGTTGTGGAGAAAGGGATGCTTATAGTCCATTGGTGGGAATGTGAATTAGTTCAACCTCAATGGAAAACAGTATGGAGATATTTCAAAGAACTAAAAATAGAACTACCATTCAACCCAGCAATCCCACTACTGACTATCTACCCAAAGGAAAAGAAATCATAATATAAAAAAGACACCTGTACACATGTTTATTGCAGCACTATTCACCATAGCAAAGTCATGAAACTGACCTAAGTGTCTATCAATGGTTGATTAGATAAAGAAAATGTGGTATATACACACACATATAAACACCATGGAATGTGGTATGTGTACACATACACACACCATGGAATGTGGTGTATATATATATTTATATATACACCATGGGATGTGGTATATACATATATTTATATATACACCACCATGGAATGTGGTGTGTATATATATTTATATATACACCACCATGGAATGTGGTGTGTATATATATTTATATATACACCATGGAATGTGGTGTGTATATATATTTATATATACACCATGGAATGTGGTGTGTATATATATTTATATATACACCATGGAATGTGGTGTGTATATATATTTATATATACACCATGGAATGTGGTGTGTATATATATTTATATATACACCATGGAATGTGGTGTGTATATATATTTATATATACACCATGGAATGTGGTGTGTATATATATTTATATATACACCATGGAATGTGGTGTGTATATATATTTATATATACACCATGGAATGTGGTGTGTATATATATTTATATATACACCATGGAATGTGGTGTGTATATATATTTATATATACACCATGGAATGTGGTGTGTATATATATTTATATATACACCATGGAATGTGGTGTGTATATATATTTATATATACACCATGGAATGTGGTGTGTGTATATATGTGTATATATATATATACACACACACACACACACACACACACACACACACACCATAGAATACCATGCAGCCATAAAAAAGCATGAAATTGGCCAGGCGCAGTGGCTCATGCCTATAATTCCAGCACTTTGGGAGGCCAAGGTGAGCGTATCATCTGAGGTCAGGAGTTCGAGACTAGCCTGACCAATATGGTGAAACCCTGTCTCCACTAAAAAAAATACAAAATTAGCTGGGCATGGTGGTGCATGCCTGTAATCCCATCCACTTGGGAGGCTGAGGCAGGAGAATCGCTTGAACCTGGAGGTGGAGGTTGCAGTGAGCCAAGATCACGCCATTGCACTCCAGCCTGGGCAACAAGAGCGAAACTCTGTCTGGAAAAAAAAAAGCATGAAATTATTTTCTTTTCAGCAACATGGATGGAGCTGGAGGCCATTATCCTAAGTAAACTAATCCAGATGCAGAAAATCAAATATCACATTCTCTCGCTTATAAGTGGGCACTATACAATGGGTACCCATAGACATAAAGATGGAAACAATAGACTCCAAAAGTGGGGAGGGGTGAGGTGGGAGGGAAGTAAGTGTTGCAAAATTAACTATTGGGTACAACATTCAATATTTGGGTTATGGGTACACTAGAAGTCTGATCTCCTCCATGATGCAATATACCCGTGGAACAAATATGCACATGTACTCTCTGAATTAAAATAAGTTTTTAAAAAGATGCAAGGAGAGATCTTAGAGCTGAATTAGGCAGGTTCATGGTTCAGACCACCTCTGGTCATGCAGAATGGCTGCGAGCTGCCTGCTGCCACTCTGTTAGGAAGGACTGGGAGGCAGGGGAGGGCTGTGATGACAAAAACTCCCCATACATCTACTCACCACCTCTTCCAGCCTTACTTGCTGTTTATGGTTTTGACTAATCCAAAGCAGAAGAGCTCACGTAGACATGTCAACGCAAATGCACCCTGCTTGTTCTGACTCAGGATACTAGGAAAAAGACCTCAAACACAGAAGTCTTTGCAAATCATGCATACTGCCTCAGAAGGCAGCAGGATCCATGGGGGTGATCATGGTTCCCCGATGATCTGAAGCTGGTTGTTTAAAGTCAGCTACTTTTATTTTTCCCAGAGAAAAATGAGAAATAGTGTTAGAAAAGTTCATCACACAGGACTATCTACCTTCTCCTTTCCTCTGCCCTTCTCCTTTCTCCTACCTTCTTCTTTCCCTTGGCCCATTTCATGAAATGTGTCTGTAGGATGTTCACAAAATAAATGGGTGATGTCACAGACACAGTAGGGAACAGTGCCAAAGCCACCAGGTATTTGCTCAGTGATCTCTAAGGAGCAAAATTGGTCAGGCTGGTAAGGGGTCTGTCGTGCTGGGGACCTGCCTAATAACATGGAACTGTAGGGACTCACAGTTTTCTCATCAGAATTGTTCAGATATTCCTTTGGTCTATTCTAAGGGACAGAGATGCAATTTCTTCTGTTTACTGACCAATGTAATCTCTATATTTTCACCAACAAATAATAGTTAGCATATATACTTTACATAGAAAGAAATTTGTCTTGATTTACCAACAAAAGCATAGCTATGAATTGCCTGGAAAGTTGAGAGACCAGGTTTGTCACACCCTTTTGGATAGGGTGATTTTGTCTATTGCCATCTAGCACTCTCCCACCCCCAAAGTGGCTGTGCTTGGATCCCTGTTAGTCTCCCTATCCCAGTCCTTCCTCTGCTCTTTCCATTTTCCTACCTAGCTGCTGCTCAAGTCCTACCAGGCTCTGCAGCCAAGTTCCATGGTTCTGACATTCTATATGAGTGTCAGCCTTTCTGCCTGCACTTTCGTCTCTTGCCTCTTAATTGCACATTCTCGGATCCCATGCCCTCTTTCTTGTCAATATGTGTAATGGTGGAGTGTATCATGCCCTATTAGGTTCATCATGCTGCTGATGAAAACCAGTGTATATTAGCATATCCTGTGGAATTAATTATAAATACTCATCCCCAAGTCCCACCGTGGAGATTCTGATTTAGTAGATCTGAAGTGGGCTTCTGTATCTGTATTTTCACCCTGCTCCCTGGATACTCACCACAACTAGAGAACAATTACTTTTGAGGTTATAAGTAACTTGATATAGGCTTTTCCTACTTTTAGGTTTTGAGTATTATTTCACGTTTTTAGCCTTTGCCAAAATTTTTTTCAAATCGTTTTACTTATGAATAGTAGAACAAGTTGTTTAGGAATTTATAATTAGTGGTTAACTTATATCCCATAATTTTTTACAAAATATATGAAGCAAGGATGCCTCAGACTGTTCAGATACAGAGTGTAGACACAAAATAAAGTTCATTTTCAGTTATAAAAGGCTGCTTCCTCCAAGAAGTCTTCCATGATACTCAAAGGAAATAATTCTTCATATTTGTGCACTCCTCCATGTCTCCACCAGATCAGGGCCTCAACATCTTCCAATTGTATTAACATGGTCGCCTCTTACCTTGTTTCTCCGCCCTCCTTTTTATCTCCTTGATTCCATCCTATAATGGTCACTAAAGGTGAGTTATCTAAAATTTAAGTCTGAACCTTCCCTCCCTGGCTTAAGACACCTCAGAGGATTCTCATACCAGATAAACACATTTTTAAAGCACAAACACAAGCCTTCCGTGATCTGGCTCCATTTACCTGCCTGATATTCCTTACTTTGCAATTTGATCTCTGGAAATAGGGAATGCATTGTAATTCCCCATACAAAATGGTGCTTCCCAGCTTGGTGCTTTGGCTGGGAATGTTTTATCCCCTAGGTGCCTTCCCCAAGTCTGTCTAACTCCTAGTCATACTATGAGATTCAGGCCCATGGATTATCTGTGTTAAGGAGATAATCACAAAGGGGCAAGTACTTAAGTAACACTGGGCTCAGCTTTAGTCAATTGTCTATATTCCCTGGGGTTTTGTAATCTGTTTCACCTGCCTTTTCTCTGCTCTTCTATTTTTTTTTTTAATCAGGAAACTTTAGGAGAATGTAGTCATCACTGTTATTGTAATAATAGATAATGTGCCAACTCAATGTGCATGCTCTTTCCTTTTCTTGCTATTAAAACCCTGCTTTGTCTGGGATGGTATGTGCTGAGGTCATAGGCTGACCTGCTCTGACTCTCTTGCAGCTACTGAAGGCCATGTGACCCAAACCTGGCTGATGAGATTTAAATGGAGGCTCAAGCATGTGAATCCTGGAAAAAGTTTTTCAAAGGGGACAGACTTAGCTAGCTTCTTCTGTTTACTCCTTGTCCTTTGCCTTCTTGCTGTTCGGAATAGATCTTGAAACCTGAACATATATCACAACTCTTGCAAAGACAACAGCAGAATAGAAAAACAGGTGCCTGGGATCTTGTTATGTTACCCAAAACCCTCTCTTTCCTTGCTAAAGTCATTCTAGTTGGGTTCTGTGACATCCAGGCAAATGCTATCCTTACTGACACAGATCTCTCATCCTGGATTCCTCCTCCAAGGATGAGGCCATCTTTCAGCATTCTACGGTCCTGTTTGACTTTTTCTCTACTTTATGATTTGATTTTATAAGAAGATCATTAGGGCTGTGAGTTCTTACAACTTTCCTTTTTTGTTTGCCAACTCCATGTCAATGATAGTTATAAGGATGGAGGGAACTGAATTAGGTGGGAGTTGAGAAAGTTAAAATAATTTGAATGAGAAACATAATTCTACCTTCATCATATTGCATACAGGACACTGGGATTGACACATAATGGATTAGCAGTGTACAAATCCAGCCAGAAAGTTTTATAATGGTCTTCAGAAGGTATTACATAACATAAAATGCTGAGTGCTCCGAAAAAGAAGACCCTGAAGAGAAATGTCAGAAGCTTCCCCATCAACTATATAGGTCTCTTGATAAAAATCTAAGAAGCATATAATGAGATTTTAGCATTTAAAGAGGGCGGGGATTGAAAAAGTTACAATAATTTGAATGAGAAATGTAATGTAGGGGAATTTTTGGGAAAAAAATGGACTATTGTGAGCTTGAACTCTAGATGTATACACTCTAGTATCATTAAGTTTGGTAGTTTCCCAAGATTCTATAAACTGGTTTTCTATTCCCCGGAGACCTCAGAGAGCGTGTA
Source organism: Homo sapiens (assembly GCF_000001405.40). Classification (NCBI taxonomy): domain Eukaryota; kingdom Metazoa; phylum Chordata; class Mammalia; order Primates; family Hominidae; genus Homo; species Homo sapiens. The sequence continues at coordinate 92,723,841 of NC_000012.12, read as the reverse complement.
ACTACTGTTGGGGTGGAAGGATTCATCTTCCCCAACCCCTTCTTGGATGGCTTCTGTGTTTCTGTTCCATGCTTCTATAGTCCTCTGGAGTGGTGGTTAAGAATGTGGGGTCAAATTTCGTGGATTTTAATCTTAGCAGTGTGACCCTTGGTTGAACAACTTGAGTAACCTCTCCAGTCCTTACTTTGCCATTTGGGAAATGCAGACAATAATAATATTGTGTGAGGATGGGCTAAATTAATCAATATAAAGCACTTAGATCAGTGTCCAGAACTTGGTAAGCAGCCAATAAATGCTATTAGACTGATTATTGAATATATTATAATATCATGTTTTATTTATGTGTTTTTTCCATTAGACTGACACTCTTTAAGTACAAAAAACATGTCTTATAATCATTTGTGTTGGTAGGTGCTAATTTAGAACTTAATCCATTGTTGCTGATGAATATGAATGAATGAAACCATCTTCTCTCATGAAAAGTATCTTATGTTTTGTAGATTCATGTCATATTTTCCTTATCACCCTTAGGTCCAGCTCCTGGTCTGAATTCCTCTGTTTAGCAAGGGCTCAGTAAACATTTGTTAAGTAAATGGAACAATAACCCAATCCACATATACTCAGAGTGATTGATCATTGCCATTTCCCTACACAAACTCCTGCAGAATGTGTACTCCAAGAATAGCTAGCTGTGTACTGTTCTTTAAACACACTGTGCACTTTACGCCTCCATGCCTTGGCTCAGGTAGTTCCCATCTGCCTGCCTAGCTGTACTTTGTCTGCCTGAAAAACTTGTATTCATCTTTAAATTCTAGCTTAGACACTCCTCCTCCATAAATCTTTTCCGACCCACTCAGGGAGGGACAATTCTCTCTCTTCCCTTCCCTTCCCTACTCCTACCTTGTCTCTTTATAATAAACACGTTGAAGATTCATACTGGATCTTATATATCACCGAATCTAATCTGTTAGCATGGAATCTGACATAGAACAAGTATTCAGATAAGCTTGTTGAATAAATAGACATGTTGACCTATAGATCGAAATACTGACAGTCCTCAATTGCATTTGTTTTTCCGTTCTGGAACATAAATGAATAATTGTATGTATATACAAAAGCAGAATACAGTTTGAGTGCTCACCCTCCCCCAGTTAAAAGTGGTTGGTTACGTTACCCACATCCATTTTGCTCATCTGGGATACCTTCTGACATCATGCATCCATTTGGGAGCACAAAGGTCAAATTTGGAGTTGAATTTGCACATAGGGAGCAGGGAGAAGATAACCGGCTTGTGAACGGCTTGATCCATGACCTTGACTTTTTGCCTTGGTGTTCAAAACCCACTAATGCTAATTCTGGAAAGGTGAATATGCCTCTGGAAGGGCATAACAAAATTTCTGTGGCATGAAATATATTTTGTTCATCAAAAGACAGCATGAGTTAATAAAAATATCAAGAACCACCATTGTAGCCATGCAGAGACCTAGGAAAGCAATCAGAACATCTGCACCAGTAACATGAAGAGACATGGATTGGTGCGGAAAATGTGCCTCTATGTCAATTCCATGCCTGGCAGTGGACTGGATTTCTGGGCACTCTAGAAAAGACCCGGGTCTGTGTCAGCTGGGGTTGCTCGGATCGTTGGATGAATGAAATTAACTCAAATAGCTGTAATGAGTTCAGCATGACTGAATTTAGGTCTCACGGTGGGTGCAGTGTGTATCCGAACTGGTATCTTCTTTTGGCTGTTCTAAATATTAGGGTTTTTTTTTTTTTAATAAATGTGGCATTCATGCAGGATTGTCTCCAATTCTGGATTGACCATCCACTGGAAGCAATCACTGTAGTGAATTCAGAATTCTTATCTCCCTCCCCTAAGCAAAGTGGTGTCTGTGTGGGGTAGGGGTGCCCAGTGTGAAGAGGACAGGGAAGAATATTTTTAGAGATTGGATTTCCTCACAGGAGGACTAAGCTGGTGAATAAACTAATAATAAATGCAAACTATTTGGGGTGTGGCTGGCAACCCATTGTCACCGTGTAAGTACAGTATAACTCCATGCCACCCTTTATTTGTTTAGAAAAATACAACTAAACAAATATCCTTGATAAATGCTTTTTTTTTTTTTTTTTTTTTTTTTTGGTTTTATGCTTGGCTATTCTGGTTCTTTGCTTCAGGACAAGCTTTGGAACCCAGAAGGTTGTATAACTGGGTGTCTGACCCAGACTTTGCAGCTCTCTAGAGCAGGACACCCTTCCACTGGCTTTCCCCACCCCCACCCACCATGTAGAAACCCCAATATAGCCACTCTTTCACTAACCCTGAGTTGCGTTGCCCCAAGCTGGTCAGATCCGAAGGGACTAGTCCCATGGCTGCTGGAATAGTCTCGTCTCCCTTCTGGTACCAGAACGTCTCCTTATTCTATGCTCTGCTGAAGATCTGAAGGTCCATGGTGTGGGCTGAGAAAGCAACAATTCAGAGCATCCCGGGAATTCCCCCCCAACCCCACTGCTGAGCAGGCCGTGCACCCATGTGTCAGCACTCAACAATGAGGCAGCTGTCACGTGCTGGTGCCAGAAATGTCTCTGGCTGCTGGAAATGGGTCCCCCAGTAGACCTCAAATGTCTACATTTTGTAAGCAATAGACTGATCTTGGTGAATATTATTCTAATTTAAAATCAGCTGGCGTTTACTGAGAACTGATTCTTCTTAGACACTTTGTTACGTGCTTTACATGCATTATCATATTGATTTTCACAAGCACCCTATGTAGTGGATATTACTGTTCTTATTTTAGACCAGAGGAAACTGAGGCTTAGAGGGATGCATAAGGAACTTACCTAAGGTCGCAATGTTGTAGTGAATGACAGAGCTAGAATTAGAAATTCAAATATGCAGGTCTGACTCCAAGAAGACTTGTGAATGGGAAGAAGAGAAAAAGAGACTACCAACTATTTTAATGCACTACAAAACTTTTAAAATGATGTGATGATGGCTACTACTTTAGGAAAAAGAATGGGGTATAATGGTTTGAATGGTGGCCCCCCCAAAAGTGATATGTCCACATCCTAACCCCTGGAACATGTGCATATGGCCTTATTTGTAAAAAGGGTCTTAGTAGATATGATTAAATTAATGATCTAGAGATGAGATTATTCGGGATTGTCTGAGTGGGCCCTAAATCCAACGACAAATGTCCTTATAAAAGACACTTAAGAGTCCAGGCTCAGTAGCTCACGCCTGTAATCCCAGTACTTCGGGAGACCAAGGTGGGCGGATCACCTGAAGTCAGAAGTTCGAGACCAGCTGGCCAAGATGGTGGGACCCTGTCTCTACTAAAAATACAAAAAATTAGCCCGATGTGGTGGCGCACGCCTGTAGTCCCAGCTACTCAGGAGACTGGGGCATGAGAATAGCTTGAATCTGAGAGGCAGAGGTTGCAGTGAGCTGAGATTACGCCACTACACTCCAGCCTGGGTGACAGGGTGAGACTCCATCTCAAAAAAAAGAAAAAAAAAAAGACACTAAGAGAAGAGACACAGCGAAGAGAGAAGGGTATGTGAAGACGAACAGAGGCAGAGATTAAAGGGAGGCAGCCACAAGCCAATGAACGCCTGGATGAAAAAGCAAGCGAAAGTCCTCCCCTAGAGCCTTCAGGGGAAGTGTGGCTCTGCCCAAACTGTGATTTCAGACTTCTGATTTCCAGAATGGAAAGAGGATAAATTTCTGTTTTTTAAAGTCACCTGATTTATGGTAATTTATCATAGCAGCCACAGGAAACGAATATGGGGCAGTCCTATTGAGTGGCAAGGGCACCCAACTTAGGACCCAGATTCCCAACTGTGACCTTGGCCTGTCGCTTCCCCGGGCCACCGTTTCCTTATGTGGAAAGCAAGTGTGCCACGTGAGGCTGCCTGCATCCTGCATGCTCTAGTGTGAGATCCAGGAGCATCATTCTCCTTCTCTCCTTCTGTGGCCAGTGGGTGAGGACAGTAATTGTGTGGTGACCTTTATCTTGGCAGAAACGTTTGAAGATGATTAATTCAAAGCTCCCCTTTTAGAAATATGACTAATAGATCACTTACATTTTTAAAAGATTCCTTCTGTGCAGCAGACTTAAGCCAAGGACTCCTAGCCTTTAATTCCCAGGTGCAAATTTTAAGAAAAAATAATAACAAAGGCTAGAGAATATGGGAAGTACAACTGCCCTTTAGTGATATGTGTGTCTAAAAGGAATAAAAATCTTATTGAAGGCACTGCAACTTGGATAAAGCATAGTCTTATCTTTTCCTTTGCTACGAATGTTGCCCAGTGATTTTTGTTTTTTAATCAGGCAGCCTTATCAGGCCCTATTCATCAGAAACTATAGTCCTTGTCTGGTAGTAAGAGTTCATGGTAAATGTAGTCTTTTTCAGCAGGCAGCTTTTCAGCAATTGTGTGACTAGAAAAAGTTGGCATTCCATTTTAAGAATCATAATGTTTTACCCTATGCAAGAAATATAGTGCAATTTGGAATGCTTGCTTATAACTATGGGTTGATTACACAGGAAGAACAAATTAAGCATCAGTAACAAACTTTTTCTAAAAATCTCTTTTTAAAATAATCAAAAGAGAAATGACAACTGTACTGCCAATTATTGAACTACAGTTCTCTTGGTTAAATCTGGGATATATTTTTCCATTATGAGTTTCAAAAAATTGTTGGGAATGCGCTTTTGTATGTTCGACTATGGTTTCCAATTCAACTTTCTATCAAAGTATTCCATTTGTTGGAAACGCAAATGAGAAGCAGATAGGATGATGAGCTTCTAGTTTACCGCCTGGAATCCGGTACTATGATGGCGATTTCTCATAAATGCAGAGTGAACAAATGGAAGACTTGTACCCTATACATCAGTTTGAACACAGAACAGAGATGCCTCTTAAGAGTCTCATCATGTGTGAGAAATGCCATGTACTGTGGCTGTGGGGTCAAATCAGTAATATTTTTTGAGGACATGTGTTCAGAGCACCATGGTAACTGCTGGCAACTGCCCAGAAATCTCACCTTCTTTCTAGGTTACTGTTTTTTATGGAAAACACTCAACATACTCCCTTGTGGGATTAAGCAATATTTGTACAAATCCCCACAAACCCAAAGTACACTCAGAGACAAGCACAAAACTATAAGGAAGATCGAGGAGGTCAAGAGGAGCTGGAGGGAGTCAGATAAATAGTTGGAGGAGAAAATACACGAAACAAAAGGGGACCATACAATTTTTCCCTAAAAGGCATGTCCAAACCCAACTACCAATCAATTTCCTTTTTCTTTTCTTTTTCTTTCCTTAAACATTTATTGGACACCTACTAAGTGCCAGGCAGTGTTCTAGGTACCGGGGATAAGGCAATAAACAAAACAGATGAAAATCCCACTTTCCTGGAACTTACATTCTATTAGGTTGGTGCAAATGTAATTGCAGTTTTTGACGCAATTAAAAGTAATGGCAAAACCCGTAATTACTTTTGCACCAGCCTAACAGATGAGCTGATGCTGCTGGAAGAGTGGCACGTGGTTCCCCTTGCACCATGCCCATATCAGGAAGGCTCCCCAAGGCTGCAGTCTTCTCTTTTGAGTAATGAGCAGTACACTGCCTAGTAGTCTCTGAATCCTGTCCAACAAGCCTTAAAGCCCCGAAGAAGCTGACAGAGTCTTCTCCTCTAGTATGTTCTACAGTTAACAGACAGTGCTAGGGACATAAGGGGTTTTAAATAAAAGCCTGTGGGGTATAATATTGTATTGAACCTAAAGGTCAGATACATTACATTTGATGTGCCTGATGTTAGAATATTTAGCTCTGGGGTTAGAAAATTTTAGAAAGGATAAGTCAATGACTTACATGTGGGAGGTGCTGAATGAATGGTTTCTCTAAGAATAACCATAGCTACTATTTGAGTTATATTATTAACCAGTTCAAAAGAAAGACCTGTGAGAGGAACACTACAGGTGTGCATTGCTTAATGATGGGGATACGTTCTGAGAAATGCATCCTCAGGCAATTTTGTCATTGTGTGAACATCACAGAGTGAACTTACACAAACCTCAATGGTGTGTAGCCTACTACACACCTAGGCTGTAAGGTGTCACTGGGGGTTCCCAGGCTACAAACCTGTACACCGTGTTATGGTACTGAATAATGTAGGCAGCAGTAACACAATGGGAAGTATTTGTGTATCTAAACATAAACTAGGTAGAGCAAAACTACGTTATGATAATCTTACGGGACCACTATTGTATATGAGGCCCATTGTTGACAAAAGCATCATTAATACAGTGCCTGACTGTATTTGTGTCTCCACTTTGTGGATTAAAAACATCGAAGTTTCAAGTGGTTAAGGAAATTGTGCAAGATCTTGTTGCCACAGAGAAGTGGAGCTAGGATTTAAATTCAGGGAGTTTGACTCCAGTAGATTTTAACTCCAGGTCCTGCTGCCCCCTATTGGTAACCCCAGATGACTCTGACTTTGGGGGAAGTTTTACTGGCATTTAATACTTTCTTTGTTTGTTTTTTCCTCAAGACAAACTTTCAAATATCTCATCAGTTGGCTTTCATGTTAGTGTTGCCCCAGTGGCTAATATGGATGTATTTAATTTTTCTCCTACTTTCTATTTGAGCATTGGAAGGTTAGTCTATAGTCTTATAGAAATGTAGCATGTACGTTTCTCTTCTCTCTTTCAGGGCTGACCTGAAAATTAGGTAAGATGGATGCTTCCTATGAATATAAAATTGAAGGGATGCTAGGAATGTTTCCCTATCCACAAAAGCATCTCCCTCACTTGCTTCTGATGTTTAAAATTTCCACCAACACAGTTTCACTGCTTGGCTTCAAGCTGTCTTTTGTTAAAATGCAAATGCATTGGGGATAGATAAGTGGAACGGTAATCCAAGAAGCCTGCCAACCTGCCTGTCTTCCTTCTTCCATTCATCTTTTTGGAAGTAGACTCTTTCTGGGTACTGGATGCTAGAGGTTCAAAGATAAATAAGAAGCAGTCTCTGCTCTCAGGAAGGTTTTGATTCTTGGGGGCAGATGAATTTAAAAGAAACACAATATAGTGTTTTAGAAATTATGATGGAGACATTTATAAGATGCGGGGAAACCCAAAAGGGAGAAATGTACTGGCTGTACTTGGAAAGATGAGAGTGTATATCCCTTAAGCCTAAATTCCCTCACACTTGTGTAAGAATGAATTGTGAAGATTTTTTTTCCAGAGGCCATATTCTAGTGATAACAGAGGAAGGTTTGAAGTGAGTATGAGTTCACTTAAATATTACAGAATGAGAGAGGGAATGGCAGGAAGAACGAGTTCACAAAGAAAAACGTGAGAGCAAGGGTTTTCCAGTTAGCCAATTTCAGAACTAAGAGTATATTGGGCACTTCTCACTTACACATTGTCAGGTTACATATATTACAGGTTAAAACACTGTAATACCTGTAATCCCAGCACTTTGGGAGGCCAAGGAGGGTGGACGACTTGAGGTCAGGAGTTTGAGGCCAGCCTGGCCAACAATGACGAAATCCTGTCTCTACTAAAAACACAAAAATTAGCCGGGTGTGGTGGTGCACACCTGTAATCCCACCTACTCGGGAGGCTGAGACAAGAGAATCACTTGAACCCAGGAGGCAGAGATTTCAGTGAGCTGAGATTGTACCAATGCACTCCAGCCTGAGTGACAGAGCAAGACTCTGTCTCAAAAAAAACAAAACAAAACAAAACAAAACAAAAAAACCCCAAAACCACTGTAATAGAAGAATCAGTATTTTTGAAAAAGGTTTCATATCTATTCTGCAAGACAAAAAATTTTGCTGTGATTGGAAGCCACAGAGGCAAGCATTTCTTAATTGTATAGGCCAGGGGTCAGCACACCTTTTCTGTAAAGAGACAGATAGTAAACATTTTAGGCTTTGTGGGCCATGCAGTCTCTTGCAATTCTGCCATTACAATGTTGAAACAGCCACAGGCAATGCACAAATGAGTGGGCGTTGGTGTGTTCCAATAAAGCTTTATTAACAGAAACAGGTTATGGGCCATAGTTTGCTAAATCCTAGTTTATACCATTTGATAGGCCTTTTTTTTTTTTTTTTTTTTTTGAGGCAAGAACCCTTGCTCTTAGATAGACAGTGGGGCCTCATGCAGAGCTCTTCACTCTTCACCTAACATTATATGACCATGCAGCCTGGCAAGCAGCTGTTCAAGGAAGTGGGCTCTTTGAACAAATGGCTGCTGCAGAAAAGACTGCAGAGACATGTGGAAGAAGAGAAGAGGGAGTGAAGAGAGACAAATGGGGGATCTGTCTCGGTTTGTTTTTGTTTTTGTTTTTGTTTTCAGTTCTTGTTTATTAGTAGTAATGTAAGAATCTTGTGATGGTTAATACTGAGTATCAACTTGATTGGATTGAAGGATGCAAAGTATTGATCCTGGGTGTATCTGTGAAGGTGTTGCCAAAAGAGATTAACATATCAGTCAGTGGGCGGGGGAAGGCAGACCCACCCTTAATCTGGGTGGGCACCATCTAATCAGCTGCCAGCAAATCTAAAGCAGGCAGAAAAACGTGAAGATCTGAGATTGGCTTAGCCTCCCAGCCTACGTCTTTCTCCCATGCTGGATGCTTCCTGCCCTCGAACATTGGACTCCAAGTTCTTCAGCTTTGGAACTCTGACTGGCTCTCCTTGCTCCGCAGCTGGCAGACAGCCTATTGTGGGACCTCGTGATCATGTGAGTTAATACTTAATAAACTCTTTATCTATCTATCTATCTATCTATCTATCTATCTATCTATCTATCTATCCCATTAGTTCTGTTCCTCTAGAGAACTCTGACTAATACAGATTTTGGTACAAGGAGTGGTTCTAGAGGAACAGAGTATTAAGGATGGAGTTCTTTCATTGGTTTTGGGGCTTCTGGAGTTGGCTGCTTCATATGATTAGACCGAAAAATGCTAAGGACTCTACTTCTAATAGTATGGAGAACACTGATAGTCCTTGGTGTGAACCGTTTGGAGAGTTATGCAACATAAATGCATTTGACACTCCTGATTCACTGCTTGTGACAGGCAAGTTTAGTGACTCTATACATAATACCTTTGACATATGTGGAGAACCAAGGAACATAACAAAGCTGGTTGGGTGCTCCTAAGTTCAGTAGACAAAGTGTTGAGAGAAAATGATGAACTCAGGGATTCTAACTCCTGGCTTCAGAAGCAGACACTGAGCCTCAAAATTTGCTAAGATTGCCCTGAGTGACAGTCTTATCTCTTGTAGAGAAAGAGCTGAAATTGTTGAAAAATAGACACAAGCTCTTATTATGTGAGTAGCTGACCTGCAATGAAAGGTGCATGCACAGCCCCACCAGGTGCCTACTGTTAAAGTGAGGGCATTGATTGGAAAAGAATGAGACCCTGCAACTTGGAATAGGATGCCCGGGAGGACGCTGATGAAGCTGGGGACACTGAGTTTGTAAATTCTGACAATGCTTTTTGCTAGAAAAAAACAGCTTCCCCATCCCCAGTAGTGGCAACATCCCCACCCTGACCCATGCTGCCATCAGCCTTTCCACCTTTGTCTGGGGAGATAAACCCTGCACTGCCTGAGGCAATAGTGATGGCCTCCCTTGAGGCAGTTGGCAGGCAAGATAATGTTGATTCTTCTCAGGAGCCACCCCCAACAACCTTGTTTGCCTCTAGACCTGTAACTGGACTAAAGTCCCGGCAGGCACCTAGAGGTAAGGTTGAGAGTGTGACCCATGAGGAGGGGTCCTACACTTGAAAATAACTGCTTGAGTTTTCTAATTTATATAAACAGAAATCTGGAGAACAGGCATGGGAATTGATATTAAGGGTGTGGGATAATGGTGGAAGGAACATAGAGTTGGATCAGGCTGAATTTATTGATTTGGGCCCACTAAATAGGGACTCTGCATTTAATGTCTCAGCTTGGGGAGTTAAAAAAGGGTCCAAGAGTTTATTTCTTGGTTAGCTAAAATATGGATTAAAAGATAGCCCACTGTGAGTGAGCTGGAAATGCCTCATCTCCCTCAGTTTAATGTAGAGGAAGGGATCCAAAGGCTTAGGGAGATTGGGATGGTGGAGTGGATTAGTCACTTTAGACCTACTCATCCCAGTAGAGAGGGTCAGAAGATACACCCTTGACCAATGCCTTGTGAAATAGATTTGTGAGGGCAGGACCTGCATTTTTGAAGAGCCCTGTAATTGCTCTTCTCTGTATGTCAGATCTAACAGTGGGAACTGCAGTCACTCAACTACAAAATTTAAATACAATGGGAATAATTGGATCCCAAGGTGGCAGAGGCCAGGTGGCAGCACTCAACCATCAAAGGCAAGGTGGGTGTAGCTACCATAATGGACGGAAGAGGCAAAGCGGCAATCAGAATAGACTGACTCCTGTAGAGTGCTGGCACTGGCTAATTAATTACAGTGTTCCTAGAATTAAAATTGATAGGAAGCCTACTACATTCCTACCTAATTTTCATAAGCAGAAAACTTCTAGGTTGAATGGACAAGACTAATTTGAATTGTAAAAACAGAATCACGGCCCCTCAATCAATTTCCAGACTTGAGCCAGTTTACAAACCCAGAACCCCTTGAATAAAGGGAAGGCCAGGTCCCCTTGAGGAAGGACCCCACTACATTACTGACAATTTATGTAGTGAATCTTTTTTTGATATGCAGCCTTGCTCTGCCGTCCAGGCTGGAGTGCAGTGGTGCGATCTCAATTCACTATGCCGTGAATCTTTTTCCCATCCTTCCCTATGGAGACCTCTGGCCTTTTACCAAGGTAACTGTGTACTGGGGAAAGGGAAATGATCAGACATTTTGGGGACTACTGGACACTGGCTTTGAGCTGAGGTTGATTCCAGGGAACCCAAAACATCATTGTGGTCCTCCAGTTAAAGTAGGGGCTTATGGAGGTCAGGTAATTAATGGAGTTTTAGCTCAGGTCTGACTTACAGTGAGTCCAGTGGGTCCCCAGACTCATCTTGTGGTCATTTTTCCAGGACCAGAGTATATAATTGGCATAGACATACTTAGCAGCTGGCAGAACCCCCACATTGGCTTCCTGACTGGTAGGGTGAGGGCTATTACGGAGGGAAAGGCAAAATGGAAGCCATTTAGAGCTACCTCTAGCTAGAAAAATAGTAAATAAAAAAAAATCGCATCCCTGGAGGGATTGTGGAAATTAATGCTACCATCAAGGACTCGAAAGACGCAGGGGTGGTGATTCCCACCACATCCCTGTTCAACTCTCCCATTTGGCCTGTGCAGAAGACAAATGGATCTTGGAGAATGACAGTGAATTATTGTAAGCTTAACCAAGTGGTGACTCCAATTGCAGCTGCTGTACCAGATGTGGTTTCATTGCTTGAGCCAATGAACACATCTCCTGGTACCGGTATGCAGCCAGTGACTTGGCGAATGCCTTTTTCTCCATTCTTGTCCATAAGGCCCACCAGAAGCAATTTGCCTTCAGCTAGCAAGGCCAGCAATATACCATTACTGTCCTGCCTCAGGGGTATATCAACTCTCTAGCTTTGTGTCATAATCTTATTCGGAGAGACCTTGATCGCTTTTCGCCTCCGCAAGATATCACACTGGTCCATTACACTGATGACATTATGCTGATTGGATCCAGTGAGCAAGAAGTAGCAAATACATTGGACTTATTGGTGACACATTTGCATGCCAGAGGATGGGACATAAATTTGATTAAAATTCAGAAAACTTCCACCTCAGTAAAATTTCTAGGGGTCCAGTGGTGTGGGACCTTTCAAGATATTCCTTCTAAAGTGAAAGATAAGTTGCTACATTTGGCCCCTCCTCAAACCAAGAAAGAGGTACAATGCCTAGTAGGCCTATTTGGATTTTGGAGGCAACACATTCCTCATTTGGGTGTGTTACTCTGGCCCATTTATCGAGTGACCTGAAAGGTGGCCAGTTTTGAGTGGGGTCCAGAACAGAAGGCTCTGCAACAGGTCCAGGCTGCTGTGCAAGCTGCTCTGCCACTTGGGCCATATGACCCAGCAGATCCAATGGTGCTTAAGGTGTCAGTGGCAGACAGAGATGCTGTTTGGAGCCTTTGGCAGTCCCCTATAGGTGAATCACAGCAGAGACCTCTAGGATTTTGGAGCAAGACCCTGCCATCTTCTGCAGATAACTACTCTCCTTTTGAGAGACAGCTCTTGGCCTGTTACTGGGCTTTGGTGGAAACTGAACATTTGACTATGGGTCATCAAGTCACCATGCGACCTGAACTGCCTATCATGAACTGGGTGCTTTCTGACCCATCTAGCCATAAAGTGGGTCATGCATAGCAGCATTTCATCATCAAATGGAAGTGGTATATATGTGATTGGGCTCAAGCGGGTCCTGAAGGCACAAGTAGGTTATATGAGGAAGTGGCTCAAATGCTCATGGTCTCCACTCCTGCCACCCTGCCTTCTCTCCCCCAGTCTGCACCAATGGCCTCATGGGGAGTTCCCTATGACCAACTGACAGAGGAAGAGAAGACTAGGGTCTGATTCACAGATTATTCTGCACAATATGCAGGCACCACCCAAAAGTGGACAGCTGTAGCACTACAAGCCTTTTCTGGGACATCCCTGAAGGATAACGGTGAAAGGAAATCTTCCCAGTGGGCAGAACTTCGAGGAGTACACCTGGTTGTGTACTTTGCATGGAGGGAGAAATGGCCAGATGTGCGATTATATACTGATTTATGGGCTGCAGCCAATGGATTGGCTGGATGGTCAGGGGCTTGGAAGAAGTATGATTGGAAAATTGGTGACAAAGAAATTTGGGGAAGGGGTATGTGGATAGACCTCTCTGAGTGGTCAAAAACTGTGAAGATATTTGTACCCCACGTAGGTGCTCATGAATGGGTGACCTCAGCAGAGGAGGATTTTAATAATCAAGTGGATAGGATGACCCGTTCTGTGGACACCACTCAGCCTCTTTCCCCAGCTGCCCCTGTCATTGCCCGATGGGCCCATGAACAAAGTAGCCATGGTGGTAGGGATGGAGGTTACTCATAAGCTCAGTAAAGTGGACTTCCACTCACCAAGGCTGACCTGGCTACAGCCACTTCTGAGTGCCCAGTTTGCCAGCAGCATAGATCAACACTGAGCCCTCGATATGGCACCATTCCTTGGGGTGATCAGACAGCTACCTGGTGGCAGGTTGATTATACTGAACTTCTTCCATCATGAAAAGGGCAGAGGTTTGTCCTCACTGGGATAGATACTTACTCCGAATATGGGTTTGCCTATCCTGTATGCAGTGCTTCTGGCAAAACTACCATCTGTGGGCTCATGGAATGCCTTATCCACCATCATGGTATTCCACACAGCATTGCCTCTGACCAAGGCACTCACTTTATGGACAAAGCAGTGCGACAGTGGGTTCATGCTCATGGAATTCACTGGTCTTACCATGTTCCCCATTATCCTGAAGCAGCTAGATTGACAGAATGGTGGAATGGCCTTTTGAAGTCACAATCGTAGTGCCAACTAGGTGACAATACTTTGCAGGGCTGGGACAAAGTTTTCTGGATGGCCATGTAATGCTCTGAATCAGCATCCAATATATGGTACTGTTTCTCCCATAGCCAGGATTCACAGGTTCAGGAATCAAGGGGTGGAAGTCAAAGTGGCACTACTCATCATCACCCCTAGTGATCCACTAGCCAAATTTTTGCCTCCTGTTCCTGTGACATTACGTTCTGCTGGCCTAGAGGTCTTAGTTCCAGAGGGAGGAACACTGCCACCAGGAGACGCAAGAAAGTTTCCATTAAACTGAAGTTAAAATTGCCACCTGGACACTTTGGGCTCCTCCTACCTTTAAGTCAACAGGCTAAGAAGGGAGTTATAGGTGCCCACCACCACACCCAGCTTATTTAAAGAAAAAATATTTTTAGTAGAGATGAGGTTTCACTATGTTGGCCAGGCTGATCTCAAACTCCTGACCTCAAGTGATCCGCCTGCCTGGCCCTTCCACAGTGCTGGGATTATAGGCATGAGCCATTGTGCCCAGCCTGACCTAGCTGTTCTTTTAAAATTTACCAAGACTATTTTTGTTATTTCCTCACAGATTTCATATGGCAATGGAAATTACCTTCACATCATTTTTTTGCAAATGGCTTCATGCATCCCATTGATCTGCCTTTATGTCTGCCGGCTCCATCTAATAATCAGAGCTGGACCCAGACTTTACCTGCTCTAGGAAACATTCCTTGATTTAAGACTCACAAATATACATATAGTACATCCACCCCTGGTGCCTTCTCTAACCAATTATTTACTCAAAATCTCCACTTAGATGTTTCATAGTTCCTCAAACTCAACATGTCCAAACCTGAACACAAGACCTACACTCTAACCACTCATATTTAATTTCTTTACCCAAGTTTATCTAGGTCAGTGAATGGACACCTTGGTTACCCAGTTGAACAAGCCAGAAGCTTGGAGGTCATTCTTGAAGATTCCTTTCCCTCACCCTGATAGGCTACCATTCACAAAGTCTGGGGGATTGTATCTCCTAAATATCTCTTGCATTGAGATACTTCTTTTTAACCCCACTGCCTTCATCATAATCTAACTTAACAACTTCTCATACCTGAACATTCGAATTATTTGACTCAAGTCTACTTGCATCTAAATCCCAGGTATATCTGACATCCATCTGATCATATCAATTCATCAAATGGTTTCACACTGCTCTTAGGGTAAGGAATAAAATTTCTCAAAATCTTATTAAAATAATTCGACTCTAAACATAATTTTTTTTTCTAAGACTACCCTTTTCCACTTTCTTTGACACAACTGAACTAGATCTCATCTGAGAGCTTTATTCTGTTTCACATGTATGGAAGATTTACATTAACAGCCCCACTCTTCCCCATTCCTTACATCCATACACTTTGCCATGTAACATTTCAATGCTCTCCCACTGTTGGTAACATGTAATTCCCTGACGCTGAGTTCAACTGAGTGACTTGCTTTGGTCAATAAAATTAGACCAGATTCAGAGCCCAGGCTCCAAGAGGCCTTGCATGTTTCTACTTGTCCTCTTGAACCTCTCCCTTCACTGTATAAAGAATCTGCTTAATTGATCCCATGGACCCATGGGAGCCCTTTGATCCCATGAGCAGGATAAGGAACATTTGGAGTGGAACTGCTCAGCTAAACCCAGCCTAGACCAAGTCACCCCCAGGGAACACAGAGATTTATAAGAAACAATAACTGTCTGTTACTTTAAGTGGTTTTTTATCTAGCAACAGCTAGCTGATACACAGACATAACAATTTGCATTTCCCTATGGCTTGGTAAGTATCTTCTACCTTTGTTGGTACAATTAGGCCAACAAGGATTAAAATCAACAAAGAATGTGTACATGGATGTTATCCTTACTGCTATGAATATCAAACTATTGCTTGAGGATTGAGGTCCAGTAATAAAACAGCAGCTATTTCTCCAAAAAAATCCTCTGTGACTTTTCAAATGAAATGAGGGCTTTCCTGCCAATCCCACAAGTCAGGAAGATAAAATTGGGCATGGATCTTTCCCTTGCTGCTGCAGAAACTCTTCATCCCTGTCAGAGATGGCAGATCCATTGCTACAACCAGGGGGCCGTGCTGAAAGTTCAGAGCTGGTTTTGGAAATGACACAGTCTACTTCATTCTGGATAAGGGCACAGTCTGTCATAACAGGTTATTTTAAAGGTCACCCTAGATTTAACCAGGACATCTTGTTCCTTTCTTTTATCCTCCAAATTTTTCTTTGAAAAGCTGTTGCATATCTCTGGCCTTTCTATTTTCTCTACCAGACAAAACCTATTACTAAGTGGATGTTAATTAAGCCACAGGGCCAAGACATTGACAATTCAAAATGAAAACTATGACTGCATATGGCATTGTATCCTGCCCCCAAATGCTGTGCTCTTAAAGGGAGACTCTTGAAATGAAAACTCGTGCACCTATAAATGCGAAGAGTGACTTGAGTGCTATAAAACAAAGTGCACTGGTTAACACACCGTCAGCTTTGTTATGTCAGGACAGAAATAAAAATCTAATAGTAAATAGTCAACAGATGTCATAGCACCGGAGAAAATAAATGCATACACACCTGGATGGGTGCAATTCTTCTCCCTGAAATAAATTTTAAGAACATATGTTTTAGTCTTGCTCAAACCCATCCCAAACTCCAAAGCAAACATGTTGAAAGGAGAAACAATGAGCCCTCCTAGTTAAAACATGTTTTACATTTTGGTGGGATTGGAAATTTGAATAACTGGCTCTTTCTCCCCTTTTAAATCAGTGACACGACGTTGTCTTTAAATAGTGTGCATTTGCAAGAGGGCCCCCATTGCTCTCGGGTACCTGACAGACCATCGGTAAGCCTGGCCTTGGTGCATCCTTTCTCAAAGTGCCTCTAAGGACAGAAGAAAGTGAGCGAGATCATTTTCTTTCCTCCCCAGATTGCTGCCCTCCTTTCACTTAAGAGCCAATGCTTCCTAAAGAGAATGTGTCCCCTCAGTGTGACTTCCTGTGCTGTCTCCTTTTTAGGATCTACTGGCCCTTGGGGGAACTAAGCAACTCTGAGATCTATTTTGCTTTGTGGTTCAGCAACTGAGAGGCCGGAGGCTTAGAGCTGTGTTACCTGAGGACTAGGGTGTCGTAGGGTGGGGCTGGGCAGGAAGTGGCCTTCTTGCTGCCGAAGAGAGGCCTGGTGAAGGGACCCTTCATTGACAGGCTGAAGCTCAGGAGGGAGATACTTGTCAGTGGGCCGGGTTTGGGGCTCCAGTGAGTCAGCTGCATTCAGGGCCCTTTCAGGTTCAGAGGTCAATCTTGAGTGGAGTCTCAAGGGTGACAGCAAGTGTGAAGAATCCTTTGGGCTTCCTGGCAGGCTCTTCGAAAGGTAACATGGGAAGCCCACAGGAGCTCCCCAGCTTCCCCAGGTGGTCACCTGCCAGGCATCCTGCCTTGTCCCACAGCCACGGGTCCTTAATCTCCTCAAAGTGGGCGAGGTGGAGATGCGGCCTGGGGCTTGCCGGTCAAACTGGAGGAGACTCCCCTGGTTCTTTGGCAGGCTCCTCAGCGAGGGCCGAGGAGAGGCTCCACAGTCTTGGGGTGGCACCTCTGGACAGAATGACTCTGTTTTCTCCATAAAGCTAAGAGGTTCTACTGTTGGTAGAAGGTTCCAGAAGACGTATGAGTTGCTGTTCTCTGGATCACATGGAGGGTGCTCAATTTCTGCATCCAAGTGCCATGCTTCCTCTCGTAGTTCTTTTCCTTTTCCAGAGGAGAATGTCAAGCAGGTTATTGCATCTGTAGTGAGGAAGAGCAGACTGTGAAATATGTAGCAAATGAGGGAGACTGCAGTGAGAAAAAAGGTCTAAAATTTCAAAGGAAAACTTCTAATTCTTCATAGGCAATAGAGCTCAGTTCACATCAGCATCCTTTACGTTCAGAAGATAATTAATATACGTGACTCCAGCCTTCTCATCTAAATAGCGTATTGAAGTCTGTTTACTGTCTACTTAATATTCCTTCTAGGTTCAAACAAAAAAGCCTTTAAAAACTTTGGTAACTTAAGGTACTTCCTGGAAACCACATAGCTCCTCCCCTTGTGATTATTCCATTTTAAGAGAATCAAATATACATTAAATCCTCCTTATCATCTACATTTATGTATGTATGTACATATTGTGGTGCATTCTGGGGATGCAAGAACAAGGAAAACAAGCCTCCTTCCCTCAAGGTTTAAATTACAGAATGAGACAGGCTTTGAAGGTAACTGATGTAAAGTATCTGACAACGTCTTTTATCTTAGATTCTATCAATCTTTACATTTTGGAAAAAGGACTTGCAGGTTTGAAAAGAAAAACCCAGACATCACCAGGTACCCTACTGTTCATGATTGGAGGTGTTTTTTGCAATCTATGCATGCAGAATTATCTCTTCTCATGCTCAAGAAAAGCTGACCCTTCCATTTCACAGCTTGATTCATGGGAGTGGCTTATTGCAGTTTCGTTATTCTGTACTTTCCCACATGAAGAAGGTATGTGTGGGAAAACATCAATCCTTACACATCCCTTATGGCATGAGAGTTGATGCTTGATGATTTGCAGACCAGGTGTGGGACTGTGGGACAGGCGAGAGACCCATCTTCCCTGGCCGCAGATGGCATGGGAGGTGGCTTCAGACTGTGCGTGGATTGTTTGTGGATGGAACATTAGTAGTTGACCGTATATTCCAAGATCATCAATAATAGTTTTAGTAAGTTTATCATTCTAAAGCAGAACTCAGCAATCTGAAACCCTTTGCCCACATTTGGATAGCCAAAATTTAAGAATGGCTAATAATTTACTTCTTATAATTTTAATTGCATGGGCAATACTTTTTAGTAGAACTTTTCTAGGGTGTATTATTTGCTTCTTTAACTTGATATAGAGAAGGCTGAAAACCAATAAACCTTTTCCTTATAACCTGACCTCATTCTGTTGACTATCATTCTAGTACTTTGCCAAAATACAGTGATTACTACTATGTTTACTATAGTTCTGTGGAGAATACAATAATTGTTACAGGCTTCTATAGCATCTGAATATTCACTCCCACACCAAATGGCCCCACACCAATGTACTCCCTAATTTTTATTCCTTACTTCTCACTATGCTTTTTGTACTTGCCTATGGCAACCACTCTCTCCTCTTTGTTTCTTTTAATCTGTGTCAGTCATAGAAGTCCAACAACCTTGTGAATAGATAATTAATAGGTTGTTAGATCTATTCCTATCAGTAGAGGAGGAGCTCAATGTTATGACATTGTCATGACAATGTTGTGACTTGACATTGATTTTGGGGACTTTGTGGTCTCTTATTTTACTCCCTGACTCTTACCTTGTTTAAGGTCAAGTAAGTCCAGGCACAGAGGCTCATGCCTGTAATCCGAGCACTTTGGGAGGCAAAGGCGGGAGGATCCCTTGAGCCTAGAAGTTCAAGACCAGCCTGGGCAACATAGTGAGACCCCATCTCTATAAAAACCTTTTTAAAATGCCAAATGAAACTAACAGGTACTGGATTTCAGACTGGTGAGTTGTTTGAGGAACAACTTAGATGCAAACTAACGTCAATTCAACTCTTATTCACAAAAGAAATCTAAAATTCTTAATGTTGTGTTTGCTTTATTTTGAGCTGAGGACTCAATTGTTATAGAACTTCACATGTAGAACTAAAACCCATGAGGTACCCTTTTTTGCAGAGTGGAGGAAAGAGGGCAATGCCAGTTTAGGAAACTTATGTTCAGTTAAGGTGAGATTGTACTAGTTTTGGTTTTAGATTGGTAATTCCTGGAGGCTGCTCTGAAGGTTGATACCAACATTGCTGGAGAGGTATGAAATGGTCCCTCCCTACCATTGATAAAATAAGGTACATTGTTGCTACATGGAGAGGCCAGTTCCTCATTCTCCCAACAAACAAATGCTGAGCTGAGCATCAAATCTATAGGTACTTTCTTTCTTTTTTTTTTTCTTTTTAGAGATGGAGTCTGGCTCTGTCGCCCAGGCTGAGTGCAGAGGTGTGATCATATCGCACTGTAACCTCAAACTCCTAGCCTCACAGAATCCTCATGCTGCAGTGCTCCTGAGTAGTTGGGGCTATGGATGCTTACCACCCCACCCAGCTAATTTTGAATCAATAGGTACTTTCACACATACATACAATCAGGGCCGTTCTATTATTTTTCTCCTTTAGAAGACTGTCCAAGTTCTAGGCAGCAACAATGTTAAAGGAATTCAGTATATTTGCATAGGCACTTGCATAATAGTTAGATCAGATTTCTTAGTCTTTGGGTTTCCCCTCTGTCCTTCTGGCCTTTTCCTCTCCTCTTTTGAGGGGTTAGGATACGGCTTTGGGTTTCCTTTGTAGTCGTTCAGACACAGGGGTGTAGCTGCTGGTAGGAAGTTATTTATGGCCAATAGGATTCACATCGGTAAGAATTATTTATTAGCCACTGTCTTAAATATTGGAACCAAGGCAATAGTAACTGCCGACATGATGCACTGCGGAAATGGAGAAACTTTAAAAACAGCAGGGCTTAGGGAGGTGGTTTGCAGAAAGGCAGGAAGAGCTCAAGCACCAGAAGAAATGGGTCTGGTTTCTCTTCCAGTATCACCGCCAATTGGCTGTGTGACCTAGGACAAGCCACTTCTCCTCTGCCAACTGCCATGCAGCATTTACCAAGAGGACATCAAAGAACCTCCCTCACAGGCCTGTTGCAGAAATTAAATGAGATAATGGCTAAGGCTCCTGGGAAGCTTTCCCTAAATGACTACACCCAGTGGATCTGGTAGAATCAAAAGTTAACAAGTCAATCCATTCATGCTAACTCTTCTTTATGTTTAAAAGAGGAAATTAATACATGGTCACCATAAAGAAAATTCACCAACCTTTGACCTTCCAAGCTTTGAGAATCCAGCAAACACCCACCCACACTGTTGGGGAAGCCATCTCACTGTACTAGAAATGAAACCATTGCAGGTTAATGATTCACTAATTCTAATGAGACCTGGAGAGATCAGCAAAACAAGCGAAACTGATAGCAATAGGACAAAAGGAAAGTGCAAGAGAGAAACCCAGAAAGCAGCTGAATGTTGCCTTTAATACCTGTAAGATGGTCTGTCCCTGAAGGCAACTGCACCCAGGTGGGTCCCGAGGCTCCTCAGAACCCGCAGATCCAGAGTGAGCTGCCAGGCGAGGGCTCGGAGCAACAAGTTCCACACCTGTAACAATGCGTCCTCCTGGCTGAGTGAAAGCAACCTTGCTACCAGCTGCAATGAGGAACTGGTCTCTCCCCTCCTTAGAGACATTTCCAGTTATTTGTTTATGAAAAAGCCTAAAGGGAAGCCAGCTCAGAATCTAAGGCAGCCTAAGAACAAGTCAGGTAAACAACGGCTGATCAAATACAGAAATGATGCAAATGTAACTTTTTACTTCCTCTTGAGGCATTCAACAAATCATCACTCATAGTTCAGTGAAGCAGTTCTAGGTTTCTATTTCATTTATTTTCTCTAAGGTTGTGAGATGCATTCTTTGGGACTCTACTTTCTTCACATCATAAAACATTTTGTGTTGATCTATTTTATTAATGACTTGCTTTGATAAGCATTGAATAGTAGAGGAAATGATTAGAGCACCAGGGAGTGAATTTGTGAACATTAGTTTTCAAATAATTAAAATGCAAATGGAAGAGCATTTATATCTACCAGTATTCTCATTAGATCAGTACCCCAAAGAATATTTATTTGATGCCTAGGTGGAGATAATGCATATGTATGCAGCATTAAACAAAAATGTCTATAGACTTTCCCAAAACAAAGTTGAAGTAATTCTAATGAAGTCTAATTCACTGAAGTTTTCATTGATTGGACTCATTACAGATACTTACTGTGAAGGTTCCCTGAGGTCGGTAGTTCTTAAAGTAGGGTCCCTGGACCAGCAGTATCACTATGACTTGAGAACTTGTTAGAAAGGAAAAATCTTCCCCCTCCATGCTCTCCAACCCCTGGAACTCTGGGATGGGGTCAGAAGTCCGTGGTTTTTTTTTGAGACAGGGTCTCACTCTGTCACTCAGGCTGGAGTGCAGTGGCACGATCTCAGCTCACTGCAACCTCCACCTCCTGGGTTCAAGCGATTCTCCTACCTCAGCTTCCTGTGTAGCTGAGATTACAGGTGCACACCACCAGGGCCCGGCTAACTTTTGTATTTTTAGTACAGACGGGGTTTCACCATATTGGCCAGGCTGTCCGAACTCCTGACCTCAGGTGGTCCACCCACTTCGGCCTCCCAAAGTGCTGGGATTACAGGTGTGAGCCACTGTGCCCAGCCAGAAGTCTGTGTTTAACAAGACTTCCAGGTGATTCTTACATGGGTTAAAATTTGAGAACCACTGCCCTTAGAGGAAAAGAAAAAAAGGTCTAACTTATAGATGTTGGCCTTGTGATAAACTTTATATTAGTCTTTAATTCTCTCATATTGATCTTACTAGAACATCATTTACTTAGAACTTTGAAAAATGACTTGATCTCCTGCCCTCACCACCATTGCCAACATTACCATGACTCAACCAAAAGCAGGATATCAAAAAATATTTTGCCTGCATGGAGCCTGCATAAACAGTTCTGAGCTCCTGCCAAGGATGTCTAGAAGTGAATTGCTTCAATTTGGGAAGGAAAAAAATGAATAAAGTCTTTTAGCTTTTAGTTTGTGGAAGGAAGGTCATACTCTTTTCTACCAATCCCCTCACGCACATGGGATTGTAAAGCTGTCTCTCCTAGGGGATAATGATAATGGAATACTTGATCCCAATGCAAAAACTTCCAACCTCTGGTTGTAACTTCAAGAAGGAAATTAAGAGTCTTATAGAAAGGTCACAAAAGATTATCACGGAAAAAAATGTGCCACCTCCATCTGATTTGTCAAGGAGATGGCAACAGGGAGGCATTTTGGGTGGGGAAGGGACACCCCAGAGTCAGCTTTTCCTTTAAGAACCTGGGGCAACCTCACTGTGGCCCTTTCTCAGATGACACATGGAGGTGCTCTCCAATATCGCAGAGGGAGCAGCTCGCCTCAGCATTTTTTGCCTGTGTGTAGTTTTACGTTTATGTATGCTTTGCTTCAATAAAAAGTATACCTTAAAAAGTATGTCTATGCTAAAAGATGACATCCTGGTTTGCTTACTTTATGGCTTTGAATTGGCAAATTCCTAAAAGATATTTTCTTTCTAGTTGTTGAAAAGAGGTATGAGATTTATTTGAGCTTCCTTTTAGGTTTTAGGGCTACAAAAATTCAGTTGTACCATATTTACAATGATTAATATAGCTGGGCACAGTGGCTGATGCCTGTAATCCCAGCACTTTGGAAGGCCAAGGTGGGCAGACTGATTGAGCCCAGGAGTTTGGGACCAGCCTGGGCAACATGCTGAAACCCCGTCTCCACAAAAAATACAAAAATTAGTTGGGTGTGGTGTTGGGCACCTGTAGTCCCAGCTACTTGGGAGGCTGAAGTGGGAGGAATGCTTGGGCTGAGGTTGCAGTGAGCCGTGATCATGCCACTGTACTGCAGTCTGGGTGACAGAGAAAGATCCTGTCTCTCAAAAACAAACCAAAACAAAAAAAGGTGACTATCAGATTAATATCAATGCATCTTGATATCTTTCAATATTTCTGAGGTATTTATTTAGGAAAAGTTTCTAGGTAGTACATATTCTGAGCTGTTTCATACCCCAAAATGACTTTATTTTGCTATCACATGTGCAGGGCATGGAATTCTTGCAACATGGTATTTTCCTTTAAAGGTCTGTAGACATTTTTGCATGATTTCAGTCATTAATAGTTGAAATAGGAGGTCAATAGAATATTTACTCTTTGCTGGGTACCATACTCTTAAATTTTTTTTTACTTCTTTGTGAGATTGTGTATGTTCTATTGAAGTGTGAAATATATATATACACACACAATACAATAGAACATTATATATATATAATTTTATTGGGATTAGGTCTTGCTATATCAAGCTGATCTCAAACTCCTGGGCTCAAGTGGTCCTCTTGCCTTAGCCTCCCCAGTAGCTGGGACTACAGGGAATGCTGCTAATTTTTTATTTTGAATTTTTTTAAAAGATAGGGTTGGCCGGGCATGGTGGCTCACGCCTGTAATCCCAGCACTTTGGGAGGCAGAGGCGGGCAGATCACGAGGTCAGGAGATCGAGACCATCCTGGCTAACACGGTGAAACCCCGTCTCTACTAAAAATACAAAAAATTAGCCGGGCGAGGTGGCGGGTGCCTGTAGTCCTGGCTACTCGGGAGGCTGAGGCAGGAGAATGGCCTGAACCCCAGGGGATGGAGCCTGCAGTGAGCTGAGATCACGCCACTGCACTCCAGCCTGGGCGACCGAGTGAGACTCTATCTCAAAAAAAAAAAAAAAAAAAGAGATACGTTCTTGGTATGTTGTCCAGGCTTAAGTTTTTTCTTTTATATTTGAAGGTAGAGAGGTTTACCTAGCATATGTCATGGTGGGTTCTGTTTACCAAATATCTGGTGTGTACTCTCTGTTATTTAAAATATTTTTTCTAAATAAGAAATATTTTCTGTGCTATTTGACATTTATCTCTCTTCCACTGATTCTTTTCCTTCAGTCCCCATTCTTCTTTGTCTTCACTTCACTCTTCACTTTCCTCATTCTCTTTCTTCACTCTTCAGAGTGAAGTTATCGCTTCACTCTGATATTTTATCTTTTCTCTACATTATTGCTATTGCTTTTACCTTAGGGATAATTTCTTGATACTGTTTTCTATTTGGCTATTTTGCTTGTTCCATTTTCTGCATAGTCCAAATTGCCTTTAACTGTTTCCATAATGACTTTAACATCAATTTTCCTTTCAAGATAAATAGGAGTATTTCAGCTCAATTCTTTTTTAGATGGACTTTTGCTCTTGTTGCCCAGGCTGGAGTGCAGTGGTGCCATCTTGGCTCACTGCAACCTCCACCTCCTGGGTTCAAGTGATTCTCCTGCCTCGGCCTCCCAAATAGCTGGGATTACAGGCATGTGCCACCATACCCGGCTGATTTTGTATTTTTAGTAGAGACGGGATTTCACCATGTTGGTCAGGCTGGTCTTGAATTCCTGACCTCAGGTAATCCATCCATCTCAGCCTCCCAAAGTGCTGGGATTACAGGTGTGAGCCACCGCTCCTGGCTTTGCAATTCTTTTTTATTACAAAATGTTTTCATGGTGGCAGACTGTAGGTTCTTGATTCATGTCAAAAATATGGATTATTTAGTGTGTCATGAACTGAGGGTTATGATTAACTCAACTATATGTGGTCTAAAAATTAAAGTCAAAGAATCATGAATTATAATTTCTAATTTTTTCTGTTTTTTGAAATAACTCTGTTTCAAAAAAAGTAGTTCTACTGAGCCATCCTAGAATTTTTTTGCTTTATTCTTATGACCTGTAAGCTCTTTTACTATGCTCAGTAGTTATTCCATTTGCCATTCCTTAGAGAAGGGTATCTTTGCTTGGCCAGTGTTGATTTGGGGTTGACAAAGGATTTCACTAGGTTCTGATTGCTTGCTCAGCAATTTTGCAGTTTAAGGGGCAGGGACCTAGAGTGACAGCTGCAGCCACAATCAGAGCATAAGCTGGGTGCCATCACACTCATTCAGGAATGAAGGGCTCCCCAGCATGGCCAGTCCTCTGCTTGCTTTCAGACTTATGACCAGGAGCCACATCTGAGGCCTTCCCTCAGATGTGCATTCCTAGAGCTCAAGTGAAAGGACCCAATGGGCCGGGCTTCCCATGAGTTCCCTATGCTTTCCTGCCTTTTGAGTCTTGGAACAGTGCCAACTCACCTCTTGGAATTGGAGTTTTAGTAGACATTTGTTAGCAGCCTCCCTGCACCCGTGATCCACTCTCCTTTCCAGAGTCGTGATTTCCATTTAGGTTCCATGTGTTTCTCCATGCTTATTTCATTCCCAGCTTGAGGGGTGGAACACTGGACCTTGGCTCAGTCAAATTTGCATTTCAACCCCCAGGCTGCAAGGACTGGTTTAGGAGATCAGCATGTGACCCAAGCCAGTCCAATCAGTGTGACTTTCAGAAATTTTGCTGAGAATCCTGGGACAAAGACTGTTTCCTGATGGATGTGGAAGAGGAGGCAGCCAGCAATGGGAACTGTTGGCAGACACCTTGAATCTATGGGGTTTAGGAGCCAGTCTTAGGATATATCTGACACCATGACAGGCAGAGTGGAGTTAGAAAGAACAAAACAAAACTGGGCTTTCATGACATCCTGAGTAGCCAAATCAGTCCTCCTCCAATGCTAGAAAGAGATTCCTCTACATTTGTTTCCCCAAGTCATTAAATTTCTTTTGTTTTTAAGCAATGTGGAGTCATGCTTTCTTTGCTTACATCCAAATGCATCCTCACAGATAGAGAGGCATCTGTGGGAGTTTATTAGTTCCTCTTCCTCCCTTCCAGAAAGATTGCTGTCAGAAAGAGGGCAGCTTTCAGCATCTTCTTTTGATCCAGGACCACTTAGACTGTGTCCGTGATTCATTCTCATGCTGCTAATAAAGACACTCCCAAGACTGGGTAATTTAGAAAGGAAAGAGGTTTAATTGATTCACAGTTCATCATGGATGGGGAGGCCTCAGGAAACTTAAAATCATGGTGGGGGGGAAGCAAACATGTCCTTCTTCACATGGCGGCAGCAAGGAGAAGTGCCAAGCAAAAGAGGGAAAAGCCACTTATAAAACTATCAGATTATGAGAACTAACTCACTATCATGAGAACAGCATGAAGATAACAGCTTCCATGATTAAATTATCTTCCGTCAAGTCCCTACCACAATACATGGGGATTATGGGAACTACAATTCAAGATGAGATTTGGGTGGGGACACAGCTAAACCATATCAGACTGTATCTGAAGAATTAACTCTTCTAGATTTCTAGATTACAGATAGCACCAATTCCTTGATTTCCAATGGTCATGCAAAAGTGTTTCCAATGTGAATATTTTGATGGTTACTGTATTAGTTTTCTATTGCTGGATAACAAATGACCATATATTTAGTGGCTTAACATATAGCACACATTGATTATCTCACAGTTTTTGTGGGTGAGGAGACTAGACACAGCTTATCTGAATTTTTTTTATTGTGGCCTTGTGAGAAGGCTACAATCAAGGCATTGGCTAGGCTGCATTCCTTTCTGGAACTCAAGGTCCTCTTCCAATCTCATGTGGTTGTTGGAAGAATTCAAGTCCTTGTGGTTGTAGGATTGAGGCTCTCAGTCCACAGAGGCCACCCCTAGTTCCCTGATATGTGATCCTCTCCATAGGCAGTTCACACCACAACTTGCTTTTTGAAGGCCAGTGGGACATTTTTTCCCTCCAGTCTGGCAAGATGGAGTCTTATAAATATATTGTAATATAATCACAGGAGTAATAGCCCATCGCCTTTGCCATATTCTATTGGTTAGAAGCAAATCCCAGGTTCTACTCACCCACACTTGAAGGGAGGGAGTTACCCAAGTGTGTGACTTGGAGGTAACATAAGGCTGTGTCTCTCACAGCCATTTCAATATTAATTGAGATTTGTTTTCTAATTAATATGTAGCTAGGCTAAGATATGTCCCAACTTCTAGCACCATGCCTTTCTTTTACTCTGTTTTTGACATCAGATTGGCTTGAAGAATGGCTTTAAGTGTTTCTGAGGGATAGAGGCAAGTGTGGAAAAATGAAAGTAAACCAAGCAAGTGTGCATCAGAGAAACTCAGGAAGCAGGCACAGCTGAGGTTTCACAATTCCTAAGGCTGCCCCTGGCTCTGCACCAGCCCATCTGTTTGCCAAGACCCAGCAAAGGCACTGTGGGGTTTATTTCTTCTGTTTAATTTTAGTGTGGGCTGCTTTGAATTTTGCTTTGACAATCAACAGGGGCTCACAGTAATGCTTAGACTTACATGAATGAATTTGTTTTGATGTTGACTGAACCAGCAGCAAATCATCTACCTTGGAAAGTAAGGAGATGGGATTTAAGTGTGAAATTCATTTCCAAATTGTGTCGAAGTCCCAAGTGGCTGCTGATTTACCTGGTACATTTCACTCAGCTCAACTCAAACCAACTTTTAGTTCTGACATTTCTAAAGTGGTACCCTTGTCAGAATTCTAGATGTGAAGAAGTTAATAACTGCAAAAACAGCCTTGGAAATGAGTTTTAAGAGCCAATGGGGGAAAAATAAGCCTGCGGATTTTATTTTTATATGTAGTAAAGATAGAACAGATAATTAGGCTGAAAATTATCCTATTGCTGGTTCTTCTTGGTGATTTAGGACCCATTGTAAGACTTCATTCACTTTCCTGTGATTTCTGTCCCTAAGTCATAATTCTAGCATGATTATGTCAAAATTATCTCCACAGTAGTCAATTGCAGGCTACACACAGCGAATTAAGACTTCAGGTGGTGAATAAACAGAAACAGCAGGAACCCTAGAAACTGAGAGCCATAAACCTTCTGTTCTTCTGAAAATGCTCCTGAGGACAGCAAAGAGTGGAGAGAGAAGAAAGAAAACATGGCTTGTTACATAAAGCAAGAATTATTTCTGAATGAAAGGAAGGTTGATTCAATTTTGTCAAATGACACTCATGAAGTCTTCTCAAGCAAGGCGGCTCTATGAGAATGATCAAATTACTATCACATTTTATATAAATAATGCGATGAATGTAAAGTTTTTTCAAAATGCAATGCCTATTATTTCGTATTTCCTATACAACCTAGAGTCATTCTATCAAGACAGAGTTATCTTTAAACTTTCCTGACCACAGAGCACTTTACCTGATTTTATTTTTTGTTTTCTTTGCGGGCAGAAATATTTCTCAGATTATTGTTTAAAGGATTATAGTAATCAGAAATTGATTTATGCCTCATATCCCATGCATGGTGAGAGCATTTATTGGGGAATGATCTGTGTGCATGGCTGATTATACCACATTAGATAGTTAAACAATCACTTGCAATTTATTGGTGTTACTTCTTTTGGCAGATGTTGCTGTATTTGATTGTTATGCATTTTGTTTAACCCTGGAAGAGCCCTTGTGCATGGTTTACGATGTCACAGCTCATAAGTTCGGTCAAATTAACTTAGTAAGGATTCTATGGATCCACTTCGCGTTGTCTGAAAAACCAACAACTTTATTATTATTTTCTTCTTCTCATAGATAAGGATAACTTTTGTCACACGTAGGATACTTTAACGTTGTATCTAACAATAACTCTCCTGCTATCTTTCACGGCAAGATGAGGAAATGAGTTTAGATAGGTTAAGAGGGACCAAATATATTCCAAAGAGGTTTATGAGGGTAAGTGTGGAGGGCAGGGTATTGAGTATTATTTATAAAAATGGCAAAATAGTTTATATACCATCATGCTTTTTTTTTCATTTAACAATATATCATGGGCATTCTTCTGTGTCATTGAATATACATAAAATTTAAGAGCTATATACTATCCTGCAGGATGGAATTACAATTATGTAATCATGCCTGTATTGATAGCACTGTCATCTAATCTACAGTAGGACATTGCTCAACTAGAGTGGTTTTCCTCCCCTCCTTCTCCCAGTGGTTGGATCCTTTTTCCCTTGGTTTGGGTAGGGCTGATTTTCCTTTTCCCTTCCCCCAACACAGAACCAGGCCTGCTCAATCAGAACAGTTTATCACTCTATCTGCATGTGATTGGTTAGGAGTTGACAGGCATCACAAGCTGGGCCAATCAAGACTTTTGCTGGCATTCAAAGAAGCGGGTTGAAAGAAGCTGGCATTCAAAGAAGTTGAAAGATCTTTGCTCTTTGATTACATACTGCAAAGATGATGTCAACTGGGATTTGCTCATAGTCATGTTTATTACTGGTATGATTTGGCTGTGTCCCCACCCAAATCTCATCTTGAATTGTAGTTGCCATAATCCCCACGTGTAGTGAGAGGGACCAGGTGGAGGTAATTGAATCACGGCAGGCAGTTTCCCCTATCATGCTCTTGTGATAGTGAGTTAATTCTCATGAGATCTGATGGTTTTATAAGGGGCTTCCCCCTTGTCTGGGCACTCATTCTCTCTCCTGCCCTTCTGTGAAGAGGTGCCTTCCACCATGATTGTAAGTTTCCTGAGGCCTCCCCAGCCATGCAGAAAATTTGCAGCCTGACAATGAGATAGAAAAGAAAACCCCATTTTCTGGGGAGAAATTCAAGCCAGCTGCAGAAATCTGCATAAGTAATGAGGAGCCCAATGTTGATCATCAAGACAATGAGGAAAATGTCTCCAGGGTATGTCAGAGAGCTTCAGAGCTAATATAGTTACCATGCAGGAGTGCTTGCCTTAAAGTGAAGTCAGCTCCAGGAAAGGAAAGCATGTGGATGCCCAAAGCCAGTTCTAATCTCTTAAATTTCCCAGCTATGTTCTAGATCCTCCCTTTCAAAGCCTGTATCAGCTAGGTTTCTATCACTAGTAACCAAGAGTCCCAATTAATATGGAAGTAAGATAAAGTTAACAGAAGTTGAGATGTTTAGCTTGTGTAAGAGAAAACTGGGGTTATATAAGAATTATCTTCCACATTGAAGGAGTTGTCATGTATGGTTAATGAGTACAAATATACACTTAGAAAAAATAAGACCTGGTGTTTGATAGATCAGTAGTGTAACTATAGTTAATGTAAATCAATTGTACGTTTCAAAATAGCTAGAAGAGAATAATTTGAATGTCCCTAGCATAAAGAAAAGTATTTAAGGTGATGCATATTCCAACTACACTGACTTAATTATATGAATGTATTGATGATCACATATACTGCAAAAATATGTGCAGCTATTATGTATCAATAAAAATAAATTAATTCATTACAAAAAGAATCATGTGAAATTTAAAGTAATAGACTATTCTGAATAGCTTCAGCCCCAAATTAGGTTGTCATCTAGAGATAACCAAATTTTAGCCCTAAATAAATAAAAACGTATAGTACTTAGGGCTGTCTGAAAATGAAGAGCTGCTTTGTAGGTAGGTATTCAAAAGGCCACATCCCAGAGCAGTAACATGACAACAGAAAAATTCTACTCATTACAGAAGATACCTAGTGAGTGTGGCCAAGTCCCTGGTTTTTAGATCATCAGAGAGGCAGTAATGGGATGGGGAGGCCCATGTTGAAAGATCAGGGACTCCAGCTTGGGAAACAGCTGAGGGATGATAGTTCCAATGTGTTGACCTAGGAAAAGAACTACAAGAGGAAAGAGCTGGGCTGAAGAGACTGGAGAGTTGCTGATCTACTGCAATGGGGTCTATTCTAAGAACACAATGCTGTTTTAACATTAAAAAAGTAATGTAATTCACACATTGAACAACATAAACAACAAAGGAGAAGAATCAGATGATATTCTGCAATTGTTTGTTGCCAGTATTGTTCCTGTTCCATTTTCTCTATCTCCTTCTCAGACTTCAATTATGTGTCATACACGTCTGTTATACTCTGTTCTATTCCTTCCATTTTTCCCTTCCCCACTTTTTTATTTCATTGTAAGGCTTTGGTTTGGAACCTTTTCGTAGGCCTCTCTTTTGTTTTTCTAATTCTGTCTTTGACTTACAGTCTACTATTAAATCCATCTGTTGAGTTCTTAATTTCAGATATTTTATTTGCTCAGTTCTAGAATATCCATTTTAATGTGTTTTTTTGGTAGACTGTAATTCTATGTTGAAAGTCTTTATGTTCTCGTTTATTTTCCTCATCTTTCTACAATTTTTTATAAGCGCATTTATTATATTTGCTTAAAAGTTTTTATCTGCTAACTCCAATATCTGGATTACATTTGGGCCCAGTTCTATTGTCTGTTTTTTATCTTGATTACTAGCCACTGTTTCATGTCTGTTCACATGCTATGTAATTTTGATTGAGTGTTACACACACATTGTACATAAAATAAGTGATATTTTTGTCAGGGGCTCTTATCCATTCCTCTGTTTGGTAACTGGGTCAAAGTGTTAATCCTCTCAATCTAATCAGATTTTTATTGGTTTTAGGATTCGGTAGAAGCTTTGGTTATATTCAGTCCATCTCTGTGGTCAAATGTCTCAAGGATGAAACCTGTGGCATGCTTGTTACAGAGCACTTCTAGTGGGATTTTGTTGCCTAAGCACTGTGGGACTGCGGGAGAGTTCAGTCTGTCTTCTCAGCCCACTCTTGCTTCCCACTGCCTCAGCACTCAGCAGTGGCCTTCTGGGAAAAATAGCCATGCGTTTGGGTCTCCTCTAGATTTCACCTCCCACGTCAGCCCGTGTAGCTATCAAAAGCTATGCTGGTTTCTCTTGTCCCTAGCAGTGTACCACTACTTATGCCAAGCCAGTCCTCTGCTCGTACCAGAATTAGCCTGTGTCTCCAGGGAAGATAACAGCTAACAATCTCAGTCCACATAGGAAAATCTTTAAATTTTTCTAGAATTGCAGCTGGAATGATGGCTTGCTGCTGCCTCTGATTTCCTGCCTCTACGAAAGGGATGTTTTCACATCTATAATCCATAGCAGCTTCCACCTGTACTTTGAATTCATGCAGGGCCAACATTCTTAGAACCCTCTAGGTCATTTGGAACTTAACAAACAAATGGATATGCAGATTACTGTTTGCAACCTTTTAAAATCCCCAGGACCATGCACATTGAAGGTTATAAAACAAGACAAAATAATTTATTGAGCATGTACTATATTTTAGGCAATGTTCTAAGCCCTTTCTTTATAACCCTGTAAGGATGGTATTACTATAACCTTGTCTTACAGATACAGAAATTGAAGTTTCAAGAGGTAAAGTGAACTGTTCAAATAATAAATGACAGAACTATAGCTTGAACCGTGTCTTTCTGATGTCTGTTATGCTTAGCTATTATACTATAAATACTTGTCAAGAGAAGGACACTAGTAGTTACAGGTCAGAAGGCACACAAATGGTGCCTCTGGCATATATAACACCTGTTCATACAGAGAAGCAGATGTACTACAATGACCACTTACTATCACATATAACTCTCACTTAAGGACATACAGTGAATAACATATGAATAATGTCACAACATTTGTTGGCACAGATTCTTTATATTATTTATTTCTGGTATTATTTCAAATGAACTCCTCTATTTCCCCAATTGATTAGATTTCAAAATATTTAAGGCCCAATGTTTAAGCATCAGTTTGATTTTCATCATACTTTCTTATCAGTGGAAGTATTTTTGAGTTTTGCAGAAAAGACTTAAAAGCAATTTTAATTCAGGGTATCCATATAGTAAGGCTAGCTTTTCTAAATTTGCCATTAGATTTAATGATTCTTTCCTGATATTAGCATCACAAAGAGAATAGGGAAGTAGAAACATCCTCCACTCATTGTTTCTACATGTTTTTCTTGGCTGTGAAATGCATTTTTACTTCATTGTTTTTTAGATGCAATTGTCTCACTAGAAGGTCCATGACTATGTTATTCTGGGCTCATTATCTGTGTATGTTTTCTCATACTTTAATTTTTTAGTTTCAAGATGCCGTTGGTCAAAACTCCCAAGAATGTTTCTTTCCTTTCTCACAGTTCTCTGCCTGCAGCAAAATCAGTCTCAGAAATTTCTAACTAGAAGACAAGAAAGAAAAATCACTGAAAATGTGAAGGTGACAATATCTGCTCCTCCTGGCACAAGCTTCTCAAGGGAACTAATCTCTTAGCCCCCACAGATGTCAGAGAATTAAAAATTGGGAGGAAAGCAAGGAGGCACCTATCAAATCCCCTCATTTTTCAGTTACAGAAACAAAACCAAGAAAGATTAAACAATTTGCCCAAGATCATTTTGCCTCTAGTGCGATGCTGGCCTTAAAACCCAGGAATTCTGACTCCTGGTTCAGTGCTCTTTCTAAAACCCATCACTGGACAAGCCTTTGTTATGAAGCCACTCGAAGTAATGCTGAGGAAGATGACACCACCATTTGTGTTTTGTGATTTGCTTATTCATAAATTAATGTTTCAGGAATCCTCATTTTTACCTCTTTCAGGCCATGGCAAGACATCCCAAAACTGATAAGCATTATCTGTGATACCAGGGGCCTTAGTGGCAAAAATTTGTTCCCAGAACTTGTGTCTTTGAATATTTTAAAAGGATTTTACATCATGTATGGAGGTTTGAATGACAAGGTCAACAGACCATGAAGAAGAGGGCCCATTCTAATCAGTCCCAGAGACTTGCCAGAGTGTCCAGTCTGTGTAAGTCCCTTTTTAGTCCCTGTGGGGCTAAAAAAAAAATGTGAAAAACACTAGCTTTTGGCTTGGGAGAGAAAAATGAATGTGTGGTTATATAATATCTCCATTTTATCAAGTCAGTTTTAATTCTTCTTTAATCACTGAGATTTGGCTCCAAAAAATTTACCATAGTTTGTCTGAGTCTGACACTTGGCTTATTAACTACAATATTTCTTAATGAAATCAAGCCCCTAAAATATACCAGTAAAATTTAAATTGACTTTTTTGGATATTAAAAAGCCAATTTAAAACATGCTTAGTTTATACTTTGCCTATCTGCCAAGAGTCCATGTTGCAGTTAACGTTGCCCTAAAGTTAACATACTAACTTACCAGTTCAGTTAAACAACCATTTAAATAACAATGATGACAATGACAACAATAAGCACTATAGTTCATAGAGTTCTTACTTTGTACAAGACTGAAGCAGCAAAAAGATGATTAAGACACAGTCCCTAGGCTCAAGAAGTTCCAGACTGACAGTGAAAGATGTGCAAATAGAGATGGTGTGATAACCAACATAGTAAGTATAAGACTTAACACTTAGGCCAGGTGCAGTGGCCCAGGCCTATAATCCCAGCACTTTGGGAGGCTGAGGTGGGTGGATCATGTCAGGTCATGAGTTCGAGACCAGCCTGGCCAACATGGTGAAACCCCATCTCCATTAAAAATACAAAAAAATTAGCCGGGCATAGTGTCACACGCCTGTGGTCTCAGCTGCTTGGGAGGCTGAGGCAGGAGAATTGCTTGAACACAGGAGGCAGAGGTTGCAGTGAGGATAGTGCTACTGTACTCCAGCCTGGGTTACAGAGCAAGACTTCATCTCAAAAAAAAAAAAATTAAAATTTTAATCTAAAAGTAGTAATAAATAAAAGTACTTCAGAGAAACATGTGATTACCTTGGTGTGGAGGTGGTTCAGGAAATGTTAAACAATCAGCTTTCTAGGGAAAAGTCCCAGTTTGTAAGTTTACCAATTCTTGTTGTGTAAATGTTACTGTGATGGCTGATTTCAAGCTAACTACCTAAAGTCATAGAAAGCAGATATGAGAAGAGATGCATACAACTGGCTTTCTGCTGCTCATGTAAGCTGGCTCCAACACATCATTGGGGTGGCCAGAGAATGTTCCATAGAGGAGGTGATAATTGAACAGGATTTGGAAAAAAATAGGAATTCATCATTTAATTCAAAAAATCATGAATTCGTCATAAGTATGGAAGGGCATTCCAGGAAACAAGCCAATATACAATGGCATGGACATAACTTTAAATAATAAAATATGAAAGATATGTTGCCATCTTTTTGTTAAACTTACCCTGAGTGTTACTGAATGAATGATAATGCCGATCAGGCATATAGGGAATGGCAACATTTTCATAAAGGGGATTTGTAAAAGTTAAAATTGTTCTTCTCTCTCTCCATCAACACTTAATTAAAAATACCTGATATATGATAGTCACTTAATAAGAATTTGATTGCTCTCTATAGACATGTCTTTGATTCTATAAAAGCATTTTTCTAAATGAAAATAAACTGATAGAATACTTGCAATCTCAGTTGCTAATATATCTATAGACCAATAATTTCATTTAGATTTTTGTGAAAGTTTCACAGAAAATTCTTCCCAAATTTCTGTTTTTAAGGGCAAAAGAAGATCTCTATACACAAAGATATACCCTAATTTATAGCAGAAAAAATTTATGAAGAGCCTAAAAGTCCAACAATAGGGGAATGGTTAAGTAAACGATATGGTATATACATTCAAAACCCTACTACATAGCCATGAAAAATGACACATATAATGACTATGTAGTTATATAGAAGATATTTGTTATATAAAATTAAGTAGAAAAGAAAAGTCTACAAAATCTTATTTATACCATGCACAGGAAATAAACAAAGGAAAAAAAAAGAGCTTATAATTAGCCATGATTGTGTTTGAGTGGATGCTTAATCAATTACAAGGTTGATTATTACAGATCAGCCTTGTACTAATGCAGTGGTAGCAAGACATTAATTAGATTATTTCAACAGCTGGCAGTGGAATGACTCTTAGGGAGAAAGCTGTCTTTGATTAGAAAACCACACTGATGAGCTACTCATAAGTAGAAGACAGTACTGGCTTCAATAAGACCCAAGAGACCAAAGGTGATGATTATACTCGTTTGAATGGGACAGTAAGGCTAATGCCTTTGTGCTTTTAAGAAGAAATATAGAAAGAGAGGGAGGACACAAAAGAGGGAGGGAGTGTGTATGAAGGTAGAAAGAAGCCAGCTATATATGACATGGCTGGCTTTACTGGTGGGGGCGAAGTGTCGTGTAAAAATTTCTTGATGCAGTATCTTTAGAAAAATCTACTGTGTAACCTGAATCTAAAGTTCAGTTTAAAGTGGGATGAACTACTAGACATAGATCTCTCCTTCATAAATTTTCAGTAAACTCTACAATAATTGGAAGTCTTTTTGAGTTGTAATTTATGCATATTTTGATGTTTGTGTATATTTGTGTGATATCTAAGAGGGGGCTGAATTTCATGTCCCTGTTGAAATTGGTAGCAAATTGAGTCAGCACAGACAGCAACACAAGAGCCTGGAGCCAGACATGACCACACGAATGACCCATTGGGATTGGCAGAAGTCTTGGAAGGTGGCTTAAGCCCAATGTTACTTGGGTTGCAAGAGATTGTTACTTGTGTACTTGTCTTATTTTATTTACTCAATGATGTGCTCCTGGAAGGCAGAGCTCATAGATAATGTTGTTCATCTAAAAGATATTTTGATGCAATAGTAATAATAATAACAAAAGTAATAAAAACAATGATGCCATTGCATCATTGTAGATACAGCAGATTCCATCTACTGAGCATTTCCATATGATAGGAAGAGACATGAACTCAAAAGTATAAGAATCAGGATTTGATTTCTAGATTTTCTGTTTCCTCGTTACATAATTTTATGCATTTTTTTCTTGGAATCTCTGGTTTTACATCTGCAAAATGGAAAGTATTTGCTCTAACTCAGAGGCTGGCTGTGCAAATCAAATTTAGTAGTTCACTCAGCTAGCATGTATTGAGCACCTGCTGTGTACAGAGACCCTTCTGGGTCTCCACTGTAGTAACTCTGCTGTTTTTTTTCCTAACGTTGAGTCATGCTGTTGTTCCCCTTGACATCACTCTGGATGACTTGGTTGTCTAGATTTGATCTGGACTGCTCTCTATTCCAATGGTTGTCCCACTATGGCGAGGGTAAAGTCTTTCATTTAAAAAGTATTGAAATGTTTTTTCTTAAGCCTCTAAACAAGACAGTACATGCTGACTTTCTTGCTATGCTCTTAAAATGATAATCCTTGTGTTCTAGGAGGAGCTGGTACCATTCCTTCTGAAACTATTCCAATCAATAGAAAAAGAGGGAATCCTCCCTAACTCATTTTATGAGGCCAGCATCATCCTGATACCAAAGCTGGGCAGAGACACAACCAAAAAAAGATAATTTTAGACCAATATCCTTGATGAACATTGATGCAAAAATCCTCAATAAAATACTGGCAAACTGAATCCAGCAGCACATCAAAAAGCTTATCCACCATGATCAAGTGGGCTTCATCCCTGGGATGCAAGGCTGGTTCAACATACGAAAATCAATAAACGTAATCCAGCATATAAACAGAACCAAAGACAAAAACCACATGAATATCTCAATAGATGCAGAAAAGGCCTTTGACAAAATTCAACAACCCTTCATGCTAAAAGCTCTCAATAAATTAGCTATTGATGGGACATATCTCAAAATAATAAGAGCTATCTATGACAAACCCACAGCCAATATCATACTGAATGGGCAAAAACTGGAAGCATTCCCTTTGAAAACTGGCACAAGACAGGGATGCCCTCTCTCACCACTCCTATTCAACATAGTGTTGGAAGTTCTGGCCAGGGCAATTAGGCAGGAGAAGGAAATAAAGGGTATTCAATTAGGAAAAGAGGAAGTCAAATTGTCCCTGTTTGCAGATGACATGATTGTATATCTAGAAAACCCCATTTTCTCAGTCCAAAATCTCCTTAAGCTGATAAGCAAGTTCAGCAAAGTCTCAGGATACAAAATCAATGTACAAAAATCACAAGCATTCTTATACACCAATAACAGACAAACAGAGAGCCAAATCATGAGTGAACTCCCATTCACAATTGCTTCAAAGAGAATAAAATACCTAGGAATCCAACTTACAAGGGACGTGAAGGACCTCTTCAAGGAGAACCACAAACCACTGCTCAATGAAATAAAAGAGGATACAAAGAAATGGAAGAACATTCCACACTCATGGGTAGGAAGAATCAATATCGTGAAAATGGCCATACTGCCCAAGGTAATTTATAGATTCAATGCCATCCCCATCAAGCTACTAATGACTTTCTTCACAGAATTGGAAAAAACTACTTTAAAGTTCATAGGGAACCAAAAAAGAGCCCGCATTGCCAAGTCAATCCTAAGCCAAAAGATCAAAGCCGGAGGCATCACGCTACCTGACTTCAAACTATACTACAAGGCTACAGTAACCAAAACAGCATGGTACTGGTACCAAAACAGAGATATAGATCAATGGAAGAGAACAGAGCCCTCAGAAATAATGCCACGTATCTACAACCATCTGATCTTTGACAATCCTGAGAAAAACAAGCAATGCGGAAAGGATTCCCTATTTAATAAATGGTGCTGGTGCTGGGAAAACTGGCTAGCCATATGTAGAAAGCTGAAACTGGATCCCTTCCTTATACCTTATACAAAAATTAATTCAAGATGGATTAAAGACTTACATGTTAGACCTAAAACCATAAAAACCCTAGAAGAAAACCTAGGCAATACCATTCAGGACATAGGCATGGGCAAGGACTTCATGTCTAAAACACCAAAAGCAATGGCAACAAAAGACAAAATTGACAAAGGGGATCTAATTAAACCAAAGAGCTTCTGCACAGCAAAAGAAACTACCATCAGAGTGAACAGGCAACCTACAAAATGGGAGAAAATTTTCGCAACCTACTCGTCTGACAAAGGGCTAATATCCAGAATCTACGATGAACTCAAACAAATTTACAAGAAAAAAACAAACAACCCCATCAAAAAGTGGGCGAAGGGTATGAACAAACACTTCTCAAAAGAAGACATTTATGCAGCCAAAAAACACATGAAAAAATGTTCATCATCACTGGCCATCAGAGAAATACAAATCAAAACCACAATGAGATACCATCTCACACCAGTTAGAATGGCAATCATTAAAAAGTCAGGAAACAACAGGTGCTGGAGAGGATGTGGAGAAATAGGAACACTTTTACACTGTTGGTGGGACTGTAAACTAGTTCACCTATTGTGGAAGTCAGTGTGGCGATTTCTCAGGGATCTAGAACTAGAAATACCATTTGGCCCAGCCATCCCATTACTGGGTATATACCCAAAGAATTATAAATCATGCTGCTATAAAGACACATGCACACGTATGTTTATTGCAACACTATTCACAATAGCAAAGACTTGGAACCAACCCAAATGTCCAAAAACGATAGACTGGATTAAGAAAATGTGGCACATAGAGA
The DNA here is from genome assembly GCF_000001405.40 of Homo sapiens. Classification (NCBI taxonomy): domain Eukaryota; kingdom Metazoa; phylum Chordata; class Mammalia; order Primates; family Hominidae; genus Homo; species Homo sapiens. The sequence continues at coordinate 92,684,348 of NC_000012.12, read as the reverse complement.
CAGCCAAGATGGCTGAATAGGAACAGCTCTGGTCTACAGCTCCCAGTGTGAGTGACGCAGAAGACGGGTGATTTCTGCATTTCCATCTGAGGTACCGGGTTCATCTCACTAGGGAGTGCCAGACAGTGGGCGCAGGACAGTGGGTGCAGTGCACCGTGTGTGAGCTGAAGCAGGGTGAGGCATTGCCTCACTCGGGAAGTGCAAGGGGTCAGGGAGGTCCCTTCCCTAGTCAAAGAAAGGGGTGACAGATGGCATCTGGAAAATCGAGTCACTCCCACCCGAATACTGCGCTTTTCCTACGGGCTTAAAAAAGGGTGCACCAGGAGATTATGTCCCGCACATGGCTCGGAGGGTCCTACGCCCACGGAGTCTCGCTGATTGCTAGCACAGCAGTCTGAGATCAAACTGCAAGGTGGCAGCAAGGCTGGGGGAGGGGAGCCCGCCATTGCCCAGGCTTGCTTAGGTAAACAAAGCAGCTGGGAAGCTCGAACTGGGTGGAGCCCACCACAGCTCAAGGAGGCCTGCCTGCCTCTGTAGGCTCCACCTCTGGGGGCAGGGCACAGACAAACAAAAAGACAGCAGTAACCTCTGCAGACTTAAATGGCCCTGTCTGACAGCTTTGAAGAGAGCAGTGGTTCTCCCAGCACGCAGCTGGAGATCTGAGAACGTGCAGACTGCCTCCTCAAGTGGGCCCTTGACCCCTGACCCCCAAGCAGCCTAACTGGGAGGCACCCTCCAGTAGGGGCAGACTGCCACCTCACACAGCCGGGTACTCCTCTGAGACAAAACTTCCAGAGGAACGATCAGACAGCAGCATTTGTGGTTCATGAAAATCCGCTGTTCTGCAGCCACCGCTGCTGATACCCAGGCAAACAGAGTCTGGAGTGGACCTCTAGCAAACTCCAACAGACCTGCAGCTGAGGGTCCTGTCTCTTAGAAGGAAAACTAACAAACAGAAAGGACATCCACACCAAAAACCAACCTGTACATCACCATCATCAAAGACCAAAAGTAGATAAAACCACAAAGATGGGGAAAAAACAGAGCAGAAAAACTGGAAACTCTAAAAAGCAGAGCGCCTCTCCTCCTCCAAAGGAACGCAGTTCCTCACTAGCAATGGAACAAAGCTGGACGGAGAATGACTTTGACAAGCTGAGAGAAGAAGGCTTCAGACGATCAAATTACTCCGAGCTACGGGAGGACATTCAAACTAAAGGCAAAGAAGTTGAAAACTTTGAAAAAAATTTAGAAGAATGTATAACTAGAATAACCAATACAGAGAAGTGCTTAAAGGATTTGATGGAGCTGAAAACCAAGGCTCGAGAACTACGTGAAGAATGCAGAAGCCTCAGGAGCCAATGCGATAAACTGGAAGAAAGGGTATCAGCGATGGAAGATGAAATGAATGAAATGAAGTGAGAAGGGAAGTTTAGAGAAAAAAGAATAAAAAGAAACGAGCAAAGCCTCCAAGAAATATGGGACTATGTGAAAAGACCAAATCTACGTCTGATTGGTGTACCTGAAAGTGATGGGGAGAATGGAACCAAATTGGAAAACACTCTGCAGGATATTATCCAGGAGAACTTCCCCAATCTAGCAAGGCAGGCCAACATTCACATTCAGGAAATACAGAGAACGCCACAAAGGTACTCCTCGAGAAGAGCAACTCCAAGACATATAATTGTCAGATTCAGCAAAGTTGAAATGAAGGAAAAAATGTTAAGGGCAGCCAGAGAGAAAGGTCAAGTTACCCACAAAGGGAAGCCCATCAGACTAACAGCAGATCTCTCAGCAGAAACTCTACAAGCCAGAAGAGAGTGGGGGCCAATATTTAATATTCTTAAAGAAAAGAATTTTCAACCCAGAATTTCATATCCAGCCAAACTAAGCTTCATAAGTGAAGGAGAAATAAAATACAGACAAGCAAATGCTGAGAGATTTTGTCACCACAGGCCTGCCCTAAAAGAGCTCCTGAAGGAAGCACTAAACATGGAAAGGAACAACCGGTACCAGCCACTGCAAAATCATGCCAAAATGTAAAGACCATCGAGGCTAGCAAGAAACTGCATCAACTAATGAGCAAAATAACCAGCTAACATCATAATGACAGGATCAAATTCACACATAAAACTATTAACTTTAAATGTAAATGGACTAAATGCTCCAATTAAAAGACACAGACTGGCAAATTGGATAAAGAGTCAAGACCCATCAGTGTGCTGTATTCAGGAAACCCATCTCACGTGCAGAGACACACATAGGCTCAAAATAAAAGGATGGAGGAAGATCTACCAAGCAAATGGAAAACAAAAAAAGGCAGGGGTTGCAATCCTAGTCTCTGATAAAACAGACTTTAAACCAACAAAGATCAAAAGAGACAAAGAAGGCCATTACATAATGGTAAAGGGATCAATTCAACAAGAAGAGCTAACTATCCTAAATATATATGCACCCAATACAGGAGCACCCACATTCATAAAGCAAGTCCTGAGTGACCTACAAAGAGACTTAGACTCCCACACATTAATAATGGGAGACTTTAACACCCCACTGTCAACATTAGACAGATCAACGAGACAGAAAGTCAACAAGGATACCCAGGAATTGAACTCAGCTCTGCACCAAGTGGACCTAATAGACATCTACAGAACTCTCCACCCCAATTCTACAGAATATACATTTTTTTTCAGCACCACACCATACCTATTCCAAAATTGACCACATACTTGGAAGTAAAGCTCTCCTCAGCAAATGTAAAAGAACAGAAATTATAACAAACTATCTCTCAGACCACAGTGCAATCAAACTAGAACTCAGGATTAAGAATCTCACTCAAAACCACTCAACTACATGGAAACTGAACAACCTGCTCCTGAATGACTACTTGGTACATAATGAAATGAAGGCAGAAATAAAGATGCTCTTTGAAACCAACGAGAACAAAGACACAACATACCAGAATCTCTGGGACGCATTCAAAGCAGTGTGTAGAGGGAAATCTATAGCACTAAATGCCCACAAGAGAAAGCAGGAAAGATCCAAAATTGACACCCTAACATCACAATTAAAAGAACTAGAAAAGCAAGAGCAAACACATTCAAAAGCTAGCAGAAGGCAAGAAATAACTAAAATCAGAGCAGAACTGAAGGAAATAGAGACACAAAAAACCCTTCAAAAAATTAATGAATCCAGGAGCTGGTTTTTTGAAAGGATCAACAAAATTGATAAACCACTAGCAAGACTAATAAAGAAAAAAAGAGAGAAGAATCAAATAGACGCAATAAAAAATGATAAAGGGGATATCACCACCGATCCCACAGAAATACAAACTACCATCAGAGAATACTACAAACACCTCTATGCAAATAAACTAGAAAATCTAGAAGAAATGGAAAAATTCCTCGACACATGCACTCTCCCAAGACTAAACCAGGAAGAAGTTGAATCTCTGAATAGACCAATAACAGGATCTGAAATTGTGGCAATAATCAATAGCTTACCAACCAAAAAGGGTCCAGGACCAGATGGATTCACAGCCGAATTCTACCAGAGGTACAAGGAGGAACTGGTACCATTCCTTCTGAAACTATTCCAATCAATAGAAAAAGAGGGAATCCTCCCTAACTCATTTTATGAGGCCAGCATCATCCTGATACCAAAGCTGGGCAGAGACACAACCAAAAAAGATAATTTTAGACCAATATCCTTGATGAACATTGATGCAAAAATCCTCAATAAAATACTGGCAAACTGAATCCAGCAGCACATCAAAAAGCTTATCCACCATGATCAAGTGGGCTTCATCCCTGGGATGCAAGGCTGGTTCAATATACACAAATCAATAAATGTAATGCAGCATATAAACAGAACCAAAGACAAAAACCACATGATTATCTCAATAGATGCAGAAAAGGCCTTTGACAAAATTCAACAACCTTCATGCTAAAAACTCTCAATAAATTAGGTATTGATGGGACGTATTTCAAAATAATAAGAGCTATCTATGACAAACCCACAGCCAATATCATACTGAATGGGCAAAAACTGGAAGCATTCCCTTTGAAAACTGGCACAAGACAGGGATGCCCTCTCTCACCACTCCTATTCAACATAGTGTTGGAAGTTCTGGCCAGGGCAATTAGGCAGGAGAAGGAAATAAAGGGTATTCAATTAGGAAAAGAGGAAGTCAAATTGTCCCTGTTTGCAGATGACATGATTGTATATCTAGAAAACCCCATTTTCTCAGCCCAAAATCTCCTTAAGCTGATAAGCAACTTCAGCAAAGTCTCAGGATACAAAATCAATGTACAAAAATCACAAGCATTCTTATACACCAATAACAGACAGAGAGCCAAATCATGAGTGAACTCCCATTCACAATTGCTTCAAAGAGAATAAAATACCTAGGAATCCAACTTACAAGGGATGTGAAGGACCTCTTCAAGGAGAACTACAAAGCACTGCTCAAGGAAATAAAAGAGGATACAAACAAATGGAAGAACATTCCATGCTCATGGGTAGGAAGAATCAATATCGTGAAAATGGCCATACTGCCCAAGGTAATTTACAGATTCAATGCCATCCCCATAAAGCTCCCAATGACTTTCTTCACAGAATTGGAAAGAACTACTTTAAAGTTCATATGGAACCAAAAAAGAGCCCGCATTGCCAAGTCAATCCTAAGCCAAAAGAACAAAGCTGGAGGCATCACGCTACCTGACTTCAAACTATACTACAAGGCTACAGTAACCAAAACATCATGGTACTGGTACCAAAACAGAGATATAGATCAATGGAACAGAACAGAGCCCTCAGAAATAACGCCGCATATCTACAACTATCTGATCTTTGACAAACCTGAGAAAAACAAGCAATGGGGAAAGGATTCCCTATTTAATAAATGGTGCTGGGAAAACTGGCTAGCCATATGTAGAAAGCTGAAACTGGATCCCTTCCTTACACCTTATACAAAAATCAATTCAAGATGGATTAAAGACTTAAACGTTAGCCCTAAAACCATAAAAACCCTAGAAGAAAACCTAGGCTTTACCATTCAGGACATAGGCATGGGCAAAGACTTCATGTCTAAAACACCAAAAGCAATGGCAACAAAAGCCAAAATTGACAAAGGGGATCTAATTAAACTAAAGAGCTTCTGCACAGCAAAAGAAACTACCATCAGAGTGAACAGGCAACCTACAAAATGGGAGAAAATTTTCGCAACCTACTCATCTGACAAAGGGCTAATATCCAGAATCTACGATGAATTCAAACAAATTTACAAGAAAAAACAAACAACCCCATCAAAAAGTGGGCAAAGGACATGAACAGACACTAGTAAAAAGAAGACATTTATGCTGCAAAAAAACACATGAAAAAATGCTCACCATCACTGGCCATCAGAGAAATGCAAATCAAAACCACAATGAGATACCATCTCACACCAGTTAGAATGGCAATCATTAAAAAGTCAGGAAACAACAGGTGCTAGAGAGGATGTGGAGAAATAGGAACACTTTTACACTGTTGGTGGGACTCTAAACTAGTTCAACCATTGTGTAAGTCAGTGTGGCGATTCCTCAGGGATCTAGAACTAGAAATACCATTGGACCCAGCCATCCCATTACTGGGTATATACCCAAAGGACTATAAATCATACTGCTATAAAGACACATGCACATGTATGTTTATTGCGGCATAATTCACAATAGCAAAGACTTGGAACTAACCCAAATGTCCAACAATGATAGACTGGATTAAGAAAACGTGGCACATATACACCATGGAATACTATGCAGCCATAAAAAATGATGAGTTCATGTCCTTTGTAGGGACATGGATGAAATTGGAAATCATCATTCTCAGTAAACTATCGCAAGAACAAAAAACCAAACACCGCATATTCTCACTCATAGGTGGGAATTGAACAATGAGAACACATGGACACAGGAAGGGGAACATCACACTCTGGGGCCTGTTGTGGGGTGGGGGGAGGGGGGAGGGATAGCATTGGGAGATACACCTAATGCTAGATGACAAGTTAGTGGGTGCAGCGCACCAGCATGGCACATGTATACGTATGTAACTAACCTGCACATTGTGCACATGTACCCTAAAACTTAAAGTATAATATTAAAGAAAAAAGAAAATATGGCATATATACACCATGGAATACTATGCAGCCATAAAAAATGATGAGTTCATGTCCTTTGTAGGGACATGGATGAAACTGGAAACCATCATTCTCAGCAAACTATCGCAAGGACAAAAAACCAAACACCACATGTTCTCACTCATAGGTGGGAATTGAACAATGAGAACACATGGACACAGGAAGGGGAACATCACACTCCGGGGACTGTTGTGGGGTGGGGGGAGGGGGGAGGGATAGCATTAGGAGATATACCTAATGCTAAATGATGAGTTAATGGGTGCAGCACAACAGCATGGCACATGTATACATATGTAACTAACCTGCACATTGTGTGCATGTACCCTAAAACTTAAAGTATAATAATAATAAAATTAAAAAAAAAGATAATCCTTGTGTTCTGTCAATTGTTAATACTCAGCACAATGTCTGGCTAAGCTGAGTGGAGAGATAAGTTCTGTGGTGTTGGACTCAAAGCTCTGACAAGCACCTCATGTTCTTGGAATGGCTCAGGTGCTCTTGTCTCATGGGGTGAGTGCCTTCCCTACCTGGTACAGTGTTCCAAAGTTTCCACATTGGAGTCTTTGACTCTTTACTTATTTAGCAGTCAGTCTTGGAGGCAGAAGTACTCTTACTCTCCATATTTTACCAGGGGTAACAGAAGCCTAGAGAAGTTCAGTTATTGCCCAAGGCCACACAGCAAAGAATGGACATGTCCTTTGAATCCAGAGCTCTTTAACTGTTATGCTATTCTTCATGTGGCCCTTCACCCCCAGCTTTAAGTTGAAGGATGGGCCTAAGGTAGTCGGACTTGAAAGCATCATTGTGATGACAGTTTTATCTTTGACATGTCCAAGAACTTCATTCTCTTCCAAGGGAGTGTTGTAGAGAGACAGAAAAAAATCAGAAAGTTCTATGAGGACTTTGAGACAATTCAAGCAGGCCCTTAAAACACCCAGAGTTGCTTGGCATGGACCTTTTACAATAGCTTCCAACCTCTTGGGCTTGTTGACTCCCCAGTTATTTCACTTGAATGTTGGGGGCTAGATCCAGGGTTTTGATGAGCTCTTTGATCCTGCAGCAAAGTGGGCAAGGCCACGCTAATTGTGTGGGGTTGCAGTTCTGTGTGGTTACAAAGCCCTCTTGGAGTAGTTTCATCACTTTATTTTACTTGGTGTGAAGCAGAGTAATTGCAGAGCTGGCAAAGCTGTGCAGATCACCTGTTCCCAGTCTCCTCATTTAGCAGCTGTGCATAAGCAGGCACAACGCTCATCTGTACTGCATTGCCTTGTTGTTAATGGTAACCTGGCTGACTGTTTTTCCATCTCATTTGCATAGATGGCCCTAAAGAGACTGAAATTGTACCAAGTGATGCATTTTGAGCAAAGGGTCAATCTGGTGATCGTTTCATAAAAAATACCTTCGGGGATGTGCAAACATGATCTGCAAGGCATGAAAGTCAGTGCCTCATTTGCCTTATCAATCTGGATACTATACCTGCTTTCTCCTCCAATGAAGTTAATCTGGTGCTACCCTTAGCATTGCAAAGTCTCTCTAGATTCAGAAAATCATTTGTATTCCAGGAGGCCTTAAGCATCACCATAGTAATCAAGTAAGTCCTGAGATCCAAATCCTTACCACTGTTCAAATATTAATTGGAACAAATATAGCTACTCTAAGGGAAAAGACAGACTGTGTGTGTGTGTGTGTGTGTGTGTGTGTGTGTGTGTGTGTGTGTGCCTGTCTGTCTGAGAAAAGGGATATACTATTCTTTATTCATAGTGGTCATCCTTCTGACTCCCTATAGAAGACTGGTGAATTGCCTTTTTATAGTACGGTAATTTATAGAGGATCATTTATTCTCTTTTTCAGTGCCAAATGTGGTCATGTGCTTTTCAGAGCTTCAGAGTTAAGTTTGAACAGACAAGAAAGAGAGTACTTATCTGAAAAGAATATTTCTCTATATGAAGAAAATAAAATTAATGGAGAGGCAGTTATAATGGGGGAGTGACAGATACTGAAAATAACTCAGTGATTAACTAATTAATAAATAACTTTTAATAAAATAACTCCCAATGATTTCTGTTTTCATATTCTGTTAGAAGATAAATTGTTCTATATGCTGCGAATTTGCTCTGTTGACAGTAAAGCAAAGCCAGTTCTCATTTCTTTTCTGCTATAGCCCTTACTGCTTAACACAATGACCTTGAAGTCTCTCTGTGAATAAAGACACATCTATATTAAGTATGAAGTACATTTGAATGACATACTGTTCATTTAATCTTATCATTGAGTCAACAGTTTGTGTCAATATATAAAGGAAGATATACTCTATATATGTTTATGTGTAGATGTACAGATTTAAAGACAGAATCACACACAAAAGTTACTTAATAATTAAGTAGAGGTCCTTAGATATGAAGATGGCAGTATAAGACGTCAGTTTTGCTGTTCTAGAAGAGGCAGGTGCTGAGCTAGACAGAGGACATGTCAGGGCAGCAAATGCAGAGTTCCTTAGATTTAAAATCTTACATGCTCAGCACACAACACTCCTGACTCACCACTGCGTCAGGGACCCACAAAAGTTTCATTATTCCTCCACCAAATATGTAAGGAGAAGAGCATTAAAAGGTACATTTGCTGAGAAGAACTTGAGGTCCCCACTTTGTACCCAACCATGGGATTTCCTCTTATTGTATTAGTTATCTATTGCTGCACACACACAAAAAATTATTCTAAACCTTAATAACTTCAAACAACAAACGTGTTATCTTGCGGTTTCTGTGGGTGCAAAATCCACATGCAGCTTAGCTAAGTGCCCCTCTGACTCAAGGTCTCTACAAGGATGCAATTGAAGTCTTGGCCAGGGAACCTCAAGGCTTGAAGAGAAGAGGCTCTGCTTCCATGCTCACCCACATGGCTGTGGTCAGGCCACACACAGGTCCTTCCTGATTGTTGGACAGAGTCATCAGTTCCCATGAACGGGGCCTTGCCATAGGGCAGATCACATCATGGTGGCTACCCTCACCTACAGCCAGTGAACAAGCCAGGAGAGGCCAAGTGTCCAGGTGAGAAGCCACAGTCTTTGTGTCACCTAATCTCAGATGTGGCATCTCATCACGTTTGCTGTATTCCCTTCCTAGAATTGAGTTACCAGGTCCAATCCAAACTCAAGCGGAGGGGATCACAGAGGGGCATGAAGATCAGGAGGTGGAGATCCCTGGAGGACACTCAGAAGCCATATACGACACCTATGGACACACCTCTTACTTAATGTGATGGAGGAGGGAACCGATCCCTGCTAAATCACATAGGAGGGGAGCTCAAGGAGGGAACTGGGGGTCTAGAACCATTGTCGGATCCTGCCTTGTGGGCTCCTCATACCATTGGCCTCTGAGACATTCCAAATGAAGCAAACATGAGATTTATCTCCAGCTACTGCCACTCACGTCTCCAGCCCTTGGCTTATTCCAACTCTGAAGGTCAGGTCAACAGCAATTTGAGGCAGTCAGCTTGGCAGGGGGTCAGGCCAGATGCACTGTACTCTCAATGGCCGTCACTGGGAACAGGCCACACAAATCCAAACATAGGGCCAAGCCAGTGAAAGCCCTTCCTGGCTCCTGAAAAGCAGAAGCACTCACTTGTAGAGAATGTTATCATTATAGCCTCTAATGGCAGATAAAATGTTTTTCTTCATAAAACTGACTAACTCTTATGGAGACCAGACCCTTGGATTTACTTACTGGTACCATTTTAAGGCAGCATAACAGAGTGCTTGAAAATGAGTTGGGTTTGAGTGTTAACTTATTGACTGGGTAAATTTAGATAAGTCAGTTAACCTCACAGCATCTCTCTTTTCTCGCCTGTAAAATGGGGACATCAGATTTGCCCTCCCAGGTTTGATGCAAACTTTGGTGTCAACTGTGAGATCTAGGTAAAGGGTTAAGCCTCACTATGTTGGTTATGATGATAATGAATGTGACTGTGAGAAATGCGTTTTCCATTCCTCATGTTTTGGCAGAAGGAATGGGATTTTTATTCTAATTCCCAGGGATAAAAAGACGGGAGGATCATTTTTATTAGCTTCTCTCTGTCCCTTCACTCGCTCCTTCCAGCTGGTGTGGATGTGCCTGATGCCCTGCTGAGAGGAGCTTCATTAGGAGGCATGGCTGGGCCAGGTGGCCAAAAGTAGTTGATCATTAAATCTTCTAGCTCCTGGTTTCTTGAATACGAGTCCTTTGCATACTGAGTCATCTCATCATCTGTGAACAAGCTGTCATTTTACTCTCACTTTGTGGGGAAAACATTTTCTAAAATTAGCCATTCAAGTTTATCCTAATTATAATTACAGCATTACCCAAAAGCCACACCTGACATGGGCAGAGATTCCCCTGATGGCTTTAAAATATCCCTTCCTCTGAGCTAGGAAAGGAGAATAAAAACAGTGGAATTAATTATTAAGAACTTAAGATTCACATTGGATGGCTTTACCATGTCTTTGCTAAAACCACATGAAAATTTATTTTTACCTCCTAAAGATCCATGAAATTTAGAGGGACTTTATGAGGATAAAATGAGATAAAATATGAGAAGCACAGTGTCAGGCATCCCTAGCAAGTTTTCAATCAATGTTGATAACAACAACACGGTCAAGGTTGTTACAGTAAATGATAGGATGATCATTTACAAATGTTACAAGGAAGGCAGCCTGCTGGGGGATGTAGAGAAATTCAATGAGGAAACCTGTGCTGAAGGTGCCATTAGGGGTGAATTTCATATCCATAAACAACTGAGTAGCAAAGATTCTAAATTAAGCCTAATCAGTGTTTCCCAAGATAGTGTTCCAGAAAACAGTATTTTAGGATATGATAGTGGATGGCTTGCAGAAAGAAATGAAAGCATTCTACGGTCAAACAAGTTTGTGAAAATGTGTGCCCCGGCGGCTCCCTTTCTTGGGAGATTCACAGGGCATGTTCCGTTTCTACAGCCTGCGACAAGCCCTGTAGGAAAGCACGTGGATTCCCTTGGTTTAACTCCACTTCTCAAACTACTTTAGCACCCGGACTCTCCATTCTCTACGCTGTTACCAGAGAGATCTCTGCAAAAGACAAACATGATCTTCCCACCTTCTTGCTTGCAGCCGCTTGATGGCTCCCCATTGCTCTCAGGATAAAGTACAATCTGGTCCTCACGACCTAGGTTTGGTTGGTTTGTGTGGCCCGGGCCCCAGATGTCAGCCTTACCTCACTGGGCATAGTCTCTCTCTCGGTACTGCTGTTCACATCGTGAATGGACCCTGGTCCTTCCTGCCACAGGGCTTTATTATTATTTTTTAATTTATTTTTATTTATTTATTTATTTATTTATTTATTTATTTATTTATTTATTTATTTATTTTGAGAGGGATCCAGCTCTGTCACCCAGGCTGGAGTGCAGTGGTGCAATCTCGGCTCACTGCAACCTCCTCCTCCTAGGTTCAAGCGATTCTTGTGCTTCAGTCTCCTGAGTAGCTGGGATTACAGGTCCGCACCACTACATCCAGCTAATTTTTGTATTTTTAGTGGAGATGGGGTTTCACCATGTTGGCCAGGCTAGTCTCAAACTCCTGACCTCAAGTGATCCGCCCACCTCAGCCTCCCAAAGTGCTGGGATTACAGGCGTGAGCCACCACGCCTGGCCTGCCACAGGGCTTTAAACAACTTGTCCCCTTGGTATGGAGCATTTTCCTTGTCCCCCTTTTCACGTTGACCTATGACCCCTCCTCCCCCTTGTCCTGCTCTGTTGTCCCCTCCTCAGGCCTCCAGTCACAACAGTGTTGGGCCTTCCCAGAGCTCATGGTCTGAAGGTTTACTGAGAGATTGCTTACTTACTGCTTCCCCCACCCCAAAACCTAACATTGATGAGGACAACCTCTCCTCCAAAGTCCTGACAATGATTCTGGGGAAACATGGGCTGCCAGAACGCCTACCCAGCAGGTAGGTGGACCAGGGAAGCTCTATTTCTCTTCTTTTCGTTTTGTTTGCTGTTATCAAGACATTATTTTCAAAATATTTTCATCCTGGGAAATACTGAAGTACAAAGTAGACTGCAATAAGGGTCCTGTGGAAGCTATAAGAAAAAAAAGAGGAGGTGGCCGGGCGCGGTGGCTCACGCCTGTAATCCCAGCACTTTGGGAGGCTGAGGTGGGCAGATCACGAGGTCAGGAGATCGAGACCATCCTGGCTAACACGGTGAAACCCCGTCTCTACTAAAAATACAAAAACAAAATTAGCCAGGTGTGGTGGTGGGCACCTGTAGTCCCAATTACTCGGGAAGCTGAGGCAGGAGAACGGCGTGAACCCAGGAGGCGGGGCTTGCAGTGAGCCGAGATCGCGCCACTGCACTCTCCAGCCTAGGCAACAGAGCAAGACCCTATCTCAAAAAAAAAAAAAAAAAAAAAAAGAGGAAGGGTTTAGGTGCATACAGGAAAGAGAGGTGTCTCAAAATAATCATGATCAACCACACTTCTTTTTTTTTTAAGTTCTGGGGTATATGTGCAGAACGTGCAGGTTTGTTACATAGGTATACACGTGCCATGGTAGTTTGCTGCACCCATCAACGCATCGTCTACATTAGGTATTTCTCCTAATGCTATCCCTCCCCTAGACTCTCAACCCCCAACAGGCCCTGGTGTGTGATGTTCCCCTCCCTGTGTCCATGTGTTCTCACTGTTCAGTACCCACTTATGAGTGAGGACATGCTGTGTTTGGTTTTCTGTTCCTGTGTTGGCTGAGAATGATGGTTTTCAGCTTCATCCATGTCCCTGCAAAGGACATGAACTCATCCTTTTTATGGCTGCATAGTATTCCATGGTGTATATGTGCCACATTTTCTTTATCCAGTCTATCATTGATGGGCATTTGGGTTGGTTCCAAGTCTTTGCTATTGTAAATAGTGCCACAATAAACATACATGTGCATATGTCTTTATAGTAGAATGATTTATAATCCTTTGGGTATATACCCAATAACAGGATTTCTGGATCACCGCACTTCTAGGGTACTCTCCTTAGGCTAGACAGTGCTGTAAGCAGTTTTAAGTATTTAGTGAGTTCATGCTCAGAGCAACTGATGAGGCTTTACAAATGAGGAAACTAAGACAAGGGTAAAACGTCTGAGGGTGCACTTCCTGTGAGTGGAACAGCCAGGAACTTAATCCAGGCAGCTTGATTTCAGAGCCTGCCATGTTGAGAGTAAGAATGGCTTCCAGAAGAGGTGGCCTTTAAGGTAGAGCTTGATAATTAGATAGGATTTGGATATTGGGAGACCAGCGGTGGTTGGGAGTGGAATATATGGAAGGTGAAGGCAAAGGTCAAATTTTGGAAGAGATAGGGCATAGGTCCCTGAGTTTGGCTGGAGTGGAGAGGCAGGAAGAAGGGTGGAAAGAAACCATGCTAGGATGGCAGGCTGCAGCCAGAGCCTTGAGTTCTTAAATGCTGTGTTAAGGAAGTATCAAATCTGTTTGACAAGCTGCAATGAGTTAGTAAAGATTTTATTTCAGGGCTGTATAGAATCAGAGTTCCGCTTTACTACATTAGATGGATGTGGAATGGGCATGACCATATATATCCAGGATAGATATGAATCATACCTATAGTTCTGAAGTAATTATTAATAGTGGCTGCTTTCACTGTTAAAGGTGTCCTGGCTTGGATGAGAAATTAAATGGTTACCCTACATAGGAAGGGTTGGAGGTGGGCAAAGACTACAGGCTAGGAAGGAAGGTTGTTGTAATGCCTAAGTGGCAGACAGAGAATTTTGGACTAAGGGAGGGCTTTATAGAAAGAGAAAAAGATGGGTTCAGGAAATATGGCAGCAACAGGGTGATGGTATGTAACAAATATTTGGATATTTAGGAACAAGGGAGACTGAGGAATCACAGGTGATTGGGGGTTTCTGTGTGGCTGAGCAGGTGGTGAGTAATCCTTGTAATATAAGTTAGTAATATAATATAAGTTATATTACAAGGATAATATATTATCCTTGTAATATAATTCATCTGGGATGAATGAGAGGAAAATGGCTCTTGGGTCTGTGTGTAAGTTGCTCACAGGAGAATCAGGTGAAGATATTAAAAAGAAAGCCGACCCAGTGAACTTGGGCTATGGGAGAAGACTCTCAGGACTGAAGACTCAGGTTCAGGGATCATCTTACAGAAGTGGTTAAAACCATGAGAGTGCTCTAGAACAAGGTCCCTGTGTTTTATTTATTTGTGTGTTTCTCTATTTACTTCCACTACTTAGAAAAATGTGTTTAGGGTGCTTAAGACAATGAACAGCAAAGCTCAAACCATTCAAACTAGAGATAAGGGATAAACAATACAGAGAAATGGGAAGAAGAAGGTTTGTTGAGGTTGCTGAAAATACAGTAGAAAAAAAGAGGGCCCAGAGTAGAACATGGAGGAGCTCCTAAAGCGTGGGTCTGGGTGGGGCAGAGGGTGAAGAAGGAGCTAAATTTCTGGAAAACCCCTATTTACAGTAAAGTTCACAGCCAAATTTTCTTCCCAGCTCTAGAATTGCTCTAAGTCTCTCTCTTAACATTCCCCAAACTCCCTGTGGAACCCAGGCCCCCAGATAAGCTTGCTGAGAATTCACTTCCCTACTTTGCCCGTGGAAGTTCCGCTATGATCTATGAGACTGACCACAGTGCACAAGGAGGAGCTGTTGAGAGAGTGGGGATGATAGCTTCCCAATAGAAACAAGGGCCAGGTACTTAGGGGAGCAGCAGCATTGGAAGGGCATCGATTTCCATCTTTTTATTCTTATTTTCTGTCTGGCTTGCAGTTTGGTTTCTCACACGGAACACTTCTTCAAGAAGCCATGTCACTAAACTGCAAGATGACTTGTTCATAGTTGCTACTCTGAAAACTTTTCTCACTCTTGTTCTCCATGCCTCCTCCCCATTCTCCTTTTCCCCTCCCTCTCTCTCACTCCCTCAACAGTATTGCGGTGAAAACATGCTTTGATGAATTACAGCTTCCACATGATGTGCACCTTCACTTCCTCCAGAGTTTTTGGAGGGTCTCTCCAAAGAAGAGGAAATTTACAGCCTACTGAAAAGTTCCTATTAATCATCTTCATGATCATATGGTTGAGATGTTCTGCCTAAATATCTTCAGGCTCTGTTTGTGTCCTGGCCAGCACTTACAGCAACACAGTGCCCTTTGAAAGATTGATGTTGTAAGTTCTAAAGCCTCCTTGGGGTTTTGGCTTTGAGAAAGAGGTTAGATCCAGCCCAGTATTGCCAACTCAGATGAAAATGGAGCACTGGCCCAAGTGCCAAGAGCCAGAGACTAGTGTTCTTGATTTCTACCCAAGTCCTCTGGGGCTCAGAGTCACCCAACAGTGGTAGAGGTTCCATTTCAAACAGCCCTCAGAAGAAATGTGCCATTAAAGCCAAAGAGACTTTTGATACAAAAAAAACACTCTTTCAGAAATTGTTTTTACTTTAGATTTTAAAAAATTAAAATTTTCTCATATTTTCCCTTTCCAAATTTTTATTTTATTAGCTGGCTACTGTGCTTCTAACCTGCATGCAGATCATGTTGACAAAACTGTAACACAGAAGAGCCTTCTGAATTCTGAAGCTCCAGTAGGCTGTAAACCTCTTCCAAAATCTGCAGCCTGTTAGCACCTTTGCAAGTGCTTGATTCAACAGAAAATAAAGAGTTGGCAAATGCCTATATTTTTCCAATAATTTTATTTCCCAAGACCAAGGATTGCTTTTCATTTAACAAGGGAATCCATAAATCAGTATCCTCCAGCTCCCTGGTCAATGGAAGTAAAAGGGGAGGCCTTCACCTTCTTCTACCATCAGAATTCACAGTGGTCTTTGGGAAAGCACAGATGTTAATCAGATTTGAGAGATTCAAGGGGCAGAAACATGTGATTTCCTTTGCAACCACATCTTTTCTGCACTTACTCTCATTCATCTGCTGCTGTCAACTGCATACTGGTTGGGAGTTAATTTCAGCCTTGCTGTTACTTTCTAAAAGCTATCAATTCTTCTGACACTTAATAATGTCATGATGGTATGGCATCTAAGGTCAAAGCTCATCAATATTCTAAAATATACCACTAGGGGGTCATTAATAATAATGACAATAATAATAGAAAAGCACTAAAATATTCACTGAAACCAGGCTCTTCAATATTTAGCCTGGTTTCTTTTAGACTCTTTCATATCTTTCATAATTTAAGATCCATTAGTTTATGTTAATCCCAACTTAAATTGAGAGCCAACTTCTTTTATTTGCAAGTAATCTGGAAGTGGGGTCCAAGGACTATATTCTAATCATGATGTGAACTTAGATATAATTCATTCACCACCATGTATCTCATTTTCCTCACCAATATAAGGGAACATATTTATTTTTTATACCTACTGCACACAGTGTTGATGCTAAAAGTACTATAGCAGGGATAAAAACCCACATATATGTGTGAATCACTGTCCTTTCTTGCTTTATCCTGAGAAAAATGTTTTTAATCTAAAAAATTTACTCCAATATCAAACATAAACTGAGGTTCTTACTGTAGGAGAGGAAGCACACAGAAAATGCACATATCCCAGGGACCTGGGAGGGGAGACTGTGGGTGTATTAGAGGAGCCTCTGCTGATGGTTGATGATTGACAGGGTACCAAGGACATATAAAGGCCCCTTTAACTACCATCTAATTTCCCTTCCTTCCCTTCCTTCCTTCTTTCCTTCTTTCCTTCCTTCCTTTCTTCCTTTCTCCTTCCTTCCTTCCTTCTCTTTTCTTTCTTTTTCTTCTTGTGGTCTGCCTATCTGTCTTTCTGTCTGTCTCTGTCTGTCACCCAGGCTAAAGTACAGGGTGCAGGATCATAGCTCACTATAACCTTGAACTTCCGGGCTCAAGTAATCCTCCTGCCTCAGCCTCCTGAGCAACTGGGACTACAGTTGCTCATCATCATGCCTGGCTAATTTTTTATATACTTCTTTTGTAGAGACAGAGGTCTTACTATGTTGCCCAGACTGGTCTCAAACTCCTGGACTCAAGAGATCTGCTCACCTTGGCCTCCCAAACTGCTGGAATTACAGGCATGAGCTACTGCAATCGCCCCCATCTAACTTCCTACAGATGTCCGTTTACATTCCTTCCTGTGATGATTTTTAATGCATCTTAACAACTATTATGTCAACATATTTGTTTAAAATATTTTGAGAAGGCATCAGTTTGGAGAAGGTGCTCAAGGCAGACAACTCCTCCTTCTGTTCCCAACCAATCCTCCTTCCAGCTTTGTTGCTGCGGTCCTATCCTTGCCCATGGATCCTATGTAAAGAGATGGTCAGCCTGGGAATGAACAGCTATGAAGAGGTAGTGACCCTCACCCAACTAGGAGGGCCTACAACTCAAAATCATAGGTGACCAAGTAAAGCTGAATTTACCAGTCTAGGAGTTTCTAGCAGCCAGATGTTTACATAGGTCAAATCTGTTTTGAAGAGAGAAAATAGAGAACCAGAGATGGAAGGTGGGTGGCAGAGGGATGGAGATACGGCTTTAATAGGATAAAAGAGGTAGAGGGAAATAAACAGAAGGCTTAGACCTGCAAGGGAAGTCACCGTCTGAGAGAAGGGAGGGACTGGGGAGAGGGGAAAGAGGGAGGCAATGATCTTTGAGAGGTTCATAAGCCAGGTGGGGTGGAATGTTTTGTTATTATTTTCTGCAGGATCATTACTTTGGCCAAGTTCAGTGAGTGGTTATAGAACAATGAAAGACATCAGAGTTGCACATCTGATTATTGAAATCTCAAGCAAACAGCATCAGTCAAGGCCAACAAGTCCATGATATTCTGCTGGTACCTGCTGCTGTCTGTTAGCACTTTTGCAAGTGCCAGATTCAGAAGAAACTAAAGAGATTTTGCATATGTCCATACTGTCCCAACAATTTTGTCTCCCAACTAGAAATTAGATAAAGCTTGTTGTTTGGTATAAAAAAATTGATGTTAAATTCATTTTCCATATGTCTTTTTTTTGTGTTCTTTAATGAAAGGCAAATGAATAGGCATTTGTTTTTCTAACTATAAAGGTGTCAACTTTAAAAAATTATTAAAATCAATTAATTCATGTAATTAATGGATATAGTGAATGCAAATTTAGATGGAAGGGGAGGAAATGAAACTGAATTTATGTTATATAGATGTTATGCTTGTATTAATAAGGATATAGTAATTACCGGCATTCTGCGAGTTGTAAAATAGGTGTATCTCCTAGATCATTCTCAAGAAAGTTTTATGAGTTCCTTTCTTGATTTCCATGTCTAACAGAGCTAATTATAAAAAACTACACATTGTGCTAATTTCCAGGGCTTTATGGTCTATATTTCATTTACTCTTATCCCATTCTTATGAGTAATAAGAACAAAATATACACATAATATAAACATTGATCAATACAAGAAAAATATGCATTTCCCATGTTTGAACAGCAAACTGACACTATGATGCAATCTAGAAATCTCTGCAGACTCAGGTAGAAGGAGCAAGATGACTGCTACTGGGTGATACTAGGAATAATTGTCACTGTTTAAGGAGCACATGCCTGCTGGCCACGCGCTCTGCTAGGCACATTTTACACTTTGCCTAAATACTCATAACAGCCCTGCAAGGTAGGTATTATTTCTACCCATTCCCTTCCCTCATTTTAAAGATGGGAAAACTGAGGCCCAGAAAATCACCATCCTAGGGCACACAGTTAGCAAGTGATCAATCAGAATTTAAACAAAGTCTGAATCCAAATTCTTTTTCCCACATGCCTTTGCCTCTCAGTAGAGAGGATCCTGAGAATACAGATTATTTTAACTCTTCCCTTAGTTTGATAGGTCATAGCCATAGGACTGTATGCTTTTTAGGATGGAGATCTTGAGCCAGTATTACATAAAAAAAAGAAACCCACATTTGAAAGGAAGAAATACAATTCCAAGATAATCTTTCAGTACTCTTTTATCTTGTAAATTGAATAAGCACATTACATTGAGAGATATCACTGTGGAATTCTGGGGCTTATAAAAGAGTCAGATGGTAGCCAGTAAGTTGTTTGAATATCATACTCTCAACTTCTCTCCAAGCTTTGTAATATAAGTAGTATTATAGTGACAGTAACGTCAACAGAAGAATCCGTTCTGCTTTTATGTTGCACGTCCATCACTTTATCTTATATAATCCTCACCCACACACACAAAACCAAAGAGCTAACAAAGACAAGCTTTAACAATTCTCCATCTTAGAGGTGTGGAGACTTTCAGTGACTTGCTCTGAGTACCGAAGACAGTGGGTGGTGGAAGAAGGATCATTCATTTGTTCCTTGGGAGGAGAGAGGCACAGCTTTCCTGGGGCTGCCCTGCCTTCCACTGCTGCCCTGTGGCTCTCCAGGGCAATATGTCATTGGCTTTTGCCTATATGGTGTAAGATGATTTTTCAAAGCTGGCAGGAACCGTGTTTAATTCCTCCTTCATTATCTACTGTGAAGGATGTGCAGTGCTGGCCACAGCGAGGGAACTTGGAGCTCCCCAGGGTTGGAATTTTTCTACAGTGTTTTTAACATTCAACACTTGGAGTTGGTAACTAAGTGAAATGGGTTAATGGTGTGAGTATCCTGTCCTCATTAAAGTATATAAAATGCTATATTCAGGACAAGTGAGGACATAATTACTTTTTTAGAATCATCTTAAAGAATTTTCTAACTCTCTTCTCATGGCTCAATTCTGACAAATAAATTGTGTTGGCTCTGGGGAAACATCAAGCATTCTACATCATTTTCCAAAAGGACTTTAAGAATAATTGTGTCTTTGGATACTTTTCTCAATTCTAGTTCCCAAAATTTATTGTAGATATTCTATCTCCACCCTTACTTTTCTAAAATCTTTTCTGAGTCTTTTAAAACATCACTAGCCAGTCCTTGTGCATTATTCTAGGTAATGTCACGTAGAAATTCTCCATTAAAATAGTCTCGTGATTTATTTCCCATTAAACATTTACCAGCTAAAACTACTACAGGTAATAGACAACATAATTTTTATCTGGATTTTAAACACAAAAAGGAAATACACATTTTCAAAAAAGTATAACATTGTGTGTGTGTGTGTGTTGACTTTGGTTTCTGACTTTGGTTTTCATTTGGAAACACTGTATATACTATCTAGCAATCAAACTTTACATAATGTAATTTCTACTTTTATTTATTTTTTTTTGAGATAAGGTCTTGCTCTGTCACTCAGGCTGGAGTGCAGTGGCACAATTATGGTTCACTGCAGCCTCAGCCTCCTGGGTTCAAGCAATCCTTTCTATCTCAGCCTCTTGAGTAGCTGGTACTACAGGTATGCGCCACCAAATCTGGCTAGTTTTTGTGTTTTCTTTTTTTTGTAAAGACTGGGTTTTTTCATGTTGCCCATGCTGGTCTCTAACTCTTGGGCATAAGTGATCCACCTGCCTTGGCCTCTCAAAGTGCCGAGATTCCAGGCATGAGCCACCGTGCCCAGCCAATTTCTACTATTTTAACTCAGCTTTTGTGCTCTCTGATTGCCCTGAAAACCTCAAGCCAAAATCTCCTTTTCTAGAACTTTTTTTCCTATAGCTTAAACATATAGAAATATGGCTCAAATGGATTGTATTTTTTTTGAAGCAACCAATCAATGGGGTTGTTCATCCACATGCCATCTGGAAATTTCAGATGCTTTACCTGTTTCCCTATGTCTCTTATTGTCTGCATCAAGTTAGTGACCAAATCTTACAAATTCTAATTCAGAAATGTTTCTTCTTTGCTTTCCCACTGCCAAAGTCTCAGCTCAGGCCTCACTTTCTATTGCCTGCACTATTTCCATCAGCTTCCTCTCTGGACTTCATTTCTTTGGTATCATCTTGCTCCAAGTCATCCACTACACTCCATTAGATTATCCATCTTTTGACATAAAACAACCACCGCCACCCAAACAACCCCATATTGAACGACTTTCTGATTACAAAGCCTCCGTTACCAATATGGAAACCAATTCAAAATCTTGAACTTGGTAGATAAGACTTTGTATTTAGACTATAACTTCCTCCTTCTTCTCATATCTTATTGCCCACTCACTCCATGGCCTTTGTGCTCCAACCAGGTTGGCCTTCTTCCCTCAGTGCATGGACTCTCTCAAATCTGTACTTTTGCATGTCCTGACTTGTCTTCCTGAATATCCCTCCTTCCCAAGAGGAAAGAGAAATCATCCTTCTGCAAAACCCTTCTAACTCTTGAGACAGTCATCCACTCTCCTCTGGATGCTAAGGGCACTTTGGTTATAATTCTGGCTTGGCACATTTAAACTTTTCTTGTTTTGTCTATGTTTATTTGTATGTCCTTCTTTCCCATAAAACTGAGCATTAAGAGGGAAGAAACATGATGGCTGGGCACAGTGGCTCAAGCCTATAATCCCAGCACTTTGGGAGGCTGATGCAGGTGGATTGCTTGAGGCCAGGAGTTTGAGACCAGCCTGGCCAACATGGCGAAACCCCATCTCTACTAAAAATACAAAAATTAGCTGGGTATGGTGGCATACACCTGTAATCCCAGCTACTTGGGAGGCTGAGGCACAAGAATTGCTTCAACCTGGGAGGCAGAGTTTGCAATGAGTCGAGATTGTGCCACTGCACTCCAGCCTGGGCAACAAAGCAAGACTCTGTATAAAAAAAAAAAAAAAAAAAAGAAGAAAGAAAAAGAAGAAAAGGGAAAAGGGAAGGTGTTATTCCAGCTTTTCCTAAATGTCAGTATTTATTTTACCACCTTTGCAATTTCTTCCTTATGTGACTCCACTGGAAACTGTGATATTTCAATGAATGGCTAAAACTGAATACTGTGATATGCAGGAAAAACCAGTATTTACATAATGCACACTAGCCATGTTTCCAAACAGTATGGATGCCTAAAGATTCTTCAGTTGAGGGCGGGAAAAGCCAGCAGACAGAATGAGGCAGAGCTGAGGCAGAACATAATAGAGAAAAGAGAGAGGAAGAAAGAATGTGAAAGAGATCTCACATGATGGTGTAACCCTGGATCCCGCTGTGCAAGATGTACCATTGCAGCCTTCTCCAGCAGAAAGTCTAGCCATGGCAGAAATTGCAGTGTGTTTGTCAAAATCCATTTTTTTCTTCCTTTTATGCACACAGCTAGACCACAGTTCTCAGACTCTTGTAGTTAGGTGTGGCCTGTGAGTTCTCACCTTATGTGGCCGAAGCCCATGATCACATCCCATGAGGGATCATTCATTTCCTTTCCCTACCCATTGGCTAGGAGGCTGAAGGCTTGGAGAAGAGTGCATCCTGCAGCCATCTGGGCAGGTATGCCACCATAGATCAGTGGCAAGAGCTAAAAAGAAATGTTTATTGTGTTAAGATGCTGAGATCTGGGGGGTAACTGTTTAAGCAACTGTCGATTAATACCTTAACTGATCAATCTAAAAATTAACCTTTTATTGCTAAAGGCAATTTAAGTTGCGCTTCTGTCACCGGCAACCAGAAGAGTCCTGCTTATAACATTTGGCCACTTGAATGTAATCAACGTGAGGGAGTGGCAGCATTACAGCGGAAAAATACTGGACTTAAAATGAGACTAGCCAGGTTCCTTGTTGTTGTCTTACTAATTTTGTAATTTCCATTAAGCATGCTTTGGGTTTGACTTTTACTATGACTTCCAGCTAATCTAATCTCTACTGTCACTACTTGATTCCTCCCACTTCCACAGTGGCGCTATGAAATGTATTGGTTATTTGAACCATCAGGCCAATGATAGTATTACGCGGTGTTTCCATTTAATGATTGTTTTCTTTCCAGGTATTTGGGAAAGCCTCAGAAATAATCTTAAGAACCTCTTTGAAGGCAAAAACATGAAAAGTTATTTTGGAAAATTTCAAACATACACAAAAGTAGAGAAAATATCATGGCAAACTGCCATGCAGCCATTGTCAACCTTCTAACATTATCACCGTTACATTTCGCCTATTTTCCTCTCTTCTATGCCCTGCTTCCTGCTCTTTTTTTTTTTAATTGCTGGAGTATTTTAAAGCAAATTCCAAGCATAAAGTTATTTCACCCCTAAATATTTCAGCGTGTATGTGTTTATGTATGTGTGTAGGTACATATTTATTTCATATATGCATGTATAAATTTTGTATGTCCCTAACAGATGAGGACTTTTTAAAAACATAAGTACAATATCATTACCACATCTCACAAAAGGGGCAATAATTCCTCAATATTGTCTAATACTCATACCATTTTAAATTTCCTCAGTTATCTTAAGAAGTTGGTTTGGTTTCAATCAGCCTCCAAAAAGGTCTACATACAGCATATGGTTGGGGTGTATTTTGAGTATTTCCTGATATAGGTGACTATATCAATTAGTTTTAGCTATTAAAGCACTACAAAGCTCAATGGCATAAATCAAGCTTGTCCAACCCATGGCCTACGGGACCACATGCAGCCCAGCATGGCTTTGGATGTGGCCCAACACAAATTTGCAAACTTTCTTAAAACATTATGAGATTTTTTTTGCAATTTTTTTAAAGCTCATCAGCTATCCTTAGTGTATTTTATGTGTGGCCAAAGGCAATTCTTCCCTTGTGGTCCAGGGAAGCCAAAAGATAGGATACCCCTGGTGTAAATCAACATCCCATTTTGGAAGAATTTGTGGTTTGGCGATTTGAGCTGGGCTCAGGTGTGAGAAGGTGCTAGGTCAGCTGGAGCCTGGCTGGTGTGTCGTGGTGGTTGGGGTACAAAGCTTACCTGGGATGGTTCATCTTTGTCCCAGGTGGTCTCTCATCCCCCAGTAGGCTACCCTGGGTTTACTCACCTGGTGTCAGGTTTTTTTTGTAGCAATTAGGAAATCCCAAAAGGTCTCTTAAAGCCTAGGCTTGAACTGCAATGCTGCTTTGTCACATTCCATTGGCCAAAGAAGGCACAAGACCA
Source organism: Homo sapiens (assembly GCF_000001405.40). Taxonomy (NCBI): domain Eukaryota; kingdom Metazoa; phylum Chordata; class Mammalia; order Primates; family Hominidae; genus Homo; species Homo sapiens. The sequence continues at coordinate 92,660,204 of NC_000012.12, read as the reverse complement.
ACTCCACCTGTTGATGGGAGAAATTGCAAAGCTATATTGCAAAGGACGTAGCTGTTAAGGAAGGGAATAATTTGTGAAAATTTTGGCAATCTACTATAGCCACTTACCAAACTTGTTTTGATTTCCATAACCCTTAAAATCTGTCAAAGAATACATATCTCCTAAAGCTTACATTTTAACTTCAAACTATTCTTAAATGAATAGAAATTGATCACTAATAAATTTTTAAGAAATATTGTCATTCAACACAGCCATATGATCTTTTTGTTCTTGTACAAAAAATTTTCTCATTTCCTTTAAGTGGTATAAAGGCATTTATTTCAATGCCTGAAAAAGTTTCATACAATGTATAACTAGAACATAATAAAAAGTTCGAGGGCCAGGTGTGATGGCTTATGCCTGTAATCCCAGCACTTTGAGAGGCCAAGGTGGGAAGATCACATGAACCCAGGAGTTCAAGACCAGGCTGGGCAATATGGTGAAACCTTGTCTCTACTAAAAAGACAAAAAATTAGCTGAGCATGGTGGCATGTGCCTGTAGTCCCAGCTACTCAAGAGGCTGAGGCGGGAGGATTGCTTGAGCCCAGGAGGTTGAAACTGCAGTGAGGCATGAATGGGCCATTACACTCCAGTCTGGGCAACAGAGTGAGACCCTGTTTCAAAAAAAAAAAAAAAGTTTTGATTCATTTTAATTTCAACATGTAAAATTGTAATGTTTTGTTTTGTTATTTTTCTCTTTCCAGAGGGTTACTAAATACATTAAACTGTTGGGAAGGGCATTGTATTTCTCTGGTCCAGGGCAATAATTCAATAGGGATCAAGGAAAGCTCTTTGTAAAAGCTATCTATAGGACAAGGGCTTAATTTATGTGGTGGTTTCTGCTAAATACCTTGCATTAAAGAAAAACTACCAACTGTTAAAGAGCAATGGCAGGTCAACTTACTTTGGTAGTAAAGGGACGTGATGATGAGAAGGTTGATCAAACAGGTGTAAATCTTTTCTGAATCTACAGTTTTAATTTTGCCTGATGATAAAATTATAGGCTTTATCATGATGAACTGCGGCCGGCTCATACTAGCTTGTGAGAGTCACTGGCCTCATATCTTTCTAATTCCATGTTCAGTAAAGTCATGTTGGAAGCTTGATATTGGCCAGAGTGAGAGTATTTACACCATGGAAACTGGCAAATGCTACAAAAGAGGGCCTCTTTTTGTTTTGTTTTTTTTTTTGATGGTCAGTTGTTAAACATTTGTAGCATACCACTGGCCTTTACCCACATAAAAAACAACAGGTACTGCTTTCCAGGCATATTTAAAAAGAGTTTCTTTTGCAATGAAGGACAGTAATCATGGAAGGAGGGGAGGGCTTCCCTTGGCATCTTTTCCATCCATATGTGTCTCCAGATTGCTGGTAGCCTGGTTGAGTATGAGCAAAGATTAAGAAATGAGAAGCAGAGACCAGGGAAAGGAACAGGGAATGTGCCTGGTCCTTTGCTTACGCTATTGACTCTGACTTTCATCGGGCTCAGGCCAGACATGCTCTTCAGCTTGTTTCTAAGTGCTCAACATCCTCTGAGTCTTTTAACAAGAAATGTAGAAATGGAAGCAATTCTTCATATGTTACGGAATTCAGCTACTTGCCATGCAGCCCTGATGAAATCCCTTACCTGCCACAGTGTTTCCCATCTGCGAATCAGAGATGGGAAATCTGCTCCTCCTCATTGTGCAAGTAGTTATGGTTAAAGCCAGGTTAGGTTGCCTCTCCCTGTAGAGTAATAAATGGAATAGGATGAGATAATTCTTAAGAGTCCCTCTGAAGAGGGCTCTCCATGGAGAAGGAAAAGGAGAAGGAAATTTGGAAGCCGTCGGGTAAGACCTTGTTGAAACTGTAGTTCATAGAATAGCAGCATTGGTGTCACCTGGGAGTTTGTCAGAAACGCAAAATCTTAGGCCCTACCCAGAACTATTGCATCAGAATCTGCATTTTGACAAGATTCCAGGTGAATTTTATACACATTATAGTTTGAGAATGATTTAAGCAATGGTTTATTCATGGAACCAGAGAAATACTCTTTTTTTTTTTTTTTTGGTAGAGTATGTACTTTAATCTTATTCATAGCTCCATGTTATTTCCCAGCCTTTGTTTTTCCACTTTTAGGTTCCCATTTAGGCTTTATTCTTAGCAAACAGATTGGCCTTTCCAGGAACAGTATTTAAATAATCATCATACTAGAAAAATGCATTTGCTTAAAATAGTGACACACTTACAATGGGAGCATGGGGTAGGTGAGCACTAACTCCCATCTGTAATAGCAGAAACCAGGGCTGGGCGTGGTGGCACACGCCTGCAATCCCAGAATTTTGGGAGGCCGAGGTGGGTGGATCGCCTGAGGTCAGGAGTTCAAGACCAGCCTGGCCAACATGGTGAAACCCCCTTTCTACTAAAAATACAAAAATTGGCCAGACTTGGTGGCACGTGTCTGTAATCCCAGCTACTTGGGAGGCTGAGGCAGGTGAATCACTTGAACCCGGGAGGCGGAGGTTGCAGTGAGCCGAGATCCTGCCATTGCACTCCAGGCTGGGTGACAGCGAGACTCTGTCTAAAAAAGAGAGAAATCAATAGGTAGAAAATGTAAAAATTAAATATCAGCATATTATTTAGGGGATATGAAGGCGGTTGCCAGGATTTTAAAAAAATAGCTGAATGATTTAAAGAAGTTGCCTCTGAGAAGTAGGCCTATTTTTTTCCCCATTCTGCCGTTTGGGCTATTTATTTTTTTAAAATGTGTGCATGTATTATTTCAATTCATTTAAAGATATTATGCAATCCCATATTTTATGCATTCTGAGAACAAGGTGGAATGTAAACAAGCAAACAAACAAAACCAAAAATCTTTCCTAAGGAGAACAAGTTGCGTATAGTGGTGCCTGAAATAGGAAACACAGTGGTTTATACAAGAAAAAACACTCAAGGATAGTAACTTAGAGGGAATATGAGATGCCCATATCAACTTTACACTGGTGACCTTACATTTGAAAGATGAGAAGAAGAAACAATGTAGAATGCTGCTGGGGATGAGTAGAGATGGAAATCATCTGGGGTTGTGGTAGGATAATATTGAGCCAAGAAGTATGTATGATCAGGAGAGAAACTTTTCTCAGAGATTTCCCCTAGTGATTTATCTGCCAGAGATGAAAGACTGGTTTATGCTCTAAGAGGGAGAAACTATGAAATTTGGGAAACCAAACCACAGAACAGGAATGGATCTTAAAGTTGTTTAAGGCAGTAGTTTTCAAACTTTATTTTAGCTGTTATTTTTTCCTCTTCAAATGAGATCGTACTCTAAACTCTGATGTATGAAAACAGAAGCAGACGGCTTCTGTAGTTAAAATACAGGGTAGAGGAACCTGGAACCTGGTGTCATGAATCTCTACCTCACCTTCAAGATGCTCTGAGCTCTGAGCTCCAAGGAACACAAGCAGAAAGTAAACTAGGTTGCAGCTCACAAACATTCCTCATTTTACTAAGGCATGGGGACACCCATGTAATGATTTGTGAATGGTCTTTTATAAGTCAAAGACGAAGCTGAGTCTTGACTTCAATTTTCTTGAGTCTTAGTTCAGTGTCCTTTCCAATTTACCTTACTGTATATTACATAGTTGGAGGGGTACTTGGCTCCAGTAGACTATAAACTCTGTGAAGATAGAGATTGGGTTACGCATCTTCACTGCTGTAGAATAGTTGGCATGCAGTAGGCTTTCAATAAATATTTGTTGACTAAATGAAATACAGTGTCATACACTGGCTGAACTTGATGCTTTCAGGGAATAAAATGGAGTTAAAAGATGTGAGGAGTATGGTTAATTCAACTTCTAAGATTCTCTTCTCCAGGAAGCGTGGTTAGTGTCTTGAAGATAATTGATTTACTTTTTTTTTTTTTTTTATCTCTTTAAGCCTTACATGATCCTTTCCTTATACCTTTTAAGTTTGGTACTCCTCAGCCAGAGAGTTTTCATTTGTTTGGGATTAAGTTCTTTTTGGTCTTCCTGTCTTTGAATAGCCCAGAACACATGCCATTTTTAAAGACCAGCTCTTTTATAAGCTTTATCTATTGGGCTTGACTTTGGCTATGGAAATCGTGAATTGGATCTCTTTTCACAGATGCACAAGCCGAGTTGATGGAATCTTAGCAGTGGCATCTCCTGGGAAAATCTTTATTCATTTAATCCAAGCCCGCTTCAGCTTTCACTTTGCCATAAAGAGATAACAGAGGCAGCACCTGGACATAATAATTCAGCTGTGAACACTCACTGTAATTGTCTCTTAATGGCTTGTCTTGAGAAGGGGGCTTGTGCACAAGATCTGTGTGTTGGTGTCACAGTTTCCATTTAGCTCAGGTCAAGATCGCAACTAAGGCGATTTGTTTGATAACTTCCACCTGTGTCTTAATAGGTTCTGCTCCCTCCCAGGTGTCCTGGGCAATAGGCAATGAGAATTGAAAGGAGATAAGAAAGAGTAAGCCATCAGCTCTTCAGATATCAGAATTGCAGGCTGTATAGCTCAGTCGCGCTGCCAGCACATTCTCTAGGGCCCTGAGGTGTCCAAGTTCACTTTGTTTTTCTTTGGAAGAATTAGAAAAAGGTGTTGGTTGGCTCACCTACCAGCTGTACCCTGTGGCTGAAACAGCCTATTTAGGCCAGAGTGAATTGGTCAGTTATTCCTCCATCCTCATGAGTTGTTCCACTGCACCGAAGTTACCTTCCTAAAGAAGCAGCTACAAAGATCATTTTATCTTCAGTGCCAAGGGGTGGGCTAGAGAAGATGCTGCCAGGACTTGGAGTGGCTGGGGATGATGGGCTAGTTTTTAAGCAGGCAAATTGGCCAGAGGGACTTAGAAAGGGTTAGCAACAGGACTGTTTCTCCTTTTTTTCCCTTCTGACAGTAATGAACAAAACATGTTAGGCTTGTTTTCAATTATGTAACAAGTTTCCATTCATTAGAAACCAAGGGAGCCATCCTAACTATACTTCAGTGACCTGGAAAGGGCAGCTCCCTACTTGGCCTAAGGTTGAGCAGTTTTGCTATTCAGCATCAGTGCTGCCAGCTCACGTATCCTGGGAATGCATATTGCATATTCAGGAAACAGAGACAAATCTTTTTCACTTGAGTCAAGAGGGTTCAGGGCTTGTCATCTGTTTCTGGGATATAGAGAAATGGAAAATAGAAGAGTTCTAACCTCATTCTGTATTGCAAGGGAAGGAGCTTGTCATATAGTCACTTGTGTTGGACCCTTGAATGGCTCAACTCACTGTCCTCGTACAGTGATCACTTCAAAGAAGCACGTGTTTCACTGAATACAACCAGGGGCCCATCTATCTCATGCCTCTAGCTTTTCATCCTCCTCCCTTGAAAATTAAGGTGGGTGATTTTGATTTTTAAAAATTTTCCAAAAGAAAATTGATGCTTGCCTTGAAGTGAACATGAATATTACTTGTATGAGTGTGTTTGTGTGTTGTGGGGGTTGGAGTGGATGGGAGGATATTTCTTCATAGTGGCAGCTTATCATTTTTAGCTGATATGGTTTGGCTGTGTCCCCACCTAAATCTCATCTTGAATTGTAGTTCCCATAATCCCCATGTGCTGTTGGGGGGACCTGGTGGGAAGTGATTGGATCACGGGGCAGTTTCCCCTATGCTGTTCTCGTGGTAGTGAGTGAGTTCTCACGAGATCTGATGGTTTTATAAGCGTCTGGCATTTCCCCTGCTGGCACTCATTCTCTTTCCTGCTGCCCTTTGAAGAGGTGCCTTCCACCATGATTGTAAGTTTCTTGAGGCATCCCCAGCCATGCAGAACTGAGAGTCAATGAAATCTCCTTTCTTTATAAATTACCCAGTCTCAGTTATTTCTTCATAGCAGCATGAGAATGGACTAATACCATAGGCATCAGTCAAAACATGCTCAGGGAACTCCTTTTATCTGCAGTCTGGCTCAGATGATAAGAATGATAGAATTGCTCTGTAGTTAGGATGTTGCTCCAAGCTGCCTGGGTTCAAATCCAGACTCAGCTCCATACTACCTGGAGAAATTCTGAACATAATATCGAACACTTTGTGCCTCTGTTTTCTCAGCTGTGAAACTGAACTCATAACAGTATTTGCTTCAAAGATTTGTTGCGGTTAAATGCATTCATGATTGTTGCACAGTAACTGCATGATTAATACTAACTATTCACATTGTGAAACTATCAACATCATACAAATTGTATAAATGTATTTATGTAATATAATTTTATTACATATACATATTTTATTATCATGTAAAAATATGCATTTATATGTTTATATATATGAGGTTGTAATGAAAATTTTTGTTAAATGATATTTTTATATCATACAAATATATTTTTAAAATCTTATGAGATATCCTTTTGGAAAAAAGGAATGATTTTTCTCTTTATTATGTTTTTGGTATAGATTGTACTAGTTTTTTTTTTTTTTTTTTTTTTGAGATGGAGTCTTGCTCTGTCTCCCAGGCTGGAGTGCAGTGGCGCGATCTCAGCTCACTGCAAGCTCCTCCTCCCAGGTTCACACCATTCTCCTGCCTCAGCCTCCCAAATAGCTGAGACTACAGGCGCCTGCCACCACACCTGGCTAAGTTTTTGTATTTTTAGTAGAGACGGGGTTTCACCATGTTAGCCAAGATGGTCTCAATCTCCTGACCTCGTGATCAACCCACCTCGGCCCTCAAAGTGCTGGGATTACAGGCGTGAGCCACCGCGCCCGGCCAGATTGTACTGGTTGAACCCAACCTGGGAATCTAATTTGATGCTTAGAGGAACTGGAAGGCTGACCACCTCTCTAAGCACCAAATGCTCATGGGGACTCTTTACTTTTATTTATTTATTTATTTAGAGATGGAGTCTTGCTCTGTTGCCCAGGCTGGAGTGCAGTGGCACAGTCTCGGCTCACTGCAACCTCTGCCTCCCAGGTTCAAGTGATTCTCCTGCCTCAGCCTCCCGAGTAGCTGGGACTATAGGCATGTGCCACCATGACCGGCTAATTTTTTTCTATTTTGAGTAGAGATGGGATTTCACCATGTTGGCCAGGCTGATCTCGAACTCCTGACCTCGTGATATGCCCGCCTCGGCCTCTCAAAGTGCTTGGATTATAGGAGTGAGCCACCGCACCTCGCCAGGCTCTTTATTTTTAATATTTTAGTGGAAAGAGTAGAGGGGAATGTTGGCAAGTGGAGAAATACCTAAGGAGAGAAATGGAGAGAAGGGGGTTGGCACGAGGATGGCAGGGTGTCTGCCTGTCCCTCTCATTGGGGAAGGGGCTGGCCTGAGGCCTGATGGGGAAAGTGCAGAGGGTTAGTGCCAGAGGCCAAGGAGGTGGCCATGAGAGACTGGCGGGTGGTGGTTGGGGATTGTGGCTTCTCTGTCGCAACCTCAGTGCACTGGGATTCCCTGGTCCTGGAGGGCAAGTCTCTGGGGAGCAGCAGCAGCCCCCCAGAGAGAGAAACCAGAGGGCAGAGCTTCACAGTCAAAGAATATGGGCACATGTGAGATACTCTCTGGGGACCCCAAAAAATAGTTAGGAGAGAACTTTAAGGATGTATCTTTTAACAGTAAGGCTGAAAGCTAAGAGTACTATGATTTGGGGAATTCAGGCTAAGAATATTCAGGAGGTTACCAAAAATCTAGTCTTTTCGATTTGGAAGTAGATGAAAGCAAAATCTGCTTATCTTAATTCTAAATTCTAAGATATACTTTGATTTAATGATTTTCTTTTTTTGGAGGAAGTTGGGAACTAGAAAGAATAAACCAAAACATACAAAACCAAAACATAGAAGTACATATTGATTTTAAATTATGCTTCAATATTAGAAACATCAAAATGTGAAAATGTATTTTCACAACCTTGAGAAAATAAATATGTTGTGAAATCCTGGAAAAATAATGTTTTATTGGGGCTGATTTTTTTTCCCATCCCAATTACCCAAAGGATATTTAATGGCTGGTGAGCTTAAAAATCTTGTTGCTTCTTGAAAGACAAAGGAAGGATTGAAGAATTGGAATGAACAAGTGTGATAATGACAATAATAAGGATTACCATATAGAATAATGATTACCTGCAAGACACCATGTCCAATGCTTCGTATATGTTATTTCCAATTCTTTCTATAATCTGAAGACCTGGGTGTTATTAGTCCTATTTTACAAATGAGGAAACTAAGGTTCAGGAAGTTAGTATGAATCTGCAAAAAGTCACAAAACTACTAGATGATGAAGATGAGACTGGAAATGTGCTCTGTTGGATTCTCCCAAAGTTTACACTTCAAAGGTAGCAAAAGATGCAATGTTAAGCCTCAAACCAAAGAGGGGCAAAGTGGAAAAGGGGAGTCCTAGAAAGTGACAAGGAAGGGCTGGCCTCACTGGGGCTTTGGAAAGGAGAGCACTGTTCTAATCTCAGCTCCATAATAACAGCAAAATCTTATTATGTGTCACAATCAAGGCTAAGCACTTTGCATGTATTGTCTTATTTAATTCTCACAACAGCCCTGAGAAATTATTACTATTCACATTGTACAGACAAGGAATCTGGGGCCCAGAGAAGGAATTATTCTGTTGCTAAGTTTATTAAAATTTTTTTTTTTAAATTGATACATAATATTTGTACATAGTAGACCGGGTGAGGTGGCTCACACCTGTAATCCCAGCACTTTGGGTGGCCAAGGCGGGTGGATCACCTGAGGTCAGGAGTTCGAGACCAGCCTGGCCAACCTGGTGAAACATCATCTCTACTAAAAATACAAAAATTAGCTGGGCATGGTGGCGGGCACCTATAATCCCAGCTACTGGGGAGGCTAAGGCAGGAGAATCGCTTGAACTTGGGAGGTGGAGGTTGCAGTGAGCCAAGATCATGCCATTGCACTTCAGCCTGGGTGACAAGAGTGAAACTGTCTCAAAAAATATATATTTGTACATATTTATAGGGTACAGGTGATATTATGTTATATGTATAAACAGGGTGTTCCAGCATAAGCAGGTACCCTCTACTCAGTCCTTGTTCCTACCTTTGCAAAACTCACTGTTCTACTGTTTTCCAGTGGCTTTCAAGACCAAATAAGTACATTTACAATGGTAATAGTGACATCAATGACTAAAGTTTTGGTCACTCTCAAAATTGAGAAAATGACCAAAAGGGGGGAGTTTTTAAAGTGAACTAAATATGACCTGAGAAGGACTCTGAACTTCTGTGTTTAAGTCCTTGTGGATGAACTGCAACCTAACGCAGTAGGTAGACAAGAGTGAGACCCTAACTTGGGAGTGTATGCCGGTAACAGTGGCTGGGTCTTGGCCAATCCCAGCAGCCGTGCCTCAGCCACTCATATGCTGTTGCGTGTTCAAACTGTGTTCAAATAAGGCAAATGCTGAGCTTTAACCAAGCCAGTTGTTTCTGTACCTCACTTCCAATTTCTGTACGTCACCTCCCTTTTTTTGTCTATAAATCTTCTTCTACCACGTGGCTGTGCTGAAGTCTCTCTGAATCTGCTGTGATTCTAGGGGCTGCCCGATTCATGAATTGTTCATTGCACAATTAAACTCCTTTAAATTTAATGTGGCTGATTTTTTTTAAACACGTGTAGAATGTGAAATGATCAGGGTATTTAGGGTATACATCATCTCGAATATTTGTCATTTCTATATGTTAGGAACATTTAAAATCCTGTCTTCTAGCTATTTTGAAATATACAATACATTATTGTTAACTATAGCCACCCTACTCTGCTGACAAACATTAGAACTCATTCCTTCTATCAGTTGGTAAGTTTAAACTCTGGTCAGCCTGACTCCAAGTCCTGTGTTCATAACCAGTCAATTACTTTATATCAAAAATGACCTACGTTTTCCTTGGCAAGTTAAGGCCTCTCTTTCATATCCTTTCCCAAACCTGGTTTCTCCTTCAGACCCTGTTCCAAACTCACCCCGGATGGTTTATGAGACGGATTTTGTCAGCCAGTTTTGTTTCTGAACTCACAATGAAGGAACCACAGGGTGGCAGTGTAACATTGCACAGTTCAAACAAGAGGGCATGAGACTGCATCATCCCAAGTGCACCAACCAGGTCAGACTCAACTCTTAGGCAGACAAACCACTGACCAACTGGCTTTAGTTCATCCTGTTGCAAACACACAGAACGCATTCCTCATGGGCTAATCTGAGGAGAATCGATCCCAGAGACCTCAGCTGAATGACAACGGTGGCCCTAATATCACAGGGAATGCAATACGTTTTTAAATATTTTGCATGCCGACCCTTCACTCTCCTCTCTCTATTTAGGCTTTATGAAATCTGTGTGTGAAAAGTACAGAAGTGGTGGAAAGAGCAAGGAAGATAAGGGGAAAGGAATAGAGAACGGCTTTGGCGTCAAAGGGCATAGACTGAAGGAGCTCCTCAGCCTGTTTCTGGTTGCATAATATTAACAACCACACCCCGCATCTCCAGACTCATTTCCTTATGCATGAAATGGGGAAAACAGTGTCGGCTTTGCAGTTGAGAATAGTAAATAAGGCAAAGGCATGCAGGATTTCTAGGTGCTTAATCATGGAAATTATGTGCTTTCTTCAGATGTTGCTTTCCTTAGCCTGGAGAAGTAGGATAGCTAAGAGAGAGAATAAGATTCATGTTAGAGAAGGAAGAGGACAACACAGCAAGGGTAGAAGTCAACACATAGTTTATGGACAAAGAGGATTCCTGTTGATCAAATAACATAAAAACCGTTTATGAAGCTGACAGAATGCAGGGAATCATCTCTGTATCTTTCTGCATCGTTTTTTAGTTTGTTGTTTAGTAGCAACAAGAAATAATCATGCTTTCCAAGGGAAGTGACAAGATATGCATATAGAAGTGTGTTTGGTTTCTAAAGGTTTTTAGGGATCAATTACGTTTTACAGATGTACCTTTCACAGATCATTCTTCGTATGTGTCTGTATTGTCTGAAAATAGCCCAGGATGAGCAGTCTATGTGCTCTGGTTGGAAACCTGGCTCTTATTTACTGGCTTTATGATTTAGGACCAATTCCCTAACCTCAGTTTGTTCATTTGGAAAATGAGGAAAATTATAGTAGCTCCTACTTTACAGGCTGATTATACAGGATACAAGGATTATATAGGATGATGTGTGTAAAGTGTCCAGCATACAGTAGGCTCTCAATAAATGCTGGAGCTTGTTAATAACCTTGCCCAGTTACAGTAACAATAGTGCTTTTCAACGGCCTGGAATTCAGTCACAGCTGGAAATCAGGTAATACTTGAAATTGCTTAAGGAACAATAAAGAGAACAAAAAGCTGTTTTTTTGCAGCTCTGTGTTGAAAGTTGACTCACATCCTTTCAGACCACTTGCAGCAGTGCCCAGATCTCTTCTCTGGGATCGTGGTGTCTCCATCAGGCCAAATTGACTCCCCTTTGCACTTACAATGCATTCTTGGGGACCAGTTGGGTGCCCATAGCTGCTTTGAACTAGAGACGCCAGCAAGGCAGTGGGGTCAGAAGTGTCCCCGGTTTCCACTGGTTCACAGAACAGAGGTCTCTAGGAGTCATGGCACTTCTTGACCATAATTTCAATCCCCTTACTTCCCATTCAGTGATGTTCCTATTTGAAATAAAATACTACTATGTTCTCCTCCCAACCATTTTTGGAGAATTGCACATTGTTACAGAAATACCCATATTGTCTAGGTCAGCGATTTTCAGTGTGGTCACTAGACGTACAGTATCAGCATCACCTGGGAACTTTTAGAAAAGCAGATCTCAGGCCCCACCTCAGACCTGCTGAAGAAAAGACTCTGAAATGGTGGCATCTAACCATTTGCCTCCTAACAAGCCTTCCATGTGAGATGCTTGCTCTAGTTTGAGGCTTTTTTTCCTCTAGCCTTAAAGACAGGTCATTACTGTACCATAGGTATACTTTGGTGTTTGTCTCCAAGAACTCAGTCATTGAGATCAGATTCATGATGTTGTTTTGAAGGTCTTATCCATACTTCATCATATTATGTCTGCATTTTGCCTGTCAAAAAACTAACAGGATTTGGAACCCTTCTTAAAACTGATCCAGCTCTCTTATTCTCTTATTCTGCCTGCATGTGTAAATATTTGACTTTTTTTCTCTATTACTCATTATTCCAAACCATGAGTTAAAAACAAACTGAATTAGCACTTAAAAAAATTAATGGTAACACATGTTATTTCATTCCTTTTTCTTTTTTTTTTCTCCTCTTATTAGAAAAAAAGCAATCTATCTTCATCTTTAATCCTAAGGCTGAAAATTGAGAACTGGTTGTGGATTTTTTTTGTGGGTATATGGCAATAGTAATGACTGCTTGGAGTATTATAGCATGAATAACACTAATGACAAAATTCATACATTTTTAAAATTTTTAATTGATGCAAAATTGTACATTTTTATGGGGTACAATGTAATGTTTTAATACATGTATGCATAGTGTAATGATCAAATCAGGGTAATTAGCAGATCTATCACCTCGAACATTTATCATGTCTTTGTGGTGGCAATGTTCAAAATCCTCTCTTGCAGCTATTTTTGGATATACGATATCTTTTTGTTGACTGTAGTCACCTGAGGTGCAATAGGACACCAGAACTTAAAATTCCTTCCCTGTTGTAACTTTATACCTGTTGACCAACCTCTCTCAAACCCTTCTTTTCCCCACCTTCCACAGTTTCTGATAACCACTGTTCTATTCACTACTTGTATGAGATCAACATTTTTATATTTCACATGTGAGTGAGAACATGCTGTATTTGTCTTTCTGTGTCCAGCTTATTTCACCAAATGCAGTGTCCTCCAGTTTCATCCATGTTGTTGCAAATGACAGGATTTTGTTCATTTTAAGGCTAGATAGCATTCCATTGTATGTGTGTGTGTGTGTTTGTGTATAATATGTGTGTATGTATTAGTACACTGTGTGTGTATATGTGTATAAGACATATTATACACAAAGAAATGATAAATGTTTGAGGTGATATTACACACATATTATATACACACATTATAAAAATACATACACACATATTATACACACACATATCAGGGCAATCTAGGACTTGTAGAATGACCTTGGAAGTATTCCCTCTTCTTTGATTTTCTAGAATAGTTTGAGAAGAGTTGGTATTTGTTACTCTTTAAATATCCAGTAGAATTCAACAATGAAGCCATCAGGTCCTAGTCTTTTCTTTGATGTAAGATTTCTTATTACTGGTTCAATTTCTTCACTCATTATTGGTCTGTTCAGATTTTCTATTTCTTCATAAGTCAATCTTGGTATGTTGTATATGTCAACGAATTTACCTATTTCTTTTAGGCTATCAAATTTGTTGGTATATATACTAGTTTATTATATTATTTCATGATCCTTTGTACTTCTATGTATTAATTGTTGTGTCTCCTTTTTCACTCTGATTTTATTTATTTGAGTCTTCTCTCTTTTTTTTCTTAGTCTAAGTAAAGGCTTTTAAATTCTATATTGTCAAAACACCACGATTTGTTTTGTTGATCTTTTGTATTACTTTTCTAGTCTCTATTTCTGCTCAGGTTTTTTCTTTTTTCTTCTTCAGAGATGGGGGTCTCACTCTGTTACCCAGGCGGGAGTGTAGCAGTGCAATCATAGCTCACTGTAGATTTTAACTCCTGGACTCAAGGGTTTTCTCCACCTCAGCTTCCCAAGTAGCTAGAATCTCAGGTGCACAGAACCATGCCTTGCTAAATTCTTTATTTTTGTAGAGACTGGGTCTTATTGTGTTGCCTGTTCTGAGCTTCACTATGCTCTTCCTTCTACCAATTTTTAATTTAGTTTGTTCTTGTTTTCTAGTTCCTCGAGGTGCAACATTAGGTTATTTATCAGAAATCTCTTATCTTTTTGATGTAGATGTTTATTGCTATAAACCTCCCTTTAGAATTGCTTTTATTTTTGTATCCCATAGGTTTTAGTATGTTGTCTTTGCTTTCTTGTTTGTCTTAATTTTTTTTTAAATTTCTCTTTTAATTTCTTCATTGATCTATTGTTCATTCAAAAACATGCTGTTTAATTTCCATATATTTGTAAATTTTCTGAAGTTCCTCCTGTTATTGATTTCTAGTTTAATATCGTTGTGGTCAGAAAAGATACTTGACATGACCTCTATCTTCTTAAATTTGTTAAGACTTGTTTTGTGACATATAATCTATCCTGGAGAATGTTCCACATGCAGTTGAGAAGAATTGTGTATTATGAAGCTGCTGGATAGAATGTTTTGTAAATGTCTGTGTCTAGGGTGCACTTTAAGTCCAATGCTTCTTTGTTCTTTTCTGTCTAGATGATCTTTCTATTGTTGAAAGTGGGTTGTTAAAGTCCCTTAATATTATTGCATTGTGGCTGGTCTCTTTTTGTAGATTTAATAGTATTTGCTTTATATATTTGGGTGCTCTTGTGTTGGGTATATATACATTTCTGATTGTAATATCCTCTTGCTGAATCAATCCCTTTACCATTACATAATGACTGTTTTAATCTCTTCATTTTTTTCTCTACTCCCATGACAGATTACTACTTTGTTTCTTTTTTACAATTTTTTCTTTCTTTGTATGGTTTTTGACTTAATCTCTATCTAAATAAATAACTTGACTTAAACTCTAGCTAAACAAATAACTAAGGTTATTATTGATAGGTAAGAACTTACTCCTATTTTGTTAATTGTTTTCTGGTTGTGTCATAGATCCTTTGCCCTTTTCTTCCTCTCTTTACCATTTTGGTTTCATGCTTTTCTGTGGTGCTAAGCTTTGATTCCTTTCTCTTTCTAATTTGTGTATCTTTTGGAATTTCTTTCTTTGTGATTATTGTGGGGTTGACATAAAGTCTTGTAGTTATAATAGACTATTTTAAGGTGATAACAGTTTAGCTTTGGTCACAAAAAATACTCGAGGCCCCCGCCCCCCACCCAGTTTATATTTTTATTGTCTTAATTTACATCTTTATCTATTGTGTTACTTTAGACTGATTGTAGCTATTGTTATTTTTGACCATTTTGACTTTTAACCTTCATACTAGAGGCTTGAAAGAGTTCCATAATACTATTCTAGTACTAGAGTGTTCTGAGTTTGATTATGAATTTACCTCTACTAGTGACTTTTATACCTTCACATGTTTTTATTATAGTAATTATCCTTTTCCTTCTAATTGTAGCACAAGAATTTCTTGTAAGGCTGGTCTAGTAGTGATGAATTCCCTCAGCTTTTGCTTGTATGGAAAATATTTTATTTCTTTTTCATTTCTGAAGTATTAGTATAGTATTTTTGGTTACTAGCTTTTTTTCTCCTTCCAGCACTTTGAATCCATCATCCCATTCTCTTTTGGCCTGCAAGGTTTCTGCTGAGAACTCTGATAATCTAATGGAGAGTTTCTTATATGTAACTTGTCAGTTTTTTCTTGCTGCCAAAACTAGTATATTAAACAAGGCAAATAGAGCCATGTAATTTACAAATTACTGTCACATGTATTTTCTTATTTAATTTTTACCTTTGCTATAGGTATTATTCTCATTTGCAAAATAGGAAAACTGAGGTTCAGAAGATTACACTTTTGTGATAGGTACCTTATAGGTTTTTAGGGGACAGGAGACACTATATGATTTTAGATGGAACTTTCTCTTGGACTAACAATAACTAATGCATATTGGGTGCTTTCTATGTGCCATGCTTTATAATGGTGTGTTCTATGTTTTACTTGATCTACAAAACATCCTGAAGAGGTAGTAAATATTACTATTCCCCTTGTGCAAATGGAAAGACAATCTTACCGAGGGTAAATAACTTGACTAAGTCACACTTAATTTTAAGGTATAATGGAGCTAGGATTCAGATCCAGATTGGTTTCAATCTGAGAGCACTTGTTCTTAGTCTGTGTGGACATGATCTTTGGAGATGGTGCATCTGAGCAGTATCTGAACCCTTCAGAGAAGGGAATTTTTGCCTTTGGCTACCTAGTTTCTGTACTCAGCAAAAACACAGAAAGAAACAGCAAAAAAGACTCCACTGAAGGCTTGAATCCTTCAACCCAAGTGTCTCTGTGATTTTTTTTCTGTAGAATAAGAGTTACTTATATCCTATTTGTCATATCAATTGCTATTGAAGATTTATTTTGCAATGCCCTATTATTTCCAGAAAGGATTTTAGGAAGCTATAAGGGCCTATAGGAGATCTCACATAATCCCATAAGTAGTTTTATATCCATAGGAAAGGCAGGCCTTTCCTAAGAAGCCAGCCTCTAAGTAGATAATTTTAAGTTAATTGGGACATTCTGCATTCTGTTATTCTTATCATACAAAAGGCCCTGGTGCAGTCCCAGTTTGAGACATCTTCCTACTTCTTCAACACAAAAAATTACTCTGAATAAGAGCAAAATGTTACAAATTGTTTTGACAACATTCAAATGGTATAGAAATACATAAAGCAAAAATGAAATCAAAGCTTTTCTACAATTGGATTTTAGCATCTCAGTGGTTCAGGAGATCAAACATTGAACAAGGTTGATGAGGAGAATATAATATGAATTTCTCCTCTTCAACCAAGCACTTACTGGATTTTATTGTAATGGAAACAAAGTCCACTTGCTTTCCTCTTTAGCTTTATGTAGAATGATCCTCAAAAGGCTGAGCAGGTGCCATGGGACTCACCTTCTAGGCAGACATATTGTCAGTCACCTTCTATATGTGGTTTGTTGATCTCAAGCTTCAGTCAAGGGCTGCTCTGTGCTTTAATGATGAATGGTGCAGCAGTTCACCGTTATTTTTGGTGCCAGTGTTACCAAAACACCAGGGATTTGGCCTAGGTCCTGCTGCCCACCACACAGAAAACCAATAATTGAGACGATGAACATAGCCAGGAAAGAAGGCTTTAATTGGGTGCTCCAGCCAAGGAGTTGGGAGATCAGTCTCAAATCCGTCTCCCTGACTGACTAAAATTAGGGGTTTATATAGCAGGGAAGAAATGTATGGGAAAACAGGAACTAGGGAGGGGCAAGGAAGCAATCATGATGAATGAGGGGTCTGGTGTCTCATTGTCTGGATACGATGATCTGGTGAGTTTTAATTTTTTGATACTTTTTGAGAGGTCTGGGAGTCCTTTCCTGAAGAAGGAACTCAGATAAAACAAATGAAATTTCAAACATGAAGACCCAAAGGGTCAATTTTTATGTTTTTCCAAGAAAAAAACTGCCTATGGGACTATTGGGTTGGTTTCATCAGCATGATTCTTTCTTGTTCCGAAGAAGTTACTTGTGTATGAAATAGAGTTGAATGTCACAATGTTATTCAGAAATACAAAGTTCTCAGCGTTTGTAAATTTTGGGTTTTTTTTTGGTAACAGCTTTATTAAGATGTGATTCATATTGCATATAATTTACATACCATGTAATTCATCTACCTAAAGTGTACAATTCAATGGTTTTTAATATACTCATAGAGTTTGCAACCATCACCATAATCGATTGTAGAATATTTTTATCACTCTGAAAAGAAATCCTGCATCCTTTAGTTATCACTCTCTCATCTTCCCATTTCCTCTCTTGCTCCCAGCCTTAGGCAACCACTAATCTAGTTTCTGTCTCTATATATTTGCCTATTATGGACATTTAATATGAATGAAACTTTCTAATATGTGGACTTGGCTGTCTGTGAGTAGGCAGTATGCTGTGGTGGCTAAGAGCAAGGGGCAGATTTGGTTTCAACTCCTTGCTTTCTGGCCTACTACCTGTGCAACCACGTGCAGAACCCAACCTAATTTAAAGCTTTCTTTCTTGCCAAATGAAGATTTTTAAATAATTTTCCTTTATTTAAAAAATGTTTTAATTTTGCGATCATTTCAAACTTATAGAAAAGTTGCAAGAATGGTGCAAAGAATCCTTGTGTACTGCACCCCATATGTTCCAGTTGTTAATAATACTTACATTTACTTTGTCATTCTCTCAGTCTCTCTGTATCTGTGTTTATATATTTTTCAAACCATTTGAAAGTAAATTACAGAATTTTCTTTACCCCTAAGTATGTTAGTGTGTATTTCTGATAAATACACTTTTTTTTGGTATATAACCACAGAAGAGTTATCAAAATTAGGAAATTAACATTGATGTAATACTATTATCTAATTAAATGTTGTCAATTGCCCCAATAATGTTGAGGATCACCTGCTAGCTTTAGTGATTTTTAATCTATGACAATTTCTTAGGAATTATTTGCTTTTATGACCTTGACATTCTGAAGAGAATTGACCACTTATTTTATAGAATACCTCCCAATTTGGCTTTTTCTGATGTTTTTGAGGTTATGCATTTTTGCATTAAATTCTTTTTAGCCCTTCCATATAAGTCAGTTTGTCCCACAACTGTTGATAACTCTGATGTATCAAGATGGTATCTGCCAGGTTTCTCCACTATGAAACTACCACTTTTTTCCTTTGCAATAATTGTCTTGTGGGGAGATACTTTGAGAACATTTACCAAAATATCCTATTCTCATCAAGCTTTCACAAGTTTTAGCATCCATTGACAATCTGTGGCAATCAATTATTACTCTGATGGTTGCCACATGTTGATTTTATAACTTCTATTATTCTTTCCAGATTTATTATTTGCATTCTAATGCAAGGCAGATCTTTTCCATTATAACCATTATTATGTCATTATTTATTTTTGCTCAAATTATTCTCAGATTTGGCCAGTGATGTCTTCTCAGTCTGAGTCCTGTGTTGTTTTGGCACGTTGCTGTCATTCTTTAAGCATTTTCTTACTTTCTGGTGCAAAAGTATATTTATATATATACACACTGATGATATATATATATATGATTATATATACATAGACTGATATATATATACACACACGTACATATATGTGTGTGTATATGTATATATACACACACACACACTTCCATATCATTTTCTATATCTTTCTATCCACGTATATGCAAAGTCATAGTACCTCCAATTCCAGTCCAATTCCGCAAGGTTCATTTTGGATTTGTACCTCCTTTTTTGGACAGTGAGAAACCTGGCTTCCTTTATTTGCATTCTACTTATTTATTTACTCAAATTTGCTTTTTCTCCACTGTAAGTGATATCTTTTGAGCACTGCCACCTAGAATGGCACACACTCTTAATGTCCCTCCCTGTGACCACTGCTCTGAGCTTCCAGATATCTTTCAGGATTGATGCCCTTAGAGTAGATTTGCTCTTTCTGGAGGTGAGTTACATCAGTCTTAGGCTTTCTGCCAGTTCCACTTTTCTGTGCACTTTTTCTAGTCAGCTCTTGCTCTCTACTAGGACTTGCAGGAGGTTGAGAGATAATTCCTTGGGATTTGGTGTTGCTTTTTCTATGTATAGGTAATTTGAGGTTTGGGCATTTTCTATCTTCTATTTGCTGAAGGTGTGGGTTTTGAATAGTTTTATTTGTTTTTATTTCATATTGCTTTTGGAGGAAATTTAGGAAGATTTGGATTTAGGGGACTATTTTCATCATCAGCTATCTGGAAACTCATCTAAATAAGAATTCTTATATTGTGAAGATTAAGTGATATAACCTATGTAGAGTATTAAGTTTGTGTATCTGTCAGAGTGAGAGAGAGGGAGTGAAAAAATTAAATACGGTTGACTATGTAACAGAAAAAGCCAAATACCTGGCACAAAGAGTTAGTAATAATAGCAACGCAAATTTAAAGAGATTTTTCTAGCAAAAATTTCTATACTTATTTTAATTTTTATAAAAAATATATATAATATAGCTTATGTATATAATGTTTTTATATATATGGTTTTAAAATGACTACAAACCTACAAAAAACAGCCATCTCTGGATCTACCATTTCCTATCTCAAGTCCACTGCTCAGAGGAAACCTCTTTCTACTTCTAGTTATTTTTTCTGTGATTTACATTTTTATTAATAGGCAATATGCTTATATTTCTTCATTTATCAAGTTTAGATAATATCATTATTTTGTTAAATCAATAATCAATGTTTATTGTATTATTGTGTTGAGGGTCCCCAACATAATCAGTGTTTGCAGTATTATTGTGTTGATGGTCCCCAACATCACGTCTAGGTTTGATGATTCATTAGAATTCACAGGACTCAGTATATAGTTGTACTTATGTGTCTTAGTCTGTTTTGTGTTTCTATAACAAAATATAGAAGACTAGGTAATTAGTAATGAGCAGAAATTTATTGGCTTATGATTCTGGAGATTGGAAAGTCCAGGATCAAAGGGCTGGCATCTTCTGAGGGTCTTCATGCTGTGTCATCCCATGGCAGAAGGTGGAAGGACAAGAGAGCTTGTGAGAGAGAGTGAGAGAGCGGGAGAGAGAGTGCACGTAAGAGGGGAAGAACACATACTTTATAAAAAACCTACTCCTAAGATAACAAACTGACTCTTCAGATAATGTCATTAATACATTTATGAGGGCAGAGTCCTCATGATCTAATTACCTCTTCAAGGTCTTACCTTGAAACACTGTCACAATAGGGATTAAGTTTCTAACACATGAACCTTGGGGGATACATTCAATTGGTATCATCATGGCTAAGATTTTTTTTTTTTTTTTAACAGCAAAAGGATACAGAATAAGATCAGCAACAGTAAAAGGGATATGGGTGAAGTCCACAGGAGATAGGAGCAAGCTCCCAGAGTCTTCTCTTAGTGGAGTCACACAGTACACACATAATTCCTCAAGTTGTGACAAAAAGTGAGACATATTGTCACACAGGGAAGCTCAGCAGAGAATCAGTGCCCATAGTTTTTATTTTTTTTTAATTGAAGGCTTGTCACCTGGGCATTCTCTGTTTGTCATATACAAAATTCTAGACTGCTAAAAGAAAAGCAGGTGCTCAGCACAAGCCATATTGTTTGCACAGACAGTTTAGGCACAGTAAATCACTTATCCTGAAATGATGACAGCCAAGGGCAGAAGAGTTAACCTTGTAAGCAAAGCTTTTAAAGCATAGCAGTCAGGCCTGCTATGCTGACTTTTTTTCCTGCACAATGGTTTTTATAAAGATTTTTCATACCTGTGTCAAGCAATCTGATTACATCCAAGTAATATGATTACATCTCCTTTCTTTGTGACTTTTTGTTTCCCCTACAGTTAATAATTGCTTTGTTTAGGTTATTGTTCTCGTGTGCTTGCTTAGTTTTTTGAATAACTATTACTAATTTTCTAAAACTCCAGCAGTATTATACAAGAGGTAAAATACTTGAAAGGTAAGTTGGGGGTCATATTATAAAACGTTCTGTATGTCATGTGTTATGGACTGAGTGTTTGTGTTCTCTCAAATTCATATGTTAAAATCCTAACCCTTGATGTAATGGTATTAGGAAGTAGGGCCTTTGGGAAGTAATTGTGTCATGACAGCAGAGCCTTTATGATAGGGATTAGCGTCCTTAAAAGAAGAAACACTTGAAAGCTTGCTTCTTTTTCTGATCTCCATCACATGAGAATATTACAAGAAGACAGCCATCTGCAAACTAGGGAGAGATCCTTCACAGACACTAGATCTACTGGCCCCTGGATCTCGGACTTCTAGACTCCAGTGCTGTGAAAAATGTTTTTTTGTTGTTTAAACTATCTAATCTATACCTATATCCAATCTATATCTTGTTACAGCAACCAGAGCTTACTAGGACATTATGCAAAATGACTTTGAGTTTTTTTTTTCTGTAGGCTCTGAGAGCCATTAAGAAGGTTTAAGCAAGAAGAGATTTGATTAAATTTAGTTTTTCTTTTTATCTTTTTTGAGACCGGTTCTCACTCTGTCACCCAGGCTGGAGTGCAGTGGCGTGATCACGGCTCACTGCAGCCTCAACTTCCCAGGCTCAGGTGATTCTCTCAACTCAGCCTCCCGAGTAGCTGGGACTACAGGTGCATGCCATCATGCCTAGCTATATTTTTGTATATTTTTGTAGAGACAGGGTATCACCATGTTGCCCAGACTGGTCTCAAACTCCTGAGCTCAAGCAATCTGCCCGCTTTGGCCTTCCAAAGTGTTGGGATTACAGGCGTGAGCCGTTGTGCCCAGCCAAATTTAGTTTTTAAAAATATTGCTTTGCTGGAGGAGGGATAAGAGTAGGTTAAGGTAGGAGGTAGAGAGAGAAGTTAGACCATTACCATAGTCCAAGAAGGATGTCATGAGGATTGGATCTACAACAGAAAAGATGAAGAAAGCTAAAACACTTGGTGGCTGACTAGACTTGGGGGACGTGATGAAGGGATGTAGCATTTCAGGTAGGTTATAAAATGATAGGGTAAGAACAAACACAAAAACTACTCTAAGATTAGATTAATTCCACATTTATTTAGACAAGTATATTAGTTTCCTAGAGATGCCTTAACAAATTGGTACAGACTGGATGGCTTAAAACAGCAGAAACTTACTCTTTCACAGTTCTGGAAATCAAAAATCTGAAATCTAGGGGTTGGCAGGGTCAGTTCCTTCTTCAGGTTCTGAGAAGAATCAGTTCCATGCCTCTCTCCTAGCCCCTGGTGGTTTCCAGCAATTCCTGGGTTCCTTGGCTGGTAGATACGTCACTCCAATCTCTGCCTCCGTCTTTTTGGAGGCTTGTCCCCTGTGTGTCTGTGGCTCTTCTCTTCTTATAAGGATACCATTGATACTGAAATTAGGACCCACACTACTTCCAATATAACCTCATCTTAATTTGATTACATCTACAAATACCCTATTTCTAAATAAGGTCACATTCTGAGGTTCTGGGTAAGCATGGATTATTAGGAGACACTATTAAACCCAGTGCATTAAGAATATGAAATGGAATGTGGACCAAAAACAAGAGCAAATACTTACATCTCAGCAAAATATCTGTTGCCTCCCTCCCCCATCCCTAACAGGCACCTGACTGTGCCAGGTATGGTCTTGCTAGAACTGGAAAGCTCAATTCTTACAGTAGCATCACTCTTTAAATGTAGGGCTTACATCTCTTTTCTGGAAGATTCTTTATATTATCTTATGTGAAGGACTGTTACAAACATCTGGATCTCTTTGTCCTTGAAACTAAGAAGGCTTTATCTTTATCTGTAGCAGGGAAGAAAAAGAGAAACAGATCAGTGTCTGGTGTCCCTGAACAGTATTTCAGCCTACAGGCTTCCATTGTGCAAATGGGACTTGGATAAATGATATAGCCAAATGATATGTAGCAGGGCTGGAGCTCCAATATGGACTCTTTGGTTTGGGTGATTTCATGTCCCAGTCTTCCTGGGACTGTTTATTTTACACTTAACAGCTCCCCTTTTCCCCTTTTACTATCCAAAATGTTCTGGTATGTATGGTAGATTATATTTCCATACTACTGACTCTTTGTCCTCTTTGTCCTCTTTGTCCTCTTTGTCCTGTCGGGTTTTTAAAAAATTTTTTATTTTTTTCCATGACACACAACTTGCCAAGACCAAAGAAAACCAGCAACTTTGAATGTTAAACTTTGGTGAAAGAGCACTAAAATCCAAGACTGGTTTCTGGGACAGAATTTTTGATATCTAACAGCTTCCCACAGAGTAATTGGAACATTGAGGTTTGTAGTCATGATAATTGGCAAATGAAAAGAAGAAAAAACTACATGAAAGGAGTAAAGAATACTTTATGGATAAATGCCTTTCTTAAAACTGCAGAAAGACAAGACTATATACTGCAGTCCCTCCTTATTCATGAGGAATACCTTTCAAGACCCCCAGTGAATGCTTGAAACCATGGATGGTATTGAACCCTATATGTACTATATTTTTTTTAATTATGTACATACTTATGATAAAGTTTAATTTGTAAAATAGACACATTAAGAGATGAAAAGCAATAACTAATAACAAAATAGAACAGTTATAATGATATATTGTCATAAAAGTTATGTGAATATGATCTCTCAAAATATTTTATTGTTCTTTACTTACCCTTCTTTAATGATGTGAGATGATGAAATGCCTAAGTAGTAAGAGGTGAGATGAATAATGTAGGCATTGTGACACAGCATTTAAAACTTATAAATTGTTTATTTCTGGTATTTTCCTTGAGCTACAGTTAACCAAGAATAACTGAAATCATAAATCTCAAAACTACAGATAAAGGGGGACTACTGTACCATCTACTCTTAGAAGAAACCAAATCTGAACTGTGGCCTGTTTTTTTTTTCATTTTTTATTAATAGACTTCATTTTTAATGATTTTTTTTTCTTTTTTTGGAGACAGAGTCTCACTCTGTCGCCAAGCTGGAGTGCAGTGGCATGATCCTGGCTCACTGCAACCTCCACCTCCTGAGTTCAAGCGATTCTCCTGCCTCAGCCTCCTGAGTAACTGGGATTACAGGCACCCACCACCATGCCCAGCTAATTTTTGTATTTTTAGTAGAGATGGGGTTTCACCATGTTGTCCAAGATGGTCTCGGTCTCCTGACCTCATGATCCACCCGCCTCAGCCTACCAAAGTGTTGGGATTACAGGCGTGAGCCACCGTGCCCGGCCAAGAATTGTTTTAGGCTTACAAAAAAGTTGAACAGAAAGAAAGAGTTCTTATATTACTTCCCCATCCCAGTTTTCCCTGTGATTAATGTCTTGCGTTAGTGTGGTACATTTGTTATAATTATAAACCACTACTGATCCATTCTTATTAACTAAAGTCCATAGTTTATATTAGGGTTGACTCACTATGTTGCAGGGTTCTAAGTATTTGGAAAAATGCAGGCTGCCATGTATGCACCATTGTAGCATCACACAGAAGAGTATGTCCGATGCCCTAAAAATCTCCTGTGCTTTACCTATTCACCCTCTCCTCCTCATCCCCTAATCTCCAGGCAACTGCGAATCCTTTTTACTCTCTCAATAATTTCGCATTTTCCAAAATGGCATAGAGTTGAATGTTATGAGCTGAATTGTGAACAAGACACCTCCAAAAAGATATGTTGAAATTCTAACCTCTAGTACCCTGAAACAAGATTCTACTGGGGAATTGCACATGCAATTATTTAAGATGAGGTCACACTGAAGTAGAGTAGGCCCTTAATCCAATATGAATGGTTTTCTTATAAGAAGAGAAAAATTTGGACACAGATGCAGACACAGGAAGAACACTATGTAATAATGGAGGTAGAGGTTGGAGTTATGCAGCTTCAAGCCAAGGAATGCCAAGGATTGCCGGCAACTCCAGATTCTAACAGAAAGGCATGGACAGTTTCTCCCCTGAGCCTTCAAGAGAGCATAGTCTGGCCGTCATCTTTATTTTTGGACTTTCAGCCTCCAGAGCTGCTAGAGATTACATTTCTATTGTTGTAAGCCACTTGGTATGTGGTAATTTGTTGAGGCAGCCCTCAGAAACAAATACATTGGAATCAAACATTATGTAGCCTTTTCAGATGTTTCTTTCACTCTGAATATATATCCAGAGTTCCTCCTTTATTTTTGTGGCTTGATAGCTTCTTTCTTTTAATGGCTAGAATGGTATTTCATTGTACAGATGTAGCATAGTTTGTTTATTCATTCGCCTATTGAAGGATTTATTGGTTGTTTGCAGTTTTTGACGATTATGAATAATGTTATTGACAGAGACAGGAGACAGTCAAATGCCACCCAGGTCATTGTGCACAGGGGGCTTGCCTAAATATGCCCATGCTGAAAAGTTCCGTCCCTTCCTTAACACATGCGCAGTAAGGGAAATAAATCAATGTGGAGCGGCTCAGATTAAGAGCCCGCCTGCACACTGGGAGAGTGCAGCGGAGCCATTGGGAGTTCACACCTTATGCAGAGGGAGGAGCCTGGCCTCTTCAGCTCCTGTGTGGTGGCTTGGTACTCAATTTGTGAGCTGGGAGCCTGTTGGTAGGACCCCTTTTTTTCACTGAGAGTTTTCTTTTAATAAATTCCACTCTCCTTACCTTTCAATATGTCCATGTGCCTAAATTTTCCTGGTCATGTGACAAGAACCCGGATTTTAGCTGAACTAAGGAGCAAAAAATCCTGCATCATTAATATAAACATTTGTGTGCAGGTTTTTGTGTGGACAGAAGTTTTTAGTCTGCTGTATTTTCTCTCAGCTTTTGTCCATCTACTTGCATTAAGGGACAAGACACTTATTTCTTCCTCTGCAGCATGTGAATTGCCCTTAGGTTTCCCTCCTTTCCTTAATTCATTCAAAAAATATTTATTGAGTACCTCCTGTGGGCCAGACACTTTGCTAAATATTGGAGCCCTAATGGTAAGTAAAATAGAGGTAGTTCCCACTTTCATGCAGCTTTAGTTGAAGAGCAGAGATCTCAGAATTCAAGTGAGATCTTGAATAGAATAATTAAAAGCCATAAGTGCTATGTGGGAAACAAATAGTGTGCTGAGATTGGAAATGCTGGGTTGGGGCTGCAGGAGCAGTCTCAGGTAGGTGATGAGAGAGGGGGCTCATGTGGGCCTGGGCCCCATAAGCTGGGAGAGACCTTGGCATGTGCTGGGCTCAGAAAGGAGGCAAAGGAGCTGAAGTGTTTTGAGCCAGGGCAGGGTTGAGGAAGCTGTCATGAGATGAGGCTGCAGAGAGAGGCAGCAGCACTCATACACACTGAAGTGCTCTTGTTCTGTGCTATTAGAGGGATTGAAAATGGGAGGTAACACGGTCCAATTTACGGTTTTCTGAGTTTTATGTTAATGACAGATAACGATGCTGCAACCACGGAACAAATATCAGTCTGTGAATTTGGAAACTTTTCAACATCTGTAGTCTTTTCTTCATCCTACTCTGATGAGATTTTCTGGAAGGTCTAGACTTCGGATAGGGCTTTTTCAAGGTATTCTAGAATATGGTGTGAATGGTGCTCCCCAGGGTTGCACAGTGGGGATGTGGTGACTTCACGTCATCTCAGGATTAGGCTGTAACAGCCATTTCATAGACAGATCAGTTCAGGTGGGGTCAGAGATTATGCCACCTTGGACTAAAGCTGTTTCTGTATTGTCACATAACAGTTAAACGTGCGGATTTAAATATGAAAATTTAGTTAGTTCTTCTCCTATGACTTATTTGGCTTGATTAAACCAGATTTAAATAAGCTAATTTTCCAGCCTGCCAGATAATTCCTCTAGATCTTAACAGGTCCTGCAGTGATGAGGAAATTCTTCTTAAATACACACAGAAACGTGAAAGTCTTCACCTAAACAACCACAAAAAGCTGTCTAAACTCAACCATAATACTTCACTTGCTCCAACAAAGAAGTGGATTTTCGATAGCCTATTCCAGAAGTTCCCCACACTTGTGTATATTAATTTTTCAGATGGAAACTGGTGAGGTGAAAATAATTTAGAGAGGAAAAAAATCCAAAAATCCAAGACCTTGTTAGTGAGCTTTGACAGGCAGAGCTGAAGCTGATGAAATTCACACTTGTGACTGAACAAATTATTGATGGGTTCCTCTGGGCCTTCAGTTCCCAGTCAAGGGCAATTAGTATGCTCACGGCTACATGGATGTGCATAATAATAGCTAACTCTTATGGAGTCCTTATTAGTACTAAATACAGCCCTAAATTCTTTTCGTGTGTTGTTTCATTTAATCTTCACAGCCCAGTGAGGTATGTGTTACAGTTACCCTCCTTTTTTAGAGAGGACATTGAGGAATCTGCCCAAAGTCCCACAGTGGTAATTGGCAGAGCCGGGATTTGAACCCAAGTGGTCAGATCACAGAGCTTGCTCTCACATTGGTACCAAGTGATTCTCCATGTGACCTCTCTCAGCTCCATCTTACCAAGAGAGTGGTGATTGCCTGGGCCAAGGGTGGCCCATGCCGGCAGTCCACAAAGTGGCCTCATAGAAGCAGCTATACCAAAACTGGAACAGGGGTCATTAATGAGAGCAATCAGGTTTTCTCTTGTGAATATGTACTGAGGAATACAGATGGAGGAACACAGAGGGAGGGGCAGCCACCAAAACTCACATGGCAAGAACTCGGGTGCACTGAGGCCCTAAGATCACAGAGGCCTATAGGGGTTGTGAATGAACCAAAGCAATGATCACCCACAAGTGTTAGCAAGCAGAGGTGTCATGTAGGGAAATGACACAGAGGAGAGGAGAAAGTGGATAGTCAGGGGAGGAGAGGGATTGGGATGTGACAGAGATTTAGTGAATTCTCACAGCTAAGAAGACAGAGACCCTGTCCAAGCTCATGCTCCTATTCTATGACAACCAGGGGATTCCTAACAAATGCTGCCACATTGTGAATAGAAGGAAGATGACTCGCAGAAGGACTGTGGGGTCCTGGGAATGGCAGCACTCCTGAGGGCAATTCAAGAGCGTTTGCTGCTGAGGACCTGATGAGATTGCTCTGCCCCTGGAGCCGAATGACTTTCCAGGGAGTTTGCCTCTCTTCTATGGCTCCTTTTTTTTCTCATGAGATTTTCTTCTTTGTTGGCATGAGTACCATTTCAACCAAAATGGCAAAAAGTTTGTTTTTGGCAAAAACAACAGCAAAGAACACTGTTTATGTAACAAATGGAACAGTTTCTTCAGATCCTCTTCAAATTTTTATTTCCCCCTCATTAGGGATGGAAATAACAACATTCAATTCTACCTGAATTCTAGCTTCTTAAAATCAAAGCATGTAAAGGTAAGGGTCATCTAGGTTTTTAATATCTTAAGTGTTACAAATTTCAAATTACCTTTCAATGGTGAAATATGTTTTGTTTTCTTTCCCTTGTAAAAATCCAAGATTGATCATGCATGTGCATGAATAATCTAGATAATGACTTTCCATTTATTAGAATAACTTACAAACTCTGCCTCATATATTCTCCTCTGCTGTCAATTACATGCCTCAAGAATGGACCTCAAGGTCAGTTTTACAGACAGGTTTGCATCTGCCGATTTGTTCCCTGGTACCCAGTTCTGAAAGTGAATTTAAAGGACCAGCTAACCACCACGTGGGGCATGCTTCATGGAGAGAATGTAAGATTTCAATTAACTAGCTGCGATTTCTCGTCCCAGTTTTACCACCTTTCTGACTGTAATCTCAAAGCAAATCACTTAACTCTCCTGAGCATCAGTTTTCTCATCTGTAACCTAGGAGATGTAATGATACATTTAGTAATAACTATTTAAATAGAATTCTTGTGAGATTTTGATGACATCCTATATGCGAAAGTGCTAACGCAATGATTATTTTAGATTTCCCCTTAGCATTGATTACTGGTTAGAAGATGTTAACATTTTGTTTTATTTATATTCTCTATACCCATCTTTATTTACTGGATAGATTACTTCGAGCAAGTCATTTAATATCCTCATCATTGTTCTTAAGACAAAGACCAAAATCTTTAACACGGCTTGTCTGTCAACCGTAAGGCCAATTCCTTCCCTGGGTCTCCAAGTTCTGGACATACTTGCCTTCTTTTGGGTTTGAAGGAAGCCACCTTCCTGTCTACCCTTAGGTCCTTGCACATGTTTTCTCTGCTTGAAATGCACCCGCAACTCCAATCTTGCTCCACTCCCCTCTTCTCTTACATAATGCTGCTGGAGCTTAGTTCAGACGCTACATGCCTGGGGAAATCCTGCCCACCCTTGGGTTTAGCTCAAGTCTATTTGTTATGGGCTCCCTGTAGTTCATCCTTGCACTTATCACAGATAGCAACAGCACTTATTTTTCTGTATGTGAGACAAGAACATTGTTTTCCTGAAAGCAAAGGCCGTGTGTGTGCTGCTTCCCTTGGAAGCCCAACCCATAGCTCAGTGCCTGGCATATGGTGTATACTTGACAATTGTGTTTTGTCTGAATAAGAAAATAACTTGAATACAATTAGTAAAACTTGTAATGTGAAGTAAATATATTGAATAGTTAATAAAAACTAATATAGACTAACAACTGTATCAGGTACTAAAGAGAGTGACCAAATTATTTATTTATTGAAGTAATTATTTATTTTGTCTATTGGTTACATAGGAACTGAGTTTGTCAGCAAGCATACATAATCTACAAGCTAGTACAGTATAAAACAGTTGAAAATTGGTACCTAGGAATATATAAACATAAAAAGGAAAGGCCATGTCAAAAGCTAGAATAAATATTTAGACTAGAGTGTCCTATGAGGTTAATAAAATTGAGCTGTAAATTTGATTCTATGCTTGCCACGGGCCAAAACAAAAACGAAAATATGATCAGTTATGTGATGGTCATTGACCTGAGGGAAAAATCCCTCCAGTCTTCTAGAGAAAGAAGGCCGTTCATGGGATTTTTTTTTTTTTTTTTTTTTTTTCCTTTCTGAAAGACGTTTCTTTGAAGGGACAGCACTTATTTTCTCCATGGCTCCTTGAGCACGTTGGCAGCCTTCCAAAACCTGCAGCATTAGACGGTCAGAGATTCAGAGATTCTGTTTCCAGATTCTTTTCCTCTTCTGAAATTTCTGTCTCATTGCAGTTAAAAAAAAAAAAAGGAAAAAAAAAGCTTAAAGTGTGATCTTTCCCAGACCTGAGGTGGTAGCAGGTCGGGGGTATATCCAGGTCTTCCAGGCCCTAACCCTTTGGTGTGACAATATCCCCACAGACCCTGCTTTAGTACTGACTCTACACTTACCAGCTGCTGACCTGGAGCGAATCACTGAATCTTCCTCAATTTCTTTGTCTGCATGGGCCTGCTGATAACTCCTTCACAGGGTGGCTGAGAAGATGGATGTGATAACATCTATAGCTGCGCCTGGCAGAGCCCCATGCTCCATAAAATGGTTCTGTCTTCATACATTTCTTCTCCCCTCTCAGATTTGACATAAGGTCCCTGGAGAGACTGTGAGCAGTAGGTCCCTCTTATCCAGGGTTTTGCTTTCCAAGCTTTCAATTACCTGCAATCAACCAGAGTCCTAAAATAAGTGAGTATAGTAGAATAAAATATTTTGAGAGAAGAGAAAGAGACCACATTCACGTAACTTTTGTTAGAGTATATTGCTCTATTTTATTATTAGTTGTTATTGTTAATCTCTTACTGTACCTAATTTGTAAATTAACTTCATCACAGGTATGTATGTACAGAAAAAAAAAACCTAGTATATATAGGGTTCACTACTATTTGTGGTTTTAGACTCCACTGGGGGTCTTGGTACGTATCCCCTGTGAGTAACAGGGGACTACTCTATTTGAAAAACTCTTGTAGATGTATGAGCATGTGTATATTCTAAGGACTCAGAGAGAAGGGAGGCCCAATCTACTATTTTACCAAACAAAAGAGGGAAGAAATAATTGAATTTATTTCTGTTTATTAATAATTTTCTTCCTGAATTTTACTTTTTATATTTTTTAAATTTATTTTTACCTAAAGCAATCAAATCAGGAATGGTTTTGTAACCTCTAATCTTTTCACCTAATATGTAATGTGTATATAGAATTTAAAAGTATAGAGTATGTCACTTAAAAAAAATCCTTACTTTTGCAAATTAATGAGGCATTGCACCAGTGATTCATGCAAGTAAAAACAAAACAGGGAGTTGTGGGATTCATGGTCAAGAGTCAGGAATGATTTAGCCGTTGAATATATATTGGGGTTTCCCAGCTTTGCTACCTTTATACTGAGAAACTGAGCTTCCACTTAGCTGAACCTAATCACTGCTAGAGATTTTTCTTTCTATAAAATTCTCTAAATGCTTATTTGGTCTCTTGTGCCAAATTTCTGAATTAAAAAGCGTAGTAACTTCACTTATAACGTCTATGATTTCTGAGCAAATTATTCTTGTCTTTCTAACTCATTCAATGCAGATTTGTCCATCTGAGAAGGTCATGAGAAATGCGTACCTTCTTTAGAAGTCACCTTAGATATAGTGGTTTCTGTGACAAAGTCTCAGAGAGACAAAGTATATTGCCCAGTGGTTACCAGCACTGTCAACAGGTGGACATGTTTATTTGTACAGTAATTTTCTTTATATATACTTTTTTTCCCCGAAAGAAAGCATTCTGTTAGCACACCAGATCTAAATGTGGATACTCTGTATGTGTCTCATTATGGTTTTGTGGACAAAGGAACTAAAAACAATGGTAGTTTAATAACAAAGTAGCTTTGTTTCCTCTAGCAGTGTCAGAAATGTAGACTCTTTCTCTCAGGGGAAAAAAAAGGTACTAACTGTGTGGTTCTAATGTACTAGCAAAAATGTGTCTAGTGCGGAACGTTTTAACTGGTAAAAATGGAGTAGATTTATACACAGCAATCCAGGGTGCTTAATGCTGTTAAAAATATTTAGATTTAATAGTCCATAGATATTAAGTTAGAAAGGTTTTAATGACCAATATCCATAGAAGAGAGATATTGGCTTGCATAGTAGACTACTCTGTTTTGAACATGAGGCATTTCCCAGGATTTTGCAAATTTCTATCTTTAGGTGTTCTAGATTGGAGTAGTAACCTCAAAGGTGGCCACGGTAGGCAGCCCTCTGTGGCCTGTGAAATTCTCTTGCACAATCCTGCACTGGGACTGGCAAATCAACATTTCTAGCATTTTGACCATAACATAGCTTTTACAATAGTATCTACCTAGTGTCTGTAGCATGAGTAGTGAAGATAAGCATGCCATCTTCCTTTCATTGAATACTTACTCTGTTAGGTATGACTCGAAGTGCTTCAGCCATGTTATCTCATTTAACTCTCTGAGTTGATATGATTATTATTCCCATTTTACAGACAAGAAACTAAGGTCCAGAAAGTTTAAGTGACAGCTGGTATGTGTTGTGGAGCAGATTCTAATCAGAGGGTCTCTGGCTGTGGGGTCTCTTTTCTAAACTGCCACACATATTGTTCCTCAAAGATCTAATTGATAGTTACCTAAGTTACCTAATTATTAGCAGTACAGAAGGATGGCAGCTGGTGTTTCAGCCCTAGCTCTCCAGCCTATTTCCTAGGTGACCTTGGGCATGTTATTTATTCTTTGGCGTTGGTTTCCTTATCAGTCAAATATGGAGAGTTTAACTAGATGGTTTTTAAGATTCCCTTTGTCATCATATTGGGTGAGTCTGTGATTAATATGACTTATTAATTTGGGTGGTCTCGATAATTTGCGAATAGCAGTGGCTGTTGTGATCCCTTTTACAGACCTACATTTTATAAAGGACAAGGACAGTTGTTTCACAATAGCACAGGGTAACGCAGTATAAGAGCAAGCACCGTGCACTAGTCATCTGGTGACTTTCTGGAAGGAGGTCAGAATATCTAGGTAGTACCAGTTCATCTGGGCTGCTATTAATACAACAAAATGCCATAGACTGGGTGGCTATGGCATAAAAGTTTATGTCTCACAGTTCTGGAGGCTGGGAAGTCCAAGATCAAAGTGCTGGCAGATTTGAGGTCTAGTGAGGGCCCATTTCATGATTCATAAACAGCATCTTCTTGCTGAATCCACATGTGGTGGAAGAGGAGAACTCTGGTCTCTTTACAGTCTGATAAAAGCACTAATCCCATTCATGAGGTCTCCACCCTCATGACTTTATCACCTCCCAATACTATCTACCTCCTAATACTATCACACTAGGGATTGGGTTTCAGCATAGGAATTTTGAGGGGACACAAACATTCAGACTATAGCAGGTTTAACCACATCCCAGCTACATAAGCTTTATCAGACTACACGACAGTTCTGAGCTTTGCTTTTTTTCAGCTGAAACTTAACAGAGTGTATCTTATATTCAATGTCTTTGGATTGAAAGAAATAAAGTACAGCATATGAATGCCTTAACATAATTATGAGCAGAATTATTGAAAGACCATTGATAAGCAGCGACCAAGAGAAGAGTACAAAATGGACAACAAACATGTTGGTCACAGAACAAATGATCACTGAAGCACATATTATTTGCCTGTTACTGTGATGGCAGAGGAGTATTCAATAGTACCTCTCTCCTGTGCAGGTTTTAAGATCCTTCTTGATGTCCCCCCTGATTCTACTCTTGTGGCCCTTCCCCATAAAAGAGAGACAGTTGGGTTGTGGTTGAAGACTCTATACACACCTTGGTTGTCTCATTTGCCTTGTCTCATTTGCCACACTACACTGGGGTTGATCTGCTCATGTGTGTGCCTCATCCATTAGAATGTGAGCGACTCAGGGGCTCACATCACTACCTTCTAGTCCTATGCCTGGCACAAAGTCAGTGCTTGATGGATGTTTGTTGGTAGACTGCAAGTCCTTGCAATCTATTTAGACCAATCTACTTAGACATATGACACAATTAGAATACATTTAGATATTAACATCAGCAATTATAACAAAACCAACAACAATAAGAATCATAATAGCTACTGCTTATTGAGAACAAGGCACTCAGCTAACAGAGTCATTGCTTGCACATAAACCACAACTGTACTGTTATACATTTGACCTCCTTCATCATCTTTTCCAGGTTGAATTTAGACCTGTGGACCTGAAATAACGAATTCATTTTTTTTTTTTTAGCCTGGTAGAGTTGCCTCTCGGCTGATAGTTCAATTCTGGCAGCATCCTCCATTTTAATCTTTGTAGCAGTGGTTTATTTAATAATTTGGATTTTTTCATACTTTTGTACTTATTTTATAATATGCATGGAAAGGAAAAAATGAAAGTATAAGAGTACTGATTTTAATAATGAGTAATGTGGTCTCATGCATTTAATTCAATTTAGAAAAAGTTGGAAAGCATCAGGGTGCCAAAAATTGGGACAATTTATCCTTAATTGGACATTCATTGATCTTAAGCCAGTCGACTGTGGTTTAATTGTCAAAGCAAAGAACAAAATTATAGAACATGTGCAAAACTCTAAAAATCAATGGTCAAAGATTATATTTAGAATTGGATGAAATTAGGAATTTTTTTATAGCACACTGAACATGGAGTCCCATTTACTGAATACATAATCGTGATGTTCAAGTTTAACCAATTTGAAAATTTTCAGCAATGCATTATGTAGGAAAATTGAGAACTTCGTATGTTTTGCTTAATTCTCCAAATTCTTCAAAGTAGACGTAGATTTCACCGTTACAGAGAAGTCATATGCTTAGGAAGTGGCAAAGCTGCATTATTAGTTTGTTAGGACTCCTATAACAAAGCACCACAGAGTCAGTGGCTTAAACAACAATTTACTTTTTCATAATTATGGAAGGTAGAAGTTCAAGATCAAAGTGTCATTAAGTTTGGCTTCTTTTAAGGCCTCTCCCCTTGGCTTGCAAATGGTTGCCTTCTCCCTGTGTCTTCAGATGGTCTTTCCTCTGTGTGCCCACATATCTCTTATAATCTCCTTCAATAGGGATACCACCATATTGGATTAGGGCCCACCTATAGGAGCCCATGTTACCTTAATTACCTCTTTAAAGGTTCTATTTCTAAATCCAGTCACATTCTGGGGTCCTAGGGGTTAGGATTCAACTTCTAAAATTTAGGAGAGAGGGACACAATTTAGCCCATAATATTATGACATGATTCAAAGCTAGTGACTGTAAACTCATCTTTTTTTTTTTTTTTCAAGAAGAGAAGAACTTATCTTGAGGAATTAGGACAGAGAGAAGATGGCAAAAAAGAAACTCATAATTGGAGGACCAATATAGGAAAAAGTGATTCAGAATGCCAAAGATAGAAATCAGCCCTGAAAGGTGAATTTTTTTTCCCTAAATCATTATGTTTTACTTTTCTATTGATACAATAAAACAAAACAAAACAACAAAAACTCTTTTGGCTTTAAGCGGCTTGACCCCAGTGTAAAGTTTGAAGAATTAGGTCAGGCACATATTACTGCTCTGAGTAATACAGCAGCTGCCTCACTGCAAAATGACTAAGGTGTTCAGAGAACTTTAATCAACCTAATCAGGTCATCTGTGGGACTTAAAGGGGTCTGGTTACAAATCTTCAAAGCTCTGAACTACTTTCTGCATCCACAGGCTAAAAGGGTTATTAAGTTAGTTGCACAGAGAGATGGAATTAATACTACTTGATTGAGCTAAGGGCATCATATTCTAAAAAGCAATTAAAATAATTCGGACCTTTGAAAAGTAAATCAGTGAATTTTGATGTTACATTTGAATCTGGGAAAAGGCAAATAGTGAATTTAATAAGTATGAATGAGTCTTTTAACTGAAGAATTTTTAGGGGATTTTAGTATATACTTTTCTTTGAAAAGTAATTTAGTGATCATAAAATCCAGATTTTTGCATTCCCTTTTATGTACACAAAGACTTTTGCTTTCTGCGTGTGAAGTACATCACAATTCATAGTTTATACATATATATATATACCAATATATATATATTCATATATAGTAGCCAAAATTTCATTAATAGCCCATTTTCCCAGGCTTTCAGAAATCATTTGCTTTGTTACTTCAATTGACTGCACAGTAAAATGTGAAAGTTGGCAGAGTGACTTCTGGGGAGCAAAAATGTACATTAAGAACTGTTTGAGTACTCAAATAATAGAATTTGAGTTATAAGAAAATCCCTTAGTTGTCAATCAAAGGCAACAGATTAATTTCTAAGGAGCTTAATAAGCCTGAGTTTGAACATGCAAATTAGAAAAGGACTTGACCAAAATAACTACAAAGAAAGCAGTGAGGAGTGGTAGAGAGAAATGACTGCACACACAAAATATGCTTGAGGAATAGCCAGTTTTAAAAGCTTTGATAGGCAGTGAAGGCATTACTTTGCAGTGACTTAGGTTATATCAATGATCCAGAGTCATAAAGAGTTAAATAGCACCTATAGCTTCTATTTAAGAGGGAAGATTACTGTGAAATGCACATGATATCTCTGGAAAACTAAATTCCATGTACTATGCTATTCATTCATTTATTCACTAATTAATAGATGATATATCAAACACCTACTATTTATTATCCAACAAATACTCGTTGAGTGCCTTCTCTTTCAGGCATTGTCTTAGACTCTGGGAATATACCAATGAGCACAACAGATATAAATATCTGCCCTGTACCACCTATGCTTTCATTTTAGTTGGAGGAAACAGACAATAAAATGGTAAATAAGTAAATGTCTTTGTCCACTTTGTGTTCCTATAACAGAATACCACAGACTGGATAATTTATAATAAAATGTATTTGGGTCATGATTTGGTGGGGCTGAGAAATCCAAGATCGAGTTGTATCTGATGAGGGCCTCCTTGCTGTGTCACCCCATGGCAGAAGGGAAAACAGACAGCAAGAGATCAGACTTGCAGTCTCAAGCCCTTTTAGAGTCAGCATTAATCTATTCATGAGGATGGAGCCCTCATGACCTAAACACCTCCCATCAGGTCCCACCTCTCAACACTGTTGCACTGGATATTAAGTTTCCAACAAATGCTTTATGGAGGACACATTCAGACCATAGTGGTAACATATAGAATGTCTACACAGAATAGACAGTGTTACGTGCTATGAAGGAAAATAAGACAGGAAGTAATCTACCCAAATGAGAAACATATTGCATTCAAAATCCTCTTGAGAAGATATAGAAGGGCTTGGCAGTTAGAGCAGCAGACTAGAAAACAGAAATTGGCATTATGACACTAATTTTGCTACCAAATGCATTGGGTAATAAGGTGTTTCATCTTTGTTTACCATAGTTTCCCTACTCTAAAAAGACATTTATGGAATTTAGTTTTGATGGTTAAATTATAAAATTATAGTTTTACAATATAAAAATTACAAAAATCAATTCACTCAAGATGTGTATTGACAGCTATGATATGTACCATACCATATATGTTGATGAATGTCTTTTGTATGCAAATAAGATGGCTGGTGGCTGAGAACTTCTAGATAGCTTTGGAATGAGGGCTGCTTGCTAGAAAGACCAAGGCATGACTAGAGGTTTGAAAGAAAGAGATTTGAGATTGAGATAATCACTAAAAACTGAGTTACTCACCAATGGCCAGTGATTTAGTCAGTCATGTCTACATAAACAGACCACCATAAAACCCCCTAATCTATAAAGTTTAGAGAATTTCAGGGTTGGTTAACACTTGGGGTTCTGGGAGGTACAAAAATGGCATGCAACTCCATGCACCCTTTGTTGAAGGCCGAAAGAATGAGGATCGTGATCAACTCAGTATACCACTGGAAGCTATATGAGTAAACAGCAAACTGTTTCTCATGAAAGCAGGATGTTGGCAAATTGACAAACTGCATCTGCCACCCAGAAGGAATGCTGAGGGCAGTCATGACCCAGGCACAAGTATTTCTTGTAATTAGGCACAGCTGAAGCCTGTTAGCAATAATGTGAACCTGTGATCAATTAAGCAGCTGACCATTCATTACCTCCTGCTCCTTGCTCTTTCTACCCAATAAATATGAAGGGCTATAGAGGCTCAGCCGGCTGCTGCCTTTGCTCACTAGAAGCAGGGAGCCCTCTTCTTCTTCCCCTGGCTGCTTTCTTTAAAATAGTTCCTTTTGTGTTAAGTTTTCATTTCTGTGTTTGTCCTCCTTTGTTCAGTCTCGTAGTGATGGTCTCAAGTAGTAACCGAGGCAGCCTGCCACAAGTGGCGCTGGAACAGGGACAATCAGGGACAAACAGAGACCTGAAGGGACCTGAAGAGGCCTGCAGGGACAAAGGGACAAATAGAGATAAGTAGGGATAAATAGAGACAAACAGAGATAGGTAGGGAAAGATAGAGACTTGCAGGAACTTACAGGAACCAACAGGGACCATAGGGACAGACAGGGGCAGATAAGGATAAAGACTAGCAAAGACTAGCAGAGACTAGCAGAGACTAGCAGAAGCTAGCAGAAACTTGCAGGGACAGACAGGGAAAGATAGGGTCCTATAGGGACTTGAAAGAGGAAGGTCTGCTGGAGTAGAAGAAACTAAAAGCCCAGAAAAAAACTAAAACCAACCAGACAAACGAGAAACCCCGTTACAAGTGTGCTGGCAGCAATATAAGGTCAGTGCTCTAAA
This sequence comes from Homo sapiens, assembly GCF_000001405.40. Classification (NCBI taxonomy): domain Eukaryota; kingdom Metazoa; phylum Chordata; class Mammalia; order Primates; family Hominidae; genus Homo; species Homo sapiens. The sequence continues at coordinate 92,621,271 of NC_000012.12, read as the reverse complement.
AAGGTACTGGTCAGTGCCCTAGAGGTATAAAAAATGGGAAGTTTTTAAATCAGGGTAACATGGGGAAGAATTTGGCTATTTCTTTTCTTTTTTTTGTTTGAAGTTTGGTTTGTACTGTCTTTTTGCTATTATTTCAGGGTTTGAGAGAATTTTTTGCCCCACCTACAGCACCTATCAAAAGTGGTAAACAGGAGAAGGAGGATGAAAATTGGCTTGTACCATCTTCTTTTGTGGCTGCAGAAATGCTAGCTTTGGCTTTGGCTTTTGGGAATGCAAACAGATTGTAAACGTGCACTGGCACCTGTGAGATGTACAAAAGGCTTAGGAACACCTGGAAGCGCAGGATTAGATCTCCCAGTCACAGAATGGGTTACATTAATTGGAGGAAACAAATTCACTAAGATTCCCACTGGTATTTGGGGACCTTTGCCAACAGGATACATGGCATTAATTCTGGATAAAAGTCATCTTAACATACAGGACATTACTGTAGTCCCACGAGTTGTTGATTCCGATTGTGAAGGAGAAATTCAGTTAGTGGTAATGTTACAAGATCTTTGGGTTTTTGAACCAGGGAGAATATATTGCTCAACTGTTGCTTATTCCCTGTAAATTACACCTTTCTCCACAGAAGGAGAAACGAGGGAATCAGGGATTTGGAAGTACAACTAGGAGGGAAATTTATCTGTCACAACCCATAGCATCTAATAGACCCACTTGTGCAGTGTAAATTGAAGGAAGTAAGTTTTGTGGGCTTATGGATACAGGAACAGGAGACTGGAGGGACTCATGGATCCCAGCCATGGGCCTGGTTCCCTCAGCACCAGCTGAATGCAAAGCCAGAATGAACCACCAACCGGCAATTGAAGGCTGCACATTTTGCAATTGCCTTTCTCAATTAATTCAAAAACAGAAGAAGGGAGATGTTGAAGGCCAAAAGAATGAGGGTCGTGATCAACTCAGTATATCACTGGAAGCTATATGAGTAAACAGCAAACTGTTTCTCATGAAAGCAGGATGTTGGCAAACTGACAAACTGCGTCTGCCACCCAGAAGGAATGCTGAGGGCAGTCACGACACAGGCACAAGTGTTTCTTGTAATTAGGCACATCTGAAGCCTGTTAGCAATAATGTGAACCTGTGACCAATTAAGCAGCTGACCATTCATTACCTCCTGCTCCCTGTTCTTTCTACCCAATAAATATGAAGGGCTGTAGAGGCTCAGCCGGCTGCTGCCTTTGCTCACTAGAAGCAGAGAGCCCTCTTGTTCCCTTGGCCCCCTTCTTTAAAATAGTTTCATTTCTGCGTTCGTCCTCCTTCTTGCAGTCTCATAGTGACAGTCTCAAGTAGTAACTGTGGCAGTCTGCCACAACCCTTCACCCCATACCTTGCCCTATGCATCTCTTTTATTTGGCTGTTCCTGTGTTGTATCCTTAATAATAATTCAATGATAGTGAGTAAAAGGCCTTCCTGAGTTCTGTGAGACATTCTACCAAATCATTAAACCTGAGGAGTGAGTCTAGGGACCCTCTCCCCCATTTATAGCCAGGTGATAACAAGTATGGGAGAGCAAGGACTTGTGATTGGTGTCTAAAGTGGGGGCAGTCTTAGGGAACTGAGCCTTTTAACTTGTGGAATCTAACACTAACTCCAGGTAGATAGTGTCAGAATTGAATTGAATTATTGAACACTCAGCTGGTTGGAGAATTATTTGGAGTGGGAGAATCCCCACACACATTTGGTGTCAGAAGTGTTGTGAGTGAAAATGGTTCATATTTCCTTTGGAGCAAAGACCTCTAGGCCAGCAGAGGATAAAGTTGCAGGAACAAGAAGCAAAAATTTGCTAGTGGTTCATTAAGGGTAGCAGTAAGTGGTGCCACTCCCATTTCCTTTATTCCTGGACCCATGAATTTTGGCCGTGAGATCCAATATATGGGCTATGGGAGCACGATATGTTTGACATTGACTCACAGCATATACAGCCTCCTGGAGAACTTTGTGCCAGCCCTGCAAGGTATTGCCACCTAGCTGGTACTGTGAGTATTTAAAAGGCAATTCCACTGTTCTAGGAAGACAGCTGCTTCAGGATGGTGGGCAATGTGGTAAGATGTGAATTCCATGAACATGGGCCTGTTGCTGCACTTCTTTTGCAGTGAAGTGAATTCCCAGATTGGGAGCAATGCTGAGTGGAATACCATTATCAGGATAAGGCATTCTGTAAGTCTTCAAATGGTAGTTTTGGCAGAAACATTGTATGCAGGGAGGGTAAATCCATGTCCAAAGTATGTGTCTCTTCCAGTAAGAGCAAAATGATGTTCCTTTCATGGTAGAAGTAGTTCAATATAATCAATCTACCAGTAAGAACTGGCTGATCACTGTGGAGAATGGTCCCATGTTGGGAGCTCAGTGTTGGTCTCTGCTGCAGCCGATTGGGCCCTCAGCAGTGGTTGCAGCCAGGTCAGCCTTGGTAAGTGGAAGTCCACACTGCTGAGCCCATGTGTAACCTCCATCCCTGCCACCATGGCCAGTTAGGTGGTGACAAGGGTGGTTGGGGAAAGAGGTTGACTTGTATCCATAGAGCAGATCATCCTATCCACTTAGTTATTAAAATTCTCCTCTGCTAAGTTTACCATTTGGTGAACATTCACATGAAAGAAATATCTTCATATATTTTACCCAGAGAGGTTTATCCACATACCTCTTCCTGAAATGTCCTTGTCACCAATTTTCTAATCATGTTCCTTCTAAATCCCTGACCATCCAGCCAAACCATTGGCTAAAGCCCATTAATCAGTATATAATTACATATCTGGCCATTTCTCCTTCTAAGCCAAATGAACAGCCAGGTGCATTTCCTGGTGTTCTATCCACTGGGAGGAATTCCCTTCATCACTCTCCTTCAGGGATGTTCCAGAAAGGAGTAGTAGTGCTATAGCTGTTAACTTTTGGGTGGTGGTGTAAGACATTGAGAGCCTGGTTTGGGGACATAGCAATGGGAAGAGGACAGACAGTTGTAAAGGCTAGTTAGTGGAAGAACTAGCAGAGAAGTGCGTATTATGCAGAACCATCTGTAAACCAGGCCTGAGTCTTTCTCTGTCAACTGATCATAGGTCACTCCCTCTGAGGCCATAGGTGCAGGCTGGGAGAGAGAAGGCAATGTAGCAGGAGTGGGGTCCAAGGGCATTTGAGCCACTTCTTATAACTTGTGCCTTCAGGTCCTGCTTGGGCCCAATCACATGTATGCCACTTCCACTTGATGATGAAGTGCTGCTGTATGCACCCATCTTTGTGATGTGGAGGGTCAGACAAATGCCAGTTCATGATGGGCATCTCAGGTGACAGGGTAACTCAGCCCCTGGTCAAGTGTTCAGTTTCTACCGAGGCCTAATAACAGGCCAAAAGCTGTTTCTTGAAAGAAAAGTAGTTAGCTGTGGATGGTGGTGGGGCCTTGTTCCAAAATTCTAACAGTCTAAGCTGCAATTAACCTATGGGGGCCTGAAGAAGGCTCCAAACAGCATCCCCATCTTCCATGGACACTTCGAGCACCATTAGATCTACTAGATTCCATGGCCCAAGTGGAGGGGCAGCTTGCATAGCAGCCTGGACCTGTTGCAGAATCTTCTTTTATTCTAGGCGCCACTCAAAACTAACAGCATTTTGGGTCACGTGGTAAGTGGGCTGGAGTAATGTACCATTTCTCTTTTCTTTTTTTTTTTTTTTTGAGACGGAGTCTTGCTCTGTCACCCACGCTGGAGTGCAGTGGCACAATCTTGGCTCACTGCAACCTCCACCTCCTGTGTTTAAGTGATTCTCCTGCCTTAGCCTCCTGAGTAGCTGGGACTACAGGCGCATGCCACCACACCCGGCTAATGTTTTGTATTTTTAGTAGAGACAGAGTTTCACCGCGTTAGCCAGGATGGTGTCAGTCTGACCTCATGATCCACCCACCTCGGCCTCCCAAAGTGCTGGGATTACAGGCGTGAGCCACCGTGCTCAGCCTTCTCATTTCTTAAATGAGAAATATATTGTCTCCAACATTCTCTTGAAGACACATGGAAGGGCTTGGCAGTTAGAACAGCAGACTAGAAAGCAGAAATGGGCATTATGATACTAATTTTATTACAAAATGCATTGATTTAATATGATATTTCATTTTTCTTCACCATAGTTTCCCTACCATACAAAGAAAAAGGCATTTGTGGAACTTAATTTTGGCAGTGGAAGTCTAAAATTATAGTTTTACAGTATAAAAATAATGGAAATCCATTCACTCAGGATGTGCATTGGACAGCCATGATATGCACAGTACCATATTTGTTGTCATTAAATGCCCAAAATGTATAATCTACCCCTATTTTTTGAGGCACTTCAAGCAGGACCCTGCACACAGCAGGTACTTAATAAGTGTTACTTGAAGGCCCCATTTTTCACAAAGCTTAAAATCTATTTGAGGAAACTAAAAGACAACTTGACAGACTCAATAGTGGCATGGCAGTCCTGCAGCCATTTGTTGCACAGTTGATTTTCAATGAACACCCAGTAGGTTGCTCAAGCCAAGAGAATCTCTTGGGCAATGGTGGCTTCAGAGCTTCATGGGACTTACAGAGAATATATGGAAAGAAAAGAAGGTGCTTCAGGCAGGGTATATAGCCACTGGATCTCTCACAGTTTGTGGAAGTGGAACCATCCACCTGGAGAAAAGGGCTTGTGTTGAGAAATAATGGAAGGTGCACCTACAAGAAGTCTGGGGCCTCTACTTTGGCCCTGAGCTATGACATGGGAACTTTATTCTTTGTCTTATCAATAGTGGCTGTCTTTGTGGTTATGCAGAGGAGTAACAAGTTTAAAGCAGCACTTAAGAAAGATCTACTTGGTGTCAACAAAAGCAATGAATTGGAGAGGACCCAAATTGGAAGCAGGATACTATTAAGATATTTTCAGCATAGTCAAGGTGTGAGATATTGAGAGCCTGGTTTGAGGAAGTATTGGTGAAAATAGGACAGACCATTGTAAAGGCCAGTTAGTGGAGGAAACAGTAGAGAACTAATAGAGCTTGGTTATTGGAGAGAGTAAGGTGGGGAAAAGGAAGAATGAAAGACAAGTACATTTGAAGCTTGTGTGGCTGAAAGAATAAAGTAACTTTGATAATATAACAAAGATAAGTAACAAATAAAATAGAAGAATAAAGAAAGAGAAGCCAGATAAAAAGGAAAAATCAATTATTTTAATTTTATACTAATATAAGACATTATTATTAATGGCACAGCTCCTAATTCTCTATTTACGTAATACCTTATAGTTCACCGGGCACATTCCCAGGTATGATACATCATTTGTGATGAAGCTAGAATAGCACAATAGAAAGCCATAGGTGGTTAGAAGAATGCAAATACAGTTGGAAAGAGAGGGGAGAGATGTAGCAACAATAGCTTAGAAACTCCTCCACATGGAAGTATATTGAGCAAATAGCACACAATAACTCATTTCATACTCTTGTTTAACTCTTATTTGTGTTACTTAAAGTAGTATATCTATAATTGAATCCATTAAATCCTTAATGTTCATTTCTTTTCCTCAATAACTAGTGAGCTGTATTTTGAAATACCAACCAGTGTTTTGAAATAATTCTTCAAATAATGTTTTTATCCCAAGTCTTACCATACTTTTTTCTTTTATATATAAATACAAAATATACATAAAATTTCAAATATATATAATATATATGTGTCTGTATGTGTATATATATTTCCATTTGCAGATTTAGCAGTATACTGGAACAAAACCAAAACAGGATCTGCTATTGGATGTTTTTATCAGCTAGTGCTGGGGAGAATGATTGGAAAACTGAATTGCAGTAGTATTATTAAAATTCATGAACCAGAGAATTACCAATGTGTAATATTCAAAAATGCAGTGGGTGCTAAGTATCTTTGACACATTCCTTAAAGCTTTAACCATCTTGGGGAAAAAATGTTAGAAGTCTGTCAGGAACATATTGGATTTTCCTAAAGCATATGGTGATGAAATAGTATATCATTTTATGAGAAAATATTGTCATACTGGCTTCCTGGCCCAACATTTCATAGTCATTTTATATTTCTATTTTGTAGTTATCTTTTAGTGCTCTTTATTTTAGGATGAATTTCTTTCCTGGTCTTGAAGAATGTCATTGTTTCACCCCCTCTCTCTTTCTTTTGGCCATTCCTTTGTTTTTATTCTTCCTTCAAGGGTCTTTTGTTCTCTAAAATAGTTTTTATACTGTGTTTCAAGACTGAGAGGTGTGTGCTTCGATCAAATTTTTGTTTTGAGGACATTAGGAGCGTTTTTTATCTTCCCTTTCTCCACCCCATGGTTTGTGTGCTGCTGCTGTTTCATCCTCTTTCTGCAGTACTTGCTTTCGTCCCAGACCTGGCTGGATTGCAAGAATGGAAATGGTTATTCTCTAGCTTGCATTTGAAAAAAAATCCATTTTTATTTCAAGAGGATGACGGACACACACAAAAAATGTATGCCACTGGGCCCTTTTACCACATTTTCTGTTTGGTCCCCTTCGGCTCTTTCAAAACATTGAGCGTGTTCCCAGAATTGGTCAAAACCACATTGCCCAGTTGCAGGCAAAGCTGTGGGTTGGCATCCTCTGGGAGTGGCTGGTTGGGAAGCTCAATTTCCAAATTCCTGGAACTGTCATATTAATCTGTATTTTAAGGCAATGAAGGAGCAATACATCCTTCCCCAAGGGCTTTTATTGTCTTAGAGTTTCAGAGGCCATGTGGGCATTTCTAGTTGGCTGTGAATTTCAACAGCCAACTATGTATACTCTCAATGTTAAGACCTGGTGAGCTTGGATAAATTGTCCCTCAACAGAGTTCCTTACTTGAGGCAGCTATGATGCAACTCATCATCTCCCTCTGTAGCACACTTCACCTGGGCTACATCCTTCCTGGTTTTTGGAGAAAGACTTCTCTTGGACCTGAGGCAAGTGCATGAAGTTTCAGTCTGTGCAGGGCGGTTAGAAACAGTGTGTCAGACAAACATTCCCTATAAGCCAATAAATTTCCAGAGGAATGGTTGACATATGAGCCATCTAAAAATGCTATTTAAAAAATCTATAAACATTATTTTAAAAATATCATTACGTGAGCACATTTTGGAGGAGACATTTGAAAATGAAGAGACAAAATAAAATGGTATTCATTCAAACCCACTCATGACTCACATTGGAAATGTTATTGAATTTTTTTAAAAGAGATTTCTATAGATGATAGAAAGTTGCTATAATGTCATAACTTCTCTTTGTAAAACAAGTTAGCAGAAATGAAAATCTTCCCTGAAACTACCCTCTAGTGCAGAACTGCCACAAAGAATCAAAATCCAGAATGAGAGTCAATTACAGATGGTATCATTGAAGTAGGATGGACAAGAATGGGAAACATGGGTTTCTTAGAAATGTATACATAAAATAAAAGGGTACTAAGCACAACTGTGACAAGGACCATGGCTTTCTTCTCTCTGCTTACCTTCCTCATTTCTTTCCTTTTGCCTTTTCTCCCTCAGCTTCCCTACTTTTTGCATTCAACCAATGCATCTTTTCCTTTGCGGTTTATTCATTTGGGACCTGAATCACTTTAAAAGTACTTAGATTGACTCATCAGTGTCATTGAAATATCTAAAGTATAATACTGTTGGGGCAAAAATTATTTTCTTTCATAAAATTAATTTAAAAATAGTTAAATTCCACCATATTTTTTCATTTTCCATCTTAGAGCCACTTTGTTACCTCAGTTATACCCTGCTTAGAAGCCTTCATGTTTCTGCTAGTGTCAATTCCTCTTTCTAGAATATTCTAGAATATTCTTTATCCCATTTCTCACTTACTGAAATCCTTAGTGTTGGTCGAAGCCTAACTCAAATGTCACTTCTTCTGGAAGGGCTTCTTTCAACAGATATTAATGGAGGGCCGTCTTCATGCCAAGTAGTATTCTAAGGGCTGGGGACATGCAGTGAACAAGGCTCACATAGAATTTACATGCTAAGAGTTGGAGATAGCCATTGTTCAATAACCAAAAAAAGTAGATATATAACATGTCAGGTGTTATAAGTACAATTAGGTAAAATAAAGGAGAGTCATGGGCTAAAAAGTGGTGGGGGAAGACCAGAGAGAAGAATATAATTATTCTCCCTTTTGTACTTCTATAGCATATAACTACATACCTTTTCATACATGAGGAAATGACATAAATGTCTTGTGTTGTAAGCTACATGTAGATAGGAAGTTATGTAGCTTTGCATTCACCAGTGCCTTGTATACAACAGGCATATAATCAATGGGAATGACATGACATCAGCAGCACACAGGAAGCTGATGGTTTATCCACAGCACTGTCAATACATGTTAGTGTCATATGGTGCAAGTCATGTCAAGACTTGCCAATTAACTGGGGAGCAAGAAATGACTACGAAGGACAGAAATCAATCTTCCAAGGCTGGAAGTGTGTCAGTGGCAGAGGTTAGAGGAACTGATCCAAAGAGGTAGGCACACAGCTGAGAGTGTGCTGGGCAGGATAAAGAAGGAGGAAAAGGAGAGCCTAGTGGCCACATCAGTGGACCATTATAGGCATCGTTGTTGATGCTAAACTAATAAAGGTCCCTCCTTCTCAGCCCCCTTGAGTGAGTCTGAGGACTCTCAAAGTCTGTGGTTTTGAATGGCACACTGAGTTTTTAGCTTTCATTTGGTACCCTTTATTTTACTGCATTAATTATCTTACATGGTATTTAATGTTAAACACCATTTCCCATTAATTAAGCATTTTTTTTTGATAAACTTTTGGTAAGAGTGCTAGCAAGACCAGAGGGCTAGGAAGACCAAAAGATCAGTATTTCAGCTGTTTCCAGAAGTGTTAGGGTGGGATAGTAAGGCAGTGAGAGGTAGGCCAACAATGGGAGTATCCTGTATAACTAATTACTAAGAAATTTGTGATAGGGTGTAGCATCACAGATCTTAGAAACAGTTTTTCACATGAACAGGACATATGTAGAATTTACAATGTACCATGCACTATTCTAAGTGTCTTATGTTAACCCAACCTATAAGCTAGATTTTTTGTTATGTTTATTTTACAAATGGGGAAAAAAGGGAATGGAGAGATTAGGAACTTGGCCAAGATCAGGTGGTTGTACATGGGGGTGCCCACACTAAAATCTCAGCCCTTGACCATGCCGTTAACCACCTCATGAGCAGAGGCAGTATTGTGGTGATGATGAAGAGAGTACTTAGGTACTATCTCTTGCTTTTTGGTTTAGTGGATTGCAATACTGATTCCTTTCTTGTGCTCATCCTATTGGAATTGTACCTAGACTATCAAACACACAATTGCTTGATGTCTTGCCTGAGTCTTGCACTTTACAGTGTACAGATGCTTCCATCAACAGCCCTGACTGTGATCTTTATAACTATGTTGGGACATAGTTTTTATTACCTCTGGCCTTCAGATAAGGCAAGGGAGGCCCTGTGTGGTCATTCCCAGCAAGTGGGGCAGAGCCAGGCACATTCGGAGGGCTGTAGACTCCAATTTCTTGTGCTCTTGTCTCATTTGAGCAACATCATGAATTTATAAATTTGCCCATTATGGGCCTAGGTAACATGTTACCTTCCAACTTAAAAACAAGCCAGATTCTCCCACCATGTCGGTTGATAAGTTATATAGTGGGGTAGTGGTATATTCATTTTGGAGCTATGTTTAGGGATCTTCAGAAACCTGTAATAATCCTATCTTCTGCTAGTAGCCTCCTGGTCTTTCAGATTGACAGTTATACTGGAGAATAATCACCTATTTATCAAACTTTTTAAAAAGTGAATTTTTTTTTTTTTGTATTTTAAGAAAGGCAATTAGATCCCCTCCCCCCTCCCCATTTTTCCTGGTATCAATGTTTGGTAGTTTTGACTCCCTTTAAATATGAATGAAAAAAAGCTAAACTATGATATTTTAAGTGAATAAGTGGGGCCTTAATTTAAAAATTTATATCTACTACTAGCAAACTGAAAAGTCTTTAAAAATGACTCAAAAGCTATTTATTATTTTCTCTCTCTCTCTTATTTTGTGAATGCTCATGAGGAATGGATGAGGCATGGGAAACCTAAGTGATTTATTCAGGTTTTACTGAGTTGGTAATAAAACCTGGGTTTGGAGAACTAGGTTGGGAAAAGTCACACACTTTTCTCTGCTTTTTTTTTTTTTTCTTCACATGAATTCTCTACTGGTTCATAAAGTTGCTAGCATAGCTCTTACAAAGTCTCACTCATGAAATGAGGTATTGATTCTTTGTTTTTTTTTCTTTTTCTCCTCCTGACTCAAATTTCCTTTTACTTCCACAGTTGGAAAAGGAAGAAATGAACTTCTGGAATCAAATACTTAAATGATGTAGAAAAGCAAAGACTGCAAACCAAGAAAGCTAATGTATACCAGCTTTAACTGTGACCTGATTATGATATGATATTAATTTGCAGGGAAAAAGGTTATCTCCTTGCATTCTAAAAACCACGATGTTATATATGATTGAAGACAAAGGATATATATTTTTTCCAAGACAAAATGACTCATGGCCTTTAGGTAGACAGTATAATAAACTCAAATGCTTATGTAGGCTGCTGAGTTAGGGAAGAGCATGAAGTGGGTCAGGTCTAAGAGATTATGGAGATTTGCATGGAACTGGAATCTTGGAGGGCCCGTGCCCCACCCAAAGGCTGTTTGGCTATATTGCTCCAGCTGATTTCTACCAAGTAAGAATTTGGTACCTGGGTGGCTGCATTTCCTGATTTTTCAACCTGGGCACCTAGATTTGCATGTGAAAGCCCCCAATTATAGGCTGATATTCACTTCAGGGGTTGGTGTCTGGCCAGCAGAGCACACATAATGACTAACTTCAGCTTGGGAAGGGCTGGGTTTTGCTTATAAGACAGTGGAGACCCCTACACATTTTTATCATTTAATTTTATTTCAAAACCAGAAAGGACAACATTGAAGGCCTAAGAACATGGGAACAACCAATGAGACATAATTTTTCCAAAGGAGTTGTCTGTACTCAAAGATTAAAAGAAACACTGTTTTAGATGGAAGTTATAGGGAGGCACTTTATTCTTTAAGTACGCAGTAACAGTGGTGTCCCCAAAAGAGTAGACTAGACAAGCAAGTGGAAATGGATAAAATCCCGCTCATCTTTCAAGGCCATTCTTAAACACCACGTACTCCACAATCCATTTGCTTTAAAATCATATGACGTCTATGCTGTCCACCACAGCTTCAGAGAGTACTGAAACAAATATTTATATTTGGAATAATACTCAACAAGAAATTTAACAGTAGGTTTGTCATGGATAATGGCCCATCAGAGCAGATACAGCCTTTAAAACAATAGTAAAGATATGCTTATATACAACAGCAAAATACAAGATCTGTTTCTATCATTCTTTTAATGTCATAGAATTTTGTTACTCAGAGGGTAGACCTCAGACCAGCAGCATCAGCATCACCCGGGTGCTTATGAGAAATACAGAATCCCAGGTCCCACTGCACACTTATGGGGTAAAAATCTGCATCTTAACAGGGTCTCCAAGTGATTAATACGCATATTACAGGTTAAGAAGTGCTGTCCTGGAAGACTTTGTAGCTCACTTTGTCATCATCTACCATAATCTTGCATTAAAATTAGTAAGTAATTATTTGTCATTCCTAGTAGACTATTAGTTTCTTGAGGGCAGAGGCTACGTAAAAAATCCTACTAAAGTGCTTAGCATCTTGGCCATAGTAAGGATTAAAAAATTTGTATTTAATTGAATTAAAAATGATTTTAGGGCCAGGTGTGGTGGCTCACACCTGTAATCCCAGCACTTTGGGAGGCGGAGGTGGGCAGATCACCTGAGGAGCTCCTCGAACTGATCAGGAGTTCAAGATCAACCTGGCCAATATAGTGAAACCCTGTCTCTACTAAAAAAAATATAAAAATTAGCTGGGTGTGGTGGCACATGCCTGTAATTCCAGCTACTTGGGAGGCTGAGGCATGAGAATCACTTGAACTCAGGAGGCAGAGGCTGCCATGTGCTGAGATCAGGCCATTGCACTCCAGCCTGGGTGATGAAGTGAGACTCCATCTCAAAAAAAAAAAAAAAAAAAAAAAAAAAGATTAAAAAAAATGACCATAGTTACAATCAGAGTGGCTAACATTTGTTGGGTGCTTTCTATGTATTTTACAAATTGTAAACCGTTATTATATTTATGTTACAGATGAGGCATTGGGGGTAAAAAAGGTTAAGTAACTTGTGCCAGACATGAAGGGGCAGAGAGGAGTCTCGGCTTTGATGCCACACCAAGGCTTGAAATATTATCAGCCTTAGATTGGCAGGTGTGAACGAAGGAAATAAGAGAGGAAGATTGGAAGAAAATTACTTCAGTCTTGTAAGCCTAGGAGACTAGAAGAAGGATGTTTTATTCTTGATGATACTGGAAGACTCATCAATAGTTGTCTTCGGGATCTTGTCCCAGAGATAAAATGCTTCCTTTTACAATCGGGAATAGCTGCGGGTTAACATGCATCCTTGACCAGAAGATGGAGCACTTTAGTCTCCATGGTTTATTGATTCATCTGCCTGGAGATGAAAGGGCAAGAAAGAACATTTTTTTTTTTTTTTTTTTTGCCTGTGACAGTCATTTTGCCTTTTCTCCTAAAGAAAGGAAAGGAAGTAAGAACTCAGCTAAGTGTAGGAAAGATGATTGAGAGTGGGGAGAGGAAAAAGAGAGGAAAATGTCACTTGTTTTTTTCAGATCTTTCCAGCAGGAAGCAAAGAAGTCGATATAGTCCGTGACACAGGAAGCCCTAGTAACAATCTAATGGGACCACCAGACAGTAGTACTATGGGGGTGATAGGCAGTATATAATTATTTTTAATGTGCATGTATGCTTAGGGCTTGAATTGTACCACAGTGCTGTCAAATAGTAAAGGATAGATAAAATGAACAATTCCTCCTGTGGAGTGGGACAGAAACCAGCCTAAGTATCCCACTGGGGGATAAAAATGTGAAATGAAGAGCTTAATAAAATTAGGGCTATGCAAGGGAAAGTGGAAGTCTGTCTTAATAAGCTAGCTTTGAAATATTTTAAATTGCTGTTAGGAAATCTATGAGATTATTCACAAAACACTCACATGGAAAGAATTGTCTCAAGCTACATTTCCATCCTAGTTTTGAGAACTAGATGGTGAATACTGCAGAATTTTTTGCCATCTTCTAACAATTAGCTTCAGGAGATATTTATTTAATTGAATGTATGTTAAGTAAAACAAATATATAAATGCTCATTCTATAACCATATATACCATTGCCTCTACAATATAGGAAATCCTTCTAACAACATCTCAGAAGAATATTATCTGCACAACCTGAGAATCTGTTAGTGTTAGGTTAATTGGAAAAAAAATATTTTATACATATGATGTCAAAAGTAGATGAACAGGTCTCTTGAGTAATTTCTTAGATTTCAGGATTAATGTCTTACAATAATTTATTAAAAACCCATATGGAATTGCACATCTAAACTTCCATAATTCTCTCTTCTGGGATAATAATACATTTTCTCCATTTAAGTCTTTTCTTTGGTTGATTAGTCTTGCATCCTCTTATTGGATACTTAGGTAACTTAAATGAGTGTTTCAAATACAAGAACTTAGTGTAACTGTACACTAAATTCTGTTTCAGCATGAAATTCAGAAATTTGTAATTTGGGATTTAGAACAATTTAAATCAGAATTGTTTTGACTTTGGGTTTTATATTTGATTATATGAAAGCCAAATAAAAGTTAGCATGCTGTTAAGTATTTAACAAAGTGTTTACATATACGAAATACTAAAGGCTAGTAGAACACTCTTTCTGCTAAAGAGACCTCTAAAATAGCTTTATACTTTTCTGCTTGGGACATGAGTTGAAAGAAAGACTCTAGCTGTCTAGCCTTGAATTGAGACTGACCCCAATTGTGGAGGAAATATCAATCAGCCTCAAAATCCAGAAAGCCTTCATTCTTGAAAGAGCTTTTTATTCCCAGCGAGAACGTCTGTCTCATGGGAGAGGCTGCCACCCTGGTGGTTAGGAGTTTAAACTCTGGAGACTGGCTTCAGATTAGAGTTTTGTGACCTGCAGTTATGTGACCTAGGGCAAATTACAGAAACTTTCTGTGCCTGGATTTTACTGTTTGTAAAGGAAGGATAACTAATAACATCTACATTGTAAGAAAACTCTATGGATTAAATAAGATAATGTGGGTACAGAACTTGGGACAATGCTCTTCCCCAAACAAATGCCCCCAAACAGTTGGCTATTTTTATTATTAAAAACAGTAGAATAAAACCCACTGTCTTCACTTAGCCATTAAATAAGTCAACCTGAATTAATTGTTACTATTTAATTTTATTCTTAAAATTTCTTATGACATAAGCAAAACGCAATCATTATAAATTATAAATACACATAAACAAGAAGAAAATATCATTCCAAGTCTTATCCAGAGAAGATCTATAATGACATTGATACACACATGGCTTTTTTCCCATGCCTATATATATCTCTAGGATGCAAAAATAATCACATTTAAGCCAAAATAGTATTAAAAACTCATACATGTTTTGTATAATTCCTTAATTGCTGAACTTGTCACTCAATAAACTACATGACCTCAAGCAAATTACTGACCTCTTTCATGTGTTAATTTGTTTGCAAAGAGCTCCACCAAAGTGTTGTGAGAAATAAGACTTTATGTAAAATGTAGTGTACTTTATTACAGAAATCACTGTGTAGGACATATCTTTTTTTTAACTTTTTTTAAAAAAATTTTACTTTAAGTTCTGGGATACATGGACTTATCTTTTAAGGATTCCATTTCAAGGACCTTTTCACTGGTAACAAGTCAGGATCTGGTAAGAAGTTCAGATCTATCACTGTTACCACTCCTCTCTCTGCCACCTCTATTTGCCAGGCCTTTAATTCTTCACATGTCTAGTGTTGGCTCTGAATTGTAGGTGATTTATTATTGGAGAAGTCTGGCTTCAGCTGAGACAAAATGCACCCACAGGAAGATTATTTTCCATGATAGGATGTAATCAGATTGAGAGTAAGAACTGTATTTTATACTTGTTCATATTCCCTAAATATCCATATACTATGCTTTGAATGTTAAAATTTGATGAATTTTAAAAGGGTACTAGAATAGTCCATAAAATAAGATTTGCCAACTCAGAAAAAATGTGCCTTGTGTCCTAGCTGAGTAATTCACATACTTGTACTTTAGAAGAGGCAATTGAATAAGCTAACAAAAATTTTTATGTAGCATTGCCTCAAGTATATTAGAAATATTTTTTGGGTTTGCTTTTATGCCTTAGTACGATTAAGTATCTTTTCATCAGGTTAGCATTTGCTGTTTGCTGCTTGTCTGAACAAGGTATGCTAAGGCGAAAGATGAAAGTAACATCGTAAAACAGCAAACCCCAACCTTTGTGGAACTAGGGACTGGTTTAGTGGAAGACAATTTTTCCACAGACCAGGAGAGCAGGGGATGGTTCTGGGATGATTGAAGCACAATACATTTATGGTGTACTTTATTTCTATTATTATTACATTTAATGAAATAACTATACAACTCACCATAATGTAGAATCAGTGGGAGCCCTGAGCTCATTTTCCTGCAACTAGATGGCCCCATGTGGGGGTAATGGGAGTCAGTGACAGATCATCAGGCATTAGATTCTCATAAGGAGTGTGCAACCTAGATCCCTTGCATGTGGGCAGTTCACAATGGGGTATGTGCTCCCGTGAGAATCTAATGCTGCCACTCATTGCCGTTGCTGATCTAACAGGAGACAAAGCTCAGGCAGTAATGCAAGCGATGAGGAGCAACTGTAAATACAGATGAAGCTTCACTTGATCACCTGCTGCTCACCTCCTGCTGTGCAGCCCAGTTCCTAACAGGCCATAGACTGGTACTGGTCTGTGGCCCAGGAGTTGGGGATCTCTGCTCTAAAACACTGAAATCTCTCCAGTGATGATTATAACAAAAATCACCCATTACAACTTTATAATTAAAGCCCTTGATAAAATACACATTAAATGTGTTTTTGGGAGAAGTCCTGCTTTCTGCATTTCCCCCTTTTCAAAGATTAATTCATTTAACTGAAACTGATGGTGGGAAGGAAATGTACACAGGCTTGAAATTTTGTTTGGAAGCAATTATGTTCTGTCCTTCCCAAAATATAGATTGTGCAATGAATGGGGAACTTGGCTAGAGCAAGATTGTTGACAAAATGTAGCTAGACAATTTGAGCTATTTTTAGTTATTATTCTGGTTATACTTAATAACATTTATCATGAACATTTACTTTGATGAAAGTGATTCTTTTAGGATATAATGAAGAAATGTTTGGCATTAGTTTTGGAAAAATATCCAAAAGTTTTTACAAAAAAACCCAACCCCCAAAACAACAAAACAAAACAACCTTATATTGAGAGGAGATAAATATCCTCATTGACTTTAAGGGGGTGGGTGGGGTGAAATTGTGTTAGAATATGTAACACTTTACTTAAAAAAAAAATCAATGCATGTAAAACTTATTCTGAAGAGTTAAAATCTCATTCGTAAAACATTTTAACACTTTTTTCTTCTGTCAAGCATATCTTGTCACTGAAAGTGGCCTAATACAATTTTATCTGGTAGAGAAAATTAGAGGAATTGCTTTAATAAGAATGATTTTTAATTAACATTGTTGATAAAACGAGCCCTTTTAAAGTTCTTGAAGGTGCTTGAAAACAGCTTCCTCTCCTCAGTAGGTTGTTTCAATTATGATCTATCATCATTTCTTCCTTCATAGGTAGTAAAAGACAGTTTGAGTTCTGTCCGTGTCAAGCATCACACATCTCAGATGAGTGGGTATGTAGTGATGAGGTAGGAAACACGTAAAGATCTTTGCTGTAATATTTCAGTGTCTGGTGACTCAGATGCTGAATCTACTTCTCATAAGTAAATGTTTCACTCAAATCAAAGAGAGTAGGCACTCCATCTCTGGCTCATGCTTCACTGTACTGAGAGTTTAAACTTCCATGCTGTCCTAGCCTGCTTGGAAAAACCAGAGTGCCCTGAACTTCCAGTGAATCAGCTCCTCTTGGGCCCTGATGTGTCCTCAGGATCTCATTAGATGGAGCCAACTCAGAATCTAAGCAGGTACCTATGAGTTGTCCCTAGTACTGAAAATCCAAATGTTGCTTGGCAGTCCAGTTCATGAAACCTCTAAGAAATGGAAGGTCAGAGGCTGCTGTTTTCCTGTGGAGACATGACTGGTTCAGCAATGGGGGCAGGTCTGGACAGGGTAGTGAGACCCATCAATAGACCATCCATGAGAAGGCCAGTAGGGGGTGCCATGGCTGCCTCCCACTGTTCCTTTCTAAGTTTAGATTTGCAGGGTGTGTGGGTGTGTGAGTCCATGCATGCACACACATTCAATTTATGCTTCTGTCAAAACCCCACATATTCAATAGTAAAAATAACAAAATAATACATATACAAAAATTATAATCAAAAACAATCCCCAGCCTCAGCTTACTCCATTCCATCTCCCTTTGCTCATTGACTCAGAAGTAACTGCACATCTTTCAATTTTTGTTCGAATATGTATTTTTTATTTCTCAGTAATGTGTTTCTACAAATATTTGAGTTTTTAATTTTAGATACTATCTATTGACTGTCTACAAATCTTTCAAATATAGCATATTTAATTAAATCCTTTTTAGTGTTTACCATGGCTCATAGCCGAGCCATCTAGCATACTCATGACATCATCATCTACAATTTTTTTCCCCTGATGTCAATACTGTCTCAGTTTTTTTCCATTGCTTTGCATTCTTTGATAGACATCTAATAATATGTAACATATATTTAGCAAGTATTTTAAGCAATTTATAGGTAAAATATTTTAAGCAATTTATAGGTAAATATAGGAAATTATAGGTAAAAGGTTAGGGAACAGAAGGTGGGACATGTTATGCCCCAGCTTAAAAGGGCAAAGTCCAAATTCCTGGCTATGCTACACAAGATCTAGCCCTTGGCTATTCCTACAACCTGACTCCTTATCTTTTCCTTCTCCATATTTTACATTCCAGCTTCTTGGACTTTTTTAGATGCTAGAATTTATAAGTCCTTTCTTATTCCTTGGCCCTTCACCAGCCTCCTGTTGTCTGAATCACTTTTCTACCCTCTTTATTTGTGTCTTACCCATCCTCTGGTGCCAATCTTCCCCAACTCCTAAAATATGTTCAATTGTCCTGCAATGTGCTCCTGTCACACTGTGTTCTTCTCACTCACCACTCTTTATGTTTATTACTTGCTGGACGATAAATTCAGTGAAGATGAGGTCTAGTTGGTCTTATTCCCTGAGAGAGCCCCAGTGTTTACCACATAATAGGCTCTTTATACATTTTAGTTGTTATATGATTGGGTCTGTAAGGAGAATGACGATGATGCAAATGTACATGAAAACATTCCAGTGACTCAGGCTGAAAAAATCCTATGTAAGGCAATAAATTGTTTTCTCACATGAAGTAATTCCCATTTCTTCTTTATAAATTGCCTAACCTTAAACTGGCTAAGACTTGTAACTATAGAACAATAGACAATGTGGCTTTATATATTGGGCAAACCTGAGTCAAAGAGTCAGTTTTTAGATTTTGCAAATGACCCAGGGCAGCTTTGAAACAGTTGATTAACATCTTGGAGTGTTGGCATGGTGGGCCCTGGTTTCTCTAACCTTCCATCTGCAGTACACACATGGGGACATAATGTGACAAAAGCAGTGGTCCTCTGACCAGAGAAATCAGAGATATCCATGAAGATTCTGCCCTCAGGGAGCTTCCAGTCTAGTAAGGAAAACAGACTATCAGTAGGTAAACACATACATAAGTATGTACTTGTAGATTGGAAAAAATGGTGTCAACTAGAGACCAAATGATGATGGATAATAAAGAGGAAGCCCTACATAAATGGTCAGGGAAGGAGGGAGATATGTTTGGCTCTGTGTCCCTACTCAAATTTTATCTCAAATTGCAATCCCCATGTGTCAAGAGAGGGAACTGGTGGTGAAGCGGCTATGCTGTCTGGGGTATAAACCTGGGGTTCATCATCACGTGCCAGGAAAATTTAGGACATGGACACACACGAGGAGTTTAGGAGTGAAGGTTTAATAGGTAGAAGAGAAGAGAAAGAGAAACAGCTTCCTCTACAGAGGAAGTGGTCTCTGAGCAGAGAGGACCAGCTGGTGGCAAAAGCACCAAGTTTTATAGTCCAGTTTGAGGACGTGGTGTCTGATTTACGTAGGGCTCACAGATTGGTAAGATCAGGTATTTCCTTTACATAGCGTGTGGGGAAGGCTGGTCACCCCACCCTAATCTTCTTATGCAAATGGGCTTTCTAGTTGATCAGCACCATCTTGTCTGCTTGTTATAATACACGTGGCTGACAGAGAAGGGAAGATGGAGCCACCATTTTGAAAATGTCTAGTCCTTAGTTTCTGCCGGCATTCATCCATGCAAGCTCCCAGCTTGCAGGCTGCTCTTTGTTAGAAAATGATTTGGGGCTGCTTTTCATTAACAAAAAAAAAAAAAAGCCTTATCAAGGACTCCCATGCCCTTGCTATCTGCCTAAGTAATTCCTTCTTAACTCCTATATCAGTGGGAGGTGATTAAATCATGTGGGCAGTTTGCCCCATGCTGTTCTCATGATAGTGAGTGAGTTCTCATGAGATCTGATGGGTTTAAAGTGTTGCACTTCTCTTCTCCCCCTTTGCTCTCTTTTTCTCTCTCCTGCTGCCACATAAGACATGCCTTGCTTCCCCTTTTTCTTCTGACATGATTGTAAGTTTCCTGAGGTCTGCCAAGCCTGCTGAACTGTGAGTCAAGAAAAGAGGTTTAAACCTCTTTTCTTTATAAATTACCCAGTCTTAGGTAGTTCTTTACAGCAGTGTGAAAATGGACTAATGCAGAAAATTGGTACTAGGAATGGGGCACTGCTATAAAGATACCTGAAAATGTGGAAGTGACTTTGGAACTGGGTAATGGGCAGAGGTTTGGAGGGCTCAGAAGAATACAGAAAGATGTTGTGGAAAGTTTGGAACTTCCTAGAGACTTGTTGAATGGATTTGGCCAAAATGCTGATAGTGATATGGACAATGAAGTCCATGCTGAGGTGGTCTTAGATGGAGATGAGGAACTTATTGGGAACTGGATTAAAGGTCACTCTTGCTATGCCTTAGCAAAGAGACTGATGGCATTTTGCCTGTGCCCTAGGGATCTGTGCAACTTTGAACTTGAGAGAGATAATTTAGGATATCTGGAAGAAGAAATTTTTAAGCAGCAAAGCATTCAAGATGTAACCTGGCTGTTTCTGAAAGCATATAGGCATATGTGTTCACAAAGTGGTCTGAAAGTGGAACTTATTTTTAAAAGGGAAGCAGAGCATACAAGTTTGGAAAATGTGCAGCTGGGCCATGTGGTAGAAAAACAAAAAACATTTTTCTGGGGAAAAATTCAAGCTGGCTGTAGAAATTTGCATAAGTAAACAGAAGTTGAATGTTAATAGCCAAGACAATGGAGAAAATGTTTCCAGGGCATTTCAGAGATCTTCACAGCAGCCCTTCCCATCACCAGCCTGGAGGCCTAGGAAGAAATGACTTTGTGGGCTGGGCCAGGACCCTGCTGCTCTGTGCAGCATCAGGACATGGCAACCTGCATCCCAGCTGCTCCAGCTCCAGCTGTGGCTTAAAAGGGCCAAGGTACAGCTTGGGCCATTGTTTCAGAGGGTGCAAGCCCCAAGCCTTGGTGAGTTCCATGTGGTGTTGGGCCTGTGGGTGCACAGAGATTAGGAGTTGAAGCTTGGTAGCCTCCGCCTAGATTTCAGAGGTTGTGTGGAAATGCCTGAATGTCCAGGCAGAAGTCTGTTGCAGGGGTGGAGCCCTTATGTAGAACCTCTACAAGGGCAATGCAGAGGGGAAATGTGGGGTTGGGGCCCCCACACAGAGTCCCCACTGGGGCACTGCCAAGTGGAGCTTTGAGAAGAGGGCCACTGTCCTCCAGGCCACAGACTGGTAGATCTACTGACAGCTTGCACCATGCACCTGGAAAAGCCACAGGCACTCAATGCCAGCCTGTAAAAGCAGCTTTGGGGGCTGTACTCTGCAGAGCCACAGGGATGGAACTGCCCAGGGCCTTGGGAGCCCATCCCTTGTGTCAGTGTGGCCTGGATGTGAGACACAGAGTCAAAGGAGATATTGGAGCTTTAAGATTAAATAGCTGGGTTTCAGACTTTGTTTTGGCCAATTTCTCCCATTTGAAATTGGAGCATTTACCCAATGCCTGTACCCCCATTGTATCTAGGAAGTAACTAACTTGCTTTTGATTTTATAGGCTGCTAGGTGGAAGGAACTTCCCTTGTCTCAGATGAGACTTTGGACTTGGACTTTTGGGTTAATGCTGGAATGAGTGAAGACTTTAGGGGATTGTTTGGAAGGCATGATTGTGTTTTGAAATGTGAGAAGGACATGAGATTTCAAAGGGACCGGAGGTAGAATGATATGGTTTATCACTGTGTCCCCACCCAAATCTCATCTCAAATTGTAATACCCCCATGTTAAAGGAGGGACCTGGTGGCAGGTGATTGGATCATGGGGGCAGTTTTCCCCTCACTGTTCTCATAATAGTTAGTGAGTTCTCAGGAAATCTGATGGTTTTAAAATGTGGCACTTCCCCCGTTGCTATCTCTGTCTCCTGCCACCATGTAAGATGTACCTTGCTTCCCGCTTGCTTTCTGCTGTGATTGTAAGTTTCCTGAGGCCACCCCAGCCATGTGGAACTGTGAGTCAATTAAACCTCTTTTCTTTATAAATTACCCAGTCTCAGGTAGTTCTTTATAATAGTGTGAAAATGGACTAATACAGAGGGTATTAGAAAATGTCATTTATAAGTAAAAAGTCAGAGACAGAGTATTCCCAGCTAAGGGAAGAGCAAGTGCCCTCTTTAGGACAGGTGTGGTTAAGGTAGTTATGTCTCTAAAACAGCATGGTTATGTCTAAGATCCAAAAGGAGCCCACTGTGGTTGGAACAGAGGAAGAAAAGGCAGGTAGGCTCAAAATGAAGTTTGAGAAGTAGGCAAAGGCCTCATTATTTGGGGTTGTGATGCCAGTGTTGCCTAACCTGTGGTCTGCACATGGGCTGGTCTGCAACCTGTGGCTCTCTGTCTGTGGTGAAAAGGAGCTTGTGCAGACATAAATCAAGTATATCACCTAGAACACTTTTTAGCTGAGCTTATGGACAGACAAAATGAAAGAAGGAGTGCATTGATTTACATATATATTCTGATGTAAGCACCTTACCTTGTTGTAGACCCACACTTTGAGCATACAATAGAAAAAACAGAGAGTAGAATGGGAAGCAGACAGGGGAAGAGATCAGTCAGGAACAATAGTGTGGGAAAGATATGACAAATGGCTGGATCAAGATGGCAGAAATCAAAGTGGAAGATTAGTGGGCAGATTGTGGTATATTTTTAAGGTAGAATCTGTAGAATATTTTCAGAGTAGGGCATGGGGAGCTCAGAGAGCAATTGAAGCTTGACCTCCAAGTTTCTGCTCTGAACAACTTTGTAAATGTTCACATCATTGATTGAGATGATAACAGTGGAGACAATGAATGAATTAAGGATCAGGCCTGTGTTGTGCATGGATATCAATAGTAGTAGTTATTATAGTGGGGTTTTAAATAACAGGAACCTTTATGAAGAGATCTGTTAGGAAAAATTTTTAACTCTCCAAATTTATAAGTACTAGTCTGTAATGTATAGTCTGCATTTTTGTTTTAATCATAATTTTTTTTTTTTTTAAAA
The DNA here is from genome assembly GCF_000001405.40 of Homo sapiens. Lineage (NCBI taxonomy): Eukaryota > Metazoa > Chordata > Mammalia > Primates > Hominidae > Homo > Homo sapiens. Next base: position 92,598,317 of record NC_000012.12, on the reverse strand, counting down.
AGAAAGAAAATCCCCCATATTGTATTTCAGATATCAATATGGGGAAGAGTTAGACTCATTCTTCAGCTGAGGGATCTTTTCATCACGAGTGACTCAGCTATGTGACTAAGCCAAGTTGTATAGCTATCATGATCTTGATGGGTATTTCTGAATGGTTGAAATTATAAATGTTAAATCCATGACTACCTAGTGTACATTCAGGGTGGAGAATAAGTTTCATCTTAAGTGTCAACTCACATGAATTTTTTTTTTTGCAGATGCTCTACAAACTGTTTTGAGGCTGCATCTGGATTTAGTAAAGAGTGTTGTCATCAATTTTCAGCTTCTACCTTAGGTGTAGGAGGGAACTGAGGCAGCAAGCAAGTATTTGCTCACTGTCTGCATCTTTCCAGTATAGAGAATGCATCAGAGAAATGCCTCAACATGTGTGGCACTGTGTATATAATTTCCAACACTGCAAAATGGAACAAGCACAAAACTTTGAAGGGACGGTCTATGTGATGAAAAGTTGGAACGGCTTCCAAGAGCTGAAATACAATGTTGTCAGTGTTTCTCCCTCACCATGATATTTGAACCAAAGCTGTCTGATAACAAATGAAAAGCTTTCTGGGATGTCAGTGTGATTTCATTCTGGGATCCATTAGGTATAGAAAAGCAGCCCAATTATGACTGGGCAAATTCCACAGGTCTGGCTGGGCCAATTGCCATGGAATCAGATCATATGGCTGTATTTAGTGATATGGTGGACCATTCTCAATTTCCCTTATCTTATTCTATGCACAAAGATGGCTTGCTTTGTATTTACTCACTTCAATTTAATGTGGCTCTATCATCCCTCCCCCACCTCAGAGCCTTTTCCAGCAAATGGAGGCCTTTTGTTTTTTACCATACAGAAGATTCAGGTGACTGTGTGCAGCATCATGAGACTGCAGACTAGTTGGGATTCATCGGAGTGGCAGCATTTTGATCAAACACTGGGAGGAATGCTGCCAACCTCTGCTCAGGTGGTAGAGACAAGAAGGCTTACGTGTGATATTAGAGTTGATTATGCAAGGACTCTGTCATGAATAATAACAATAATAATTATTATCATGATGAGGCAGAAAGAGAATAATGATTTTGGGAAATCAGTAAAACAAGTCACATCAGTTTTCTGGCTGAAAGCCAGCCTTATTTTCTGGTGAAGAGAGATCATTGGTGATTTTAATAAGTTAGACTATTTTATCAAGGAGCTGGGGGATCTACTGCTGGGCAAAGAAAAAAGTGGGCAACTTCAAAAGAATTACTTTTAATTTACTCTGAGATATTTGCTGGGGGTGTGAAAATGAATTGGGAAGGCAAGTGTATGCCTGCTTATTTGTTAATGATTTCGTGGACTCATAGCAAAAGTTGGGAGGGGATGTTTGAGGTCATCTAATCTACGTGGCTTCAAAATCTTTATTCTTTATAATAGCCTACCTTTTTTGAAATACACTCTTTTGTTGAACTCCAATGCAAAACATGTAAAAGTAGAGATGAGAGTGGAAGAGATGGAATGGAGGGTCAAGAGCATGATCACTTAGGTTTGTGCCTCTCTCCACCCACTTGGTTTTTCCATGAGATGCTTCTCTTCTACGGATTCAGTTCGAAAACTCCTGATTGAATCCAGCCTCCTCATTTTATAAACAGGAGATCGGGTGACTCGCTCAGAATCATGCAATTGGTTATCTCACTGGAGCAGCTCTCTGCAGAATAATCTCTGCACTAAGCCACACTTGGAGTATGAATTGTGACTCTCCTGCCTCCTTAGCCCCTCTAGCCCTTCCCATCTCTCCTGTCAACAGCGTTCCACTCATTACCTTATCCCCGCATGACTCAATAGCCTGTGTCCATATCGCTGCAATTTTCATGACAGTTTAAAGAAAAACACATCTGTCTCCATATACCAATGAGGGCTCAGTAGGGAACACTGATTACATCCTCCACAATGAGGGCCCCAGGGGCTGCTGCTCCCAAACATGCCCTGAGTGCAAGGGTTCTAGTCTGTCACCAACATGGAGAAAATCTCTCTTGTCACATTTTATTGTATTCACTGGCCACGGGACAGGACGGAGTAATAAGAAATTCTGTGCAGGCCTCAGGTTGTTTTGAATTCTGCTTCTGTTTTTCAGAACTGATATTATTTCTGGCCCTTGATAAGCGATAAATTCTCATATCCTGTTTTGTGAGATTTTTAATCATGTGCAGTTAATAGGCTGATACAAAGTGTGAGAGTATCCATCACCTAAATAAAAGAAATTATAGTTTTACATGGACTTGTATTCCTAAATTTCACCAATTTTTAGAGCTAGATACAATCTTAAGAGAATTTCTCATTTAATTTTTTCTCTATGAGGAAACTCATGCCCAGAGTAATGAAGGGCTGGGTCTACCATGAATCAGCTGGTTCAAGGTGTGAACTAAGTCTCTCTCACTTAAGGTACATTCCTTAGTTGGGTTGGTTTAATTGAAGAAATATGCATTGAGTGTCCTCCAGGGCAAAATACCCATGAGAGACAGACAGAGATTTTTCTATTTCCTTGATGGGGTAGGGCAGACAATGAAGACCCTCCACTAAATATGAGCAGCCATTGTGCACATATGGTACTGAGAATGACAACGAGTCTACACAAATCCATCTCTTTTGGAGAGATGATGTGACTGTAAATGATAATGATGAGGAAGACGAACTTTTATAGTATTAGCTTCATCCACAAACAGGAAATTATTATTGCTATTTTTCTATCTTTGAAGGGAGTCTGTTAGAGATGGCAGCAACATGGATGGAGCTGGAGGCCACTGTCTTAAGTGAACTAATGCAGGAACAGGAAGCCAAACACCGCATGTTGTTACTTATAACTGGGAGCTGAACATTGAATATGCATGGACACAGAGAAGGGAACAATAGACACTGGGGCTTACTAGAGGGTGGAGGGTAGGAGGGTGAGAATCAAAAAACTACCTATTGGGTAGTATGGTAATTACCTGGGTGATGAAATAATATGTACACCAAACTCCCTTGACATGCAGTGTATTTATAGAGCAAACCTGCACATGTAACCCTGAAACTAAAAGTTAAAAAATAAATTAAAAAAAAAAGTGGCTGGGCGTGGTGGCTCACGCCTGTAATCCCAGCATTTTGGGAGGCCGAGGCAGGCAGATCACGAGGTCAGGAGATAGAGACCATCCTGGCCAATATGGTGAAACCCTGTCTCTACTAAAAATACAAAAACTTAGCTAGGCATGGTGGTGTCCACCTGTAGTCCCAGCTACTCAGGAGGCTGAGGAGGAGAATTGCTTGAACCCGGGAGGCGGAGGTTGCAGTGAGCCGAGATTGTGCCACTGCACTCCAGCCTGAGCAAAAAGAGTGAAACTCCATCTCAAAAAAACAAAAACAAAACAAAACAGGAACAACAACAAACAAACAAAAAAACAAAAGAAAAAAAAATTATCCACACACGCAAAAAGAGTTTGGGTTCTGGAGCTGGACTACCTGGGTCTCAATCCCTGTCCTGCCTGTTACTGGCTGTGTGGTCCTCATTGAATCAGTTAACCCCACTGTACCTCAGTTTCCTCATCTGTAAAGTAGGTTAGTATGAGTAAACAGCTCAGAGTTTTGTTCTGAAGATTAAATGAATACATTCTAGTGCAGCTGCTAGAATAGACTGGTATACAGTAAGCATTTAATAAATGTTACCTATTATTATCCTTTATAGATTAAAGGCATCCTGTAAACTCTAGTTGAACATCTAACTTCTAATTGCTTAAGTGGATTCCAGCAGCTGTCTTATATGCTCAGGAAGCTTTAAAACATCACAATTCACTGGTAGCCTCTTCTGGGCAGGTATTATTGCTATTGAAGGTCAGAATTAGTGGGAGGTCTATTTTCTGCAACTTTATTCATGCAGCATGCATTCTTGGATGTTACTAACGTGGCACACCCTGGGCCAGGTGAACTAGGGGTTGGGGGAAGAGTAGGGTGAGGATGCAAAGATGAACATGGTATCAGTTCTTCAAGGGCTTGGGGGTGTGAGGTGGAGTAGGGTAGGGATGCAAAGAAGCGTAAAATAGCTTTTGCCTTCAAAGAGTTCACTGTCCTGAGAGAGGGATGATCAGTAAACAAATAGTGACAAAGCAGGGAGACATGTACAAAGTGCTAAGGGAGCACAGAAGAGGAAGTGACTGAGACAGACTGAGGAGACCAAGAAAGGCTTCGCACAGGAAATGACATATAAACTGGGTCACACAGGATGAGTAACTGTCTGGTAGAAGAGAGGGGGTGAGTTTCTAGGCAGGGGCACTACATGCGCAAAGGCACAGAGGCATGACACATGAAAGCCACAATATTTGGCAGGGTGAGCAGTTCAGAAGGATGTTTACAAAATGCCCTGGTTCAAGGACGTGTCATTGCCCAAGCTCCTTACTGTAGCTGGTGGAGCCTGGCAGGGGGCGGTCCCTGCCCACCGTCCCGAGCCCATCTCTTACTTCCCAACCCTGGCCACACTTGTTCCTTTTTGTGCCTGGATCACCACAGCAGAGTTCTACTTCAGGGCTGCTGCACATTCTGCTTCTTATTTGTAGAATATTCTTCCCAACCTATTTTCATGGCCAATCCCTTCTCTATCCTCAGGTCTTACCTCCTCAGGAAGATCATCCATGGCCACTTTCCCTGATGCAAGTCCCCTGTTATTCCCCATCACAGCATCTATCACTAGGAATGTATTGTGACCTGTAATTATTTTACCTCTCACCATGTTTTTTACCTGCTTCTCTGGAAGGTAGCATGAGACATCAGGGTCAGGACACCAACTGTCTTGTTCCTGGTGTATCTCTAGTATCCTAGTCAGTTCCTGACACAGCACTCAATCGAAGTTGTTGAATGAAGAAATAAAAGTATCAGTGAATGAATGAATGAATGAGAAATTTGGAAAGAGATTGGTTTGAATATCTTCCGTTGGTTTCTCCAGGTCCACTACCCTTCTCTATTCAATTCTGTGTCATGGAAAGCTGCTTGTGTGGGCCACCTCAATATCTTCCCTCTGTGTTGGATTCAGTAAATAGGGCGCAGGTAAGGGTGAGAGGAGAGGGGTCAGGGTGGCCTTGAGCTGGCTGCATTCCTTCCCTGAAGGTCTCAGCAAGGGCCCTCTCCACACAGCCTCTCTCTTTCCTCCTTTCCACCACTTTAGGCCTGCGGTCGGGGGGCAGGCACCTCCTCCCATCTTTCCACATTACTATCCCTCGTAGTTTCTCTAGAGTCCACCTACATCTTTGTAGTCCTTCTATTAATCTCTCTTCAAACTACCTATGCCAGTCTGTTTCTTACCAGGGCTGGGGCCAGGTTAGAAAGTACCTTATGTGCCTGTAAGTAGCTCACACCATATTCATTTGACAACAGAGAACTGTTAAAGGTAGATCCTTCTGCAGGTGCTATGGACTGAATATTCACATGTTGAAATCCTAACCCCCAATGTGATGATATTGGGAGGTAGGGCCTCTGAGAGGTATTTAGGTCATAAGAGTGGAGCCCCTATGAATGGAATTGGTGTTCTTATAAAAGGGACCCCAGAAAGCTAGCTAGCTCTTTTTCCACCTGCTGAGGACACAGCAAGAAGACAGCCATCTACGGACCAGGAAACAGGCCCTCGCAAGACACCAAATGTACTGGTATCTTGATCTTGACCTTTCCAGTCTCTGGAACTCTGAGAATTAGGTGTTTGTTGTTTAAGCTGCCCAGCCGCTGGTACTCTGTGATAGTGGTGTAAGCTGACCAAGACAGCAGAGGTGTGGCATAACCCAAAGGCAAGGCTAACACACAGCATCAGCGTAGGGAATGCCCTCCAAGCTTTCAGTAACATGCCCCATCATGTTGGAGCATGTCCCACTCATATATTCATATCTCTTTATGTGTAAGTTTTTTGTTTCTTTTTTTTGAGGCAGAGTCTCACTCTGTCACCCAGGCTGGAGTGCAGTGGCAGGATCTCAGCTCACTGCAACCTCCGCCTCCCTGGTTCAAGTGTTCTCCTGCTTTAGCCTTCTGAGTAGCTGGAATTACAGGTGCACACCACCACACCTGGCTAATTTTTGTATTTTTGGTAGACACGGGGTTTCGCCATGTTGGCCAGGCTGGTCTTAAACTCCTGACCTCAAGTGATCCGCCCTCCTCGACCTCCCAAAGTGCTGGGATTACAGGCATGAGCCACCGTGCCAGGCTCTGTTTATGTGTAATTTATATACGTGCATGCTTGTACTAATAACTTTTGTACAGTATAAAGTACATATGTGGATATTAAAAAGCATAAGAGAGAGGTAAAATTTGATTTTCAATTTTTATCTCACCAAAAGCCATTGATATGGTTTGACTCTTTGTCCCCACCAAATCTCATGTTGAACTGTGATCTTCAGTGTTGGAGGAGGGGCCTAGTGAGAGGTGATTGGATCATGGGAGCGGATTTTCCACTTGCCGTTCTCCTGATAGTAAGTGAGTTCTCCCAAGATCTGGTTGTTTAAAAGTGTGTAACACTTCCCTCTTCACTCTCCCTCCTGCTCTGCCATGGTAGGAAATGCTTGCTTCCCCTTAGACTTCTGCCATGATTGTAAGTTTTCTGAGGCCTCCCAGCCATTCTTCCTGTACAGCCTGTGGAGCTGTGAGTCAATTAAACCTCTTGTCTTCATAAATTACCCAGTATCAGCTAGTTCTTTATAGCAGTGTGAGAATGGACTAATACAGCCACACTGTTAGTGTACTGATTACTTAGTTTTAAAGTCTTACTAAACATTATAGCTAATATTTTATTGTCTACCTAGGGTGACATTGTTAAGGAGTGTATGTATAAATCCATATTCCAATTCATCTTCTTGAGGTGAGCTAATCTCTTGTCAGATCTAATTATAATTATTATGTATATAATTATATTATACCATATATTGTAATATGGTGACAAAGTACTTCTAAGTGGAGAACAATCAACTTTTTCTACCACGTGGCTTGCTTTGTTGTGGTATCTTTGACCCATTATTTATTTTTGGGGTCTTTTTAAGTTTCTCACTTATTTTATGATTTTTTCAGCAAGTTAGAATTAGACAATAGTTCCACGTATTCACTCAACTGGGCATGTATCATAAATTATTAAACAAATGAAAATGTTAGGGAATCACTGTCCACTCCTGTGATTTATAGACTCCCATTTTCCCTCAAGACTTCCCACATATCCTATGTGAGGGGTGATCACTAACATAGAGACTGAGAGTGCCATGACATATTAAATATCAGAAAAGCTTAATCTCTTATTTTATTTGATAAAAGTGGGTATATACAGAAGTTCTAATGTTCTCTTCCATCTCCCCCATTGATTGTTTTGTACACCTGCTTGATTGCACGTACTGTATTTTGGAGACTACTGATATAGATCATAGGCAGAATCTAGAAATAGAGGACCAGTTAAGAGACAATGTTCCAGTAGTTCCTATATTGGTAGGAGTCCTTTTAGTTATGAGATGTGTGTTAGTTTACACTCCAAACCCTTTTATCCCCATGGCTTCTTTCCTTGCTTATTTTCTTATTCTTTTCCATATCTCTAGCAAAGAAAACAAAGAAATAATACTAACCACTTATTAAACACTTGATTTGACCCATGTTATTAAACACAGATCAAGAACCAGTAGTTTTATGTTAAGCTTAAGAAAGGACTAGGGGCTTTCGATACATTATGTAAATAAAATTTCAGAACATATTGATAACATCAGCATGATTTTTACCTTTTTACAATTAGGAAACTTCCTTGGAAAGATCAAGCACCTGGTAAATGACAGAGAAGTCTTGAATTTAATTCAGGCCTGTCTGTGCCCAAAGAACTTGTCCCCAATCGTCTATAAAATGCTGACAAAGAAAAGAAAAATTTGGGAAGCTCTTGTGATTTTTCTCAATAAAATAGGAGAGAATCAGTGGACTTGCAAGGCTATATTCAGTTAAAATGAGGTGAAATGTGCTGATTACCCTGCTCAAAGGCAGAGTACCTTTGAAGTTATTCTTTTTCTTTTTCTCCCCATTCAAACCAAAAATCTGACATTCTCTCCATATAGCAAATTCACTCTTATTCCATCCTGGTTTCCCTGTGCTTTCTTCCTCTCCAGCTGGAGGTGCATTGCTTTTCACCAGTGAATGCTCTAAGTGAGCAAGTGTTTGGATGGGGAAAAAATAAAGAATGCATGTTTCCTTTACTTGGTTATTTTGGTTTATTGTTCCTGGACCCAAGTCGCAAGATGCTGAAGTGAATGTCAAATAATGTTAAGAGTTCTTGGGGAGAAAATGGCAGGAGATCATTCAAAAACACACCTAAAGGAGAAGCTCATCATTGCAAGATGGGAAAAATGGTTTTTCCCTTTCATGTATAAACCGTGATGAGCAGGTCTGTTTTGCTAGCTGGGCTGATGATGATAATCATAGTTCCTATGGAGCTATGGGCACCATCACATTCATAAAATCTCCTGAAGGCCTTGAGTCTGACCAGTCTCTGTCTTCTTTCACAGAGACACAGCACTCCAAAGGGTTATGACTCTTGAACACAGGGGTGGCAAGAGGAGTGGGAGTATTCTAACACAGGTAACAGGAAGATAGCCTAGAGAGTCAGTGGGGTGGAGAATGAGGTGGGAACTGTGATGAAAATTAAAAGAGAGCAATCACGGGGGTGGGAAATCGACTAGGGGGTCAACCAGACTTTAAACATAGGCTTTCCTACATGCTGTTAAGTGCTCCTCCAGAGAAGGCTGGGGGAGAAACAAGTGCCTTCATCTTTGGATAAATACACTTTCAAAGATTATAGCATACAGTAGGAGGGAAAACAAACAGAAAATTTTGTGCCTACAAAACAATTCACAGTAATCCACTGGGATGCACTGGAAATTCAAAGCATTATGTTAAGAGCATGAAAAGGTAGTGCTTTTAATACATTTTCTATTATTTCTGACTGAATAGGTCAAGCAGTTCACATTGTTGAATACTGGGCATCTATAAGGGTTTGGGCAATTTTAGAAGGTGTTAAGATTCTTTAATAAGCCCATAGAGTAGAATGTTTCTATTGGGACATATGCTTGAGGATCTGCACTCACAAAGACACACATATGCTTGGAGCTGGAGACAAAGAGCCACTGCTGTCTTCCCTGCAATGAGCTTCTCAGGTTCCCCACCCCCCAACCCCCACAGCAATCAGTGGTGCAATCACTCTGGACCCTGCATTTGGGGGTGTATGGGAAAAGGGCTGATGTAGGAAAGCCATGAGTTGTTAAACATTGTTGGAAAAACTCACTAACCCTTGAGACCTGTCCACTTTTTTGTACACTTGGCCCTCACCACAGCTCAATGTTCCTTCTATTTAAGTCCTGTTGATTCCCTCTTTTATTTCCTTTTCAGTCACTGTGAATACTTTAACTTGACTTTTCAACTCAACAATGCACTCTTTCCCATTTTCCTGACTCTCTTATGATAATAAAAAAAGAGTATTATTATTATTTTTTGAGATGGAGTCTCGCTCTGTCGCCCAGGCTGGAGTGCAGTGGCATTATCTCCGCTCACTGCAACCTTGCCTCCTGGGTTCAAGCGATTCTCCTGCCTCAGCCTCCTGAGTAGCTGGAATTACAGGCGCATGCCACCACGTCCAGCTAATTTTTATATTTTTAGTAGAGATGGGATTTCACCATGTTGGTCAGGCTGGTCTCAAACTCCTGACCTCATGATCTGCCACCTCAGCCTCCCAAAGTGTTGGGATTACAGGCGTGAACCACCGCGCCTGGCCTTTTTTTTTTTTTTTTTTTTTTTAGACAGAGTCTCACTCTGTCACCAGGCTGGAGTGCAGTGGTGTGATCCTGGCTCACTGACACCTCTGCCTCCCAGATTCAAGGGATTCCCCAGCCTCAGCCTCCCGAGTAGCTGAGACTACAGGCATGTGCCACCATGCCCAGTTACTTTTTGTATTTTTAGTAGAGATGGGGTTTCACCATGTTGGCCTGGATCGTCTCGATCTCTTGACCTTGTGATGCACCCATCTTGGCCTCCTAAAGTGCTGGGATTACAGGCGTGAGCCACCGCACCCGGCCTGGTTTATTTTTATATATACACAACACACACAAAATAACATGAACTTGAAACATGGCTTTGTTTATGATAATCACGAAAATCTCAGCATACAGAAGCACCCATCTGGTCTACAAGCTCATTTAATGCTTTCTTCGATTCTACAACAATCTAATGTAAGTTTGAATACCTCCAGTAACAGAAAGTTTGCTGTTACCCACAGCAGCCAACTTCATCCCTGGATAATTCTGGTGGACATAAAATTCTTTCCAATACTATATTGAAATTTGCCTCACTGTAGCTTTTACTTGCTAATTCTCATTTTCCATTTTGGGCTTATAAGACACGTGATCCTTCCGCCACCTGACAGCCTGTCCAATTTTAACAACTTGCATGACAAACTTGAGCCTTCTCTTCTTCAAAGTAAACATACTTCTGTCCTTTAACCATTCCACATGTGGTGCTTTAAGAACGGAAGGAACTGAAAAAGAGTCAATGAATGATGAAGTAGAATAGATTAAGTATAAAATATGTGCTTTTTGAAAACATTAGCAGTAAAAGTTGGTGGAGGAGTTGAGATGGTACCTTGAGAAATACAGCCAAAATTTCAAGATGAAACATATTTCGAGTGAAGGGGAGAACTGAGCATTGTCCACACAGAGACAATGATTTCAGTGGGAATGGAGATGGGATTAAACAATGGATATGACCTAGTCCCCAGGCAGAGGGAAGACAAGCCAAACAGAAGGGTGAGAAAACAGAGGGATGTGAGGGGAAGTAAATAAGCTAAGTGGAAACAAATCTTCTCAGGAAAATAGGTAAGCAGTATAATTTTCATGTGTCATGAAATATTATTCTTCAAATTTTTTTTTTTTGAGACAGTGTCTTGCTCTGTTGCGCAGGCTAGAGTGCAGTGGTGCGGTTTCAGATCACTGCAACCTCCACCCCCCAGGTTCAAGCGATTCTCCTGCCTCAGCCTCCCAAGTATCTGGGACTACAGGCATGCACCACCATGCCCGGCTAATCTTTGTATTTTTAGTAGAGACAGGGTTTTACCACATTGGCCAGGCTGTTCTCATACTCCTGACCTCAAGTGATCCACCCTCCTTGGCCTCCCAAAGTGCTGGGATTATAGGTGTGAGCCACCATGCCTGGCCAGGAGTTTTTTCAATCATTTAAAAATACAAAAATCATTTTTAGCTTGGGAGGAGCTCGAAAACATGCAGCGGGCAGGATTCAGTTCATGAGCTATCATTTGTTGATCCTTGATATAAATTGTTAGGAAGGATTATTAATTGTCCACATCTTATGTGAAGTGAGCTTCATTAGAATAACCACCTGCCTCTTTCCTCAGATCCTCACTGAATATGTACCAGGAGAGGTAGAGTGACCTGATGTGATTGGGGAGGTTAGAGGGGAAAGTGGGCCTGCCCCTTTTTGTTCTTTTCCTTGGGGAACAGCTGCCTGTAGGCAGCATGCACTTTTGTCTCTTCCTGAGGATGCCTTTCCAGACTAGCACTGAAGGATGGTTTGTCTAATTCTGAGTTAGTATGTGAAAGTCCATTTGTCCTTCTTATTTAGGCATAAGTCACTTTCTCTAATATCAACTTCATCAATAATAAAAGTAATATTTTGGTCTTTAATCTGTCTTATTTACCTTATTTCTCAGCTAGTTTAGAATCTCACTCTGTCACTCAGGCTGGAGTGCAGTGGCACCATCTTGGCTTATTGCAACCTCTGTGTCCTGGGCTTAAGCGGTCCTCCCACCTCAGCATCCCAAGTAGCTGGGACTGCATGCACACGCCATCACTCCTGGCTAATTTCTATATTTTTTTGTAGAGATGGGGTCTTGCTATGTTGCCCAGGCTGGTCTGAAAATCCTGGGCTCAAGCGATCCACCAGCCTTGGCCTACCAAAGTTCCAGGATTACAGAGGTGACACTGTGCCCAGCCAACAACTTACTATTTCCTACACAAGTTGTTTTTACCTGCATTTTGTTTTTTATCAAGCCGTGTTTAAGCCATCATCTTTGCCGACTGAAGTACTGTTTGACCTCCCAAGCCTGCCTGAAGAGTCTGCTTCTCTATGAGTGATGGTCTTACACTTTCAGAAACCTTAATCCAGTAGATTACCTCAACAAATGGTGACTTCTTACTCAGCACTGTAGGAAGTCCCTGAGACCCTTAAGATCACAATTAGGTATGGGAAGTTAACATGTGAGCCAAAAGTTGCTATAGAGCACTAGGTATGAAATGATGGAAGTGACTTGAAGGTTAAATTTTGTAAATAGAAGGGACAGATTCACTAATTACTTTGACTAATATTTATTGAATGCTTACTATCTGCCATACTCTGTACTAAGAACTGCATCCATAGTGACTGAGTGTAGACTTGGCTGTTTTATTACAGGAATTTACCATCTACAGAAGGAGACAGACATTAATCAATTAACCTTGCATGTAATATAAAATTAAAACACTCAAAAAGGCAGTGAGGGCAGGTACATGGTGCTATGAGAGGGGGATCTGATATGGGTGGTGGGGTAGGCATGGAAGGAATTGAAGGGATTAGAGATATGTTTTGAAAGAACAGTCAGCAACAGAGTAGATATGATTGCCCAATCCATTCCATGTCCTGATTATGACCTCCCAAGCCTGCCTGAAGAGCCTGCTTCTCTATGAGTGATAGTCTTACACTTTCAGAAACCTTAATCCAGTAGATTACCTCAACAAATGGTGAGTTCTTACTCAGCAGTGTATGAAGTCCCTGGGACCCTTAAGATCACAATTATGTGTGGGATTCAAAGGAGGAATTGGGGTTCCGGAAGTAGGTATATGGGAGGAAGAGATTTCAGATTGAGGAAATAGCACTTCAATGTAACATGGCATACAGAGTCAGGAATTGCAAGTTACTTAGTGTGGCCAAAGTGGGAGGTACAGGGAAGTGGTAAGGCATGAGGCAGGAGAGGTAAACAGGGATGATGAGATCAGAAGTGTCTTGTATGTTATTTTAGGTAGATTGGACTCATCATGAGGATGTGGGGGGCATTTAATAATTTTTAAGGAGGGAAGCCACATGGCAGTTTTGTGATTGTATGGAGATGAATATAGGAGGGATAGTGAGGAGATGTGAGACAAACTTGAAAGAAAGACCACTTAGATGATTACTACAAAATCTCAGAAGGGAGATACCGAAGGCCTGAATGGAATCATCGATGTGATCTCAATGTCTATACTCATCAAATATTCTTCAAAGGAGGGTATGATTCTGCTCCCTCTCATATTCTTGCTAGATCTGCCTCTTGGAATCTGAGTTTTCAGGTGGGTTCCATAGAAAGATGGGTATCTGGGATTGATGAAGTTTGGATTTTCCTGAAGCAGACCTCAGCAAAAACTTGGATACAAGCAGTTCCTGTGAAAGGTGATCCCAAGAAATGTTATTAGAGGAGTGAAGAAGTAAAACAGTGAAACGTGGGCTTGTATCTTCAGAGACAGCCTTCAGGAAGGGGAAAGTCAGTGCCATTTCTCTGGGCTTCAACCTGGAGCTGTGATCTGAAGTAAATGGAATCTTTGCAATAACCTGGGAAATTTCAAGCACATCGCAGGATTTTTCCAGGTATCACAAGAATCTTTCTGTTTAGTGTTGGCGACGTACCCAATGGATGCCAGCACAGTGCTCCAAACAGCGCACAACTATGAATCATGTGGTGTCTGGTGAATGGAAACTAATAGTGAGGACATTAAGAAGACGTTTCTTCTGATGAGAGAGATCTAAAGGAAGAATGTGAGGCATAGAAGGAACTCTCATTGATTACATGCCAGTTATGTGCCACGATTGTGTTAAATAATTTCATATACCTTATTTAATTTAATGAATTTAATTGTGACATCTACTTTGAGAAGAAAATGTACACTCATTTTGCATATGAGAATATTAAAGAAAACTAAAGCTTGTGGGGTAAAGGGATTCATCCAGTATCATGTAGTATATAAGTTATCTTTTGCCACAATAATGCTTCATAATAAATAACCACAAAACCTGGTGGCTTGGAACAATAAGTGTTTATTCAGCTCACAAGTCTGCAGGTTAGTGATTTAGGCTGAGCTCAGCTGGGCAGTTCTTCTGGTCTGAGCTGGGCTCCCTGACATGCCTGGAAGTCAGCTGACTGTCAGCAGATTAGGATTGTTTAGGATGAGATGATCAGGTGATCTCACCTATGTTCCAGTTGTCTCTCATCATTCAGTAGACTAGCTCTGGCATATTTTTATGGCCGTCGTTGAGGGCAAAGACACAAATGGAAACTCACAGTTTCTAATCTCTTTGCTTGTGACATGTTTGATAACATCCCTTTGGTCAAAGAAAGTAACATGGCTGGGATGGTAGTCAGAACCTGGATACAGGAAGGAGCAAGGAACTGGGGAATTAATGCAATCATTCTTCCACACTTGGTGAGAGATGTCAGCTGAGATTTAAACCCAAAGGCCCGTCAGGCCATTTGTTGCGTAGCGTGCTGCTTTGCAAAAGGAAGCTCTGCATCATCTGAATTGGGCCTAGAAAATGTCATCATCTGTTTCAAAGAAGTGCATTTATTTAATCCTCAGCCTTTTTGTATTTTTCCAATTTACCTTCTGCTCCAAGATGGATTTGATACAATTTATTTATTTTTATTTTTTGTTTTGAAGAGCAAGCTGGTAAGAACTCCAAGGCCATTTTTACAGATAGGAAACTTACTTCGTGATCATTGCATTCTACAGACCTCCATATAAAACCTTATGAATGTACACAGTTTTGTCTTTTCATAGCCATTTTGTTATTTCCAAGAGGAAATTAATAAAATGAGATGCCTGTGGCTAATCTGCATTTTAAAGAACTTTCTTAGAGTGACAGCTCAAGCCCAAGAAGATTCCAAGTTCAGCTTAAAAAGTTAGCAGCGTTTGTCCACTAACAGAGATAGTGTAGCTGAGGAGTGCTGCAATTGTTCTCGCTGCCCCAGGAAGCCTTGATTTAGGAATGCATTCCTCTTTTCCTTTTTTTTTAAAGAAAAGTTGTGACCAACTCCTTCTGTCCCAGCAGGAGAAAAGAATAAAACTTGACCTCCTTTTGTTCCAACAATAGCCTGCAACTGCCTCATTCCATTGACTCAACATGTATCATCTGTCAGTCGTCAACCCTCCTTCCAGGACAGAGCTGCATTCTCCTTGTGTTATCACTTTGCTTCATGGTGCTCTTTCTCATCTGCCCTCAGAATTTAAAAGAAAAAAAAAAGACCATGAAAAATGTGTAAGTTGGATGCTATTCATTCACTTATTTATAAATAAATGGAAACTGACAGGCACCTCTTCAGAAAATGTTTACCCTATGGACAAGTGTTGATGACATGGGCTGAAAGTCACAGTCTGGTGCCACCAGGACCAGCTGCTCCTTTAGTAGTTACCATTGTGCAGCCTTGCTTTCGTTTTGGCTTGGCACATGCATTTCCAGCCTGCCTTACATTGAGTCTCCAGGATACTTTATCTCTAGCACTGTCTGCCAGAGACAATAGATGGATCTTTTTAACCAGCCCTGAAAGCTTGGGCTTTGTGTGCTCTTGATCTCTGGTGCTACGGCTGCTAACATAATGAGTTTCGCCTGGTGCCAAGGGATGCATCTGCTGTTGGCCCAGTAACTTTGCTTCATGGAAATGACATTCGATATTTTGTTCTTCATGCTGCTGGGCTGACATTTACTAAACTGGACAAATGTTTCTGTTTTCAGTGGAGAAGAAACACTGCTCATTGCTTAGCTAGGGGAGCAGCGGATGAAGCTGTTGAATTTATAGTAGATCTCAGAGTGGTTCAAATCATAGATCCTGAGTGATTCCTCCTCAGCTACTCCAAGTGGTACCATTTGGGGGCTGTTGGGGAATTAGCAGTTGAATTCCTTGAGAAAGTCCTCCTCCCCTGTATGAACTCCAGATAATGCAAGACTGTTACACAGTTATAACAAAGGAGTTAAGTCCTTGTCCATCTATCAACCAACCAATCCACCAACAAGCATATCTTTAGGACCTGCTTGAATGCAAGGTACTGTGTTGAGTTCCAAAAACACAAAGGGGCATTGGTTACAATCCTTGCTTTAGAGGTGGACAAATTGATTAAGGAAAATCTCTCTCTCTCTCAAGGGTGAGGTTTTGCTTAATGCATTTGGAGGTTGGAGGAGGATTTAAGAAAGGGAGAGATCACTGTGAACTGAAGTGCCTGGAGAAGACTTTCTTTGGGAAAATAAAATTTAAACCTAATGTGAAAGACTAACTGATACATTGAGGTTGTGTGAACCCAGATGGATAAAATCACACAGTCATAAACAGAGCTATTCTTAGATGTACAACAGTTGTTTCAGAAACTAAAACACCCTATGCCTTGAAAAGATCACATTTTTAGCCCACAGAATTCACCATGCCATTTGTGTTTATTTGCTGTATCCTCCAGAGACCTCAGTAAGCTGAGGGAAAAGGGGGAGGGACTAACATGCTGTAGCCACCTACATTGTACGATTTGCTTTACATACATGATCTAATTTAGTTCTTACACAGTCCTGTGAGCCATGCATTATTGCTCCTATTTATAAATGAGGAAATTGAGGCTCAGAGAGGTTAAATGTGTGGCCGGGTCTCATAGTTGTGCAATGGCTGAGCCCTCTGTGTTACTTACATACTGTCTGTCACTCACTTGATTTTTAAAGTTCTTGAGAGTAGAAAATTCAATATCAATGTTGTTTCCCAAAAACAAATATTTTAAATACTGCTTGTTAGATAAGAACATTGTCCGTAATTACAAAAAATTGATTAAAATGACACAAAGAAAAAAACAGTAAAGAGAAATCAAATGAGATAATTGATGTGTGTATCCTTTTGGGACATATCTGTGATAAGATCTGTCACATGGCACAGGAAGAACAAGATCTGTGTGCGTGTGTGGTACTGGGGGTTATAATCTTTTTAATTTCGTGTACCCTGCACATTTTAGATACTTACTAACAGGGTCAATGTCTGATACATTAGGATTTGGTTACAAAATGATGAAGAATATTGAGATTCCTCTCAGGCTCTCAAGGTGACAGATGTTCTATTGCTAAAGTATTGCTTTGGGGAAACCAAAATAGACCCACCGCACCTAAAATAATGTGCCAAAAATATAAGGAAAAAAATAGAAAATGGAGACTCACAGCAAGAGAGAACATTATATTTGAGTGATGGTTTTCAAATTTTCCTCTGTGGGTCATACTCTTGTCTGACCCATCTATTCTTCCGTGGTCCTCATCTTGTAGAGTCCAGGCGTCTTAATGCTCTTGGCCACCCAACCTCTGCTGTCCTGCATGAAAGGAGTCATGGAGGTTCCTACACACCATCTCCTGTAGGTGTGTAGTGGCCACCATTGGGCAGTGGCCTGGAAAGGCAGCAGGCTAGGGAATGTGATGCTGCCACTTGGATAGGCAGTTTTTGGCATACTGTAACTTTGCCTTGTGTCCTTTAGCTATTCTTGGAGATTTTCCAGAAGAATAAACAATCCCTTAAAGTCCCATTCCCTCCATGACTCCTGGCTGGAAACATCACCTAGACCTATATGACCTGCTTTTGCATTTTGGGTTTATACATGGACCAGTTAAAATGAACATCCCTGGGACCTGCCACCAGGGCTAGAAGGCTTTCCCCTTCCACCTGACAAGGTTAAGACAACTGATCGTATAGTCCAAACACTGCCTGCTTGGCTTATAGAGGATGGATTACAATTTTACTTATGGATTTATTCCTATAATCGTTAAATTAAGCGATTGATAAAGAATAATGGAAATTACACAATTAATAGAAATTAAATAGAAATTAAATGATTTCTCTTATTAAATTGTAAGATTCTTTAGGGAAATGTTAGTACCTTTTTTCCCTTACAACTGTACCCTCAGTGTCTATAAACACAGCGCTACCTTGTAGCAGACCTCAATAAATATTTGCTGAATGGTTTCATTTATATATGTGTGTGTGTGTGTTTGTATGTATGTGTGTGTATGCAGGGAAAGTCATTGTAGGAAGAGGGACAAATAAACAGAATGAACAAGTGAACAGAATCATAGGAGTTGGCCAGGTGCAGTGGCTCATGCCTGTAATCCCAGCACTTTGGGAGGCCGAGGCGGACGGATCACGAGGTCAGGAGATCGAGACCATCCTGGCTAACACGGTGAAACCCCGTCTCTACTAAAAATACAAAAAATTAGCCAGATGTGGTGGCACGCGCCTGTAGTCCCAGCTACTCAGGAGGCTGAGGCGGGAGAATCACTTGAACCCGGAAGGTGAATGTTGTAGTGAGCTAAGATCACGCCACTGTACTCCAGCCTGGGCAACAGAGCGAGACTCCATCTCAAAAAAAAAAAAAAAAAAAAATCATAGGTGTGATTTATTTAATCTGAAATTCATCTTAGTAATGTATAAAAGAATGCTCCCTTTTAGATAATGTGCATTTCAGCTATAATTTCACATATGCCCTGCTCTTAACCAAAAAGAAAATCTCAGTGGAGATTTCAAAGGATATAGATACAGGGCAGAGAATGTATGGCAGGCTGGGGGAGCCATCTGGGAATAGGCGAGTCCTATGGGTCCCCGTAAATCCTACTTTTCCTGAGCATGGCTGAGACAAAGGCCCATTGGTGGTTTGGGAATGAAAACATTCAAGACACATTGGGGAAGCTTCGTGTCTAAGTGACTTGGGACCCTGGACTGGCAGTCAGGTCCTCTACTCTAAGCCAATCTGAACTTAGATAATAGTTCCTTATATATTTTGGATATTAACCCTTTATCATATATATAGTTTGCAAATATTTTCTCCATATGTGTACTTTTATTGTAATGTTTCCTTTTTCCTAATGACAATAAAGCTATTGTTAAATTGAAGATAAGTTATAGAATCAAAGTGTCTTAGAATTGAGGAAACACAGGTACTATTTTTTAAATTTCTTCACAAAAATGTTTTGTATAGAATCGAGTCTTAATCTGGGATCAAAAAAAGAAATGTTTAAAGTTGTTACAGAGAAGTATTATAAATGTTTTAAGGCATATATAAAAGGAGACTGTCTTGGGGAAGCTTTCCAGAAACTGGTAGGTTATGAGACTGGGAAGCTTTGTGTGTCTCCTATTTAGTCTCTTGTACAATAATTTTTTTTTTTTGAGATGGAGTCTTGCTCTGTTGCCCTGGCTGGAGTGCAGTGGTGTGATCTCTGGCTCACTGTAAGCTCCATCTCCAGGGTTCACACCATTCTCCTGCCTCAGCCTCCTGAGTAGCTGGGACTACAGGTACCCGCCACCACGCCTGGCTGATTTTTTTTTGTATTTTTAGTAGAGACGGGGTTTCACTGTGTTAGCCAGGATGGTCTCGATCTCCTGACCTCATGATCTGCCTGCCTTGGCCTCCCAAAGTGCAGGGATTACAGGCGTGAGCCACCGCGCCTGGCCGTCTCTTGTACAATAATTTTTTAAGAAACATGAGATGCCTTTCAGGCCATAGGCATGGGCAAGGACCTCATGACTAAAACACCAAAAGCAATGGCAACAAAAGCCAAAATTGACAAATAGGATCTAATTAAACTAAAGAACTTCTGCATAGCAAAAGAAACTACCATCAGAGTGAACAGGCAACCTACAGAATGGGAGAAAATTTTTACAATCTACCCATCTGACAAAGGGCTAATATCCAGAATCTACAAAGAACTTAAACAAATTTACAAGAAAAAATCAAACAACCCCATCAAAAAGTGGGCAAAGGATATGAACAGACACTTCTCAAAAGAAGACATTTATGCAGCCAACAGACACATGGAAAAATGCTCACCATCACTGGCCATCAGAGAAATGCAAATCAAAACCACAATGATATACCAGCTCACACCAGTTAGAATGGCAATCATTAAGAAGTCAGGAAAAAATAGGTGCTGGAGAGGATGTGGAGAAATAGGAATGCTTTTACACTGTTGGTGGGACTGTAAACTAGTTTAACCATTGTGGAAGACAGTGTGGCGATTCCTCAAGGATCTAGAACTAGAAATACCATTTGACCCAGCCATCCCATTACTGGGTATATATCCAAAGGATTATAAATCATGCTGCTATAAAGATACATGCACACGTGTGTTTATTGCGGCACTATTCACAAAAGCAAAGACTTGGAACCAACCCAAATGTCCATCAATGATAGACTGGATTAAGAAAATGTGGCACATATACACCATGGAATACTATGCAGCCATAAAAAATGATGAGTTAATGTCCTTTGTAGGGACATGGATGAAGCTGGAAACCATCATTCTCAGCAAACTATCGCAAGGACAAAAAACCAAACACCGCATATTCTCACTCATAGGTGGGAATTGAACAATGAGAACACATGGACACAGGAAGGGGAACATCACACACTGGGGACTGTTGTGGGGTGGGGGGAGGGGGGAGGGATAGCATTAGGAGATATACCTAATGCTAAATGACGAGTTAATAGGTGTAGCACACCAATATGGCACATGTATACATATGTAACAAACCTGCATGTTGTGCACATGTATCCTAAAACTTAAAGTATAATAATAATAAAAAAAAGAAAGAAAAAAAAAAGAATCGAGGGAAAAACTTAAATCCAAATTTAAGTGTATTTTTCTGCTATATAATTTACTTGGTAGAAAACCATTTTACTGTTTAAAATTGTATATATTTCCCAGAAGATAGCTAGTTTAGGGATTATTTACTTTCTTACTGCAAATTCTTTTTCATCTATCTCTACTTAGCTCAAGGTAAATGTGTTACCCCCAAAATTACAAATTCATTCCTACTGGAAAAAAAAAAAAGAAAATGTGGCACATATACACTGTGGAATACTATGCAGCCATAAAAAATGATGAGTTCATGTCCTGTACAGGGACATGGATGAAGCTGGAAACCATCATTCTGAGCAAACTATCGCAAGGACAGAAAACCAAACACTGCATGTTCTCACTCATAGGTGGGAATTGAACAATGAGAACACTTGGACACAGGGTGGGGAACATCACACATTGGGGCCTGTTGTGGTGTGGGGGGAGAGGGAGGGATAGCATTAGGAGATATACCTAATGTAAATGAAGAGTTAACGGGTGCAGCACACCAACATGGCACATGTATACATAGGTAACGAACTTGCACTTTGTGCACATGTACCCTAGAACTTAAAGTATAAAAAAAAAAAAAAAGAAACATGAAATGCCTTAAGCTGTACGATGGCTGGAAACAAAAGAAAAAAGAAAAAAAAACATGATAAACTTATTTAACTAGCCCAGGAACCCATAGGCTGAAATTCTTTTTATAAAGTACCCGTCTTCAAGGAGTTCAAAGTGCTTGGCAGATAGTTTCTAAGAAACTTACAAAATCTGGTGCAATATTAGGCCAAGGGTGCAGGAGAGTAGAAATGCAGGGGTCATTTCTATTTCTCTGTTTTATGGCACACTTAAGTAACTCCTCAAAGGCCAGCAAATCAGTGACAAAGCTGGGAACAAACTCTAAATTTCCTAATGCCAAAATTATTTGTCTGCTTACTGAATGCAATTATCATTTCATATAGTATTTTTAGATTTTTCTTTCCTTCTGTTTGCTTGGACAAATTTTCAATTTTTGATTATTAATAATTTCTGATTTGTTAACTAGTGGGTGAGCAGCAAATATGATTGACAGTCTGTTTATCTCATGATCTAGGTTAAAACCTAAGCATCAGTCATATATATATATATGTATATATATATATATATATACACACACACACACCCACACACATATATACATAAATACATACACACACACACACACACACACACACACACACACATATATATATATATATATATATATAGTTTTTAAGATGGAGTCTCACTCTGTTGCCCAGGCTGGAGCGCAGTGGTGCCATCTTGGCTCACTGCAACCTCCACTTCCCGGGTTCAAGTAATTCTCTGCCTCAGCCTCCCGAGTAGCTGGGATTACAGGCACCCACCACCATGCCCGGCTAATTTTTTGTATTTTTAGTAGAGATAGGGTTTCACCATCTTGGCCAGGCTGGTCTTAAACCCCTGACCTCGTGATCCACCCACCTTTGCCTCCCAAAGTGCTGGGATTACAGGCGTGAGCCACTGTGCCCAGCCCCAGACAGTCATATTAATATCAACTTTTATTATTAAAAACCTATTTTATAAATCTAAAATTGGACATTAATCATAATGTATTCTCAGATATAATTTTTAGACCAGTATTTTCAAAGTGTCTATGATAACCAATGTTATAAATACAGAAAAAATTTAGTTAGCAATTAGCAGAATTATGTGGGTCATTTAAACTATGAGTGTTTCCTTTGAAATATTTAAAAATAACACTATGCATCATTTCCACTATTAAAGTTTACAGTTACACAGTGTCGGTCAAAAGAAGAGTCAGTCTTATCCTCATATAGAACCTGGAACATAGAAATGCTTATAGTCATTCTGGAAGGTAATGTGGCAATGTGCATATTGTTGCAAATGTAAAAACTATTTTACCTGCTCTCCCCATTCCTTTTCTCCCAAGAGCACTCCCCCATTAATTCATTTGAATAAAAAATCCCCGTCTCAGGCTCTGCTCCTGGGTAGCCTGACCTAAGACACCTCTTATTTTACAAATGAAGAATCTGGAGCTCAAAATGATTGTTTGTGCAAATCACACATCAGAGGAGGAAAAAAGTTCAGTTCTCCCTGACTCTGTACAGTTATTACCCAATAGTTCCTCCCAATGCTAACTTTGATTGAGTTTGCCCCCTCCAAATGGGTGTGGAATTCTGTCAAGATGGGCAGGTAGCTGGGTTCAAGTCCAGAGTGCAGAGTAGGAAGGAGTGACCCAACCAAGGAGCAACCCAGGGTGAATGGGAGCAGTCTTTATAAAGCAGGGCTTCTCCACTGGGGATCTTCCTCCCATGACCATAGAACAGTCTTAACCTTTAATGAGCATGGCCAGAGATGTTAAAAAGTCCTGCAACACATAGGGCAGTTCAGCTTCACAAAGAATTGTTCTGCACCAACGCCCCTGTTGAGAAACACTGCAAAGAGCCCAGGGTCAAAAAGTAAGTGAGCCAAATGCAGTCAGGAAGTCCAAAGGGCAAGGGGGTGATGGGAAGAAGACAAAGCCAAAGAACAGGGAAGCCAGGCAGCTCTGGGGCTCTGGCCGAGCAATCAGGCTGGAGGAAGGGGTTCGAGTGTGGCTGGTGTGCCTACAGCGTGCTGTTCTCAGCATCCACTCTGTGGCGCAGAGCGAGTCTGAGTCTGGGCACTTTAAAAGTTTAGGACAACACGGAGAATCAAAGTGGATGTCATGGGACCCAGAGGAAAAGAAACTCAGTGGCATTAGATTCACTGTTCTTTTTTTTAATTCTAATTCCAACAAACAGATATTGAGCACTGTCATTTTCAGCTGCTGTAGTAAGCCCTAAGAAAACCAAATATCACACAGTCTGGACTCCAGTCAATGTTCAGAAGTAGGTGTAGTAACGACTGGCCATGTTATAATTCTGGCTGCCGAGGACTTGTACCCTGTCTCATGGAGAAACTCTTTACCTTGTAAGTCTTTTTGGGCAAGAGGCCATCTCCTGGTAGAAGCTGATAGTGCTAGATAGCCGCATTTCCATTTTCCCTTGCAGGTAGGCCTGGGCACATGCCCTGGATTTTTAATTGGGAGGGAGGTAGTACAGAGCAGATGGGGAAGAGAAAAAGCTGTTTCTTAGCAGCAGCACAGCTGGCTCCTGAGGACAGTCAAGGCAGCTGAGGAGGTGGCGGTGGTGTTGGTGGTGCCAGGGCAGCATCTGTTCTGCAGGGGTGACCCCACTTGGCTCTATTTGGGGCCTTGTTTTTGGCCACACAGATCTAGCTTCCTGGAGACTCTGGGAATCACCCAACATCCTTTGAATAAATTCCTCTCTGATAAATCAGCCACAGATAGTCCCTTTTGTGGGCAGATACAAGCAAGCATCTTCTACGTTCCAATTTCTGGGAAAACGAAGGTAAATCTGACTATGGTTTTGTGTTCCCATGGTCAGGAAGACCAACAGGTACCCGGGTCAGCCTCAGGGCCTGCTGCCACGTGGGTATAACTGAGAACTGTGGATGCTCTCCATTGGGAGCAATAGATGATTATCCGTATTGTGCTCAATTTGAGGGGGAGGCTAAGGGCTGGGGAAGCTGGTGTGAGGTCTCTGGGATCATGAAGACATTGAAAAAGAAAAAAGAAAATGATGAAAGGCGGGACTCATGGACATTTTGTTACAAAGTGGTCCAGATTTGTGTCACAGGATGAACCTGGTACCAACCTGATCTTAGAATGTAAATGCTGGAAACAGCCACTATGTGGTAGGTTAGTGACTATAGTTGGCTGGTTTCCCTGCCAGACTTCCAGAGAAGCACTACGGGTGAGGTCAGACTTCTCCTTGCTTTTCGGTGGAAGGAGAGGACAAAGGGTTGTATATAATGGGTAAATTTCTGGCCCAGTTTATCTGTGATCCTAAATGTCTCAAAGATGGTCTCATTTGTTCCATAATAAGTTTGAAATCTTATATGATTTACAGTACACAACCCAGCCTGTGGTGGTTTGTACTATTCTGTGTGGACTAAATAGAATTTTATTTGGGGGAAGTGGTGGTGGGCAATGAGTTCAATGCTCAAATCCCCCTTGGTTATGCAGGTATCATTCATTGAGCACCTATTCCATGTGCCAGGCTCTGTTCCACACACTCTCTTCCATCTTGAAAAAAACCCTCCCAGCAAGTTTTATGAGCCTAGTTTTACCTGCAAGGCCTAATGATTTGGCCAAGACTACAGAGCTGAGGTGACAAAAAACATGAGCCCAGGTGAGCCTGGCTCCAATGCCGTGACTCACACCTAGTGCCTCCTTCCCAGACATCCTACGTCGGAGAATCACATGGTTTTCCTCAGGGATAATATGCCCATTGTTCTATCTTAGTTTGTAACTCTCTCTTGGCAGGTTGTGGGGCCTAAGATAAATATCCCATGTTATTAGGGGATTGATTTAGATCACTTACACACTCAGGAAAGATATCGGTGGTGAATAAATCTTTCTGACTTAAAATAAAATTCTATGATTAAAACACTGGATTATAAGACCTCTTCCAGGCCTGATTTCCTGAATACAGAGTAGAGTCCAGATATTTGTGTCTAGTTATTAGTTGGGAGAATGCTCTTCTGAGGTCAAAAGCATGGAAATGGGACTATTATTTCAGATCTGTCAAACTCTCACCACTGGGACCAGATGGGATGTGGGCAAGTCAATGTGAGTAGACTATTAATATTAAAGGTAATGATAATAATAATAATTAGCATTTATTGAACAACTACTAGGTGTTAGTACTGTAAAAGTATTTAGGTATGTCCTCAGCACAAATCTGAGGTCCATTTTTTTTAGATGAGGAGACAAATTCTGGGAGGGTCAGCAACTTACTCAGACAGTAAGTAGGCTGTTTAAGATTCAAACCCAGACCTTCCCACCTTCATGCCCAAATCTAAGGGTTCCTGTGATATTAATCACAGACGAATAGCTCCAGCTATGACTATGAAGAGCTACTTTAAAGTTATTAACCATTCATTTAGCAATTATTTACCAATACCTCCTTTATTATAGGCAATGTGCTGCTGAACAACAGAGACATGGCCTCTGACCTCATGGTGGAGGAGAAAAAAATTCAAATTATACAAATAAACATATAATTACAAACTGTGCTATGTGCTATGATGAAAAGATGCAGAAAAGTGGGAGATCATATCACAAGGAGGCCTAACCTAATCTAGCGATCAGAAAAGACTTCCTGGAGGCAGTGGCAATTGAGTCAATATCAGAGGGATGAGTGTAGTTAACTAGGAGGAAGGCAGGGGGAATGAGAGAAGAAAATTACTGGAAGAATGATGAGCATGTACAAAGGCCCTGAGGCAGAAGGAAAGAACTTTGAGTCTGTGGTAGTTGGACACTGCTGGCCCATGGGATAAATTTAGTTTGTAAATATTTTTCTGTTTTGGCTCACAGACTCTTTTGTGAAGATTTGAGCCCCAAAGAGTAAATATTCTGATTTCAAGCTCCTCTTGAATCATCAAATGATGTGGCAACCCTGGTCCCTGTGGGCTTCATGGCTGCAATGACAAGTGCTAAGTATCTGGCCAGTTTTTTTGGTTGTTTGTTTTGGTTTTGCGACGGAGTCTCACTCTGTTGCCAGGCTGGAGTACAGTGGCGTGATCTCGGCTCACTGCAACCTCTGCCTCTCGGGTTCAAGCGATTCTCCTGCCTCAGCCTCTTGAGTAGCTGAGACTACAGGCATATGCCACCACGCCCAGCTAATTTTTTGTATTTTTAGTAGAGATGAGGTTTCACCGTGTTAGCCAAGATAGTCTTGATCTCCTGACCTCAAGTGATCCGCCCACCTCAGCCTCCCAAATTGCTGGGATTACAGACATGAGCTACCGCATCTGGCGGTATCTGGCCAGTTTAAGTGAGGCACACACTCTCCATTTCATCAGTCTTCCTACTCCTAATTTTCTCCCTAACATCAAAGCAAGGCTTCAGTTATCGTTTATCATCATATTTGCACTGTTGCTTTTCTTATAGTGGATAATTGTTTCTTGATATTGTTGTCTCCACCAAAAATTAAAGATAGACCAAGAGGATCACGTGCTTTTCCTCAAACTCAGTGTGTGCCGTTCATGTACTTTATGGCTTGGTGACTGTGGACATTTAAATTTCCCCTGCTCTTACTTTGGAGGAAACAGAATAAAGGCCCGTAGGGTGTCTCACTATGTAACTGTCTAAAATCTGTTGACTGTTTTCTCTGCTACCAACGCTTAGTGAGAATGGGAAGTGAACTCCACTCCCTGGGCAAGCAGGGAGAGCTGAATATCTAATTGATTTTTAGTCAAAGATATAAAAAAATCCTAGCTCCACTCTTCTAAAATGTAAGACTGCACTTGTTTTTAATTGCTACTCAATATATTAAGAATTTATACTATATTAAGCAAAACAGATCTCCAGATCCCCTGCCCTGGAGAACATATGCTACTCATTTTTTTCTTTGTTGGAGAAATTAATCTTGCCATCTCCAAACCCTTGTTTCTTACATATTAGCAAGACATTAAAAATTAATTTTGAATGTTTCCTAAACACTTAAAAACACGTCACGTAAGTGCAGGTATCTCTGGTATCATGAAGAGCCCTGGTCTGTGACCTAAGAAACAGTTTGCAGTTAGTTTTGCACAGTTAATATGTTACCCAAAGATAGAGTGTAAGTCATGCCACATATTCAGAGCACTAGAGGAACTCACTGGGGGAATTTGTGAATTATTTTGTAAAGTAAAGAACTTGAAGGTAATATGCAAAGTCGCTCAATATATTCTTTTTGTAAGAACGGAGTATTCTATTAGGAATTAATACAGTGTCTTTGCACTATATATGTGCTATGATGCCTAAAATATCCGTTTCCTTATATGTAACCAAAATTACTGATGGAGTTCTATTTATGTTTGCCTTATGCATCCTGGTCTACAGTTTTTCCCTTGCTTTCTTTTCTTCTTTCTGCCATGTGTCACTAAGCCCTGCTACACATCAAATCTTCAGCTTAAACTCAACCAGCAGAGGGTGCTGTTTGAGCACTTTAAATGGACTCCTCATCTTTTTGTTTTCCAAAGAGAACAATATGGGAATAATAGGCTGGGATGATATTCAATAGGCAAGATGCTGGCAAGAGAGTATGCATCAGTGATCAGGTTTCAGTATCGTTTTGCAGAAAAATCCCTTTGTTCTCTGCTGCACAAAAGGACATTCTTTGCAAAATGCACATACAGTTTCTGGTGATAAATGCATGTGTTTAAAGGTAGATGGTGATAAATGCATGTGTTTAAAGGTAAGATGAAGGGGGTGCTGGTGGTAGAGTGGAATCGGCTTCTAAATTTACTAAGTACTTGTATCCCTTTTAGGCTTGGTGTTCTGAATCAAGATATCAGCCCCACGTGTTCTCAGCTTGCTGGTAAATGATCATGAATAATTCCTGTAGTAGCAAATGACATAATAAAATAATCAGGCATTCCCTGCCCTTTGTAGATCAATGAGCACAGATGTCTCCAAATGGAAGGCGATACTGGAGAACACTCTACATCTTGTTGGGTTTGAACATTAGAGAATTAATGGCTGTTTATCAAAATAAAGTGAGCATCTCCCTGTCCTGAAATCATGTTCAGCATTAAATATATTGTAGAAGAATACTTTGTCGCTTAAGTTTTACATAAATTTGATCAACTGTGTCTAATAGTGGATTGCACATGTCTTAGTAACATTTGTATACTTGAGTTTTTATATTAACCATTTAAAAATTTTATCAAAAAGAGAAAATTCCATATAACAACAATAACAAAAGACAAAAGCACTCCAGCTGAAGAGTAATCATTCCTGTCCCACTCCTCTTATCCTCAATGTCTCTCCACACATGTAACTTTTAATTTTTATAGCATTTTTTGGTTAGTAACCTCTCTATCTCTGAATAATATGCTTACATTGATAACTCTTGAGTTATTAGTTTTATATATGATATTTGTTTTCCTACACTGACAGATGAGAATGTAACTTAAGTCACTCAATATCTCCCGTTAGTCATATTTCTATTTTAGACCTTTATTGGTTATGTAAGGAAAACATTTGTTCCTTTAACAGTAAGCAATTTATTGTGAGTCCTCATCTTTTCAGTCCTTTTCTTCCACTTCCATCTCCCAATAAAAAGGCATTCTTCCTTTTTCTTGAGCATCTAGTATTGCTGATGTGAAATTTAATGCCAGCTTGATCCTCATTCTTTGGCAGATAACCTGCTTTTCCTTTCTGCTTTTTTCTTGAAGTCATGATCCTAGATGGAAGTCTTCTTACAGCCACTGGCGAGCTCTTCTGATCTGAAATCTTGTATTTCAGCTATACAAACTCTCCTCTATCATTCACATTAACAATTTGCTTCCCTCCGTTTTTGCTGTTCCTACATGATGTTGAGATTAGTAAGATTTGCCTTCTGCTCTCTAATTGTAATTCCATCATCTTTGTCTGTAACTTTGTAAATCAATGAATAGTGTTTACACGGGGACTCAAAACAGTATTGTTTATCACAGTGTCAAGAAGTGTGCTGTTATATTTCCTGTCTTGTACAGCTTTTAATTTTTCTGAAGTTGCTAACTGGCTTTTTAAAAGTACTATTTGCCTTTATTACGTGCCCAACTTTTTTGTCCATTGCATCAGAGATTTGGTTAAAATTTTTCCAGAAACTTCCTTCTTCTGAAGCTACTTCAGGGAAGAGTGCTTCATCCTGTTACTCTTGTCTGTACTTGTTGTCTAGGCCTCCTATACAACTGTCTCTTCTTTGTTGGGCTGCTTTCCTCATTTGTGGAACTCCAGCCTTTTATTGAAAGACACACTCAACACAATTCCTAAGAAACTGTATGTGAGATGCAGCTTTTCTGATTCTTTGAATGTGTGAAAATCAGTACATGCAAATGTGATCTATGTTCACACCTGTATAGTAATTTAATTAGGTATAGAGAATATAGTTTAAAAATATGTTTTCCTCAGAATTTTAAAGGCATTATTCCTTTTTCCTGAGCATTTAGTATTGCTAATGTGAAATTTAATGCCAGCTTGATTCTCATTCTTTTGCAGATGATATGATCTGCTTTTCCTTTCTGCTTTTTCCTTTGAGCCGTGATCACGTGGTAGAAGTCATTTTACAGCCACTGGTGGGCTCTTCCCATCTGAAATCTTAAGGCTTTCAATTGAACAGAATCTCTTTTATCATTCAAATTAGCAATTTGCTTTCCTCCCGTTTTGTTACTTATTTTTCATAATTCCTACTAATTATCTGTTAGTCTTCCTGGTTTGATCTTTAACAGTAAAATAGTAACCAATATTATCTATTTTTTAAAAAATATTTTAAGTTCTAGGATACACGGGCAGAACGTGCAGGTTTGTTACATAGGTATACACATGCCATGGCGGTTGGCTGCACCCATCAACGTGTCCTCTACATTAGGTATTTCTCCTAATGCTATCCCTCCCCCAGACCCCCACCCCCCGACAGGCTCTGGTGTGTGATGTTCCCCACCCTATGTCCATGTGTTCTCATTGTTCACCTCCCACTTATGAATGAGAACATGTGGTATTTGGTTTTCTGTTCCCGTGTTAGTTTGCTGAGAATGATGGTTTCCAGCTTCATCCATGTCCCTGTAGAGGACATGAACTCATCGTTTTTTATGGCTGCATAGTATTCCATGGTGCATATGTGAAACATTTTCTTTATCCAGTCTATCATTGATGGGCATTTGGGTTGGTTCCAAGTCTTTGCTATTGTGAATAGTGCCTCAATAAACATATGTGTGCATGTGTCTTAATAGAATAATTTATAATCCTTTGGATATATACCCAGTAATGGGATTGCTGGGTCAAATGGTATTTCTAGTTCTAGATCCTTGAGGAATCGCCACACTGTCTTCCACAATGGTTGAACTAATTTACACTTCCACCAACAGTGTAAAAGCGTTCCTATTTCTCCTCATCCTCTCTACCATCTGTTGTTTCCTGACTTTTTAATGATCGCCATTCTAACTGTTGTGAGATGGTATTTCATTGTGGTTTTGATTTGCATTTATCCAGTGACCAGTGATGATGAGCTTTTTTTCATATATTTGTTGGCCACCTTAATATCCTTTTGAGAAGTGTCTGTTTACATCCTTCACCCACTTTTTGATTTTTTTTTTTTTGAAATTTGTTTAAGTTCTTTGTAGATTCTGGATATTAGCCCTTTGTCAGATGGAAAGATTGCAAAAATTTTCTCCCATTCTGTAGGTTGCTTGTTCACTCTGATGATAGTTTCTTTTGCTGTGCAGAAGCTCTTTAATTAGATCCCATTTGTCAATTTTGGCTTTTGTTGCCATTGCTTTTCATTCAGGACATAGGCATGGGCAAAGACTTCATGACTGGTTTGATCTTTTTGTCTATTTTTATTTCATCTTCTGGGAGACTTTTCTGAGTTTTTAAAATGTATTTCTCTTTTTTATGTTGGCAATCATATTTTTAAAATCAAACCTTTTAAATCTCAGTTTGTTCATTTTTCATAGTATCCAGTTCTTGTCTAATGAAAGCACTGTATTCTTGAATCTTTCTAAGGGTGTTGGAATTTCTGCAAAAATGTCTGTTTTTTTAAATAATATGGCTTTCTATTTTGTAATCAGCTTTTCTTGTTTATTTTGATTAGAGTGTCTCACACTCAGAAGTTTTTCCAAGTGTATGGGAATATTTGGTTTTCTGTTGATATTTTAGGGCAAAGCAAATGCCATGACTGGGGTTGTAACTTATATTGTGGTGAAATCAGCTGTTTCATAAGTAGAGTTTTGATGGATTTCCTCTGCATTTTAGCCTTTATGTCTCACTCCCACTCCTGTGGTATTTCAGTTTTCAGATTTCTGAGCATCTCAATGGTTCTTCCAGGCAACCTATATCCATTGCTGTCACTAACCCTCCACCCTCTTTATTTTGCTCTAAGCTAACCCCTTTGGATGCTTTTCACCTGTCAGCATGTTTTCACTTTTCATCTGGGGTTGTTTGTTGAAAAAAAAAAATTGTTGAAATCTTTTATCAGTTTATGTCCATTTCTTTTTCTTATTTTAGCTTATGAATTTGTACCTATTTGTATTCCTTTACTAACATTTTAATAGGCTTTTGGATGGAAGAGAATATAAATACATTTGCATAATCTGCCATCTTTATCTAGAAGTCCCTGTTAATTTTTAAATATACATTTGTCTGACCTGAAATCTGTAGACACATATTTAGTATTTATTTATAGTCTACATCATTTGTAAACATGTGTTTTTAGTGCATATGTGTAAGGTGCCTTTTGGCATGTACCATTTCTCTGACAATTTTCTCAATATTTTAAGGTATAAACAGGTCAAACTTTTAAAAAAATCCTTTCCAGGTTGTAACTTACCTCAATTATATTTTTTCTAAAAACAATTCTGTAAAATAGGTATTGCCACCATCTCATTTTACAGACGAGAAACGGAGATTCCAAGAGAGTTGAATGATAAGCTTAAGATAATAAAGCTGATAAATGTTGACCTGGTTAGATCCAAACTTCGGTTCAGCGGTACATGTGCAGATTTGTTACCTAGGTAAATTGCATACGTCATGGGGGTTTGGTGTGTAGATTGTTTCATCACCCAGGTAATAAGCGTGGTACCTAATAGGTAGTTTTCAGTCCTCATCCTCTTCCCACCTTCCACCCTCAAGTAGCCCCAGTGTCTATTGTTCCCTTCTTTGTGTCCATGTGTAGTCGATGTTTAGCTCCCACTTATAAGGGAGAATATATGGTATTTAGTTTTCTGTTCCTGTGTTAGTTCACAGAATAACAGCCTCCAACCATGTTGCTGCAAAGGACATGATCTTGTTCTTTTTTATGGCTACATAGTATTCCATGGTATACTATGTATATACATGGTATATGTACCATATTCTCTTTATCCAGTCTACCACTGATGGGCATCTAGGTTGATTCCATGTCTTTGCTGTTGTGAATAGTGCTGCGATAAACATTTCTGCATGTGTCTTTATGGTAGAATGATTTATATTCCTTTGGGTATGTACCCAATAATGGGATTGCTGAGTTGCACGGTAGTTCTGTTTTAAGTTCTTTGAGAAATCACTAAACTGCTTTCTACAGTGGCTGAACTAATTTACATTCCCACCAGCACTGTATACATGTTCCCTTTTCTCTGCAGCCTTACCAGCATCTGTTATTTTTTGACTTTTTAATAATAGCCATTCTGACTGGTGTGAGACAATATCTCATTGTGGTTTTAATTTGAATTTATCTAATGATCAGTGATGTTGAATATTTTTTCATATGCTTGTTGGCCACATGTATGTCTTCTTTTGAAAAGTGTCTGTTTACCTTCTTTGCCCACCTTTTAATGGGGTTGTTTGTTTTTTGCTTGTAAATTTGTTTATCTCTCATGCTATGCTATGTCTCTTAGACAACATTTGATAAAACCAAATAAATACAACAGCATAAATAAATAAGTTAATCTGTTTAAAGAATAAATTTCTACTTTCACAGGGCATCATGTGCACTGCTTTAGTTTTCAGCTTGGTTGTACTTTTTAATAATATTTAAAACTGGTCCTGAATATTTGATAAGGATATGGCAGTCCTAACTTCTCTCATCAAACTCTATGGATAACTTATACTGATAAAATAAATTATGTTTCATAAAAGAAAAGCTGTTGTTTCAAAAGTAATGGAGGCAGGGCCAAGGTACAATCAGACAATTTTAATTGTCTTCAACTATTATATATCTTACTATATTTTAGGTCAGATAATTTGGCTCATAATATTCAAAACTGTATTAATTATGGGATTTTACAACAAGGTTATGTAGTGTATGTTTGCCAGTTGGGAAAGAAAGATAATTATGCTTGAATGTAGGTCACATTTAAGAAACCCTCTTAGGCCTATGGGAACCATGTTTCCTTAAAAATCAAGAGTTAATGATATTAAAGAGAATGGTGCCACCTCTCATCCTGTGACCCAGTTCTTTTGGTCAGAGACGATTTTTACTTTTTTTGGTGGGTGTGCATAATTTCCCGTAGGGCAGCTTGGATCAGTTGTGGTAGCTACTGAATTGGATCATGTTGGTTATAAGAAACTGGTAGATGAAGCATTACTAATGTGGATATTTACAGGCACATTTCTAGGGCTGATGTCATAAGCAGTTAGTTCTCTTAACTCCCCCCAAAGTTGGATACAAATATTGATTTTTAGCTGGGCAGATCTTTGTCTACTATGCAGTTGTTTTATTCTTTGTCCATGAAAAATTGTTGATATGTTCAAGCTCACAGTGTTCTGTTTTGTTTTCCTGATCCTTTTTTTGTTTTGTTTTTTGTTTAAGCATTACCAAATGTTAAGTCTAAAGAATTTAGATTTAAAACAAGAGTGAACTAGGAGTTCATATAAGGATATGATATTCATATAAGGATCTAACATAATTTTGTAGCATCTGAGAACTCTGTTGTAACTACTTAACCATTTGAATTGAGCTCTTAAAAAACGCTCTGCTCACAAATTTCCCAACCTCTGTTCCACCTCACTCCATCCCACTGCTCACCACCAGTAGAAAAAAGGCTGCAATGGAAAAACAGACTGTTTAAAATTCATTGCATGATACAAAAAGAAACATAAGGTTTTCTAATGCTGTAGCTCTATGTCCTGAAATTGGGGATAATTTTACAAGATATGTAGCAAAATAGATCTCAGCTCCCAATATTCAGAACAAAGCTTTGATTTTGTCACTGCAATTTAAGTGGTTCAACTTATGTTGGGGTTGAGGCAAATTGCTTTTTAAAATACAGAGAGATAGTGAGATATAAAATTTTAATTTATAATTTTAATTGGGCTGGGATTTTTTTGTCTGAAATGTGTGCATTTTCAGTTATTATTTTCATCTTTGCCTTATCTTATTACTAATGAAATACTATAGTTAACTAGTGAGCTGATGATACATTCTGAGGATGAAATTTGTAGCCTATATTTCTCTTTGTCTCTTTTCCAGATTTAAAGAATTAAGATACTTGAATAAGCTGCTGTAAGGAACCACCAATACTAGAAGACATACTGTACTTTAAGATGATTGGGCATTGTGTAGTGCAGACACCAATCCTTGGAAGGACATACAACACACTAAGGATATTTGGGGCCATGGAAAAATCTAGCTCCTGAAGTAACTGATGAGGGTCCCCCTTTTCCCAGCAAATACTCGGCCTGCAGGACTAATGTTTAACTAGCCATGTAGTTTAACATATATTTCCCTATTCCCCTCCTTCCCTTGACTTTTGTCAAACTAGCTTTCTTGGACTAGTTTGATTATATGCCTCTTAAAGGGAAGGAAGCCTTGTATCTTTCTCTCCATTGGCATCTCTATGAAATTCGCATGCTGGTTACTGAAGACAGCAAAGGCTCACAGCAAGCTATAGATGTCCTGGATGAATGTCTTTGCTGAGTCTTACAAATTTAGACCAAAAAAAGAATACTGGAATCTAGAACTAATAATATATATATATAATATATATATTTTAATAAATATATTTTAATTAAAAATATATTTTAATAATATATATTTTAATAACATATGTATTTTAATAAAATACATAGATATATATTTTTAGTCCTATACAGGTCCATTTAGCTGTTAATTTCCACTTCAGAATTCTCTTGTGATGATGTCTGAGTGGGGTATGAGTTCCTCCAGGCTTTGAGGTTTATATAAATAAGAACTATAAGATCAACATTTACCAACAGGTGAGCTGTAGGATGGTAATCCAGCTGCTGCTTGTGTTTTGGGTGTAGTACATTTAGCTAATCCTATTGACTATAATTCTAACTGGGTGGCTCTTGCTAGAACTTTGGGGAAAAGATGTAATCTTCAGGCCAAGGGTGAATGGAGTACTCCAGCTATTCTTGAAATGACCCAGATCTCAAAGCAAGAAGTTGATTTACTTTTTAAAACAAGATTTATAAGTTGCCCAAACTGTTCTCTACTCAAAGGTTATGGTTGGAACCCAACCAAGATAGTAGAAACACTGCCTTCATCAAGCCAGACATTGCTCAAGTTTATAATGCAAGATAAAGAAGAAGTAATACATGTCCTGTTTTAAAGACATGTCTAATTGCTAGGAGAGCACTCAGGTAGCAACACAATAGATCTGCCCCAGTGGTCTAAGCAAAGGCAGTCTCAAATGTTGAGAAGAGTAAGACTTAGAATAGGGAAAGGATTGTGTTTGGCTCGGTCATCTGTAAGTCTTTTTAAAGACCTAGGATGACTTTTAGGGTGTGTACATGACAGGATAAATGCAAGTGTTTCTGAGACTTGAAGACTCTGTAAATAAGGGGATTGAGGGTAGATCTAAGAGAGTTGGAGGTACCGGAAATGTTGGGAATTGGATAACGAATATCACAGAATGAAAGTCTAATTCTGGTGAAGTTAAGTTAAGAATTCTACCTTTTCCTGTTTGAATAACATGCACTGGCTTTAAATGATAATTGTGGAACATCTTAGAGAAAACCTCAGACTCCTGAGCAAGGTGTCTGTTTTAACCAACATAGCAATTTATTTCTGTGGAGAGATGAGAAAATTTTGAATGATTCTTGATTTTTAGAGCACTGCATTTGGTAACCCTATTATAAAATTTTGGATATATATTGCACCCCATAAAATAGCTACAGCAGTTTAGATTTTTTAAATGGCCAGAGCCATTATGTGCTGCAGCACTTGGATTTGGTCCATAATGCTTCGCAATCCAACAGCAATCTCTAAAGCCCAGAGCCCTGGGACTGTTTCCAACAAAACAGTAGGTCAGCACTGAAAGAGAAAGAAGTGGTTGCCTACATTGCCACAAATGGAAATGAGAGAAGAGACGTGCTTATCAGGGTAAATAAACTTGGTCTTATTATTAGAAAAGAGGTGGCAAGTGGGCGGAGGGAAAATAGGCACAGCACTGACATTTACTAAGCACCTACTCATTGTCTCACACATTATTAGATGCCTTAATTCATTACTTCATTTAGTCCTGGCAAAATTCTAAAGATTTGATTATTGTCATTATTACAGATAAAGAAACTGAAGAGAGAGTATATTAGGCCATTCTTGCATTTCTATAAAGAAATATCTGAGACTGGGTAATTTATAAAGAAAAGATATTCAACCGGCTCACGGCTCTACAGGCTCTACAGGAAGCATAGTGCAGGCATCTGCTTGGCTTCTGGGGAGGCCTCAGGAAGCTTATAATGATGGTGGAAGGTGAAGGGGAACAGGTACGTCACATGGCCAGAGCAGGAGCAAGAGAGAGAGAGTGGGGGTGAGAGGCACCACACACTTTTAAATGACTAGATCTCCTGTGAACTTAGAGCGTGAGCTCACTTAACACCAAAGAGATGGCCCAACCCATTCATGAGGGACCGGCCCCCATGATCCAAACACCTCCCACCAGGCCCCACCCCCAGCATTGGAGATTACAATTCAACATGAGATCTGGGCAGGAACAAATATTCAAATTATACCAGAGAGGTTAAGAAAATTGACCAAGGTCACACAGCAAGCATGTGGTGAATACGTTTTGTTAACCCAGGTAACTGACTCTAGAATTTATGCTCCTTTTAATCTGTCACAGTTGAGTTTTACTTTGATGACTTGTTATTAGTGACTGCTGTAAATCTATAACTGTTTAGGTCATCTCTACTGTACAATGGTCATGGGTGATTGAACCACTAATTAATCATGTGTCTTTGGGTTTATTCACTCATTAAACAATGACTTGTTGAGCCCCAATTATGTGACAGCTACTGAGTAAGGTAATTGCACTGCAGCAGGGAATAAGAGAGATGCAATTCCTGTCTTTATGAGCTTACATTATGGAAACAGTAAGCAAGTAAAGAGATTAACATGTTGAAGTCTGTGAAGGGATTACTTCAGTGAGTAGAACCTTAATGCAATCCAATACTCCAGATTGCTATAGGAATGAGATGTACTGGTAAACTGAATAGTCTGGTTATTTATGTAGACTTTATCAAGAAATGGATCTGGACTCACTTCATGGCAAATCTCCAGGTGACAATGCCCATATTGTTTCACCTACAGATTAGTTTCCATAAAACAGTGCCCCTCATTCTTCTGTGTATATGCCACTCAAACTGTTACTCCTTTAATTTTTTTCTAGTTTTTTCCTTTGGAAGACTTTGCTAGGTTTCACTGTTACTAAAAGGGAAGTAGCAGACCACTTCAGTAGGGTTATGCCATCTCTATTTTGGAGTGAGGGTGCTTTTAAAAAATGGTACTGGGTTTTTCTTCTTTTAAAGGTCACACAGTTCTGATTTAGAATGCTCTCAAAAACATATAGATAAATTTAAAACATGAAATTTGAACATGAGTGCTATAATAACATTTATTTAAAAAAAACTATCAAACTTGGCTAAACAAAATGTGGTACCTATACACAATGGAATACTATGCAGCCATAAAAACAAGATCATGTCCTTTTCAGGAACCTGGGTGGAGCTGGAGGCCATTATCCTTAGCAAAGTAACTCAGGGACAGAAAACCAAATGCCACATGCTCTCACTTATAAGTGGGAGCTAAATGATGAGAACACACGGATACATAGAGGGGAACAACACACACTGAGGCCTTTCAGAGAACAGAGGGTGGGAGGAGGAAGAGGGTCAGGAAAAGTTACTAATGGGTACGAGGCTTAATATTTGGGTGATGAAATAATCTGTACAACAAACCTCCATGACGCAATTCTACCTATATAACAAACTTGCACATGTACCCCGAACTTAAAATAAAAGTTTAAAAAACTATCAAACGATACTGTATATATTTTAAAGGTACATACATACACAGAAAAAGATCTAGGAGTAGACATACCTGATCCTGGGGAGGAAACTGGAATTGCAGCTGGTGGCCAAATGGGATTTTATCTAATTTATACTATTATTGTATTTTACAGGGAGAATGTATTCATATATTATTTTTATAATAAAAAATAATGTGAGAAGAAGTAAGATGAATGGAGACCAGCTAGGAGTCTATTGTAGTATTCCAGGAGAGAGATGGTCCTGACCTGAAATAAGCATGGAGGCAGTATAGCCTAGAGACTGGGAACAAAAGGCTGATTCCAGACTGCTTGGGCTTGAATTTCTGCTCTTACTCTCACCATCTGTGTGCCAACTGGAAACATTACTTAACCTCTTTTTGTCATGGCCATTTCATCTGTAAATGGCTATGAGCAGAATATCACCTACCTAATAGGGTTGTTGTGATAATTAAGTGATTTAGGACATGAGAGGTGCTTAGAACAATGCTTGGTACATAGTAAGGCCTCTATAAATATTAGCTACTATTTTAGGAGGCATAAACAGCATTGGGTGGGGGGAAATGGGAAGAGTGATGAATAACTGAAGATGGTAATACAGTGGACACCAAATTGATGCTGAATATCTTGAGAGGCCTTGTGAGTCATCAGTCATCATACTTTTGACCATCTCTATGCCCTGAAGTCACAGGGTATAGAACATTATGATGACTGTACTAATTCTATGACAGATACTGGATGTTGCCTTTCTAGTCGTGAATTCCAATCTGGAATGAGATGGTCACATCCTTAGCCTCTCTGTATAGTTCTTTAATGAGTACGTTGGTAACCATGCTACTTATCTTTAGTGCCTAGATTTCTTTTGTAATTAATAAGGTGACTGTACACATTTCAGCAGATATAAAATGCCTCCTGTCCTCTTTGCTCTACTTAACTCTATTGCATTTTCAGTCACTGCTAAGTCTGCTTGTCTGAATGATGTTACAGAAAACAAGAGGAGTCAAAGGAAAAACTTATTACCTCTCGGGGTCTGTTTGTGTGAAAACTCAAAGATAAATATGACTCTGGGTGAGGTGGGGAAAGGCCCTAGCACACTGCCTCCTTCTCTGAATTATTTTAAGGATCCACTGAGGGAAAGTGTGCTTTGAGGAAAAGTCCAGCACTGCACACATCAGTATTTAGTCTACTGGCTTTCTTTCTATTTGTTCTTTAAAATATTCCATGTGAAAACACTGGAGAAAAAATTCTAGATGGCTGCTTTCTGAATAAACAGCTTTCACCAAGTTAATATTTCTCTTAGTTTTGTCTACTTATCTTATCTTTGAATCTACTGACTATTGAGTAATTGTTGAAACCTTGGCATTTTATTCACTTCAATTTTGAGAACACTGGTAAGACAATAGCTGAACCTTTGGGAAAAGGACAAATATTTTTAAAAAGGAAAAATATTTAACTTAGGTGTTCATCTCCCTTCTCTGTGAATTGTCTCACTATGCATTTTTTTCCCATTATGGCCCTAAATGAAGTTTTTGTGACATCGTCTTTTCAGGAAACTCTTTGGGTTTAACTGGAGGCTTTAATTTGGTTTCAGTTCACCTTAGTTTGGGTCCTAACCTAGACCAATGTGGACCCTCTTAGATAAATAGTCAGTAATCTACAAATGATAACCAGAATTCCATAATTCTGCCCTTTCCCTATGCTGGCCCATATTCCAGATGATCATGCCTTCCTGCTTTCTACCACAGGAAAAAGAGTCCTTTTGATACTATTCATATTCTTTTCATTTTTTATAAACAAGGAATATGACTTTACATATTTCTGTTTTTTTTAATCTGGATTTTTCTCATTCAGATATCAGGTAATACCTTAATATGTTATAATACATTTGAAATGAAAAGTTACTGATATTTTGTGAAATTCTAAACCATGCTTTTTGAAAGCATTTGTTGAGATAGAATTGGCACACAATAAACCACACGTATTTCAAGTGTACAATTTAAAAGCTACTTTTGAGTAATAAACCCAATTCATTTTCTTCAGCAACTCTTATTTAGGTACCAGTGTATCTTTCTTCTTGTCTTCAAAGCTAAGCTTCTTAAGGGCATTGTCTTAATTTGGTTTGTTTAATTACTCACCTTCCAGTAAAGTCCGTTCTTAATCTCTCTCAGCCAGGCTTCTGTTCTCATTACTTAGCTGAAATTGCTGTGGCAAGGCTCACCTGCCAAATCCTGTGGACATGTTTCTGGTCTTCCCTTACTTGGATTCTTTGTGACACTGGCCGCCATTGACCATTCTCTCTCATCTTGAAAATTTCAACTTTCTTGGCCTCCTCAGTGACACACTCACCTGGTCCTCCTCCGACCACTGACAAGCTTCCTTCCTGCCTGCATCTTCTATCTGACCCTTCTTCACTCATCTGCCCTTCTTCGCTCATCTCCTCAAGCTTTCTTCCTACTTTCCCCAAGTGAGCGCATTTTCTTAACTTGTTACTCATAGTGAGCACATGTTGATGAGTTACAAATGAATGATTTTAGCTTAGACCTCTTTGCCGACATTCAGAAGTATGTACAGGAACTGCTTACTGGACACTTCTACCCGCATATCCTATAGACGTAAAATTCAGTATCTTAAAAACTCACTTTGTTATCATCCCCCACCCCACCCCCGCAAAACCTTCTCTTCATTCTCTATTTCCTGGCTTAAGACACATGCCTTCCCTGTGGGAAGCTTACAGTGTTGTCTGGGGAAACAAAATACCAATGCATAAAATAACCACAAACAAGCTTGTGTTGTTTAGGTCTGTTTGGTGTCATGAAGCAGCCAAGGGTTCAATGGTGCTACATAAATGTCCAAGAACAGAACTTTAGAGAATAAAGTCCTGTGATGGAGCAGAGCTGACAGGTGCAGAGTGTTCAGAAAGGCAAGAACATCAAAGTTAGAAAGGAGTTGTCAAAAAAACCTTCACAGAGCCGATGCCACTTCATTTCTTCATCTACTCAACTGCTGTTTGTTGGGGCTTTCCACATGCCAGGAACTCTAGGTTCTGGAGAACCATCAGTGGATGAAAGGCATGGCTCTTGCTCCCACGAGCTTATATTCTACCAGGAAGAATCGGACAGAGAATATGGAAAACATT
Source organism: Homo sapiens (assembly GCF_000001405.40). Classification (NCBI taxonomy): domain Eukaryota; kingdom Metazoa; phylum Chordata; class Mammalia; order Primates; family Hominidae; genus Homo; species Homo sapiens. The sequence continues at coordinate 92,556,597 of NC_000012.12, read as the reverse complement.
CATAGAAATATACATTTAGATAGAGATAAATACTATGGAGAAAAGAATAGAATGTAATGAACTAAAAAGTGATAAGAGGCTGGGAAGACTCTTGTAGACATCATGGTGAGGGAAAACTCTCAGAAAAGTGACATTTGAGCTGTTTGTTGAAGAAATAAATGAATCTTCCTCTCTTCTGCAGCTCTGGAGAGAAAAGGTTTAACAACCAGATTAAACCATTCAAAGGATTCCACAGAACAGGTGGTGCACTGAGTTTATTAGAACCTCCACAAGGCATAAGAAACAAATCTTTCTGTTTCACTTTCTTTCTTCAACATTTGCAATAAGACGCAGACTCAAAGAACTTTTCTTTCTGACCCAAATACTGTGGGTATGCCTACAACACAGAGAAAATAAAAAATACTCTGAGTGAAGAGACCCTTCTCTGTAGTTTCTAAAGTCAAAAATCCTTATCAATGAAAAATAATTGATGGTATCCTCAAATCCTATGGCTTTTTCAACATATGAGGGAAAAATATAACAGAATTGTCTTGTGGGTGGCATCCTGAAAGTTTATTCAGGGAACTGAATTCAGCATGTTGGGAATGCAACTATAACTAAGACAAATTTCATAAAGGTCTTATCTTCTAGTTGGAGGAAATAGATAATAAATTAGTAAACAGGAAAATAAAAAAGGTTTATGAGAGTGATAATTACTATTTATAAAATAAAGGGGGCAGGGTAAGGGGATAGAAAATAGAGAAGGAAGAGCAAATTTAGAAAAAGAATCACCTCCTAGGAAGTGATTTTTTAATTTTTATTTTTTGAGATGGAGTCTTGCTCTGTCACCCAGGCTGGAGTGCAGTGGTGCGATCTTGGTTCACTGCAACCTCTGCTTCCTGGGTTCAAGAGATTCTTGTGCCTCAGCCTCTTGAGTAGTTGGGATTACAGGCATGTGTCACCATGCCTGGCTAATTTTTGTATTTTAAGTAAAGACGGGGTTTCACCATGTTGGCCAGTCTGGTCTCAAACCCCTGACCTCAGGTGATCCACTCACTTTGGCCCCCCAAAGTGCTGGGATTACAGGCATGAGCCACTGCGCCAGGTCCAGGAGGTGATATTTGAGTGGAGACCTGAGAGGTGAGGAGATGCCAGTCCCATGAGGGAGAAGCCTCGGGGAGAGTGCCCCTGCAGTGGCCGCAGCACGTGGGAGAACACTGAGTTGAAAATGAGCCTGGTGGGAAGGCCAGTGTGGCTGGGGTGGGGTACAGTGTGAAGGAGGTGAGTGATGAGGCCACCTGAGAAGACAGGGCCTTGTACATGGCAGGAAGGAGTTGGAAGTTGTTCTAAGTGCAGAGGGAAACCAGTGAGAGGTTTGGAGCAGGAGACTGATGTGGTATAATGAAATTAACCTTTCAGCAGGATCACTGACCCTGATGCAGAAAATGGAAGCAAGGGTATATTTGGATCCTGGAATGGTTCTCGACACAGAAGGCATTAGAGAAATATTTCATGAAAGAATTCATCAACCAATAATCCATTAAAAACTAAGACAGTTCTGACCTTTAAAAAGGTTGTTTTCTTATTCCCCAAGATCAATGTTATCTGGCATTTTCAATGGATCCAGCTTGTTGTTCACAAGATATAGGAACAAATGTTTCTTCACTTTGAAGAAGCAGGGAGTCAGTCGGCCGGGAGTGTGGTTTATTCAGCAGAGGCATAATTTCTCACTTCTATACTTTGCTATTTACAGCACACCATTTTTATAAACACAGCATTTAGGCCAGAAAAGGAAGTCCATTTGGCCTATACAGCTCTTATATCAAGAGAAAAATTTCTCCCAAATTTTCTCATCATTCTGAATGAACTAAGGTCCTCAAAAAGTGCACACTCAGTTCTCTTGTTGGAGACAAGATTTATAAACAGTTTATGCACCACACATTTAGTTTTGCCACAGTGGCAGCAGCAGGATAAATAAAACTAGGCCTTTTTGTTCAGTGATTTAAAATGTAAGAAAATGAATGTGCACTTGCATTGTTATAGGGGAGGAAGGAGAACGTCATTCCTGAAGAGTGCTGAGCAAAGTTTCATTTCCTAAGCTCAAATCCCTTTGCTCCTCTTTTGGAAAGCCCATAACTCCCCTTGGGAGATATAATTTTTCTTGTGGAGTAAGGAAAAAGAACTAAGACTTACTCTCATTAGAGAAGCTGGAAGTCTTGGTTCCTGGTTTTCATTATTTTGGGTTTCTGTTTGAAGATGTGTAATCTTGGAAAACATTTAATGGTGACCTTGGGACTTTCTGCTTGAAGTTTTCAAATGATCCAGATGACCATGTGAGACAGAAATCCTCTCTTTAAGGAGCATTTTAGGAAGACAATAGGACTTAATGTCAGAGCCTGGGAGTTGAGTCTTGTCACCATTATACTTATTGTGTGGGTTTTAGCAAGTCACAGAAGTCATCCTACAGGACGGTGAAGAGCCGATGAATCTGGTGTTTGGTGATTGCCAGGCACTTTGACAATAGTGATTATTGATCATTGTTCTGATTATCATCGTTTTTACTCTCCTGGTAGATTTATTCTTTGGGGGAACTTGTTTTCCCCAACAGACTTACTTATTTGAGGTTTTTGTACCATTCTTATTTTGGAGGAGAATGTTCTAGTTACTGAATTCAATATAACAAACATTTAAATTTTAAAATAAAGAAGATTACGTATTAGAAGGGGTTAACAAGATAGGTTGGTATTAACTTAATCTCACATAAATTGAGGAAAGAAGCAGGAAGAAAGTGCATGCCATGAGTTAACAAAGACTATGTAGCATGAATTCTGTCAGGGAGAACCATGGAAAAGACTCCGTGGGGAAGTGGTGGCAGAGAAAAGAGCTCTGTTACCTGCACAGGGGTGAGACAGGCTGGAAAGGCCCTGGCCAGGAAGTAGACCGACCTCCTGTGAAGGGGCAGGCACAGGACACGTAGGGGTCAGGCAGGAAGTCCAGACCAGCACGTACAATATGCCTCTGGTAAGTGTGGCAGTGGCCAGCATGGGATTTTCCAGCATAGCTGTCAGCATCAGAGACCGAGAGCAGAAGGAAGGGCAAGTTTCCACAAGCCCAGTGACAGGAGCACGGGAGTGAGTGATAATAACAGCTTCTGGCAGCCAGGCAGTAGCTAATCAGGACCAGAAAATCTGGCATGAGTAGCAGGGTCTCAGAAAGCTCCCCCACCACTATCTTCTACCCCTACACACACACACACACACACACACACACACACACACACACACGTCTCCACTCTCTCTTCTGTTATAACTATTTATTGAGCAAAGGCTCTAAAATCAGAATGCCTGTTTGAGTTCTGGTTCCACCATGGAATGGCTGTGTGTCCTTGGAAGAGTTCCTCAAACCCTCTGTAGCATGGGTCTGCTGACTATGTAGGGCTCTCCAGCATCGCCGTGTTGTGAACGGGAGGGGTAATCATGTGTAGGAGTTGTGTGCCAGAGTCTGGCCCATAATACATGCTCAACAAATAGGTTGAACAGGAATGAAACTAAGAGATCAGTCTTAGAGCCAAATCTGGGCTCACACATGAGAATCAAGATGGCTCTCACAACAGAGATGTAACGTGGAGCAATGGCAAGCCTTGGCTAGTCGTGGATCTCAGAGGGTGGAGTTGGTTACCTTGACATCTCTTTTGTCTGAATTGGGGTTCATTCTATAGATTGGCATAGGGTTGGGCTTCAGATGAGGGTCAAGGAGAGGGATGCAGCATCTAGAGGCCTGGCAGGTACACAGTCCCATAGCGGGTAGGAGTGCAACAGAACAGCATTCTGGGGTGGTGGCAGGGGCTGCAACAGGGTAAAAAACACATAGGCAGGCTGGAAAGTCAGATGATAAAGGCTGAGGAGTGAGTGGGTCACTAGAAGGTAAAAACAGCCATCCAATCATCTCCAAGAAGTCCTGAGGTCAAATTCCAGAGAGTTGGAGGTTGGCCAAAAAGATAAGCAGGATTGAGTGAGGACTCTTGGGAAGCAGGCAGACTTGAGTAGGCTGTTGGTTTAGAAATAGATGGTGGTAGTGAGGGAGAAATTAAATAAACAAGCATGATTTGTGGTACAAGTTACAGAAGAGAAAGGAAGACAGGGATCAAGTGCTGGTGTGGAGTTATTTATGGAATGAAGGAATAATGATTCTTTGATCACATTAGTAGTTAATGTTTGAGTATAGATAGGTGGAGGAAGGTTGCAGGAGGGAGGAAGTGTTCCTCTCCCAAAAAGGGAGGGTGAAGATCTAGAGAAATAAAGAGGTAGAAAAGGGAGAAATGAGGAAGGCTTTCTCTGATGGCCTCATTCTCAGTGAAGAATGACACAAAGTCATTCTGGAGGGGGCAGGGGAGGTGCAAGGTGGAGGCCTGAGGAAAAGGTGTCAGATAGTGACTGTGGGGAATTTTTGAGGGAGCTAACTGGAGATGAATCATTCCATGGTCATGATTTCTGCATATCTGGAATGCACCTACTCCAGGCTCAGGCTCAAATGGAAACTGAAAATTGCCCCAACTAATGGCCTGACATAGCAAAACCAAGCTCATCCTCCCCCACTCCAGCTCAGACAAATCACATGCATTGCTTGTCCCCATTTCCTGCCATAAGCTGTCCCCTTAACACTATTCTGTTGGTCTCACTCCCACTTCACCCTAGACAGGGCTCTCAGAGATTGCCCAGGCAACCTGGAGTCCTGTGATCTTTTCTTAGTCACTTTTCTGGCCATCTTTGGGGAATAAACAACAACACTTCTTTTTGAAATGTTCTTCTTCCTTACCCTCTCTCCCTACATTTTGTGTGACAGATTCCTTCTCATTTTGCAGGTCTCATTTTAAAACTCACCAACCCGGGCTTTCATGAGACCCTGACAGAAGGTTCATTCCTGTCCTATGTTCTCACAGCATTCACTCCATCTACCCCTCTGATATGTACACAGGAAGAAAGGGGCAATTGCTTTGCTCATTTTCTGGGTCCCAACTGTCAAGTAAGCTCCCTGAAGCCAAAATCTGCCCCAGAGGGTAGCACACAGTAGGTGCTCCATATATATTCGTAGAATGAATGAATGGGCAAATAAATGAATTAATTACCATTCATTACCCTTGTTCTTTTCCATATCTCTTACTGCTGTGTATCCTTCACTGGTGTCTCTTCTTCCTCCTATGGTGAAATGTGCTACCTCAGCCTTTTCCACACAGGAGTTAAGGCCTCCATAGTAGACCTGGCTTCCCAGACCTAGAAGACTGGGACCGTCTTCTCTCCATCTGAAAAAGGCAACCGAACACAGCTTCACATTAAACATCCAAGTACAACCTTCATGCTGGTCAGTTCTATTTCTTCATGGGCTCTCTTTTCTTTGGGCCCCTTTGGTGTCCTTGGTTGTCCTATGTAATCATGCCATCCAATTTAATTCTTCCTTTTTCTGGCTGACCCATTTTAAGAACCTTCCTTCACTGATGTATGCATTATCTTTTCATGAATGGTTATTCTGACGGACGAAAAAAAATTCTTATAATTTCAAATTAGTTCCTGGAATAAACTCTCCAGTTTCCTGACAAATACAAATATGGGGCATAATAATGTCTAGAAAAAGGACCTTATCCAGAGGCCAGCTCTGAAAATTGCAATCATGAAACCCAAGGCAGGAAACAATCTTAGTTGTATTTGTCAAAGTGATGAGCACTAGGTATCAGTGAAGTGGGTGGGTCATATCCCAGAGAATGGTCACTGCTCATGAGTCAGGTGGTTGCTTTCTGGAACTCTTTCCCCCAGCCTCTCAGTAAGTGGATAAAAAAGCTTCCTAGAGAAACATCTGCTTAATAGTGTGAACTGTGGAGCCAACTGCATGGATTCAAATCCCAACATCACCCCTTACTAGTGGAGTGAGTGGAGTGACCTCAGTTAAGGCATTTGATCTCTCTGTAGCTTAGTTTTCTTGTCTGTGAACTGGTGGTAATAATCATACTTAAGTAATAGGGTGGTTGTGGATCTTAATGATTTAGGATATAAAGCATGTAGACATGTCCCTGGCAGATTGTAAGTGCTACCATAATTGATCTATTAGTTATGGAGGCAGAGTCCAGTCATAAAGCAGAGTACTGGCAAAAGTGAAATTGGGTACAAAGGCTCTGAGCTCCAGATAGTGTTGCACATGGGGCAGGAGACTGGGGCTCTGTGAAGAAGAGTGTCTGAAATTGACACACCCAGAGCTAATTGTCTGGAGTACAGGGTCAAGGCCCTGAACATATGTATATTCTTAGAGCTAAGGTTCCCACTAATCTTTGCATGCATTCCCTGTGTATATTGATGAATTGATGAGTTTCCACTTAGTTTCTTCTTCTTTTCTTTTCTTTTCTTTTTTTTTTTTTTTGAGAGAGAGTCTTGCTCTTTTACCCAGGCTGGCCTGCAGTGGCACAGTCTTGGCTTTCTGAAACCTCTGCCTCCCGGGTTCAAGCGATTCTCCTGTCTCAGCCTCCTGAGTAGCTGGAATTGCAGGTGCCCACCACCACACCCGGCCAATTTTTTTTTTTTTTTTTTTTTTAAGTAGAGACAGGGTTTCAGCATGTTGGTCAGGCTGTTTTCAAACTCCTGACCTCAAGTGATACGCCTGCCTCAGCCTCTCAAAGTGTTAGGATTACAGGCATGAGCCACCGCGCCCAGCCTCCACCTGGTTTCTGATGTGAATTCTTTTTCATTCTCCCTCAGGGTTGGAGCCCTTCTTGGAGTTCTCATCCCATTGGCTGTCTACATCTTTTCTATCAAGACCATACACATAAGGATAACACATGAGCCTCCTAAGGGCTTTGACAGGGTAAAGAAGGAACTTGAGTTGGGACTGAAGTCTGAACAATTATAAGGAGAAGTTAAACATTTTTTTTTTTTTGCCATTTAAAATTTTCTCATGTCCTTTTGATTGCACATCTTTGTGTAACTAGGAAATCAGAAATTAGGGTTATTCTGGAACTCAGCCCACACCTACCTTTCTAGAATTTTTTTCCCATGACCATTCTACCAGTACCTTAAATGTGTCTAAAACCAGTCTATTTGCCATCCCCCAAGCATACTTAAGAAAACTGTGGGCCGGGCGCGGTGGCTCATGCGGGCGGATCATGAGGTCAGGAGATCGAGACCATCATGGCTAACACGGTGAAACCCCGTCTCTACTAAAAATACAAAAAATTAGCCATGCCTGGTGGCAGGCGCCTGTAGTCCCAGCTACTTGGGAGGCTGAGGCAGGAGAATGGCGTGAACCTGGGAGGCGGAGCTTGCAGTGAGCCGAGATCGCGCCACTGCACTCCAGCCTGGGCAACAGAGCGAGACTCCGTCTCAAAAAAAAAAAGAAAAAAGAAAACCGTGGAATGATGATTCTCTCCTGAACTTTTGGCCATTCCTCTTCCTCTGCTCTCACATATCTCACAGTGAGACCTTAACTATCTCTGAAGCTTTCTTGTAATATGTTAGAGGGCCTCCACGAACATGCCATTTTTTTGTTGTTGTTTAGACCAGTGATTCTCAAATGTGCACACAAATCACCTACGGAATCATGGTCGAATGCACATTACGATTCTGGGGATCCTGTATAGGGCCCGACAATCTAATTTTGTATCACTCCCAGCTGGTGTTGATTCTGTGGGTCCTTGTGCCAATTCCAAGACTTTCCTAAATTGATCCTATATCACAGTTATCCCTATGCCATTTCTCCAATTATGTCTTGAGCTAGTTGATGGTGGCATTAGTACATATATACATGTTTATATCCTCCCAAATGCCTGGCACATCTTCTCCCATATTGCTGGTGCTCAATAAATATTTGAGGAATTTGCAATAAATGCTTAAACGTTCTGTTTCGTATCAGAGTGGGCTTATAGACAGAACTTGTCTTCTCCCTTACCTCTCACCTCAACCCTGGACCCCATCTGTCACTAGAAGGATTCTCCTTCAGATTAAAATGTTAATGATTTGAAGTGTTACCCGTATCAATAATATTTGCATAGAAAAAAAGATCACCTGCACATATGATACACCATAGTCTTTGCAATGCTTCTCTTGTTCCCCTAGGTAATTAATTTCATAGCATCTTGCTGAGAGGCATAGCTCTCCTGGGTATATCTGAGCCAAGGGAGATGTGCTCCTGCCACAGAGTGCTATTTAGAAGTCTCATAGACTAAAAATTCTTTACTATCTGGATATCAGAATTATATAGAGATTTATAATTCTTTAGCTGCCTTGGCTTCTGAGTAACCCCTCACCCCATCTGGTAACCTGGAGGTGGTATTACTTTGCAGTACAGGCTTCACAATTTCCTGCTAGTCCTGGAACTTCAGTAGGCATGCTGATTTTAATCATCTCCATGTTGCACATAGCATCACATGATGTGTTCAGTCTTGGGAAAGGAAAAAAAAAATCCTTCCTAATCCTTCTTGGTGGAATTGCCATCTCTGTCCTCCCCGTGCTTCTCATGAAGCTTGTGCTGTGTTCTGCTGCAGTTGCTGCTTTTGAGACCTTGTAGTCATTGCACAACCAGCTCTCTATCCATGGCTTTATGTCAGTTAATTCTGAAATTGCTGGGAAGAGAGGGATGAATCAATTCACTTTCCACAGAAGGTCACCGATTTTAATTTTCTTTATTATCTGAACTATGGCTTGCTGGAGAGATCTTTCTGGCACACCAGGGACCTCTTTCATCCAATTATCTTTCTGACCACTCAGCTCTCCAGCCTGTACTCCTCTCTGTGGCACATGGCTCTGTTATAGTCTAAACATACAAAGGAACTGGACTCTCATGATGGGATTCTGGGACCTTTAACACTTAAGCAGTAAAGACATATTTGAACAGAGGAGTCTTCCCAGGCTCTTCAGCTTACTCCATGTGGCCAATTGTTCCCTACACCTATGCCTAAGTTGCACCCTGACCAGATGAGGCCATCTGATTGAATGAATCATAACTTTGGGAGCTACTTTGTCGAGTAGCCTCACGGAAACATTTCCAAATGTAGTTTTTTCTCAGGTTACTTAGAGGCTCTCGCCTGGAGCCACAGACTTTTAGAGCTACATGTGATACAGCATGTAGGGCAATTTGCAAATAGACTATTACAGAGTGAGACAGAGAGGCCTTTGGTGCACTCTTCTTTAGAGATCACTTGCCCATCATCTCAATCCTCCTGTGTCAACCTTAGTTTTTATTCTGGCTACTTTAGTAATTATTTGCCCTCACACAAAACACATGCATTTTTGTGTTTGTGGATGAGTGGATCAATATTACACTTCATTCTACTTTGTGGGGTAGCATTAGGCTGTCACTCAGAGTCATTTACAATGACCTATCTTTAAAAAGGACATGTTCAGGTTATGGGCAAAGGCTCATCTGAAACCCTAGAAATTGTAGATGGAGACTATTTCACAGGATGTTTGAGAGAGGACACCCTGGGTTAATTATTAGAAGTCTGGGGCAATAGCTATCATGTAGAGTGTTTCAGAAATTAACTTAATGTGAGAATAGAGGTCACCTGATTGCTGAAGTGTAAGGACAGGTGGCATATGGGCCCAAATTTGGCTTCAATTTCCCTTCAAAGTTAATGAGTGTTGCAGGTGCTTATCTAATCATGGCATTTGGACCAGTATGTTTTGCACATTCAGGGCTTTGTAATGAGATGCAATGTTTATTTTCTATACTCTTCCCCACAGACTGCAAAAATACCCTTTGCTCAACCCTGTCTAATCATTGCAAGTGTCAACAGTCAAAGCTAATGACAGAAGGTAGGTTTATGGGGCAGTAACCCTGCCTACTTGGCATAAAAGATCCATTCCCAGAAAAAAGGTTTAAGCAATCACGTGAACTTCAGTCTAACTAAAGGAGCTTCCGTGGGTTGGTGATTTTAAAATAATGATTTTTTGATCAGGTTTTGTAGTTAATGTTTGAGTGTAGATAGGTGGAGGAAGGTTGCAGTTGATGGCTATTTAATTAAGTGTATAGAACATGAGTCTTAGCCTTATCTCTTTCAAGATTAAGCATAAACCTCCTGTGTGTTTCTCTCTCCACCGAAACACTCAGTGGTCAGGTTAAATTAAGTTTTCTTTATTAAACATTTACCAAATATCTGCTAAGTTCCAGGTGTTGCGTTACACCTTTGAGAGTCAAAGATAAAGAAGTATGAAATGGACCTTAACACTTCTCTATTGGATTCTGAATTCCTGCATCATAGTTGGCCTTGAGCATGATTCACATACCTGGCTACTCAATGCAGGCTGTTGCAGAGTTGTCTGCATAAGAATTATCTTGAGAACTCGTTAAATATACAGGTTTGGGGGCCACAATCCCAGATATTCTGGTGTAATATACCTGGAAAGAAATACAGGCATCGATATGTTTTTTTTAAAAAGGTTCAGTGGTATTTTTTAAAAATGTATTTATTTGTATCTTTATTTCATCTCCCTGGTCAGCTTGAACTATCCAAGGTCATAAGAGTTGTACTTAAATACCCTTCTAATATTATAGTTTTGTTCAATTTCCTTATTTTTTAAATAGCTTTTGCTTCACATATTTTTTAATATTTTTTATTTTTTTGCAATTTTCAAGTGTACAATATACTATTATTAAATATAGTTACCATGACATAAAATAGATATCTTGAACTTACTCTTTCTGTCTAGATAAAAATTTGTATCTTTTGACCAACATTTCCTCAACCCCATCCCCACTTTCCCGAGCCTTTGGTAATCAACATTTTACTCTCTACTTCTATGAGCTCAACTTTTTTAGATTCCACATATAAGTGAGAACATACGGTATTTGTCTTTTTGTGCCTAGCTTATTTCACTTAACGTAATGTCCTTCAGGCTCATCCATGTTGTTGTAAGTGACAGGATTTTCTTATTTTTAAAGGCTGAATAGTATTCCATTGTGCATTTTGATCACATTTCTTTATCCATTCATCTGCTGATGGACACTTAGGTTGATTCCATATCTTGGTATTACGTGTAAGCTTTTGTTAAATTAACCCTGAATGCAAGGTAGAATTCTTTGGATGGTTTTTTTTTTTCCTGAGACAGAGTCTCACTTTATCACCTAGGCTGGAGTGCAGTGGTGTGATCTTGGCTCACTGCAACCTCTGTCTCCCAGGTTCAAGCAATTCTCCTGCCTCAGTCTCCTGAGTAGCTGGGACTGCAGGCATGTGCCACCACTGCTGGCTAATTTTTTTTTTTTTTTTTTTTTTTTGAGGCATAGTCCCACTCTGTTGCCCAGGCTGGAGTACAGATCTCAGCTCATTGCAACATCTGCCTCCCGGGTTCAAGTGATTCTCCTGCCTCAGCCTCCTGAGTAGCTGGGTCTACAGGCATCTGCCACCATGCCTGGCTAATTGTTTTTGTATTTTTGATAGAGATGGGGTTTCACCATGTTGACCAGGCTGGTCTTGAACTCCTGGCCTCAAGTGATCCACCCACCTTGGCCTCCTAAAGTGCTGGGATTACAGGTGTGAGCCATCATGCCCAGCCTCTGGACAGCATTTAAAAACAGCTGATACCAGGTCTCCACTCCACAGCAATTAAATCAGAAACTGTAGACACTGGGTCTTGGGCATTGACATTAAAAAAAAAAATTCTCCAAAGCATGATGATTGGGTTTTCATGCTAATGTGTGAAATGTGCCTCCCTCAAACCTTGTTACGACAAATAAAATTCTCCCCAGGTGATTCTAATATGAGTCGAGTTGCGACCCCTTGGAGCAGCTGTTTGCTGTTGATGACATAAAGCAAGGAGAGCTGCTGTCTTCTGGGACCCAGCATGTGCTTTTTGACCATTTCTTCCGTTTGTGTGATTATTTCAAATTTTCGAAGTGCTGTTATGTGTCTACATAACACCTTGCAAGCCCCTGGAAGAGACCTTAGAGACTGGCTACACCAGGAGTCAGGAACCCTGGAAAGGGCTAGATAGTAAATATTTTAGGCTTTGTGGACCATATGTCATAACTACTCAGCGGCTGTAGAGTAAGAGCAGCCATAGACAATATGTAAATGAATGGGCGTGGTGTGTTCCAGCAATCTTATTTACAAAACCGGTTGTGAGCTGGATTTTTACCCCTAGCTGTTGTTACTTGCTAACCCATGGTCTACACCAACACTCTGATCTCATCCATGAGGAAACTGCCGTCCACTGGGCGATGTGATTTGACTCAGATCTCAAGGGTAGGAAAGGGCAAACTGGGCTTGAAGTTCAGGTATTTCGACTTAAAACACATAAAAAAAAAACCTCTCCTAAATCTACAATTGGTGAATAGTGTTCTTAAAAATTAAACCATTAAAAGGAGGGTCTTCTCATCTCTACCTTTTGTGTTTCCCTGGCTTTATGGTGCTATGATATGCTGTGTACGTTTCCACTCTCTCCAGATTGTAAGCTCTTCCATAGTAGAGCCTGGGCTTTCTTCAGTGCCACATTCCCACCAGTCTGGGGCAAAGCAGTGCCTGTACCTGTTAGCGTGCTGAATATACTGCAGCCTGAGCATGTGGAGCTCAGTTTCATGTGTTTATTTCAAGACAACAGGGCTGACTGGGCTTCCGGTCATTTCCGGTGATTTCTGGAAGTATCTTTTGATAATATCTAGCCCACTTGCTTGTGTTCTTTATAACTTCAAATAATGTTTATATAATGACAGAAAAAGTTTGGAGATTGTGGCAGTGGGATAAAGCACAGATTAGATGTCTAATTACTTTTAAAAAGTTGACTTTCAAGTTTGGCCAAAAAAAAAAAAAAACACTGTAAGAAATCGAGTTTGAACAGGATTCTTTGCAATATTATTTTCTTTTCGATTTTCTTCTGTGCAGGCTTGCAGTAAAGTATATATGCAATATGTTACTCTTGTCTGTCACATTCAGAAACCTGCCCCCCAACCCCCTCTTCTGTGCAGTCTCTCCAGTTTGACCTTGAGAAGTACTGTTTACAATTCAGTGAACCTGGGTCTCTCCCTTCTTGCTTCAAGCTCAGCAAATGGACAAGAAAAACCTGCAGAACTCGTTCAGCAATTTCAGACTATAAACAAGTAATCCAGAGGGAATAAGGGAATGACTGCAATTAAAGTCTTCTCTCCCAAGGTTGTCAACACTCTAGGTTGAGCAGTGGCCTGAGAAAGTTGCTCATTTCTCAGACAGGCTTGCTTAATGCAAGGTGCAATGGGCTATTATCTAATGTACCTTGCTTTATCAGAACACACATTTCTCTCTGTGTCTCTGTCTCTCTCTCTCTCACACACACACACACACACACACACACACACACACATATCTTCCATATTCACATATAAACACACACAGTTGCTATTGTCTCAGTCTGGATATAGTGGAAGGTGGAATATTATGATCTTACAAGGGAAAAAAAGCTTTTAAAGGGCAATTCAGGGCTGGGCGCAGTGGCTAATGCCTGTAATCCCAGCACTTTGGGAGGCTGAGGCCGGAGGATCACAAGGTCAGGAGATGGAGACCATCCTGGCTAACACCGTGAAACCCTGTCTCTACTAAAAATACAAAAATTAGCCGGGCATGTTGGCGGAATTAGCCGGGCATGGTGGCGGGCGCCTGTAGTCCCAGCTACCGGGGAGGCTGAGGCAGGAGAATGGTGTGAACCTGGGAGGCGGAGCTTGCAGTGAGCTGAGATTGCGCCACTGCACTCCAGCCTGGGAAACAGAGCGAGACTCCGTCTCAAAATAAATGAATAAATAGCAATTCAGGCCGAGCGCGGTGGCTCATGCCTGTAATCCCAGCACTTTGGGAGGCTGAGGTGGGCAGATCACAAGGTCAGGAGATCAAGACCATCCTGGCTAACATGGTGAAACCCCATCTCTACTAAAAATACAAAAAATTAGCCGGGTGTGGTGGCAGTTGCCTGTAGTCCCAGTTACTTGGGAGACTAAGTCTCAGGAGAATCACTTGAACCCGGAGGCAGAGGTTGCAGTGAGCACACTAGCCTGGGTGACAGAGTGAGACTCCATCTTAAAAAAAAAAAAAAAAAAAGGCAAGGCAATTCAATCTGGGGCAGAGTGGCTCAAATGCTTGGGAATTAAACAGAAAGGACAATTTAGTCAACAAATACAGGGTGGCTGTAATGTCATATGATATAATTTTCATATAGCACAGAGCTACATGATTTCATTTATAAATTTTGTACTATGATTCTTTCAGAGATACAAAAGAAATAGACAACATGGTTTCTGACTTCTAGTATCTGGCAATTATTTGAGGAGAAAGCACACTGAATATGTATGTTATTGAAGGAATGGATAATGTACATATTTAAGGAAATGATGAAGACCCCAGATGGATGGAACAGATAACACCTTTTAAACTGATTCAGAGTACAGAACTTTCAGGGTAGAAGGCAATGGCGAGGAGAAGATAGTATTCGACTTAGGTCTTGAGGGATGGATTTGGATGGCAGAATGAAAGGTGAAGACCATGCCAAGTTCAAGCCTGAACAGCAGAAGTGGGGATGAAGTGTACCATCTGGCTGGGGTAGTGCCTTTTCCTGGGGGGTGGTGGTGCCTTCATTGCAGAGTAAGGTGGAAGTGCTTGTGAGAAACTGAATAATGGCACGGTCAATTTTGTGGGCTTGGGTTCAAGACCTAGCTCTGCCACATTCTATCAGTAACTTGGGAAAATTAGCTTAATTTCCCTGAAACTCTTGTTCCTCTTCTGTAAAATGGGGTAATAAAATTGTCCACCTCATAGGTTATTTTGAAGATTAAACAGGATAATACATGTTAATGTGCAATGCTTGGCACATAGTAAGCATCCAACAGGTAAGAACTATTAAATTATGGCAAATCCTGAATGTCAAAAGAAATTATAAATTTCCCGATGTACTAGCATTCATCTTTTCTAAGTATTTGCATGTCACATAAAAATTTCTTCTCAGCCTATCACTTTTTTTTCTCTCCTGTCCCTGGTCCAAGCAATGTTGTCCACATCCTGAAGAACTGCTCCATGAGCCCACAGTAGGACACTCTGAGGCCTGGCTCACCAGACTACATATCATGAGTGAGCACTTGGAAGTTCTAATCTGAGTGATACGGATGACATGTTCTCTGTGCCTTTGAATATCTAGTTTCTCATCTATAACACGATCTTTGAAGCTATACAAGGAGAGAATCAATATCACCTGATCACCATCTTTCGCCCTTTGAAAGGCATAAAATTCTAAGTAAGAATACTACACATCATGCTGTGTATTTTACTGCATGCATGCTAAGCCTTTACCAAACATTTTTAAAGGAAAAGAAGAATAAATTAGGATAGGAGCATTCAAAGGAACCCATAAGATGTCCCCTTAAAGAAAGGATTTATGGATAAGGAAACAAAAGCCCAGGTGGCCGATGTGATATACTTGTGGTCACACAGAGGAGGAAGTCTCCTGAAGCAAACTCAAGGGCGCTTTGTACATCATACTAATCCTACTTGTTGATTTATAAAAGTATTAGCTTCTTTATTTTCTCCTTAATTAGGACAGAGAGTAATTATCATTATTGGGTCCAGAAAGAATTATGCCAATGTTCCAAGATTGTGCATGGAACATTTGTTATGCAAACTGCTGCCCTTCACACATAGAGAGTCCCCATAGGCTATGTCCTCCTCCCTGGGGCTGCCAATGTGTCTAAATTGCTGGGAGCATCTCCCCCAGGCTTATGAACATGAGCTGCTCCTTTGATGGGATTTTGATGGCCATGAAATATCATTTAGGAGAGGGGTTAATGCCTTTTTTGTTGTTGATCTTTCACCTTCAGGGAGCATGAGCCTCTGAGAGATCTGCTTTCACGCCATATTCACAGAAAGGTTTTGCTCAGCCTGAGCCAGGCGGTTGCTGACTGCCAGGGCCAGCGTGTGCCGACTGCTGCTGTGTTTCCCAGCGCTGCCAGCAGGATCTTATTCTTTGTATCTGCACCTCCCAAACAATTCTTCCGGGGCAGCTTTGTCTGTGCCCCTCTGCTGGGCTGAAGGGCTGGTGCTTAGGGATGCATGCATCCCGCCCTTTGCCCTCATGTCTGAGCTGTTCGAATCTGATTTCCAGGGCAATTGCAGTTTGGCGGCTCCCCGGGGCATCCTCTTGAGTGGCTGCTCTGCTGTTACTGTTTGGGAGGCCTCGGAAACTCCCTTGGGTAGTTTGTCAGATGGTCTGATGAGAATAGCAGGAGCCTGTTTTCCATAGTCAGATTGTCATTTTCATCATCATTTTTGTTGTTGAGTTTCCCTTTTTAAAAAATAAAATCATAAAACAGACATACTCTTTTCTAAACAAGTGTAGACTTTTACCATGAGGGTTGGAAGGGGCCTCACTGAGTAAATACCTCTTCTCTCACCCTCGTGTGATGGCTTCTTTGTTTTGAACTTGGGTGTGCCCAAGTGGTTTTACAACCTCCCTTGGGTATCAACAGTCCTTATCCTCTCACCATCTGATCTCTCTTCCTGCTTCTGGTCCTCAGAGGGTGGTCAGACAGTGCTCCCAAGAATGGGTTGAGGTTCTGAAGGTATGTGGGCACCTAAAGATCCTAAGCTGTCAAAATGACTGCTGTCCAGGAGAAACTGACCAGACCTAAGGTTCAATCTGGGGAAACTTGACGCAATAACAATTAGCAAGTACTAGGCATTTTGCTGTGTATCAGGCCTGGAGATCAGCAGTTTACGTGAGTGATTTTCACACATTCCAAGAAATAGTTTCTTCCATTATTTCCACTTTACAGGTGAGAATATTGAGGCTCTGAAAGGCTAAATGACTTGGCTGAAGCCACATACTTAGTGGCAGAGTCAGAATTCAGTCTCTAAGGCTTTTGAATTCCAGAACTCATACTTTTAGCCATGATGGTATACAGATTTAGTTCTGGGGTCTGGAGACCATTGACAGTCTTGGAAATAAACTGTGTCTCAATATAAATAAAGGACAGATATGGTTGTGTTCAGTTCTTGGACACATTCCTTCGAACTCCAAAGGACAAGAGGTTAACCTCATGACTTTGATAGAAAACAGAAGACAGGTTGTGAGGTTTCTTGGGTAATTCTGGGTATTTGGACACCTGTTCAGTTATTCTTGGATTCTGTGATGGGGGGTGGGGGGAATATGGGGAGGCTGAGGTCATTATTGCAAAAACCATTTCCTGAGCGCTTGACTTCAGGAAATGCTGTAGCATTAAAAATACCCATTGTGTGGGAGTGATAGAAGCATGACTCACGTTTAGCAATTGTGTCCATAGGTCACAAAGGATTTGGGGAACACAGGAGATATTCACACAAGACTGTGTCTGTGGGTGGTTCATTAAGAAATTTTTAGTAGGTTGAGAAGCATGGTCGCATTTCAAAAGGAGTGACATTTAAGATTCTCCATGGAAGCTATGAGACTTGGCTCATCATTCATACATTGATTAACAAATGTCAATTGTCCGCCTACTAAGTGCAGGTCCTTGTACTGGGTGCTTTGGGATTTTGCAAGAGGAATAAAGCGTGGCTCTTGCCCTTTAGTGCAGTGTTTATGAAGTGGTGACAATGAAATAGGCTGCTTTTAAAATTTCCCCTTTTTTCCCCCTTGACACTTTGACAAAAGGAAGACTATCCCTTAAAGAAAGACATTTTGTTTTATTTTCCAGGACAAATACTATCAAAAAATCAGGTTTGTTAACTCTCAGGCCTTGTGCCTAGGAAAATATGATTATCAGGATAAAAGATTCAGGGGCATGTCCTGGCTTAGGTACCTTTTGTTCACTGTAGGGTAGAGTACAGTGAACAGTGAATACAGGGTAGAGGGAATAGGAATTTTTTTTTGTTTGTTTTGAGATGGAGTCTTGCTCTGTCGCCCAGGATGGAGTGCAGTGGTATGATCTCGGCTCACTGCAACCTCTCTCTCTCAGGTTCAGGCAATTCTCCGCCTCAGCCTCCTGAGTAGCTGGGATTACAGGCACCCACCACGACACCTGGCTAATTTTTGTACTTTTAGTAGAGATGGGGTTTCACCATCTTGGCCAGGCTGGTCTTGAACTCCTGATCTCGTGATCCACCCACCTCGGTCTCCCAAAGTGCTGAGATCACAGGTGTGAGCCACTGTGCCTGGTCAGGAATTGTTAATTAAATACTCATGGTCTTTTAAACTGGGCCAGAGGATTCTTTTTTTTGGCTTTGTTTAATATTTTGTATAAAATTGATGCATAGTAAACATGACACTAAAATACATGTACATTATGAAGTCTGATAATATAATGATCACCTGTGAAACCACCACCCAACCTAAGTACCATAATAGTTTCAATGACTTGCATTTCTTTTCATATTCTTCCTCTGTCCTTCCACCCCATCTCTGGCCTCCCCTCCTTAAAGATAGCCACTACCTTAGAATTTGCACTTACTGGATAGAGTTTAGACATTTCTTTTTTTTTTTTTTTTTTTTGAGACAGAGTCTCACTGTGTCACCCAGGCTAGAGTGCAATGGTGTGATCTCGGCTCACTGCAACCTCCGCCTCCCAGGTTCAAGCGATTCTCCTGCCTCAGCCTCCTGAGCAGCTGGGATTACAGGCGCCCACCAGTATGCCTGGCTATTTTTTTTTTCTTTTTTTTTTTTTTTGGTATTTTTAGTAGAGACAGGATTTCACTGTGTTGGCCAGGCTGGCTAGACATGTACGGATTTCAGATCCGTACATGATGCTGTGCATGAAGGGAAGCTGGTATATTCACAGAGAGGTAGCTTAGTTTTCAGGGTTTATTTTGTTGTGGCTAATAGACCTAGACATCTGTGGCTGTGTTTGTTTCCATACATGGGCATGGCCTACGCATAAATGGAATTCCTCCTGAAGAGGCTGCAGAGCACAGGGTTATGTGTGTGGGCCTGAAGTCAGGTAGATCTGGCTTTAAATCTCAACTCTTTTACTAGATAAAAGTAAAATGTATTGTATCTGCCTTGAGTGCCAGGCCCTTTGCAAATGATATCTCAGTTATTCCTATGACATTGTGAGATGTATTCATATCATCATCTTCCTGGTGAAGGAACTGGGATTCAGGGAGGTTGTGGAATTTGTTCTGTATTTCTAGCTTGTAAGAGACACCATCAGCATTAAGCAACCTTCAAGTCTTATTCAAAAGCCTCCTTTTCTTCTTCCTGTTAGAAAGTTTCCCTTTCAAATCAGTAAGAAAACCAAGGCAACCATTCTCATATGGGTTTCATCAATGCATATACATATGACCACAACTTTGGAAGTTGTGGTCAATGCAAGAAAATATTAAAAAAACTCAGAAGAGTTAATACTGGAAAACAAAATTGAAATATCATTTTTAGATGTTATGATTGTATACTTTTAAAAACTATAAGAAATAATCTAAAAAATAAAATAACTATAGGCATCAATAAAATGGACAGATGAATGCCATATATATAAATATATACCAGGAGTCCTTTTATTTTTACCAGAATAATATAATATTATCTAAATTATTTAACAATAAGAATTCTTATGAAACAGTTGCATGTCTTATCTAATAGAAACAAAAGTATAAAACTTTACTGAATAATATTAGAGAAGATGAATGGAAAGGTGTACTATTATCCTTGAAAATAATGATCAATCAGAAAGCCTTCTATCTCATTCAACAAATTTATAGGTTGACTATAGTCCACCTCAAAAATCTCCATAGGATATTTGAACTTAACATAATTGTAATTTTTATTTGCAAAAATAGATGTCATTTATTTAGCACTTACCACCCCCATGCTCACCTAAGAGCATTAACTTGTATTTTGCAAAGAGAACAGTAAATGGAGGTATATCTTCCCCCAATAAGCATACAGTTAAATGGAACAGCACAGTTCAGAAGTAAACATATTGTATATAAGAATATAACAGATAACAAGAGGCATCTTTGAAAAACAATAAAATAAAGAATTATTTAAAACAGATTGTTTAGTATTCTTATCTAGATCTCTCTTTGAAAAAATCAATTTAATACAGCAATTTAATACCCTATGATTAAAATAAATTTTATATGGCTAAAGTATTAGATAATAGAAAATATTGCAGAAAATGTAAGTTATTGATTGTCAGATCTTTGGAGAAAACACTGTCTTTTTTTAAAAAAAATTGTACTTTGAAGTGCCAGAAGAAATCACAAAGAAAAAGACTGACAAATGTGGCTACATAAAGGATTGCAAACATATGAGCAACAACAAGAAGAACAAAATAACTTAGGTCAGCAGATGGGAAAGAATCACAACAAACATGACAAACAGAGGCTATCATCTATGGTGAAAACTCCCACTGGAGAGCTGAAAGTAGTGGGCCAGTTCTTCCCAAAGTGCAGGCTGTCGGAAGGACAGAGGAAGACTAGCTTCTAGGAGGGAGCAGGGCTGGCGTCTTGGGGACCTGCTTGGGCACAGGGAAAGGCGGGGCTGACTTCACTCCCACCTAGGTCCAGTGGGTCTCTGGGGACTGGAGAATCACATTGATCCTAGGTTATGGCAGGATGTGGTTACCCAGGACTTCTGTCTCTCTCTAGGAGGGTGCTCTACTCCAGGAGGTAGAAAGGAAGGAAACACTGAGGGAGGAAACAGCCCTGGATATAAAAAGAATTGGAAGAGTTGTCCTAGAAAATCAACCTTAGTGGCAAGGAGGGAAACTGCTTCTGCAGGTAATGGAAAGATGGAGACAGTGTCTCCCAAAGAGCCACTGGAAAAGAGAAGGTCTCCTCATAGGGAAAACAGGATCCCATGGCAGGTGGATTTTTCTTGGCTGTGAGTACATTTTGTATGGTGCTTACAGAACATAGTGCTTAGGACCATCATCCTAGGACTCAGGAAGCCACATGGGAACTTGAGGGAAATATGCAGAGGAGTGTCTGATCATAGTAGATAGTAGATACTCAATAAATATTTTTTAAATGCAAAAGATAAAACCTAGCTGTCCAATCTGTGACAAAATTTTGATAACTTTAGCTTTGCTGATGGCATGCTAAATTGCTTCAATGCTTTCGAAAAATAACATGACTATGTCTAGTGTATCACTATACACAGGCAAATGTTCAAATCTTTTGAGCTTGTCAGTGTATGCTCTTGGGAATTTAAGAAAATAATTGAGATAATTGAGCATCAAAACAAAGCCATACATATGAAGTTCTGTAATAGTAGATGCTATGGCCTGAATGTTTAGGCCCTGCCCTCTGAAATTCATCTGTTGAGATCCTAACCCCCAAGGTGATAGTATTAGGAGGTGAGGTCTTTGGGAGGTGATTAGGTGATGAGGGAGGAATCCTCATGAATGGGATTAGTGTTCTCAGAAGAGAGGTCTCAGAGGGTTCCTTGCCTCTTCCACCATGTGAGGACACAGAGAGAAGACAGCTGTCTATGAACCAAGAAGGGTGCCCTCACCAGACACTGAATCTGCCAGTACCTTGATGTTGGCTGTCCCAGTCTCCAGAACTATGAGAGATAAATTTCTGTTGTTTATAAACCGCTCAGTGTACGGTATTCTGTTATAGCAGTCCAAATTAACTCAAACAGTTAAAAAAAAAACAGATAAGAGGTTAATAAATATCTATACATATATCAATAAAATAGTATTTATTCATTAAAAATGACAGATAAGACCATAGAAATGGAGAGAAATGTGTAGTTTTAATGTCAAGTGAATAAAGCAGAATGTAGAGGGGCTTCCCTCTGCCTCCAACAAGCTTTGCTGAGGCCCATTCCCCCGCTGAATGCCCCTGAAATCCCACCACGCTGGCACCCTCTTTAGTGCCACACTTTACACAGGTCCCCGAATTGCTTTCTTGCCTCCTCAGCATCTCAGAGATGTTTCTGTGTGGAGTCTATCAATTCAATTAATACAACTGTACCTGGTCCTAGAACTCAGACATAGGGATTGGGTGGGAAAACATTAAATAGTAAGGATGTTTACCTTTTGTCTTTATGCTGTGCTTAAAATCATGCCATCCCTTTCAATATTGTTTGACCAAAAACATATGTCCAACTCTAACTAGTTTAAGATGAGATTTTCTTAGGAGACTCCTTAGTCTTCCCTCATTCAAATCAACCCCCAGTGGGCCTGAACCCTTAGCCTCTACACGTGTCCAGACATGTCTGAATACTATGGTGGCAAATCTACTCAGGCGCAAATTGAGACTTCTGACATGAAAGCAATTCTTTCGTTAAGTAGTGAGATGTGATATGTGCTTTCATTTTAACAATGTTTCTATATATTATACTTATATAGAAAAATGAGAATGGATCATCGCCAATATCTTCTGCTTTCTTGACAGTTTGTGAATTATCATTTCATGCTTTAGTCTTGTATTTTTTAGTTCAATTTTTAAAAGTTATTAATGTGACGCATGCTTTGAATCCAACCTAAAATTTATAGAGAAAAAGTTGACAATCTTCTCTTATCCCATCCAACCTATTTTTACTCCTTTCAAAAACAAATTTCCTGAAAGAAGATGGCAATATACAGTCCCATCAGCCATGGTATGACCTATGGTCCTATGTCTATTTTTCTTCATGCTCATACAAAGAAACATAAATGCATGCTCCATATATGTGTGTTGATGAAATCACCCAACTTACATACATTTGAAACTTGTTTTCTTTCACTAATATTTCATCTGGATGTCTCTCCAGGTCAACTAATATAGAGCCTACCAATTATATTTATAGTAGCATAATGAAACTGCCTTTGCAAAAACTGTAACTGAGAAAATTATGATGGTAAAAGAAATTTGACTTAACCGTCCCCATCTTGCTTCTAACCTCCAAGTTGTCCTTGTTCATTCTTGGGCATAGGCTGAACTAACTTTGGGAGGTACTTAGTTTATAGTTCAACTTTGAGACAAAGATAATAACAACTCTTTGCCAAAACAAACCTCCTTCCTCCCTGGGGACTAGACTGCCTTTGCAGGACTAATGAATTAGCCACAAGATGAGAAATTATGGTTTAGGAGTTATGCAGCTGGAGGCTGCAAGATTCTAAACTCCTCCAAATGGCTCCTTGGGATAACATCACTATTGTAAAACTGAAAATCTGTGCTTGAGATATTTCGCAGACCCTGCACTTGATGGATCAGCTGGCACCGCCCAGATCGCTACGAGTGGCTCCCACCCAGCAACTGACTCAGTGCAAGAGGACAGCTTTGACTCCCTATGATTTCATCTCCGACCCAACTAATCAGTATTCCCACCCCCGGCACCCCACTAGCCAAACTATCCTTAAAAACTCTGATCCCCGAATTTTCAGGGAGACTGATTTGAGTAACAATAAAACTCTGGTCTCCTGTACAGTGGCTCTGCATTGATTAAATGCTTTCTCTATTGCAATTTTTCTGTCTTGATAAATTGGCTCTGTCTAGGCAGTGCGCAAGGTGAACCCGTTGGGTGGTCGTAATAATATTCTGTTGTATAAATGTCTCGTAGCTAATTCAATTATTTCCCATTTTTGGACAATCAGCCTATTTTTGTGATTTCTTTAAGAATGCTACAATAAAGATTCTTATATTTATATGCATTTATAAGTGTATACATACACACTTATACTTACACCTACACACATAAATGTTAGTGCTTTTGTTTCTCTCAAATATGATATTGGCCATGTCTCCTCATATGTGTTTTACCCTTTAGTATATGTTGCTATTGATTTCCCAAAAGAGAATAGCAATTTCCAATACCTCACTTTCTCACTGAAATTGAACATATCCTTTAATTTTTGCCAATTTGATAGGCAAAAAATGGAATCTCATCAATATATTTTAATTGGCATTTCTGTAGCTACTTGTTAGGTTGTGTATATTTTCATATATTTATTATCCTTTGAATTTCCCTTTGTGATAACATTGTTTATATATTTGCCCATTTTCCACTGGGATGTTAGCACTTTGCTTATTGATTTGTGGGAGCTCTTTATCATATGCGCTGCAGCCTGTGTTTTACCTTTTAACTTTGTTTAATGGTATCATTTATTTGCTTTGAAAATTTTTTCAAAATGCACATAGTTAAATATAACTCTTTTTATGTATGATTTCTGGGCATCGTGCTTTACTTTTAGGAAGACCTTTCTTCTCTAGATTATATAAATTATTTTATACATTTTCTATTTTTTTGTCTTATTGTTTAAGTCTTTAAACTGTGGAATAATAATATAATACATGTAATATAATATGTTATATACATTTTATATGTGATATAAGGTCATATTGCAGGTTTGTTCTTCCAGATGAGCATTTAGAGCAATCCATTTCCTAAAGATTCAGCTTTTCTTGGTGGTACATGGTTGTCGTACCAGTTACTTGGGAAGCTGAGGTAGGAGGATCGCTTGAGTCTGGGAGGTCAAGGCTGCAGTAAGCTATGATTGTGCCACTGCACTCCAGCCCGGGCAACAGAGTGAGATTCTGTCTCAAAAAAAAAAAAAACAAGAAAAAAAAAAAAAGATCCAACTTTCCCAAATCCTTAACTTTCCTGCTACATTGACTGCCCATCACACTCACCTGGCAAAAACCAATGTCTTGATCAATCTTTTAATCTCCTGCATATCTGTTCCTGGGCTACTGAAAACTGCTGGGGGGAAAAATGGCGTTAAGAGCATTTTTATCACTGACCATTCATGATCTCCAACTTCAACTGTGTTGTCTATGTCTCCTGAAAAGAATTATCTGGGTTCCAATCAGGGCCACTTAAAAACTTTCACTGTCATAGGGCCTTTGCCTTTCTACTTTCTTCTCACTCTCCAGATTGTTCCCTATTTCACAGAAACAATAAAGGCAAACAGAGGGAAATTCTTTGAAAGTCCTGAGTCCCTCCCAACATTATAAAGCTATCCCTAAGGAAAACCTGTTCAGGAGATTCTCTGCACCCCATTCTCTCCTGTTTCCCTAGAGACTTTGCTCCATCTGTTAGCCACTTTCAAATATAGGTTCTTTGTTGGATCTTCTTGTCATCATTTAAGCACGTTCTTTGTTGGATCTTCTTGTCATCATTTAAGCACGTTCTAGCCTCTTTCATCTTAAAAAACAAAAACAAAAAAAACCCAAATCCTCCATTAATCATACATTCTCTTCTAGTTACTATCTCTCTCTCTCCTTCTTTATTTTTCCAGCTAAGTTGCTGACTTCACTTTGCACTACCTGCTCACTCATAACCCTTTGCGGTCTGTTTTTTTCCCCAAGATTAAATGATTGTTATAAAAGTGCATCACACTGTATGGAAATCAACATTTTCTGCCATAATTTTGCGTATCTAGGACTATAGAAATATCACTGTCTCTGCCCCACATCTTCAAATCACACGAATAAGTCTTCCTTAAGAGGAACTTCTGGAAAAACAAGCTATTTCCTGGGCTTATATTTCCCTGCTTTTGTAGCATGCATCAACAATCTATCCATGCAGTATACATTGGGGAGTAAAGAGGGCATCCACCAGCAAAACCACAGTTGTTGACAGCCATAAGATTAGAGACAAGCACAAAGGGACAGGTCAACATGCCAGCAAAAATCTTGTGACAGCTTGAGAATAACTCTATTTCATTCATGGTAGAAACCCTGCTGTCCAGTGCATAGGTATTGATGAGGTAGGCCAGTGAGCTACACAGCCGCAAAGAAATGATGTCACCTAGGAGGTGAGGAACCAGTCCTGGGAAAAACCCTAGGATGCCCTCTTTCTGATAGATGGTCATGAAGTCACAAAGTCCACAGTACTTAGGTCCTCTGCCAATGAATTGTACCACAGGTCTCAGAGTGATCACATGGAAGGGATATGTGATGAGGATAGCAGCAGAATGAGCCATCATCTCTCAAGCTGTCTCCTTGATAACTCAGTCAAAGGAAGATGAGACTTCCTTATGCACATTTCCAGGTCCTCATCACACTCCTGGGAATGCTGTAAAACTTTTCCATGGGCCACAGTTTGAAGGCCTCCCGAACACAGTCTTGGAGTTAAGCCTGTGAAAAACCCATACCTCTCATTGATACTGGCAATGTGTTGAGTGTAACAAAAGAGACCAGGAAGTTGAAATACTTGCCATCCAAAAATATTGCATCCTATTTTTGGAGGAAGAGGCTTATATCCCGCATGAGCAGCTGGGACAGGATGGTGAGACCAGAACCAAGGAGGACTTGACTTGTGTCTGCCATGATGGCACCTGCTGCAGTCTGGCTTTATTTTTAATCTTTCTACTGAAATTACTCTGGCTGGTGGTTCTCAACTTGGGGTGATTTGCATCCTAAGGGACATTTGGCAATGTCTGGAGACAATTTAGGTTGGCACAAATGGGAGATGGACAGGGGAAATGGGGTTGGTCCTGTCATCTAATGTGTAGAGGCTAAGGATTTTGCTAATCATTCCATCATACACAGGACAGCCCCCCATCATAAAGTTATTCAGCCTTATGTGTCAATGGTGCCAAGGTTGAGAAACTTGCTCTAGACAAAAAGTCCCCATTGAGTTCCTTGTGGCTAAAGTCAAATGACTGTTCCAGCTCTTATCTTCTTGACCTCTGTGAAGTGTGGGGCACCACTGTGACTCTGCCTTCTTAAAACCATATCTTCCTCTGGCTTCTCTATCACTGATTTTTTTCTGTGTGCCCTCTTACTTCTCTGACTGCTCCTGTTCATCATCTCATTTGTCTAAATTTTGAATATAACTGTTTTTTAGAGATCCAGCCTCAATTTTCTTCTTACCTTCCACACTGTTCTTAGATGATTTTGTTTACACCTATGACATTAACTTGTGAATATACACTGATGTCTTCCAGGTCCATATCAAAACTCACACAGTCTCCTGCCTATTGAACATCTCACATATGCCAAACTGAACTCCTGAGTGGACTGCCCTTCCTCCCTAAACTATGTGTTTCTATTTCCCTAGCCAGGGATGGCATGACCACCAACCCAGCAGCCCACATCCAGAAACCTGGTGGGGACTCTTCAGTCCTCCTTTTCATTTAATCAGATGTTCAACAAATCTTCATCTCCTATTATTTCTCTCTTGTTTATTTCTCTTAAATCTATCTGCTTATCTCAGTTCTCAATCCAACCACCTGTATTACTACAGCAGCCTCTCAATTACTTTTCTTAACAAATCTTTTTCCCGTTGAATCTATCTTATGAGTTGTATTTATAATGATCTTTCCAAAATGCAAATCAAGTTAGATCTATATCTAAAATCCTTCAATCCTTTTCCTTGTCTAAGAAAAGGCTAAATTTCTAGATGTGGCCTAAAAAGCCATTCATGATGACAACCTCTGGAGAGTTAGTCCACATCTTATTTATCTCGCTATAGTACAGTGCTCAGTACATATTAGTGGGATACATAAATAAATGAAAGAACAAATTTCTGGAGAAAAAGCTATCACATGTATTTCCTTAGTGTCAAAAGCTAAAATTAATTTTATGTGTCTCTTTTATAATTATGTGAGTACTTTTCTATTGAATCATAAATAAGAAACTAATGTTATACTGGATATCATGAGAAGTAGGCTCAAAATTGAGAAATGAAAATAAAATATATTTTAAACAAATGCTTACAAGTGAAATTATTATGCCAGTTTTACATCTTGAAGGTTGTGATGCATGTTTCCAAATTGTTTTAAAAGATATAGTTCGTGTTTAAAACACCAACCATTGCAGGTTAAAATCTTTAAAGGTGAAGTATCATGTCTGCAACTAACTTTCAGGTGGTACGGCAAAAATGTTATATATATTACACATATAAACACACATATTTGTATATACATAAACCCACAGATACATACACACATGCACACATGCAGTAAGAGAGAGAAAGAGAAAGAAAAGAGACAGAGAGAAAGAGAAAGCAAATATGACAAATATTTACAGTATAGACATATTAGGATTTGTCAGAGAAATAGAACCAATAGAATACGTATATATATGTGTGTGTGTGGGTGTGTGTATAATACATACACACACATATATATGTATATATATACACACACATATATATGCGTGTGTGTATTTATATTTGTTTATATTTATATTTATATACATTTATGTTTATTATGAGGAATTGGCTCATGCAATTATGGGGAATAAGAGGTCTCATAATCTGCCATCTACAACCTGGAGACCCAGGGAAGCCCATGGTGTAATTCCAATCCAAGCCTGAAGGCTTGAGAACCAGAAGAGCTGATGGTGTCAATATAAGCCCAAGGGCAGAAGATCAGTGTGCAAATCAAGCAGGCAGGTAGGAAGCAAAAAGAATGAAATCCTCCTTCACTCTTTGTTCTATTCAGTAGAAAGGCAAAGGTCCTCAACTGATTGGATGAGGCCCACCACCACTAGGACGGGGGCAAGTCTTCTTTACTGAGGTCACTGACTCAAATATCAATCTCATCTGGAAGCCTGCTCGTGGACAAACTCAGAAATAATGTTTAATCTGGGCTCCACTTGGCCCAGGGAAGTTAACACAGAATAGGTGAGGGATATGTGGGTGTTCATTTTACTATATTTTTAGATTTTCTACTGGTTTAAAAATTATCAGAAGAAAATCTTAGTAAAAAGAACACCAACAGTGGTGTTTGAAGTTGTACAATTTTAAACAATCTCAACAACACTAACATTGTAATAATTTTGAAAAAACTTTTGCTGATTTAATAGAAAAAGTTACACATAATTTTTTGATTTCTTATGAAATTGAATCTTTTCACATTTGTTGGGGATTTTCTTTCTGTTTTTGTGAAGTCTTTGCCTATGTTTCGCCTGGAGGGTTTATTTCTTAAGAGCCACATGTATATAAACTATATTTATACTTCGATTGATCAACAGGTAACGCTGAAGCATATATCTTTATGTAAGAATTTCAAATATGATAAAGAAAGTACACAAACCAGTGGAAAAGGGGTGAACTGGAAAATCTGGCAAATTCTCTTTCACACACAAATACGTGAGATTTTTTTTTACCATATTGCACACGAAGATAAATACCAAAGTTAATGCTATGTGATTAAAATGTTGATTGCAAATTAGTGTGAAATCCTGAAAAAGTTAAAACAAATTAGATAATTATTCATTGATCTTGGGCTTGAAACCAGGACTTTGTGAAAAAAACAATGGAAGAAAAAGCAAAGAAAAAATTGGCAATATATTTGATTGCATACAAACTTAAAAAAAATACATAACCATCAAAGAGTTAAAATCCTTATTATAAAGGGAACTCTTAAAATCAATACAAATAATAATGTCACAATAGAGAAATATTAAAATAAAAACCTCAAACCACAAGGAAGAGAATTCAGTAATAAAAGAAGAAATCTAAATGTCTTAAAAGCATATGAGCAGACACCTTTAAAAAGAGAATATAGGGTATTAGTTCAGCTGGCTTATGGCAGTTTGTGTGAGTGAGATTCAATCTTAGCTGTTGACAGTCCAGAAAACTGGCAATAATGCCTTTGGAAATGTTAACATAATACAGATCAGTATCCCTCATCCAAAATGCTTGGGACCAGAAGTGTTTCAGACACTGGATATTTTTTCAGGTTTTGGGAATATTTGCATATGCATAATGAGATATCTTGGGCATGGGATCCAAGTCTGAACATGAAATTTATTACACACCTTATACACATAACCTGAAGGTAATTTCATACAATATTTTTTGATACTATTATGCACAAAACAAAGTTTTGACATGAGGTTAGATGTGGAATTTTCTACTTGTGGCATCATGTTGACCCTCAAACAGCTTCAGATTTTGGAGCATTTCAGATTTCGAATTTTCAGATTAGGGATGCTCAACCTGAACTCAGCTTTCTGTTAGAAAGCGCAGCCAGCAAAGAGCTGCAGATCATCCAGGCATACTTGGTACTGGTCAGGCCCTTAGTAGAGTAATGTGATCAATATGGGAATCCACCCTTTAAAATGCACATGCAGAAATTAAAGTGGGTTTCCTAGGGAGCACTACAAAAATAATTATGAAGAAAATCAAACCAGTGGGGGAAAATTAAGGAGATTATATTTATTTAGTCTAGAGAGGAAAAAGCTAAATCATGAATAAATAAATAGTTACCTTTAAGTATATATGTATGTGAAAAAAGATTATCCTAAGGAAAGCTAAATTATTCTATCTCTATGATAGACAATAAACTAAGAGGGATATGGTTAAATTGCACTAAGAGACTCTAATTAACTTTAGGTCTTGCAAAACTCCAGGGAAGACTAACAAAGAAACAAAGGAATCCCTGTCTTTGTATATCTTTCTGAGCAATTTAGACAACTGCCTATCTTGTGGCTTCATTATAGAATAGCAGGTGGCTGGGCCCTTGATTACAATTATAGGTTTACAGAATCTTAGAGCTGAAAAATAGCCTCAGTAGATTAAAGTTTCTCTTTTATATGTTTGTAGATTTCCATTGCCACCCACTCACCAATAGCATATACAAAGGAAAGTATAAGATGTGAAGCTTTGCAGGTTAGAGTTCTATCATAGTTAAGTGACTGGAGCTTTTAAAAGTGTCTGCTCAAATAATGCGAACAGATCTTGGTTGTATGGCATGAAAAAACAAACTAGGGCAGTAAACTAGGGCAGAACAGTGTAGTATTGTTGTTCTTCAGTTGCTTTTTTCAGGTTACAGATGAAAACTAGTCTTTTATCCCAAGAAAAATGTGTATGAGTACGTGCAACCATTCACGATACCCAGATGCCCAAATTTAGTGATCAAGGTGGAGTCAGTGTGGTAGAGTTCTTAAGAGCTCTGCAGTTGGATTTCTTATATTTATATCTACACTGAAATCCTCCCTTTTCTACTTACTAGCCTGTGGTCTTAAGAATGTTAGTTAAATTCTCCAAGTCTGTTTACTCATTTCTAAAATGGGGATAGCTTATCTTATGCATGAGATTTTTCTTGGTGAAAATCAAGTGACAAGATAAAAATTTAAAGAAATTAAGAAGTAAATGACCTGACATAGCAGAGGCTACACAAAAGTGTTTTTCCAATTGCAAGTTGTGATCCAGTGCAGGAGTTTGGTAGTAAAAATTGATCCAATAGGTCATAATTGATGTTAAAAACTGAAATAGAATAGAAAATATTCATTGCACTTAGTAATCATAAATATTGCTTGGGATAATGTTTTCTGTATGATATGTTTGTTTGTATGAGAGAGTTGTGTAACACTTGTGTACTTGGAAGCAATATAAAATATTTCTGGCTGGGCATAATGGGTCATGTGTATAATGCCAACATTTTGGGAGGCCAAGGCGGGAGAGTTGCTTGAGGCCAGGAGTTCAAGACCAGCCTGGGCAGTGTAATGAGACCCTGTCCCTACAGAACAATTAAAAATCAGCTGAGCAAGCACGATGGCTTATGCCTCCAGTGCCAGCTACTAGGAGAGGTTGTGGCGGGAGGATTTCTTGAGCCCTGGAGTCCAAGGCTACAGTGATCTATGATCACATCACCTAAGTCCAGCCTGGGTGACAGAGCAAGACTCTGTCTCCAATCAATCAATCAAACAATAACTAACTAAATAAATAAAATATTTCTTGAGGATCATGGTAAAAAAAAAGCTTATAGTTATTACAGTTTATTATTTTCGTGTTTTTTGTCCTAACCCTTTGTTTTATTTCCCTAGTGGTTGCTGTAGGATCATAATATACATTCCACCCCTCCACTGTCTAGTCTGAAGTAACATAACACTACCTCACAAAAAAGGCAACAATCCTACAATATGCCTCCAACCATCTTCTCTGGCCTTGGGTGCCATGATCTGCATACATTTTACTTCTGCATACATTTTCCTGTTTCTACCAAATTTTGTCATCACTTTTGCTTTTAGCAGTTCACTTGCACCAAATAAGTTGAGAAAAAAGAAAAAGAAAACATTCACATTTACGATCTCCGGTGTCATCAGTGTTTCTTCTAGATCTGATCCTTTATCTTCCACCATCTTTGCACAATCTAAAGTCCCCGTTTAACATCCTCTGTAGTATGGGTCTTCTGGCAATAAACTATCTCAGCCTTGATAATCAGAGAACATCTCTGTCTCATCCCCACAAATAAAGGGCAGCTTTTCTGGTTATAAAACTCCAGATTGACAATTTCCCTTCTTCAGCACGTCAAAGCTGTTGCTCCATTGCAGTCTGGCTTACTTTGCTTTTGATGAAAAGTCAGTGAACCTCCCCATGGTTGTTCCCTCTATGTAACATCACCTGTTCTCTCGTTGAACCTAAGATTTTATCTTTATACTGGGTTTTCAGCAGTTTGACCATAGTGTGCTTCATTGTTGTTTGGCTTTTGTTCATTCTGCTTGATTTTTATTGAGGTTTTTTCATCCTGGGGTGGCTATTTCTAATCAAATTGAAAGTTGCTCAGCCATTACCTCTTCAAACATTTCTCTTTCTCCTTTCCTTCTGACACTTCAAATGCACTAGACTAGTTAATTTGATCCCTCGGGACATTGGTCCTCCCTCCCTTCCTCCTTCCTTCCTTCTTTCCTTCCTTCCTTCCAGGCAGGGTCTTGCTCTGTTGCCCAGGCTGGAGTGCAGTGGCATGTTTATAGCCCACTGCAGCCCTAAACTCCAGGATTCAAGCGATCCTCCTGCCTCAGCCTCTTGAGTAGCTATGACTACAGGTGTGCACCACCTGCACCACCAAGCCTGGCTAATTTTCAAACTTTTTTTTTTTTTTGGTAGAAATGTGGTCTTGCTATGTTGCCCAGGCAGGTCTTGAACTCCTGGCCTCAAGTGATCCTCCTACTTTGGCCTACAAATGTGTTGGGATTATGGGAGTGAGTCACTGCACCTGGCCCCTTTTTTCCTTTCAATCATCTTCATCTCTGAGATTCAGGCTATAAAGTCTCTACTAATCTATTTTCAAGTTCATTTTTACCGCCTTCTAAAGTGTAAAATCTTCTCCTATTAGTTTGGATCCACTGAGAATCAGATGCAAAGATGGGGTTAGACTTCCAAAAGATATATTTGGGAAATGTCTGTGAAGGATAAAAGATGAGGAAACAGAAGAAAGTAGAGAGAACCGTCAGGCCATGATTAAAGTTTCATACCTATAGGAGAGAAGGGAAAGGAAGGAGGATTGTATTGATAAGGTCTAGGAATGCTGCAAAGATCTAAAAACAGTTTTGCCAGACTGATGGGAATTTCTTAATCAAAGTCACCCACTGGAGACATCCAACAGCTCACAGGAATGGGCTTGCATTAATGGCTCTATCATTCTTAGCTACTGGCTGGATTAGCCTATAGAGGCTTGTCTTGGTGTGAATGCTACAGTAGATCCATAGAAATAATAGCTGAGCTATCAGTCAATTTTTCTCCCCAGAGTAGGAGATCTGAACAGTACATATTTATGGCTAACCTACTGTTCTTAAGTTTCTTTAATAAATAATTTATTAGATATTGTATTCCTGTAGTCCTATAATTTTCCATTTGGCTCTTTTTTAGTGTTACTATTTTTTTCCCCCTAAGAAAACTCTACTGCTTCATTCATTGCATCTACTTTTCCTGTACATTTTAAAAAGATATTTATAAAAATTGTTTTAACATCTTTCTCTGCTAATTCCAACAGTTGGATCATCTATTGGTTTGATTCTAGTGACTATAGTTTCTCTTAAATGTAAGATCACATTTTCCTGTTTCTTTGCATGTCTTACACTTATTTAATGGTATTCTGGATATTGTATATAAAAGAAAAACAGAGACTGAAGTACATTATTTTTTGTTTTGTTTATTATCCAGAGAGTGTAACTTCTGCTGAAGGAACTAATGGTTTAGCTATCTCCTAGAAGGGGGTTGAGCTGGTACTGAATCATAGCTTTAATTAAATTGAATTCACCTGTGATTAACCACACTCCCAACCTCCTTTGCAGACTTTTTAACCATGTCAATATTTAAACTGGAAGGAGGCTGGGCTGTAGCTTCACCTCAGAATTCAATCTGACATATACCTTGAATCCAAGCATCACGAGAATGTGAGAGATGATGTGATTATGTTCTTTTTCCAGCCTGTCCTCTACTATCTCCTTCTCACTATAATTTGGAGGTTGGGGAAGAGGAGAGTACTGTTGGGCTGAGCAATTTGCTTTTCATCTGGGACTCTGTCAGACTCTAGTCTTCCCTGCCAGCATTCACTGTTGAATAAGGGCTGGTTGATTTCTCCTCCTGTATTAGTCTGCTCTTATGTTGCTAATAAAGACATACCCAACACCGGGTGATTTATAAAGGGAAGAGGTTTAATTGACTCACAGTTCCACATGGATAGGGAGGCTTCACAATTATGGTGGAAGGTAAATGAGGAGCAAAGTCATGTCTCACATGGTGGCAGGCAAAGAGGGCGTGTGTAGGGGAACTGCCTTTTATAAACCCTCAGATCTTATGAGACTTATTTACTATCATGAAAACAGCATGAGAAAAACCAGCCTCCACGATTCAATTACTTCCTACTGGGTTCCTCCCATGACATGTGGGGATTATGGGAGGTAAAATTCAAGATGAGATTTGGGTGGGGACACAGAGCCAAACCATATCACCTCCTTCACTGAAAATCTCCTGAACTGCAAGAAGCTGGTTTCTCCATCCATCTAGATAGAGACTAGGGGCTCACCTGCAGGAATGAGAACTTATGTACTCTTTCCTCATTTAAAAAGGGATGGATTGCCTGGCTTTGCAATTCAGTTCATCAAGGCTTACTTGCATCTGCCACTCCTTGCTATTCTCACAGAAACATATAATTTTTATTTTATGCAGGCTTTTCTTACTGGTACCATAGATGTAAATATCTTTTGTATCTTTATATCTCTTACTCAAAAGCAGAAATTTATTACTGTTTGATACCTATTGTCAAATCTCAATGGAAAACATTATGTTATAATCTTTGTCATGGTTTGTTCAGGCTACTATAACAGGATATCATAAACTGGATGGCTTATAAACAACAGAAATTTGTTTCTCACAGTTCTAGAGGCTGGGACATCCACAATCAAGGTGCCAGCAGATTCAGTGTCTGATGAGGGTCCAATTTTTGGATCATAGTTGGCTGTCTTTTTGCTGTTTTCTCCCACTGCAGAAGGGGTAAAGGAGTTCTGCTGAGTCTATTTTTATTATTGGGATACTAATCCCACTCATGAGGGTTCTCCTCTAATGACCTAATTACCTACCAAACACTCCACCTCCTAATACCATCATAGTGAGGATTAGGATTTCAGCATAAGAATTTTGGAGTGTCACAAACAATGTCTATAACAGTGTTACATCTTCAACTTTGGCTACTTTTTTTTGGTTCATATGAAACTTTCAGTAGGTTGCAAGCCTTCAAAGTGATGGCAAGAGTCTACTCTTTAGGAAATTTATTTTGTATTTTTAAAAATGTTGCAAAATCTACAATAGGTAACATTACAAAGAACATCATCAAATGAAGAAAGTCACTTATGATTTTCTCAGAATAATTTCTTAGAACAGAAATTGCTGGGTCAAGGTTGCAGGCATTTCAAAGCCTTGATAAATACATGATCAACATACCTTCTGGAAGATTTGTACCAATATTCACCTTAACCAGTGCTGGAACAGATATGTTTTCCTCTAATCACACCCAATTAAAAAATCTTTTTAAGGTAAGTTTGATGGTTTAAAAAGATTCTTCCTTTGAACATTTCTTTTTATAACTAGTGAGGCTGAGCATCAACATGATGTCCACAAGTCCTCCTGTGAAAGGATTTTTCCTTCACTACTTCTTCAACCTCCTCATCCTCCATTCTTCCCTGACTTTTCAAAGTTGCAGCCACATGGGCCTTATTTCAGTGCTCAAATGGGCCAAATTCTTTCCTGCTTTGAAAATTTTGCCTGTGCTCTTCCCTCTGCCTAGAACACTCCATCCCAAAATCTTTGCATAGCCAGATCCTTGTTATGATTCTAGCATGACTGCATATGTCACTTCCTGGGGTTTTCCCTGAGTTTCTATTCTAAAGAAGCCTGGTCTCTTTCTTCATGCCATTGATCAAAATTTGATAGTATCCTGCTCCATAATTTATCTGTTAATTTTCTGTCTCCTATCACTAAGGAGTAAGCCAAGGGAGAGAAGGAACCTTGTGTGTTTTGTCCACTGTTGCACCCCCAAATTTAGAGGAGTGCCTGTCACATAAGAGATACTCAAAAAATACACTGAATGAATAAATGTTTTTATTTTTACTGAAAGTTTGTATTTATGCTTTGAGGAGCACTTTGGACTGAATTGTTTGTCTCCTAAATGTATAGGTTAAATCTCTAGCCTCCAGTGTGATCGTATTTGTTGGTGGGGCCTTTAGGAGATGATTAGTTTAGACAAGATCATAAGGGTGGGCCTCATGACGGGATTAGTTCCTGCATAAGAAGAGAAAGAGACACCAGAGCTCTCTTTCTCCCTGCCAGGTGAGGATATAATGAAAAGGCAGCCATCTACAAGCCAAAATGAGAGCCCTCACCAGAAACCTTTCATGCTGGAACCCTAATCTCAGGCTTCCAGCCTCCAGGACTGTGAGAAAATCAATGTCTGTTGTTTAAGCCACCCAGTCTATAAATATTTTAATATTTTGTTATGGCAGCCCAAGAAGACAAAGACAAGGAGTATATAAGCACATACATTTTCCACGTTTGCTCTTGAGATCTATCTTTCTCTCTTTCTTTCTTTCTTTCTTTCTTTCTTTCTTTCTTTCTTTCTTTCTTTCTTTCTTTCTTTCTTCTTTCTTTCTTTCTTTCTTTCTTTTCTTTCTTTCTCTTTCTTTCTTTTCTTTTTCTTCTTTCTCCTTCCTTTCTCTTTCTTTCTCTCTCTTTCTTTCTTTTTTGTAAGATACAGCTTACTCTTTTAGTTTTTCAATGGATTTTCAGAGAATTGATGAGTGAAGTCCATCTCAGAGCGGCACCTGCTGATGCATCTCCTGATTCACCAGGAAATCTTATTGCTCTACGCTATGAAATGGTGGATGAGTTTGTACTGTACATTTATCTATAGTTGAACTTGATGCTATTTAGTGTTAATAGACTATTATTCATTAAAATTTGGCACCCAGACAGAATTAAAGGTCTGAGGTCAACAAGTTTGCTTGTTTCAAAACATCTCTGTCTGGTTCTTCCAGTTGCTCTTTCCCAGTAATGCTTGCTGATCTGAGACAGAGAGAATCACTGTCTCTGTGTTTTCTCAGTACTGCTTGAGTAACCTTTAACATCACATGATTTTTGCTTGGCTATTATTCTCCCTCTCCAGCATGTCACCTTCTTCTTTTTCTACCACAGTGAACTCCACCAAAACCTACCTCATGTATCATCTCCTTTGAGAATCCTTTCCGAGACCTTTTAGACAGGAGTCAACAAACTTTTTCTGTAAAGGGCCAGATAGTAAATAATTTAGGCTTTGTGAGCCAGTGTAGTGTGAACGCTGCCATATATAAGACGTAAATGAATTTGCATGGCTATGTTCCCATAAACACTTAATTTACAAAAACAGGTCAGATTGTAGTTTGCTGATCTCTCTTCAAAAGAATTAGTAGACCTAAATTATTGTGCTTTTGAAATTGTTAGGTATATGGTTGTTCATTTGTGCTACTTTGAACGTAGTTACAGTGCATTTTGCTCTGTTTCTGGCACATGTATTGGACATGCAATAATTCTTTGCAGAAAAAAATGAAAGGAAGAAAATATAAGATAACTGTAGAAATGGAGAGACAGAAGCAAGTGAGAAAGTTACTATATTTGATAAAATAAATAATGCTAATGACTATAACAGATAAAAGCCCAAACCTCCGTGTCTTAACACAACAAAGATTTATTTTTTGCTCATATCATAGTTCAATGGTGAATGACAAGGTGAAATGATAGAGTCTGTTCCACACAGTCATTCAGGAACCAAGGGTCTTCCATCTAATGGCTTCACCACATACTCTAAATCCTCAGTCCTCTCCATTCAGCTAGGGAAAGAGAACTAGGTTCACAGGTGCAAGGTTTTTATGGCCGAGGACTGGATATGGTACACATCACGTTTGCCCACACTGTTGGTAAGATCTCAGCCACAGGTACCACCCAACCATAAGGGAGGCTGAAAAATATATTCCGGCTTTTGCCTAGGAAGAAGAGGGGAATATGGCTATTTGTAAGCACTAGCAGTTTAGTTTGGACTGCTTTAAAAGAAGGCAATGAAGGGTTAAAGCAGTATGTATGAGAAAGCCATACTAAATTATTTGCTTCTCAGAGGGAGGAAGCAGGACTTTCAACAATGGCCTACTGCTTAATTTTCTCCATAGAACTTTGCAGCACTCGTAAGTGTTGTCATGTGCAGATAATAAACTATCTTAGATAAATATAGGTGTATGCTAATGTGGGAGGAAAAACACTGATTGGCCATACTCCAAGATACATCAAAACACTCCAGCAGATGTATGGGAA
This sequence comes from Homo sapiens, assembly GCF_000001405.40. Taxonomy (NCBI): domain Eukaryota; kingdom Metazoa; phylum Chordata; class Mammalia; order Primates; family Hominidae; genus Homo; species Homo sapiens. The sequence continues at coordinate 92,518,222 of NC_000012.12, read as the reverse complement.
TGCATCCGCCCTCGGACTGGGTGAGGTTAGTGGCGTAAGTTTAGTTATTTTAAAGCCCAAGTTACAATTATCAATCTCCTCAAAACAATTTAATCCTAATTTAGTTTCAATTACACTGAGTCTCTTTCTCAGTAGCTGCAATTATGTCCTTCAAAATAATCCCACTGGACATTTCTCAGAGTTATTGACAGTAATTTCTTATCAGAGTTGCTGGGAAGTAGGGGTAAGGATGAGCAGGTAAAGATCTTATATATATTAAAGCAGTTTTAAAGTACTTCATGAAAGAAAGACATTGATAAGGCAAAAGCGTGTGGTAATTATAATATTCTTATTATCATTCTTTTAGTTTATTTGTTGCAGTTGACTTGCTTATGGAGTTAAAACACCAGTAATAGTGCTTGCCTAAGGGAGATTAATCTACGAGACTTTTTCTTTATTAGGGGATTACAGGCAAGCTGTTTTCCTGGTGATGCAAAAAGGGATTGTGGGTTCCTTCCAAAATGTTACTTACTTTAAAAGTCTAGTTTTAAGTGGGCTTTCCAGTAGAGTAGATAATTTGGAGATTGATGCAATTTAGCATTCGTTCCTGGGCATTAATTCCTGTTGTCCCTGTGGTGGTTTGTGGTGCAAATTTCAGTATCCGGAATTAGACTTAGGCTCCTGAGCTGAGACTACTTGAAGAAAGCCAGAAAGAAGGTTGGAAACAAACAAACAAACAAAAAAATAACACTACCCTTTCACTTTAGAAGAATGAAACATCTTAACTCAAGCCACACTCCTTAAGTAGGCCCTCCACTTCTTCCATGACTGCTCCAGAAGTATCTAGCGCTGGTCCCACTCAATCTCCAGCAAAGTCATCTGCATTTCATAACTGCTGTCATAACTCTGGGGAGGGTATACAATTCTCCCTATTGCCATACCAAAGAGCATGTATATATTTAGCTCAATAACTAGGCTTAGAAGTTGGGCATAATGGGTTGTTATGACTTCTGGTTTCTGTCCTGTCTTTTCTCTTAAGACATGAGTTATCTTGGCTGACACTAAAAAACGAATACAATGCAGGTGTAGTGAGAATGAGTGAGGGCTGTAAATTTGTTTTTATCATTGTTGAGTTTTCATTTTCTTTATGTTTAAGGAATTTGCATGTATATCTAAGAATGTAAAATTAACCATTATAAAAAATGAAAATTATGTACATGTACTATTAAAGAATGATTGTGTTAACCAAAGAAAGAGAACACCATCATTAAATAGCTAGTTGAGAGTTGATTTTGGTTTGGAAAGTAGAAGTTCACCGGAGAATTCCCAGGGAAGTGGGTGCTACATTAACTGGGCACTGGGAAACACAGTAGCCTCTCAGTAAATGATAGTCATTGGCAATGACTGAGTGTTCACCATGTCCTGGGCACTGTTTTAATAACCCTATGACATGAGAACTATAGTATAGGCACTATGATTCTCATTTTATAGATGAGAAAACTGAGGCACAGGGGATTTATGGATTTTGTCTAAGTTTGTAAAATAAGCTCAGAGCCAAAATTCAAACCCATCCAGAATGGCTCCAGGATGCCACTCTGGATAACCTCTCTTACACTCTATTGTCACCAGCTTGGCATATGGGTCCCCTTCCCTGGGTCCCTTTTCATTTTCCTTTTTTTTTTGGGGGGGGCGGGGTGTAGTTCTAAGAAAAGAAGGGACTATCCTTTTTCATGTAATACTCACAGCTTTTCTTCTCCTGTTCAGATAGCAGCCCCAGCTCCAGGTGGAAAGGACAGCTTACTCATCAAGGGAGTTACAGTGTCTGCAGCCTGTACTGAGTCAGAGTATCTGAGAGAGGTAAGGAGACTCTAGCCCAGTGTTGAAAGGGGGAACAAAGGGCCTTCTCTCCTCTTCAAATGCCCCCAAAGGGCTTCAGAGCAGGTTAGCTGGGATGATTGCCTTGAAGCAGGTTGAAGAAACATTTTTATTGAGGATAATTAAGCAGAGATAACTACTGTCCACCCCCTGTTCTCTCTCTCTCTCTCTCTCTCTCTCTCTCTCTCTCTCACACACACACACACACACACACACACACACACACACACAGAGTACATGATAGTCATATATGTTTGAATGTTCATATTTCAGCATTAATAAATTGATACTTGCTAGCATTGTGGTTGCATGGAGCAAATGAAAATTATTACAGCTTGATATGGTTTGGATCTGTGTCCCCACCCTAATCTCATGTCGAATGGTAACCCCCCAGTGTTGGAGGTGGGGCCTGGTGGGAGGTGATTGGATCATGGGGGTGGATTTCACCTTTGGTGATAGTGAGTAAGTTCTCGTGAGATCTAGTCATTTAAAAGTGTGTGGCACCTCTCTGCCTCTCTCTCTCGGTCCTGCTTCTGCCATGTAAGATGCCTACTCCCACTTTGCCTTCTGCCATGAGTAAAAAAGCTCCCTGAGGATTTCCAGAAGCAGAAGCTGCTATGTTTCCTGGAGCGAACCTGAACTTCCCCAGAAGCAGAAGCCCTAAGCTTCCTGTAGTGAAGTCTGTGAAACTATGAGCCAATTAAACCTCTTTTCTTTATAAATTACCCAGTCTCAGGCATTTCTTTATAGCAGTGCAAGAACAGACTAATACACAGCTTGAATATTTCTGCCCTCTTTGCTCAAGAAATAAGAGAAGTAATAGTCTAGGACATGTAGCAGGACTTCTTTCACCTTTGGTGTCAAACCACCCTATAAGAAATGTTTAGAAATACACCTGTGGAAACATAAGTTATATGTTGTAGATTATTCAAGTCAAAAAGACTGATGTATAAGAAGTGTGCCAGACGTGTCCATACTGATGAAAGTAGTCTCTTCCTGTAGTAAAGATTGGAAGGCTTTTTCCAATCTTTTTGCTTTTTCCAATGTTCATGTGCTTTTTCCAATGTTCTTGCCCATAGTTAATCAAATTTTCTTTGAAATACGAGAAAAAATGATAAATGTTTGAGCTGATGGATATCTTTACCCTAATTTGATCATTACACATTGTATGCACATATCAAAACATCACACGTACTCCATAAATATGTACAATTACTGTGTATCAATTTTAAAAATCTAAAAAAAAACTTATTTATTTTCTTCTTCTTCTTTTTTTTGAGACTCTCATTAGGTCACCAGGCTGGAGTGCAGTGGTGCGATCTCGGCTCACTGCAACCTCCGCCTCCCGGGTTCAAGCAATTCTCCTGCCTCAGCCTCCCAAGTAGCTGAGACTACAGGTGTGCACCAGCACACCCAGCTAAATTTTGTATTTTTAGTAGAGATGAGGTTTCACCATGTTGGCCAGGATGGTCTTGATCTCTTGATCTTGTGATCTGCCCGCCTCGGCCTCCCAAAGTGCTGGGATTACAGGTGCACCTGGCCTTTTTTGAAATATTTTATAGAGCCTGATTAATATTATTTCCAAGTGATCTTCATTGGTGACAGATCATTGCCCTTTTAAGATACATTTTATTTCTTTAATAGGAAGAAATAATCAGGAGTTGAGATTAAACAAAAATATGGGTGACAAAAGTGATAAGGCTTTTGGTGAAACACAGGGTGTGGCTATAATTAAATCAAATTTAATTGTGTAAACTCATTGCTCAAAAGGCAGTTTCCAAAAAGTGAATAATACATGAACAACAAACATTGTGTGGAACTGTGGCAGCACTGAGTCTGTGGCCCCTTGAGGTGTCACTTGACCAAAAAGCAATTTTTTGTGTGTCTGAATTATTTCAAGGGTGTTTATAAGACTCAGTTTTGTGTGTGTATCATATACACATAAGCAATAGTTCCAGCATAATGCAGATTTTGTAATAGGAAAATGAATGTATTAAAATTGATAAAAGAAAAGTCAAACGAAGTCAGCAACTCTGGTTTAGAGAAAAACTTTTACTATAAAGTTCTGTCTTTCTATTTTGTACCTCATGTACAATCCTTTGGCTTTAAGGATATTTCAAATGAGTGAGAGTAATACAAGTTTACTCTGAGTAGAAAATAAACTATGGAGTTCTCTTAACATTAAGCTTACTACATGAGTAGCAAGTCTTTTTTCCCCATAGCACGGGAGGAAGAAGAGCCTACTTGAGGCATTTCTAGTAGGATTTCACTTTTTAAATTGCTACTAGATTGGAAACTTCAAAGGTTTATTCTATAGTTTTGAATCCTAATTGAAAGGTTGACATTTTATGCTTGTTACTCCTGTGTTTGGTTTTGGAAAATGGTGTTTATTTTCCAAGTGACATGGCAGAAAGGAAAGCTCTGGACTAGGAACCAATAGATGAGGGCAAAGTCCTTTCTATATGTTTGTTATTGCTAGATTTGTGATGTTGAACAAGTTCCTCTGTCTATCTGGTCCTCAGTGTTCATATCATTAAAATGAAAGTAATGAACTACAAGATGTCTAAAATTCCACTTAGTTCTAACCTTCAGTGACTTGGTCATCTAAAGTTACAAATTGGGTATTTGAGGTTTTTAATAGCACAGATATCCTAAGACATTGACATCTGGCTTTCAAGAAAAGAGCCAGCTCCATAATTCCATTATTTTCCCATTAATGTTTAAGCTGGGAGAGAGAATGACTTAGCCAAGCACTCACACAATCATTATTCTTATGATGAAGCAACTTAACAACCAGCTTGTGTGTTTCCTGGTTGACATACACAGGAAAATTATCATCATTACATGTTTAGTGTATTGCTTAATTGATGAACTGTAGTATTTATGGAGTGGTACATTTTGCAATACTCCCTTTTTTGATGATTTTAAACTACAGAGCCATTATGGAAAGTCAGCTCTCTCCTGCGTGTACACATAATTTACTTTGAATTTCTGTGAAGATCAACCTAATTATAAACATTTTATACTGGACTAGAGCAATTCAGAACAAAGAGTCGTTCATTATATTCATGGTCATGACATTGTTAACTGTTTATATTTTTTGTTAGATTTCAAAAATATTGCATATAAAATCCTTTTAGCAATCCCTAAGTTCCTAACTCCTCACCCAGGGCTCTTTTACTATATTACAAAGCTACAAAATAAAGTAAAATAGTTGCTGAGAGTAACTCAATACAACTCTTCAGATTACCAGAAAACCTTTGCAAATTCAGACATCATGGTACATAAATCTAACTGCTCCTACTTCTGGTTTAAATGTGTTTCAGGGACTGATCATTGATATTTCTGCATTGTGTATCAATACTCAGCTTCCCAAAGGTAACTTTAGTGATTAAATAGTAAAGCTAGCTTTGCATATACACTTTTCATTGAATATTTTAGACTGAGCACATATAGGAGGATAGCAATATTGCCTGAAAATATGGAGTAATCCTTGGTAATGTGCACCACAATTCAAATTCAAGAATATTGGGGCAGGAGGGGGCATTTAACTGGGATTCACCTTGGAATAGAAAGCTCATAGCAAAAAGGCTCTTTAGTAAGATAATTCATACCTTTAAACTGCAAATTGTATGTGAAGGTGGAATTTATGGTCCTAGCAAGCATCAAGGAAAGCTTATGAAACTGAACTGCAGTTGTTCATGGCCAGCTAACCCTGCGGGAAATGGAAATGCACTTTGGTATTCTTAAAACTAAGTGTCAAAGCCCCTCAAATTTCAACTGGCTTTCAAAGAATTTTTAAAGCTTTAGAGGTTTTCAGTTAAGCACGTTCTTTTACTATTGTAGAGGTATGGAATGAACTCCTAGAAACATGTGTATGTTTAATTTATATTTTGCTTTGAAAATGTAAAAATATATTTATAAATATACATAAAAGGATATATTTATTTATTATACCCATATCTATCATCCTTGCATCTTCCAAAATGGCCTAGAGTATATTTTGGGTAAGGATAAGGAAAAAAGACAAAAAAAGGAAATGAAACAAGAATGGAGAAGGTAGACTGGAGGAGGAAGGAATGTTATGCATTCAACTTTATATGCTTAGCAAAAAGTTTGTATAAACTATTTTTGTCTTTAATAAGTTTCTTTTATGTTTCTCTATGAGACGTTACTATTAAAAATGATATGATGATGAGCTCTGACTATTCTCATTTCAGTACAAATCACCAGATAAAGATCTTTTTTTCCATTTATTTTTTCCTTCCCAGGAAAAGAAATCCCCTTTTAGTTGGCGGGAATCTATTGTTAGTTTTCCTTCTCTAAAATAGAGCCCTCTTGGCACATCCAGCAGAGAACTGCAAGGCAAACAGACTTCAGCATGTTTCATGTCGGTGAATGCAGAAGTTAGCTCACTGGCTTCAATAGTTGAGAACTCCACTTTCTCCCTTCATGACTGCATGTGTGCCTTCCTGAAGCTGTGCACTTATAAAAATGAGGGTTGACCTATCGAAATAGGAACGGACCATTCTTTCATTCAGCGTATGGTTCAGAGTTTGAGTTCAATTAGACAGAGGTTTTGTGAAGAAAAGTGTATCGGTCATTCTTTGCTGGGCTATGCTGCAAGAACAAGTGACCCTCAAATCTCAGTGCTTTGTAAGAGTAAAGCTAATATTTTCCTCATCTTCCATGATGGCTCTCCATCAGTTGTGACTTTGTCCTTCATCCTTTTCACTTTGGGATCCAGATTGACAGAATACCTCCATCTGGGGATGTGGTGTGCCTTGTGTCAGAAGGGAAATGATGGGATCTCACCACAGCTCTCAAATCTTCTGGGCATGTCACTTCCACTCCCATGTCATTTGCCAGATGAAATCACATGGCCAAGACTGACAAGAGGGTAAAATTCTCCTAAATGGAGAGACAGTGGATATTTTGAAAAATAATACAATCTATTAGAGGAAATATGAAACACAATTGTTTAATATCTTGTTCTCTGCTGGAGGACTACAATGCCAGCTCAACCCAAGTCTTGCCAGTCTTTCTCATAATTTATAGCTTTATCTTTGTGACAACAAACCAGAAAATCTGAGGAGCAAGATTTGTGGGAAAATATTTTGTTGGCACTCAGGGTATCAAATATAGTTCAAAAAAGAGGTGTCATGAAGAGACCTTCAGATTATATATAACTCAAAGACTATCTCTTCCAGGAAGCCTCCCTGTATTGACCCAATAGTATACTACTTGCTAATAAATAGCATATTGCTTACCATAAAAAGAATTGTCTTTTTATGACACTCCCCCTCGACTGCCCTTACTCCATCAATGAGCTGTTCATCTGGTGCCGATATGAAATGATGAACACAGATTTTGCTGTCTTTTTTTTCTTTAATTGATTTGGAAGATATCTAAGAGCAGAGGTTACAATGGAGTAGAGTAAAAGTCATTGCCTAACTGTGAAGTTCTTTAAAATTATGCCAAACACTGACTTGGTTATTCTATTCACTTCTCAGAATGAGAAGATAATTTGGTTTCAAGACCCTTTATCACTTATCTTCCCTCTCTCCAAGATATAGTGGAAAGCATGTGCAACATTCATTCATTCATTCATTCACTCAACAAAATATTGAGTGCCATTATGCTCCATGCACTAAGCCAGGTGCTGAGCTGTGTCATTAGGTGCTGAAAGTTTCTGCCCTCATGGAGCTTACCTTTTAGTGACAGTGACCCATGCAAATTAAATAATCACACAAGCATATTGGTATAAACCATGATCAACACCAGGAGAGAAAAATTTACAGTGCTCTAAGACCATGTAGGAGATCTGACTTCTTCTGCGTCTCTGTAAAGACTTCTCTGGGAAAATGACAGTTGAGCTGAGATCTCAAGGAAGAGTGGCAGCTAACTATATAAGAGAATAAAGGGAAGACAATTCAAAGGAGGTACAAGGCATGTTCAGAGACCCTGAGGTGGGAGGAAGGGAAAGAAAGGCCAATTGGGTACGAGCATAAAAAGCAAAGGCGCACACAGTGTGAGAAGCAGGTTGGGTTAGTGTACTCAAGGCCTTGTATGCCATGTCAAGGGTTTGGGTCTTCATGTTCTGAAAGATTTTTAGAAGAGAATGACATGAAAAAATTTGAATTTTTAGATGTCACTCTGGTTGTCATGTGAAAGGATTGGAGAGCAGCAAATGGATGGCAGGATACCAACAAAAGTCTTTTGCAGTAGTAGCAATAAGGATTTCTGCTCAGTGCAAAATTGGCATCTGAAAGTTGGATGGCACACAACTAATATTCTGGATCTCATTCATTCTAGCAATTAATTAAAAAAAAATTAGACCCCAATCTAGCAGCAGATTTTAAGAAATCAGATTTAAATTGGCCCATGGTTTATGATTTATAAGACTGTTCAAAACAAATTTCTGAAATAAATAATTTCACCTACACCAAAAGTATAGGTCTATGACTCTCTAATGATCGTAACAGATGGGCTTCAGAGAATCCACGAAGCCTTTGAAATTCCATGAAGATTGTGAGTGCTTATGTTTATGTATTTTTCTAGGAAGGAGATCTGTACAGTTTTATTGGATTCATGATCCTTTAAAAGTTAAGAACCACTGATTTACATAATCACTTGACCAATTGTAGTTGCTCCATTACCAGAATGCAGTTCTGGGTAATACATCTTGAACTGGTGGAAAAGGATAGCTGACTTCCAAAGGTTTGGGCTCCTGTTTCCTCTGGAAGGGTGGTTGCTGGTAAGTGCAGCCCAGCCACAGACTGTATTTCCTTGTCCTTGTGCATCTATGGAAGGTCATGTGACCACTTCTGACCAATAGAATGTATGCAGATATTTTGATTGGCTCTTGGTGTAAAGTTGGGTATGTGTCTGATATGACTTTTTCCATAATTTGCCACCTTCTCTAGTGACCTTGGAGACCACGTTGTAAAAATGGCAGCATCACAAGATGAAAGAATTACTGATTCGTGAGTCATGCAGACAGCCAGGAGAGCTGTCCAACTATGAACACCTGCACTGGATTTTAGTGATTAAGAAATAAATTTTATTCTCTTATGCAATTGAAATTTATGGTTATTTGTTAGAGCAGTTAACCACCCTGGCATATAAAAATAATACCTCACACAGGAAGACAGCAAAATGGGTGTATTGGCCAGGGAAAATTCCTCTTTGGATGTCTTCCTGAAACCAAGGAACAACACTGCCTTGCAGGCCATAGTTTCTTTGTATTGTTTTTGCGATGTGTAATTTACTCTGAGCCCAAATTTCTCACAAATTCTGAGCTTGATTGCATGAGAGAATGATGACCATAGATAGCTAATGTAAACAGCTTTTAATCACATAAGAACACTTTTAATAAGGTCATAGAGAGACATGTTTTAAGTGAGTGAAGATATTCATTCATTCATTTATCTAACAAATTTTTACAAATTGAGTTTCCTTAGTATGGTGTTTTTGTGTGTGTGTGTTTTTTTTTTTTTGAGATGGAGTCCACTCCATCACCAAGGCTGGAGTGCAGTGGCACGATCTCAGTTCACTGCAACTTCTGCCTCCCGGGTTCAAGTGATCCTTCTGCCTTAGCCTCCCGAGTAGCTGGGACTACAGGCGCTTGCCACCATGCCCAGATAATTTTTGTTGTTTTTTTTTTAGCAGAGTTGACGTTTTGCCATATTGGCCAGGCTGGTCTCAAACTCCTGACCTCGTGATCCCCCCACCTCAGCCTCCCAAAGTGCTGGGATTACAGGTGTGAGCCACCATGCCCTGCCCTTAATATGTTTTAAACTATACCTAGGATTTTTGTTTAAACTAGGTATGGTAAGGTGATAGACACATAGACAACTTCCTTGAAAGAAGAATTTGTTATTTATAGTTGCCAAGAGAATGGAGCATATGGGGAAGCACCAGGATTGCTTTGAGGGCAGAAAGATTGAGGGGAAAGCTGGGGCAACAGCCTTTATTTAGGGTTTTATGGGAAGGAATTGGCGAGGCAGGGTAAGCAGCTGAGCTGAGGTTTCGGATTGAAGAGTTTGGACCCTTTGGACAGGCTCTGAGCTACAAGAGTGGTCTCTAATTGTCCAGTACCTGGCTCTGGGTGACTTAGAGCAGGAGGATAATGTTCTGTGCTGGAGGAGCCTGATAAAAGGATGAGATGAGGGTATGGAGCCTGGATTTGTTGTCTTGCATATAAAAGATGTGTTCTAAGCCGAGTTGTTTAGTATCTCCAGGAATTAGCCAAACCTGGGAGGGGCAGTCCATCCCTGGTCTGCAAGATGCCCCAAGATGTCAAAGCATCATGAACTACAGAAAATAAAAAAACATGGTTAATAGAAAATGTACCAGACCTAAGCACAAAATGAGACACTAGGGTCTATGTAAATCAGATTGACCAAATTGTTACAAAGACACAGATCTATCCAACATTCAATAGCTTTTTCCCCTACTATCCTACACCATAAAAATCATTTTGAGCACTGCACGTTTCTAATAAAATTATTCATGTAAATATACACACTAAGTTACTTAAGATGAAAATAAAGCTATGGACATTTCAAATTAGTAAAAAGAGGTTCTTAAAGACTTGTCCAAGTACTTCAGGATTGAAATTAGAGTTTATCTTGAAATATGAACCTGAAAACTATGCAGAGTCCGTTGTGGTTCTGGACAATAAATACAACCTCCCTTAATCGGTATCTTTAGTCTCCCCTTCCCCAAAAGAGCAACATTACAAAATAGAGTCCAATGCTTACACTTTTCAGAGATTCTCCACTGCCTACTGCCACTATTTTCAAATTTCGGTCATTTATAGACTACCTTCTCAATTTTTGCTATATTTGTGTAGCACCTCTTTTGGTATATTCTTATTTTTTTTAAAAAAGATCAACTCACCATGGTGCTTTTATATTAGCTTCTTCTTAAGCAATCTTCCTATCTGTGTAATTGCAGATTTCGTGTTAGTTACACATTTTTTCTAGTTTGTATAAAACTAGAAAATCAGTACATATCTACTACAAGTCTTTAAAACATTGTTTGTGTACCATGTAATGACACATTGGTTCTTACCAGTGGTACCCATGTTACCCTTGGGAAATCCCTGCTGGGAAGATGATGTTCAAGGCTCCTGAGGATGTAGCCCCTGACTCCCCCTTTTCTACCATCTTTTTCAATTGTCAGGGCATCTGTCAGGATGACTGTCAATTCCAGACTGTGGTATGCGTCCTCTTGCTTCCACTCTTGCCTGAACAGGTTCTGCGTCTTTAACACTGCAGTGCCCCACCCCAGATGGGCCTTACGGTACCTCTAAAAGTCCCTTATAGCTCTGTGCCAGGGCTTCTTCCTAACAGCTCCAGACTTCCCTCCTCACAGCTCCAAACTTGTGCTGCCTCCAGTTGCTGCATTTTTTTTTTTCTTTTTACTTGGTGCCCTTAGGATGATGTGTAGGTGTTATTTTCCACTAGGGATTAAGTGTATTTTTATCTCTGGATGTTGCCTTTTGGGGATCCTTGGTTTCAACTCTAAACTTCATGGGCCAATTCTATCCTATCCCACCTTTTTTTTTTTTTGTCCTAAGTTCCCAGAACCCTAGTCAGAGTAAAACATTAAAGACTGCTCGTTACCCAAAGTGAAAACAAGGTTTTTCCATGGCCACTCCCTCTGTCTGAAATGCCATTCCTCTTCCTGGCCTTCTGGTTGTTCCTACTTAGCTCACAAAAATCAATTCCAATACCACCACCTCCTGGAAGTCTTCGTTGCCCTTCCTGGGCAGAGTTACATGTTTTTTGCTCTTTTTTTTTCACAGTACTTACTGTAATTGCTGTAATTACTGTTCTAGAATCTGTCTCTCCTGTTTGTTTGAAGATGTAGAAGACAGGGAATATATTTTAGTTATCTTTGTTTTCCCAGTGCTTAACACAATGCCTAGTACATTGACAGTGCTTCGATGATGTTTATTGAATGCATGAATAAATTCATACACTAGGAATGTATTAATTTATTCATGTACTTTGGAATAGAAGTTTGACATTTAGCTCTTTAGTATGGGAGGAGAAATGTTCCTGACAATAAAATAATGTGAGAAATGAATAGGCATTGAGTTTTCCCCCATCCCCCACTCCACCCTCCCATCCCTCACCCCTACCCCCACTTCTGGGTACAGCCAGACCCATGGAATAGTAAGAGCTTTTACTTACAAGAAGAAGCAGGAAGTGACCCGTGACCCAGGGGTGAAAAGTCACGTTCACACCCAGTCTCTGGAGATTCACTAAACTAAGTCCTGTAAAAAATTTTGTTAGGGATAAAAACTAAGAAAAACACTGAATATTTACACAGTACATTTTTCCCTAGTTTAGGCTGAAGGTAAAAAAAAAAGTGAAAGGGGGAGTGGGGAGTCAAAATTAAATAAGCCAGCTGGTTTAACTTCTCTTTTTACGTATTTTCCATTGCAATCCTCTCTTAGTCATAAAGCCTTTCTCAACCACTTTATGCTTTTCATTTGGCTGAAATTTTTCAGCTTTTCCTACCTTAAAAAAAGGATTAAAGGTTGAGTAGGTTGTGACTTTATGTTCTCTTTCTCTTCTATCCCCCGCCCCCAAAACACACACGCACGCGCACACACACACACACACTCTTACTTTCACTCTCCAACTGTATTTATTAAAACCAGTTTCTGATAACAGCTACCCAGAAACAGGATCTCTGTTCTTTTTTGAGAAACAAAGCCCATCTTTCTCATGGTGAAAAAATATTCGATGTTCCTCCCCACTTCCCCCAGCTGCCAGTGTCACACTGGTTCCCCAGCCCACTTGCAGGCAGGGCTTCCTAAGAAGCAAGAGGAACAGCTGCTGAGCAACAATAGCTCCTAACGGAGCCAATACACAGACAAGGCCTAATGTTCCTGCACTTTTCCACCCCTGCTCCATCCTAAGAATGAGTGTTTTGATGCTGGACTGCGAGGGGAAAGAGGAGGAGGATAAGGGAGGCTCCTTTCTCACTTCGTCTTTTTCTGCCCTTAAAAATAAAAGAGAGGGGCTGGGTGCAGTAGCTCATGCCTGTAATCCCAGCACTATGGGAGGCTGAGGTGGGCAGATCGCTTGAGTGCAGGAGTTCAAGACCAGTCTGAACAACACACTGAAACCTCACCTCTACAAAAAACACAAAAATTAGCTGGGCATGGTGATGTGTGCTTGTAGTCCCAGCCAGTTGGGAGGCCGAGGTGGGAGGATCACTTGAGCTTGGGAGGCAGAGGTTGCAGTGAGCTGTGATTCTGCCACTGCACTCCAGCCCAGGTGACAGAGCAGGACTCTGTCTCAAAATAATAATAATAATAATAATAATAAAATAAAGAGGGAAGTATTATTGGGGAAATTTTGTTAGTAATTTCTTCCTGTCACAAACATCCACCAAAAAATTGCATGATGATGTGTGTACGTGTGTGTGTATGCGTGAGTGTGTGTTTAGCAATTCCATTTTAAGAGGAGTTGCTCACTAAAAGCAGCTTCTTCTTTCTTTTGGAGGCTGGGTGATTTGTTCAGCAGAGGAGACTCTCGCTGGAGTGGTTCCAGCAGGTCACTGGTCACTGCACTGGGACGAGCTGGCCAGTGAAGGGACTTTGGACCCTAGTAGCAGTTTGGCATTTCTAAGTGGGTAAAAAGAATTAACTTCATAAAAATCAATAGGAATCCACTCACTCTCTTCAGCCCTTAAACAGGGACCACCCAATAATGCCTTTCGCTGTTTGATATTGAGGGGTTCCTTTCTACAGATGCCTCTTGCCCAGGCTGGGCATGTTTAATCTGCATGGAGCTTAAAGGTAACCCTGGCCTGGTGGCTGCAGATTGCATTCTGGAAACTCCAGTTCCCAAATCTACTGCCTTACAAGCTTCCAACAGAACAGCTTGACGCGGTGGATCCTTTCTTTTTGAAAATGTTAGCGAATGAGAAGTAAATCAAAGCTTTGAGCCTTGCCCGTTAGGCTGCCCCTGTGTATGGAGCTCAAAGGGGATACTTCTCTCCCCCTCCCCATCAGTGACAAAAGGCTCTCTAATCCTGATTTCCTTACAAAAAAACACAAAGTGTAAAACCAGCCTAGGGACTGCAAATAAAATGAATACTGGAGGAGCAGCTGGCACATTAATGCCCCTGAAAGCACTAGCTGGCACCTCACCCTGAAACCAAATCGCCCTGTCTCCATGGGGGCTGGGGACAGATTTAGTTTTGTAACAACACAATGAAGTATATTTTTAACAAATAAACACAATCTTGGCAGAAGCATAGGCATCTTTAGCCAGTAAATACTTCGTGCACTTGTGCTCAACTTTCCATATCCCCTACATCCCCCAGCCATCGCCCCACAAATGAAATGAAAGCTGGGAAAAGAAGTAAACTATCACAAATTCATTAAATCAGAAAAGATGTCTGTGGCCTCACTTTACAACCAAATATTACCTCTCCTTCTGAGTGGCCACTGTCTAAACAACCCTCGGCAATTTTATTTGCATTTCCTGGCCTTGACTCTTGCTTAATAGCTGGTGCTGTTTGTATTTAATCACTATTTTCTGAACTCTGTCTCTTGTCCATTTCACCTTTTCTCAAAACAAGCCCAGCCTGCACTTCTGGGAAATTATAGTGCCAAATCTTCAAGGCAGGTTAAGTAAAGAGCCGAGCTTGGAAAAGCACAAATCGTTTTGGAATATCTGGGTGTCAATGTCCAGGATTCTTGGGGACCAATGACGAGCAAGATTCAGGAACACAGCCAGTTTTTCTTAGCATTTTGTCCAGGCCCATGCTGGGAATTCGCAGCTGCTGTGTGTCGGCTCAGGGGAGATTTATTGGGAAAGAGTGAGTTTTAGTTAATTCCAGCAGCTCGTGAAAGCCACATATGACTGTCACCCAAGGGTCCAGATTACTCTCTCCAAGGGAGAGATAACTGTGAGGGAGAAGTGAGAAGAGGATGCTGAACGCAGGAAAAACGAATGACGGAAGAGAAAGAACATTCATGTGGGATTCAGGCTGCAAACAGGGAAAATCCCAGAGAATGAACCCCTTCTCTTTTTCTGAATGCTACACCCCACTCCCTGTGGCTCCCAGCCTCTCATAATTGCAGTTTGGATTGGAGTGCTTCTCTTGGCTACTGAGTGTGATCACACTTAATTTCAAGTAGCAAAGTCCATTTCAACCCATATTTTCATACTGACAAGGTGAATCTGAGTAATAGCTGTATCGAGGCTGGTTTTGGAATGACTTGCCCTGTCGATGTGAGTATTTCTCTTAAAAAAGAGAATGTGTGTAATAGTTCAGAAATAACCTTTTGCTGTCCCTAGAATCACCTCAGGAATCCCGTGAAGAGCAGCTCTTTGAATTTGCTGGTCAGAAAAGATTATTGCCTCCAAATGTTGTCTCCTAGGTCTCGTTCACTTTATCTCTGTTTGGGTATTTCACCCCAGCATGTCCTAAGCTCTGTCAAAATCTCCAGCTTCTTTTCACTTTCCTGACACCTGGTTTAGAACCTAACTTAATTTTTTTTTTTTTTTGTCTTCCTTAGCTTCTGACTAAGGCTTTTTTGTGTTTCACTGGTTTTTAGATGTTTGAAACTGATTTCAGAGGTTTGGTTGTTCTTGAGTAATTTCAGAGACATGGTTCCTCATTGTATCAAGGGATGATTTTGCTCAATGAAGCCTGACTCTCAGAGGCGGAGGATGGCATAGCAGTTCCAGGTTTTGAGTTAGGACAGAAATAGGACAATGTCCAGGGGCACAGGGGAGCCATCTGCCTCCTTAGGCTCTTTACTTCTGTCTCATTACCTAGTTTTGTGTCCTGTGCACATTCCTGAGAGAGATGGGATGGACCACTGTTGGCTTAGATTGCTCAGGATCCACTCTCTGTATCTGGAAACACCTTTGAGGGAAGCACATGGCTGAAGGGAGGTGGGGTATAGCTGAACCAAATGGGAATTTGGTTAGGGAGGTCAAGATGGGGAATGGATGTTGGAAACAAGTAGCATCTGTAACACTGCTCTTTTGTGTCCTTCTTTAGAAACTTACAAACTCTCAATATTTTATTTTTTTTAATTAATTAATTTTTTTACTTTATTTTTTGAGACAGGATCTTACTCTGTCACTCAGGCTGGAATGCGGTGGTGCATTCACAGCTTGTTGTAGCCTTGACCTTCTGGACTCAAACAATCCTCCTGCCTTAGTCTCCCAAGTAGCTGGGACTATAGGCACATGCCACCATACCTGGCTAATTTTTTTTCATTTTTTGCAGAGTCAGGGTTTCACTATGTTGCCCAGGCTGGCCTTGAACTCCTGGGCTCAAGTGATCCTCCTGCCTCAGTCTCCCAAAGTGGTGGGATTCCACCACTCAGGATTTTAATTGCCTATTGCCTCTATGCAGATGAACCTCAAATCATTATTTTTGGCTAAGGCCCCTTCTGCTCTCTAGCTACACATTCACTTTCAATGTTGTTACCTCTAATCCAACTTATATGATTGATATTCATCTTCTTTCATCTTACTCACTTCACTCAAACTCGGTCCTTCTGCTGACTTCCCTATTCTGTTTATTGTAGCACCTTTTTTTTTTTTTTTGAGATGGAGTCTTGCACTGTCACCAGGCTGCAGTGCAATGGTGTGATCTCGGCTCACTGCAACCTCTGCCTCCCAGGTTCCTGCGATTCTCCTGCCTCAGCCTCCTGAGTAGCTGGGTTACAGGCACGTGCCACCACGCCCAGCTAATTTTTGTATTTTTAATAGAGATGGGTTTCACCATGTTGGCCAGGATGGTCTCAAACTCCTGACCTCGTGATCCACCCACCTCAGCCTCCCAATGTGCTGGGATTACAGGTATGAGACACTGCGCCTGGCCATATTGTAGCACCATTCTTATAATTATTTAGACTTACTCTTCATAACCTCACCTTCCGTATGCCTATATTAATCTAGTCACCAAACCCTAATGACTCGTTCCTGGAGGAATTACTCTCATTCCTCTCTTTCTTTCCATTTTTGTTGTCACCACTCAGTTTAGACTCCTATCATCATATGCCTGAGCTAGCTTCTTGATAGGCCCTTCTTCCTTTGGTCTCTTCCCTGGTAATTCACATTGATGTAAACAGACACCTCATAAATCTTCCCAACAAGACTGCAATCATGTCAACTCTTTGCTCAAAAATCTTTATTCCTATTATCTCAAGATTTAGTACAAACTCCTTAGCTTCATATTCAAAGTAACCTTCCTCAATCTGATTCCAACCTACCTTTGGAGTCAACCTACCCTCAGTGATTTCTCTCTCTACTACTACATGTGAACCCTTCACCAACCATAAAGTTCCACTCAGTCTCTCTAAACACATCCTTTAGAGAGTGAATACAAGTTTGATTTCACAGCTTGCCACCTGCTAGCTGTGCATCTTTAGGCATAGTAACTTGCCTTTAGAAGCTTCAAATTTTGTATCTAAAATGTGGTTTTTAGGTGAATCATAAATGTGATCACATGATAAAGAATGCATGGAACATAGTAGTTTCTCAATACAAGTTTATGATGGAACAATGAGTGGCAATTCTTGATATTAAGCCTTAAAAGACCCTCTCCAAGCTAAATATTTGAAAGTCTTGACCTACATCTGAAGCTTTATTTCTCTCCTCTCACTTTTTCTCCATGGACTCAGTAATATTAACTTGTTTCCCACTCCCTGGATAGTGCAAGCCCTGCCAAATATTCCATGCTCTTACATATATTTCTACTCTCTATGAGGTTCTTCTTTCTTTGTCTACCTAGGGAGCTCCACTCATCCTGTGAGATCCAGGTTGAAAGTCTTCTCTTCTCTAGTCTTGCCATTACTCTCATGGAATAAATGGATTCATTTCTCTTCTGGACTCTCGCATATGTGGATTTTTGAGCCCCTATCTATTTCCACTTGTGGCCTATGTGCCCACTCAACACCAGGGTACATCTCTTGCCTCTTTAATTCCCATGCACACAGTTTAGGAGCTGTTCAATAAATTACTATGTATTTGATTCAATTTCATTGTGTTTTGAGCATAAGGAAAATAAAATATCATTTCTGTACTTTAATTCTTCAATAGACTCCAGATGCTTTTCAAACCAAATCCAAGCTCTTAACCATGCTTTACAAGACCTGCAGAGTGTGGGCTGAATTCCTCTTCAGCCTCATCCTATAGCTCTCTGTCTTGCTCACTGTGCTCCAGACCTATTGGTCATCTTTCAGTTTTTTAAAGAATCCAAACTCATGCCTGCCTCAGAGGTTTTGCATGTGTTCCTCCCAGGAATACCTCATTCCCCAAGATTTTTATATTTCTGTTTTTTAAAAAATCCATCAGGACCATGTTCTCCTATAGCCCCCCTGCAATCCCCAACTGTCAACCAATCTATCCAGATTGGCAGCCCTAGCATCTTCATTACTCTATCACACACTCTCAGTTAATTGCTCTCAAAGAAGCCATCTCCAAAATTGTCTTGTCTCTGTGCTAATGTTCATCATTTGAATGTAAGTTTTTTAGAATAAAATCCAAACTTCATATCCTTCCTTGTCTTACAAGGTCTACCCTCTGCAGCCACATGTCTGATCACTCTTCCCTTTGCTCCTCACACAGTAGCGATACTAGCTTTTTTCTGCTTCTCAAACATGGTAGCTTCATTTCTACCCCAGGGTGTCACATTTACCATTTTCTCTCTTGGAAATCTCTGTCCACTGCTGTTTTCATGGCTGTCCATTCCTTCATTTACTTCTTAGCACAAATACCTTTTCTCAGGAAGCCCTGCTTCCCCTGACCTCTCAAAAAAGAAGCCTAATTCTATATCATGCCATTCTTTTTATTTTCTTGCTAAGACCTACCCTTATCTTAAATTATCTTCTTACTCATACTTGATCTGTATCAGTCACTTTGATATCTCCGATGTCTAAAACAATGCTGGTTTAGAGTAAATGTCTAAAAATATTGGTTGAACAAATAGAACAAATAAGCAAATATTCTTAGGCTGTTCACTACTTCATTATAAGTAATGAAAATGTTTATCTCTGTACCCATCAAGCATGTTAATGAATGCATTAGTTTTCTATTGCTTCATAACAAATTACCCTCAAAATTTAATGGCTAAAAATAACTTATCTCACTGTTTCTGTAGATAAAAAACCTGAACGTGGCTTCACTGGTGGTTTTGGCTCAAGATCTTTTATGAGGTTTCACTCATAAGATGTAGTCTGGGATAGATGTCTCATCCAAAGGTTCAGCCAGGATGGGAGATCCATTTCAAGCTCATTCACATGGTATTGGAAGTTCTCAGTCCATTGCCACATGGGCCTCTACACAATCTCACACCCTAGCAATGGCTTTCCTCAGGATGAAATGATCCAAGAGAGTGCATGTGCGAGTGCACCAATGGTGGGAGTCACAATTTTCTTTTCACCTAATATCAGAAGTGACATCCCATTGCTTCTGTGACAATCTATTGATTAGAAGTACATCGGTCAGTTCAGTCCATACTCAAGGCAGGAGGAGATTATCAAGGACATGAATACCAGTAGGCAGAAGTCCCTGGGGGCCATCTTAGAGGGTGCCTACCACAGTCAACGACTCTTGGTTGACAAAACTCTAACACAAATTACTTTTTTTAAAAAAACAGGAAATGTATTGGAAGAATACTGAAGCAGCTCATAAAATTGAAAAAACGTGCGGAAACAAAGCATCTCAGGGACTAAATATAGCACATTACTCCTTCCTTCTCTGACATTTTTCTTCATGTTATTACAAGAACATCACAGTCCCCTTGATTTTCTCCCACCCACTTAGATAGTCCTTCTCAGACTCCTTTGCCAATTTCCTTCTTTTTCCTAATTTTTAAATGTTGAAGTGACTCAGGGCTCAGTCTTCATATCATTTCTCTTCCCTATCTAACTCCTCTCCCTAGGAGATGTCATATAACCTCATGCTTTAAATGGCATTTATACCCTAATTCCTTTACTAGTTAAAATAATGCTACCTGATATAACAAATTCAAAAATATATAATGATTAAGCATGATAGACTCATTTCCAGCTGATATGAAGTCCAAACTGAATGTTCTTGATTAGTCAACAACCCTCTCAATGGGGAGATGTAGGCTCTTTCTATTTTTTAGTTCTGCTGTTTTCGACACATAGCTTTCAAGGTTGTCATATTTGATTGTAACAAGTGAGTGAAAAGTGAAAGGATCAGGCACAAGAGATTTTTATGGGCCAGAGAATGGCATCCATCACTTTCGCTCATATAATACTGGCTAGAATTTGGTCATATGACCAGATTTAAATTGCAAGGGTGGCTGGAAACTTTAATCTAGATGTGAACCCAGGAAAAGAAGCAAGTAGGCTTAGGGATAAGTCTCTCAGCACACTCATAAATTTTTACTTTTTGCCTCAACCTTTCTCTCTCTTTTTAACTCCCGACTTACATATCTATTTACCCAGTTGGCATCTGCCCAGGTGACAGCCTAAAAGCAATATGACAAGAAAGAAAAAGCAATATCTCCTTTGAAATATCAATGTAAGCCCAGGCACGGAAATTCATGCCTGTAATCCCAGCACTTTGGGAGGCTGAGGCAGGTGGATCACTTGAGGTTAGGAGTTCAAGACCAGCCTGGCTAACATGGTGAAACCCTGCCTCTACTAAAATTACAAAAATTAGCTGGCTGTGGTGGTGGGCGCCTGTAGTCCCAGCTACTCAGGAGGCTGAGGCAGGAGGATCGCTTGAGCCTAGGAGGGTGCAGTGAGCCAATATTGTGCCATTGCACTCCAGCCTGGGTGATGGGAGTGAAACCCTGCTGTTTTTTTTTTTTTTTAAAGAAAGAAAAGAAAAAAGAAATTTCAATGTAAAATATCCCAGGGAAGACTATTACTGGCCTTCCTTAGGTCATCTGACTGCCTCTTGGATCCATCACTGTGGACAGGAAAATGGGATATTCTGATTGGTCTTGCCCACTCTGTGACCAAGAAGACTGAAATTTACTAAATGAATTGGAGGTCGCCATTGGAAGCATTCCTGTGAACGGAGCAGACATCACAATTTATACTTTCCTCACAAAATGCTGATGCTAATGTAAAGCACAGAAGTTGAGGTAAATATTGCTAAGGTATAGACTTCAACTCAGCAAGTTCACTGGGCTGGTGTGACACCACATACAAGACATTGTAGTACTGATTTTTTTACATTCATTCATTCCCTCACTCATCCATTCATTCAGTCTTTATTAAGAACCTGATATATAACAAGGCCCTGTGCAAGATGCATTAGTATGTTATATGCTAGGAACATGGTAGGCACACAGGAATGACAACTGAATCACTGTCATATTCTTATAACTCAGAGACGTTTTTATTCTGGGCCAGAAACTGCCCTGTGTGGCTTCACCTTAGTATTATGACTCAGCCTAATTAGTGCCACTACCTGATTCCTTGAGGGGTTTCTGCTGATGATTCTTAGAAACCACTAATGGGAAGAGAAACAAAACTAATATTTCTGTGAGTGTGGAAGTTAGAAGAAAATCATGTAGTTTCTGACTCTTTTTCAATGAAGACTGCTGAGGAGAATCTGACTTCAAGCCCATCTCCTCCAAAAGGATGATAAGCAAGTTGCATGCATTTATAATTGCTTGAAACAGTGTCTCTTGCATCTCAACCTTGTCAGCATTCCCCTCCACCCCCAAAAGCAGGAGAGCTAGAAGGTGGATAGAATATGGGTGTAATCTAGAGTTTGATTGCAAATTGATCCTCTTGCCCTCCTAAACAGCTCAGGTTCAGACATTGAACTGATCAAGTAGAGCACTCACATTCTTTGTTATGATGATACCTTAAAGGAATTATTCTCAAAGTGAGGTTCCCCAAACCAACAGTATCAGTACCACCTGTAGACCTGTGAGAAATAAAAATTCTTGGACCCCACCCCACCTTGAGAAATCAGAAATGCTGGAGTTAAGCCCCAGCAGCCTGTGTTTTAACAAGCCCCCTTGGAGACTGTGATACCAGATCACACTTAGAACCACTGATTTTCAGTGTTCTGTTCCACCAAAGTGATTTTTCTGATGATGAATAAAATAAAAACTTTATCTTTTCTTGGCTCTACATTTCCGATGGTGTTTTATCCAAGAGTTATAATGGTCTTAGCCTAGTTGTTACGCTACTTTTAATAATGACTCCCTTCCTGTATAAGGAACGAGGAAAAGAAAATCTGGTCATTGGCTGTGGTTTATATTTTGCCTGGCTTATTCAACCCCATAAGAATATAGGCATGGCCTTCAAACAAACTCATTCCCATCCCAGTTGTTTTGAGTGGGACATAAGTAGAGAGGAAAAGTTGTGTTTTTTTCCTTCGTTTCCTTCCAAAAGCAGAGTTAGATTGAAATCCAATCATAATGAAATGTGGATTTTGACTATAGCTAATTTTTTTTTTTTTTTTTTTGAGACAGAGTCTTGCTCTGTTACCCAGGCTGGAGTGCAGTGGTGTGATCTCGGCTCACTGTAGCCTTGACTTCCCAGGGTCAAACCATCCTCCCATCTCAGCTTCCTGAGGAGCTAGAACTCTAGGCGTGTGCCAATACACCCTGCTAATTTTTGTATGTTTTGTAGAGAGGGGGTCTCTTCATGTTACCCAGGCTGGTCCTGAACTCCTAAGCTCGAGCCATCTGTCCACCTTGGCCTCCCGAAGTTCTGGGATTACAGGTGTGAGCCACCACGCCCCGCCCACAGCTAATGTTGTAGTTGCTAGTTCTCCATATTGATTAAAGCAACAATAACAGTAACCTCTACCCTTTTGAATAAAAGATAATGAGACTATTATAATTTCAGGCCCTCAGATGATGACTTAGATTTTCAAAATTGCATTTGACTATGAATGTAGGGAGAAAGAAAAGAAAGAAAGCAAAAGGGATATCATCTCAGATAATGGAATCTGCTAAAATCATGGAAGATGTTGGGAATGGTGTTGTTCCCAGGAATGTTGCTCTAGAACCTGATCAAGAATCTCAACAAAGAATTTGCCTTTGGCTAGTATTTTAATGCCTTCTGTTTCCACAAAGCTGTCACTGCCAGCAGAGACTCTGAGTGATAAGCCTGTAGCACTTTTTCTATTTATAGCTATGTTATGACTGAGAATAGAAAGCTGGTGTGTTCTAGTGTCCATTAAGACTTAAAAGACAGGAACCAAATGCAAGCAACTCCTTATGAGTTTTGGACTGTTTAGGGAATTTGTTCAAGAGGATTTTGCACACACACACTCCTGCAGTATTTAACCCAAATGTCATAATTCAAAGACAGAACGGAAGGGAATCTTGGTCATCATCTAGTCCAATCCCTTTGTTTCATAGGAAATAGAGCTAAAAGTTTGCACAACTTGCAGAGTTGCTTAGAGGATTCCCCTAATTTCCATACCTATTACATATTTTAAATTGAATGACAATATCTTGAAACTTTTTGTCTAAAAAAGTAAATATTTCTCCAGATAACCTCTTTCCAAACCTTAGCTCATTTTGACATATTGGTGTTCCTTACCCAAGCATTTACTCTCTGTTATGGCATAATAATCCATAAATATTTCTGCAAAGCAGAATTGTTTTCTTTTTGTATTAGCCTCTTTCTTAAAGGCAAAGTTTTGGTGGACCAAGTAGTGGTCATAAGACATGAAAAGCACAGCACTGGAATGACTCTTGAGAAAGTGAGAGAACTGCTGGCCACTTGTAATTGTACTAAAAAACTTTAAAAACAATGTCAGGTACAAAGCTATAAATTCTCTATTTAAGTCATGGTAATAAACCATAGCATTTAAATGATTACTTTCAAGGAATCTCATCTCTAGCAGCCAAATATCAGTGGAAGAGACGAATCCAGTGGGTTGCTGGATTACAATGTAAGTAGAATTCTCAGCTTCATCAAATCTCCCAAGTGAAAATAATCAATTATAATTATCGAGCTATTTTACAATTTTTTGTACTGAGTCTAAAGTATAATGTGTATTTTATACCTCCATCACATCTCAATTTAGACAAGCCAGGTTCAAGTGCTTAGGGGACGCATGTGCCTAGTTACTGGCTGCTGAATTGGACAGCAGAGGTGTGGGCCATGAAGCCAAGCAGGGCAATCACCACCTCACAGGTTTAAGGAGAGCTGGAAGCCCTCCTTGGGTAAGTGGCTGAGCAGATAACTCACTCCCTCCTTTTCCACCAGCTCTACCTCAACCCATTTCTAAAAATTTATTGCATGCTCTCCATGACAAGTTGACCAGTGGGGAGGAAGAAAGTTCTGTCTGGTTTCCAGATGACTCAATACACTATGTGGGCTGATGGCAGCTGCAGGTCTAGAGCTTCAAGAAAATGGAAAAGAAAGAAGCTCATTGAGCAGAATCACAAGTGACACATCTGATTTCCTACTTTCCCTGAAAGGAGACATGTTGCTTTAGTACTGACAACTGGCAAAACTCAATATGCTGGTGTGTGTTGCCTGTTCTATAAGTGAGAGTTGCCCTCAGGCTAGAGTCAGCCACTCTATGGAAGAGATAAAAAGAAATGCCATGATATTCATGTAGATCTACTCTGCCTGAAGCCTGCAATTTATGTCTACATTCAATAATTTTGAGTTTTGTTGGGTTGGAAGTCAACTGCGTTTGCACCTCAGTCCAAAGCAGGCTAGCTGGTAACACCCTTAGCAGGAGATGGCCAGTGTGGTGGGTCACTGGCAAGGTGGGATTTAGGTTGTTGTCTTATCACTAGAGACCACTGTTTGTACTCAAGGTAACAGCCCTTCTTTTGAGGACTTGCAGATGGACAGAGTACGGAGGCTGGTAGGTGAAATAAGTCTTCAGGTTTAAAACAAAAGAAGATATTTTACCGCAGTCACCTGCACAGACACTTACTAACAGCACATGGATTAAAATCTACTAAATTTTTGAGAGAACTTTACGGCTGATGAAACCCCAAGCCTGTCCTGAAATAGCTTGTGACTATAAAAATCCCTAAGTTTCCAGGCCGCTAAACATATGCCACCTGGAAGGGGACTGCTAAAGGCAGGTAACCCCAAGGAAAGAAATACTCTCCAATGTGATGTCAGATGTGGTTGTGAAAGACAATGGAGAAAGAAGAACCTCCTGGGGCAACCAGTATAAGAGGCTGTGGGAGACAATGGCCATGGGAAATTGTCCCAGGGACAAGAGCTGTGGGCTGCCAGCTAGGTCAGCAAGAAAACTTCCCATTGCCACAATCCTTTCATGTGTGTGCTGTTTCCAACCTGAAGAACTGGATCATTGCTGGAGAACTGGGTCATTGCTGCGGAACTGGATCATTGCTGGGAAACTGTAACAGCTATAGATTTTCTCCCTCCTCCCAACCCCAACACAGGGATTTTTTAAATGTAGTTTTCCTATTCCCTTCACTATCATTTTATATTTCATCTAGTGGAGGTAATAACTTGTCTTTTGGTCTTATAGAAACCACAGCTGAACCCTATTGAAAGGAATGCATGCCGAGGGATTATGTGCTTTGAGCTATATACAGTAAATGAATAAAACTTCTTCCATGCATTTATATATATATATATATATATATATATATATATATACATACATATACACAGAGACACTCATTGTTGAGTTGTTGTCTTATAACTAGGGACCACCGTTTATACTCAAGGTAAGTGCCCTTCTTTTGAGGGCTTGCAGATAGTATTGGAGGCTATATATATATATCTGAAAGGATACAGTTTGCTACTCACTACTCACTTCCCAATAATCATTCTCTCCTTCTTCCCTAGTAACAGAACCCTGGGCAATGGCCAAGCTGAAAAATTACATTTCTGAGATTTCTGTGCAGGTAGATGGGGCCATATGTCTATATCTGGCTAGTGAGATGTAAGCAGAGGTGACATAAATAGAAAAGAAAGTACAAGCTCTTCTACTTGTTTTTCTTTCTGCTCTTTGGAAAGCTGTTGTAAAAACAATCAATTGTGGACCATGAGGGGCCTTGTAGACAGAAGTCACTTGTGATGTAAGAGAAAGATAGATGAAGCCTGGCCCCAGATGACTTTGTGGACCCTATTCCAACCCCGGACTGCTACTCTGCACTTTTTTTTTTGTTAATGTGACAGGATAAACCCTTGTGTGTTTAAGCCATTGAGCTGGGTCTCTGTTACCAATGGCAGAAAACCATTCTGATATACTAGTTCAGATATGACATAGAGTGTTTTTCTCAATTCTATTGATTGCAAATAATACAAGCCCAAATTAGCATGTTTAAGGGGGAAAAATACTTTATTTGAAGGCGACAAGATATCTGGTGCAGTGCAGTGTGCTAAATATCAGAATTGACTAAAAGAAGGAACTGGAAATCCAAGAGAAACTACGGCCTTATTAAATTATCTCTGCTCTCGTGTCTGGTGCCTTTATGTCTCTGTTTCTATGTCTGTGTTCTCTCCTTCTCTCACTGCATTGTTTCTTTATCTCAACCTTTCTACCTCTGTGCTGTGCTCTGTCTCTACAGACCACCTTCTCACTTTTTCTGCTCCCATTTGTAATATCTCCACTAGAGTTCTGGAGCAGTAGCAGCAGCAGCAGCACAGTCTTCAATACCACCAACCAATTTCATAGAATCTTAATATCTCAATTTTACTTTCCCAAGAAACTAACAATAAGTAATTTGTAAGGTGAAAAGATGTGGACTGAGCTGTAAAACATAGTTTCTAGGGCACATTCCTACTGGTTGGTTGGTTGGGATATCAGAAGGAGGAGAAGAGAGAAATTCTCAAAAGAGTGCTGGACACAGGGCAAATATTCTTGTGTGTGTTTGTTATGTGTCGTCAAAGGGAGTCTGAACTAAAGAATGTAAATGTGTCCATGTAAATCCCTCATTACTACACTCATAATTTGCCAATACAGACATATATTATTTCCATGTATTCTGGAAGTTTTAGTGATTTCACATATTTATCTCATTTGGAATACCTCCTACCACAACGCTTGTAAGAGGTAGGAATCATTATTCCCATTTTACAGAAAAAGAAAGTTAATCAATTAAAAAGAAGCCACAGCTAGTAAAGTTGCAGATTCAAGACTCTGGTTCAAGTTGGTCTTGAAAGTCCAAATCCACATTTGTTCCACAACACTTCATTCATTGCCTACAAAAAAACTCTATCATTAGTTCTCAAATACTGGCCTGAAAAGCTGCTTTATTTCAAAACAGTTTTTACTGACTCTGACAATGCTAATTGTTAATGGTAGTTTGATGTTATTTTGTTTCATATTTTGTCTTCTTGTCTAATGGAACATTTAGGAAGCCTAAGTCTAGAAACCACTAAATTACATAAACCCAGCTTACATTGAGTTTAGCATTAAAGCCCTAACAAGCACACTCAAAAACTGAGCAGATGAAAACGCTAGGGCCTATGACAAAAAATATAAAAAAAGAATATATTCAGGCCCTTTCTATTCATCTGGATGACACAAAATGGTTGAGTCTGTTTTGTTCATTCTCAGATGATTGAGGGCAGATTGAGCTCACAAGAGCTCAAGGGTTACAAACTTGCTGAATTCACTTAGACTTTAACTCATTCATCCAATATACTTTTAAAAAAATGCATTGGTGCTTACATCCATAGCTTAATCTAGTCTTTTAAAAAGCTATACGATAACATTCAAAGATTCAGAATTTTTTTTTTTTTTTGAGACCGAGTGTCATTCTGTCTCCCAGGCTGGAGTTCAGTGGCATGATCTCAGCTCACTGCAACCTCTGCCTCCCGGGTTCAAGCGATTCTTCTGCCTCAGCCTCCTGAGTAGCTGGGACAACAGGCATGTGCCACCACATCCAGCTAATTTTTGTATTTTTAGTAGAGACGGGGTTTCACCATATTGGCCAGGCTGGTCTCGAACTCCTGACCCTGTGATCCGACCGCTTCGGCCTCCCAAAGTGTTGGGATTACAGGCGTGAGCCTCCATGCCTGGCCAAAGATTCATATTTTTATATAATTTGTCCAAGACTGTATGTGTCTTATTAACAAGCAGCAGAAAAAACAACTGGCATAGGCTAAAACACTAGCAGGGTATTTGTTGGCTTACAGAGCTGAAAAAACCAAGTAGATTGGGATTCAGCTGATGAACTAAAGTGGCTATCAATGTCACCACAAACTCAGTTTATTTCCATAGATCTGCCCTGCCTTTCAAGGTAGCATCCTCTTTCTAAGGCTAACTCACCTCACATTAGCAGTATGACAGCCAACAGTTCCTAATATAATGATCTTTATCTTTCACCATCAGTGATTGCGCCTTGCCTTGTAGTTCTGTCAGAAGAGAAATGATTTTCTATTCCAGAGACCCTCACAAAATACCACCTGAGCCTCATTGGTCCAAAGCGGTCATGTGTTCACCTTTAAATCAATCAAAGGCCAGAAAATTGGGCAGTGATGATTGGTTTAAAGCAAACAAGATCCGTGGTTGTAGCTGAGAATGGGGTGAATTCCATTCAAACTGCATGGCTAAGCAAGGGGAAAATCAGTCTACTAATCCCATGAAGAAGAAGCAGATGAGGCAGGACTTAGATCGAGATCTTTCTGGCTCCTAAGCCCATGATTTTGCAAGTAAACAATACAGTTTCTGATCTCCAGAAGCTTTAAGTCTTAAGGGAGACAGGGAAACCTACCATAGTAATATGACAATTGCTCTGAGCAAGTTCTAAGGCAGTGTTGTGGAGCTCAGCGTACCTTTAAATGGCAAACCAGAGTCTTTAAGAGTCCAGCCAAATCCTAGTTCTGTCACTGGCTGTGTGATCTTGTGTGAGGTACTTAGCCTTTTCACGACTCAGTGTCTTATCTGCAAAATGGAGCCAATAATAGTATTCACCTTACAGGGATTAAATGAGGACAATATTTGTAAAGTGCATTAAAAATGCATAGTATATATTATAATAGGTTATTGTTAAATAAAAGAAACAGGAAGTAACCTCTATTTAGGTACAACGATGATGAGGATGATGATGATAAGATGATAAAATCATCTATCACCACTCTGTATCAGGCACTCTTTGAATCTCTGGGGATACAAATGCCCATAAATCACAGTTTCTGTCCTCAAAGAACTTGTAGTTTATTGGCAGAAGGAGGTAATTCGTAATGCGATGAACCCGTTATGACATTTGAGGTAATCCGGGGCCTTCCGGGTGACTGGGAGCCCAGGGAAGGAAACCATGAGCAGTGGAAATTCAGTGTCTACATGTCCAATTACCCTCTCATTAGCTATTTTGAAATGGCAAATAGAGGAGACTATTTTGGGGGCCCAGGGAATTGAGGGATTAACATAATTGTCAGTTTTAGATGTATTTCCTTATTCTCCCCTGTCGAGTTTGAGTTCCTCTTTCGATCATATAAGATGTTATGTACAAATGTGAAGCATCTCAACTACCATGTAAAGGTGACACGATGGCTTGTCTTCCTCCTTCTGGGGTGTGCAAAAAGCCACACTAGGAAATGATGAAATACTTTCCCTAGAAAACAGAAAGACCTCATGTTTTCATGACTTGGAGACTGAGGTAACCTTCGCTTTCTGACATACTTCTAGCAGAGTTTAGGAAGAAGACTCATTCAAGGAAACATCTCCTGTATTCCTTCTTCTTGTCTCCAAAGCTGAGTCTTGTTTGCTAGCTATAGAAGAACAGCATGCTATTTATTCATCACTCCAAAATACTGTAAAATCTAGAACTTAAATGACATAGATTAGTAATAAACCTTGTAGAAAGTATTGTGTTTATAATAGTTATTCATGTACTAGTGAGATTATACTTACTCATTTTTCTTTTCAGTGAAGCGATGCCCATGAAATTGTCCAAGGGAAGATGGCTAGTAGTAGTAGAATGAGCTTTAGAGTTGGCTATCAACAAATTTAGTGAAAAACCTAGTGAAGCTTCCAAATCTCCAGTAGTATCTGACCAATTGTTTGTTATATCTATAAATACTCTCTCACCTCTACAGAAAGATATATAATAAATATTCCTCAGTGATGTGATGTTTGGCTCCACTACATCTTGCAGATGGAATCTGGGTATAGTCTGTGGTTAGTCCAGGTAGCAGGATCTTAGAGTAAGTCTGCTTCAGTGTTGCAATTAGAATTCAATAGAATTCTGTATTTGGTACCTCAACTCACTGATATATTTAGAGAACTGTATGAATATTCTTTCCCCCACAATGTTCATGAAATATTGAAGTAATTAGGCAGAAAATAACTTTTTTTTAAAGAAAATATATATTTTTTGGCTAGTTGTGGTGGCTCATGCCTGTAATCCCAGCACTGTGGGATGCTGAGGCAGGCGGATCACTTGAGGTCAGGAATTTGAGACCAGCCTGGGCAATGTGGTGAAACCCCATCTCTACTAAAAATACAAAAATTAGCCAGGTGTGGTGGCGGGTGCCTGTGATCCCAGCTACTCAGGAGGCCGAAGTGGGAGAATTGCTTGAACCTGGGAGGCAGAGGTTGCAGTGAGCCAAGATGGCGCCACTGCACTCCAGCCTTGGCGATAGAGTGAGACTCCGTCTTAATAATGAAAAAATATATATAAATATTTTTGTCATTCTTTAATCTCAAAAATAAAGGCTAGTGGAGGCATACCATCTTAATGATGGTACTCTCTTCCTCTTATTGAAAGAATCCACTAATAATCTCGGTTAAGCAAGCTATTGTCACAAAAATGGAGTATGAAAACATCCACACAGATGGTTTGCTTTGAATTTTCTTAATTTTAAATATTAGATTTGAAACATACCAAACAAAAAAACCCAACTGCATTGTAATAATAGAGTTTCTCTTCTGTTTTTTACATAGCTATCCATTTAAGAAAGACATTTATCCAAGAAATTCCTGTGCTGAGTATAGGGCTTAATCTCACACACAGACTTTCCCACATTTGATCCTGAATAGGCTGCTGAATGATAAGGTGATAAGATGAACAAAGCAACACCAGCAGGTTGTTTTTCTTTTTTTCTCTCTCTCCTTTTTAAAGGAACAATAGGTTTTTTGTGTGGGTCTCCAAATGACAAAATAGCTTACTAAAAAATGCAGGTTTGAAACTAGTTGAGGTTTCATTGCAGTTTAAAAGTCCTTTCCAAGCTTAGATTAATGCATTGATAATTGAAAACTATCTGGACACATTATATGTTCTAGATATTAATCTGAGGCTTTCATGAGTATCTACACCTTCAGACCTCCACATTACCTAAGCTCCCTAAATCCTTTCTGGAAGAAGGCAGGGAATAAATACACCCATTGGTTAAATTAAATTAAATTTAATACAGTTGTTTCACATTTTTTGCGATGGCTTTCAATCTAGAGTATCTGTTCCTCTTACCTACTCAGCCTCATTAAAGATGCAACTGCCTAACAGCTTCATAAGAGCTGTGTTATAATCTGAATTCAATGATTTTTTAGGGCAGTGTGAAATAACTTCAAGGATAATTTTACAACACAATGAGCCAAAGGCATTAATTTCATTTTGCTGCTGTTTTTTTTTTCTATTTAAAAAGATGGAATTTGCTTTTTCTGGAGAGATGTCTACCATAAGATGGTTTGCTTACAGTTATGTTCATGTGAACATAAACATCTCCCAGCCACAGAATTTCACACGGAAATCAAAGAAAGGAAGGCTCTGCTGTTAAGGCTAATGTTTGTCATCACATAAACTACCAGAGACATCAGCCAATACCAATGGCAATGGGTTGTCTGTGACTTAATACCATTTTATTGACCACTGAGGGCAGAGTTTAAGCACTTCCAGTACATGAGTGCACTGGGGATATACAATTGTCCTGAACACTTAATTGAGTGTCTTTCCCTGGAATTTGTTTGAAGTGAGTCTCCAAGGCTCGAAACTTCTGGGCCTAGCTCTCATGTGCTTATGAGACCAGGTGTGCTTTATGAAAAGATATAGCTAGCCTCTGGCTTGTCTTTTTTCCTATCCTGCTTCTTTTTAAATCTTCTTTATTCTGCTGTAGTTTTTTTTTTTTCCCTTGCATTAAGGTTTATGAGAACCATTATCATGGAATATAATTTTAAATTTCAAAGAAGACTCGGATTTGAAAGTAGCTTTATGATTTCCCCTACACTTTGGTCTGGGTGGTGATTGTATTCAATTGGGCTTTCATGGAAATACTATCATTAAAAACTCATGGTCTCTAGAGACAGGATTTGGAAATGCAACTCAAGCCTTTCTGATTAAGGTTATGAGAACTCCCACTTGTTTGCAATAGCTTTGTTTTGCTTTTGATTTATAAGAACTCCCAGCTAATGATCCTGATTTGGAGCTAAAGAAATTCTAAATTAAAATTGTAAAGGAACTAGATGAGTCTCAAAAAACATTCACATAGCAAATAAATTTATGTCCTCACCCCTGGCAGTGCACAATCTCTCAAACATTCCTCCATATTTTTCTAGTAGAGACAGGGTTTTGCCATGTTGGCCAGCGTGGTCTCAAATTCCTGGCCTCATGTGATCCGCCTTCCTTGTCATCCCAAAGTGCTGGGATTACAGGTGAGAGCCACCGTGCCCTGGCTTGTTTCTCTGTATTTTTCTATCCTTTTTTGATTTGATTCACTGCTTCCTCTTTCTCTCCCTCTTTACCCTCAGGCGGCCTGGCTATTCAGCTGGGCTCTAGAATCTTCATCTGCTTCCTTTCATTCTTTCTTTCAGGATCCTGCAGGTCTTTAGTTCTTTTCCTCTGTCCTGCCACTAATTTATCTTGACTTTTCTGTCACGTGATCCTCCTCTGGGCCACTCCATCATCCTTCTGTTCATTTCCTTTGACCTGAATCTTGGGGGACTTATTTTTTCCCCTGCCTTCTTGTTCATTCTGTGAGTCAGAAGTCACCTCTTAACCTTGGATGGTTTTTTGTTTTTGTTTTGTTTTTCTGAAATTAGTTCAAATCTGGACAAATCTTTTTTTCTGGAACTCTCAGAGCAAGAATTTCCTGGCCTCTGCAAACATCAGAGCATAGCATCCTATTTTTCAAGAAGAGATTGTTTTGGTTTAAGGATAATAACTGAACATGACCCTCCCCACTATAAGCTGTGAAAAATAGATCAATAGGTATAGGAGGCAGATAAGAAATCAATATATCATCTAGTGATAAATATTGATGTTTATGGATAAATCCCGACTAGACACCCTGGCTTGGCCTATGGTCAGGGCCAAGTTTCCATCTTAACATCTCCCTGCTACACCTACTATGTGCTTTGCTGAAGTGGTGCAAGGGTGAATGGAGCACTAGCATAGGGAAACAAATCCCTGGAAAAAGTGGTCCCTGCCTTCAAAAATGTCACTAGACTTTCCAGGTGGTTCTTTTTCATTAAAATAACAATAATTTTTCTTTTACTGTTAAAAAATACAATAAAATAAAATAATAAAATAAAATCTTCCTTCTAGTCATGGGTGGAGTAGCTGAAAAACCAAATGTGGAGAACTTTCCCCAGGTGTCTCACAGCTTGCAGAAAGAAAGAATATTGGTCTGCTGGGAACTCTTGTTTTTCAGCCTATGCAGTATTCTTCACATATTATTCCCTCTGGGGAACATCAGGGCTAATGCAAGTACACAGTTCAGGCTAATGCTCAGTCCCTTATTTTATCCATTAAATTAAATCATGTGTAGGAATTAATTTAATCTATCTTTAAATCTAGTTCATCAAAATATTTTAAATAAAATTCTGACTGAACATCTGGTAACTTTCTGAGCACCAAGGACACAAAAAATAAATTGGACATGGACACTGACTATGGCCAACATGATATAGATGAATGAAAATTATTCATACATAACTACATGCGGAAATATTATTACTTACATGAGGGAATATTATTATCTAAGGGTCTGATATGAAAAGTCCTCATGAGGCAGGGCCATCTTTGGTACGTGCTATGATAAATCTAGTTAGGCAGAATAGACAAGTTTTGTAGAGCCTGAAGCTTATAGAATTTGGAGAATTCTCTTTTTGAGAGAATATAAAATTCTGAATTCAAAATCAGTCTCAAAAGCAAATATCTAGAGTGAGGATAGAAACCACAAGAAAATTGCCAGAGGCTTGGAGATGCAGGCCCCTGGCTTCTGAGATTTCTTGAGGTATTTTCACCTTGTTTCCCAAATCTACGTAGAAGACTCTATAGCTCCCAGTGACTTGCAGAACTCACAGGAATGTGAAACTGGGGTCTGAAACTTAAGCTTCAATGGCTTCAGGGTAAAATTATTTTGGGGCAAATTTCCAGAGCTTTGAGGTTGGTTGGACCATTCCTTCAAATAATAGAGGTGACTGCGAAAAGGGGGCAGGCCATGGAAGAGCTTTATACAGGGTGCTGTGACTGCTTCCTATACCACCACAAATCTTCAGGGAAAATGACATAAACCACATTAGGCCCATTGTAATTGTGTTTTTTATGGAAATGGGCGAAAAAATTAGTTTTGCATCTTGGTTGGTGTGGGATCAAAACAGAATTAAGAGGTGTATTAAAACATAAGTTAACTATATTGCAATATCTTAAATGCATGATAGACATAAAGCCAAGTGTCACTTAATGTCGGGCATGCATTCTGAGAAATGCATCACTAGGCAACTTCATAATTATGTGAACATCATAGAGTGTACTTCACAAACATAGATGGTATAGCCTACTACACACCCAGACTGTATGGTATAGTCTATTGCTTCTGGGCTACAAACCTGTACAGCATGTTACAGTACTGAAGACAGTAGGCAATTGTAACACAGTGGCAAGTATTTGTGTATCTATAAATAGAGAATGCATAATAGAAACACAGTATTACAATCTTATGGGCCCACCATCATATGTGTGGTCTGTTGTTGACCAAAACATCATTATGTGGCACATGTGCAAAACAACATAGCCACATAACATATTTTCCCAACATTTAGCACCTTAGAACAACAAACATTTGTTATCTCCTAGTTCTGTGAGTCAGGAATCTGCACATGGCTTAACTGGGTCCTCTGGTTCAGGGTCCCTTGCAAGGCTGCAGTCAATTAGTTAATTAGTTTTCTGGGATTGCCATAACAAAGCACCACAGACTGGGTAGCTTAAATAACAAAAATGTATTTTCATACAATTCTGGATGCCTAGATCAAGGTATCTGCAGGGTTGGCTTGTTCTGAGGCCTCTCTCCTTGGATTGTAGATGGCCGTTTCCTCTCTGTGTCTTCTTCGCATGGTCTTTCCTGTATATGTGTCTGTGTTCAAATTTCCTCTTCATATAAGAACACCAGTCCTATTGGATTAGGACTCATCCTAATGACCTCATTTTAACTTCATTACCTCTTTAATGACTATGTCTCCAAACAAAACCATGTTCTGAAGTGCTGGGAGTTAAGACTCAAACATATAAATTTGGGCAGGATGCAGTTTAGCCCATAACAGCCAGGTTGTAGGTACCTTAAGTCCCCACTGGGGAAAATCAGATTCCAGGCTCACTCATGTAGTTGTTGGTAGGATTTAGTTCCTTGTGGACTATAGGACTTTAGGGCCTTAGTTCCTCACTGGTTGTTGGATAGAAGCCAGTCTCAGTTCCTCGCCACATGAGCCTCTCCACAAGGCACCTCTCAACATGGCAGCTGTCTTCCCACAGCAACAAGAAACTCTGACACTGCCGGTAATTCATTCTTTGCCATTGTGGTTGAAATACTCCATCCATCACTGTGAAGTATTTAAAAAAAAGCTAACATTTAAAAATATATATTTAAACTATCACTGAAACCTTCACTTTTATTTCCCTTGAGGCTTTCCTCTTCTCTTTGTGTTGGTCCAGGATCCCAGGAACCAATCTGGAACAAAGGACAGGTAAGTCTTGCTTGGAAGCTCCAGGTAGTAAGAGAGCTGGGACTCATCCACCGGTAATGGATTGTGGTTTTCACAATGTCTCAGTGGAAAACCTTCTGTGAAGTTGGTGGCTATGTATTTACTGCTGTGATGGTGGTCTTGCTGGACCAGGGTCTTGGTAGTTTTTAAGGTGAAGATAATCTGGGTCTCTCTAAAGGCCAAGCTATTTTCCTAATGCTGCCATATTTATGTTAGAAGATGCTTCTAGTCTTAGCCACTTTGAGCCAGACTCCCAAGCCTTGATGCTGAGGCTTTATTACTAGTTCATATCCTTTGCCAAAGAGGCCAAAGAGGTAACCTCTTTTTTTTTCTTTTTTAAATGGGTATCATCCCAACCCATTGCAGATCTTAAAAATGAATGGGATTGCAATCTCTTTCCTTCTAAGGCAGTGATTTGGTCCAATGCAAAACTTTTCCTCCTCTCCATTGTGGACCAGCTCTACACAGTGGGGATACTGGAAAGAGATAAAAGACACATTTATACCTTCCCCAGAGAAATAGGTGCCCATTCCCCTTATCTTACATGATTGCCTAGAAATAGGAATAGGAAATTACTATAGACCCAATATTCCATATTATGGGAATAGACAACTTGACTGCAGTGGGTTGTCAGTAAAAGAACAAAATGTTTGAGAGAGTTAAACAGCTGCGTAGCATCCTCAGGCAGAGGGGTACGGACCACATACGGTCCTGATCACTTATGTAACTTTAGGTCAGGTTATTGCCACAGGTCCCAGCTGGACTATAGCTGGGCTTGTCTCCTTCAGGTTTTTCTGCTGTTAGAAAAAGGGGATTGGTGGAATTGCCATTCCATAAGTGTTGCAGTTTCTCCATAAGAAGATGACTGCCAAGAGCTGTATTTGAAGTGATCTTTTGGCAATTGGAAAACTAACTCGTATGCTATTATCTCCCTTACTATTACTTTCTGCTTTTTAGAAGTATGTCAGCTGTTTGAGGTGCCTTGGTTCCATTAAATGTTCCCTGTTATTCTAGTTTATTTTTTTATTTGACATATTTTTTAAGTTTGGGCTCTAATGACAAAAAAGAACAAATCTATTTTTATATGATCACCAACATCCAACCTTGTTCTAAATTTCTATCCCAGGCTTTCATCAAGGCAAAAACTAAACAACCATTCAAATAAACAAAAACCTTACAAATTTTAAGAAAATTTATTGTGCTTGTTCTGCCTTCCAGGCACTGTGCCAGGTGCCAAAAATAGAAAAATAAATTAAATCTAGTCCCTGCTGTAGAGAAGCTCCCAGTTTAATGGTGGGAAAAAACACATAATCATGGTAAAGCGCATAACGACTCAATTAATATTTGAGTTCCTACTCTGTTCAAGTTTCTGTGGCTTCAAAAATGAACACAACAGACATGAAGCCTGCCTACATGTAGATTAGAGTTTGTCAGAGAGAGCAACCATTGAACTATTCATTACAAGCATGATCAGTGTCTCCATGGGAAAAAAAATGAAGCATTATGAAAACGTTTAACAGGGGCACCACTTCTAATTTGAAGGGCAGAACAAATATTCATTTGGAAATAGTCGTGGCAACTGGGGATGGGGTGGAGAAAGAGGGTAGGCAGAAGAGTTCCAAAATAGCATGTGCAAAAGATCCTTGAGGCTGGAAAAAGAAAGATGTGTCCTGAAACCACAGGTAAGCTATCATGGCAGGAGTAAAAATGAGTCAGGACAGCGGGCATGGCTGCACGGGTTAAACTCTTAAGAGTAGCTGAATTCTCTCAAGTATAAAGATATGTCAATGTCAATAACATTTTTCTTCTTTTTTCTTTTTCTTTTTTTCTTTTTCTTTTTTTTTTTTTTAGATGGAGTCTCACTCTGTTGCCCAGGCTGGAGTGCAGTGACGTGATCTCAGCTCACTGCAACCTCTGCCTCCCAGGTTCAAGTAATTCTCCTGCCTCAATCACCTGAGTAGCTGGGACCACAGGTGCACACCACCATGCCCAGCTACCTTTTTTTTTGTATTTTTAATAGAGATGAGGTTTCACCATGTTGGCCAGGCTGGTCTCGAACTCCTGAGCTTAAGAGATCCACCTGTCTTGGCCTCCTAAAGTGCTGGGATACAGGCATGAGCCACTGCGCCCGGCCAGGAACTTCTTTAAATGATGAAACAATTGTACAGTTTGCCTGTGTTGCTGGAGGTATTTATTTCTTCAATAAACGCTTATTGAATGTTATTTATGTGTGGATTCTCTGGTACACACTGAGAATAAAAAGATGAGTAAGGCAGAATCTATGCACATCAAGTGGTTTGTACTGCAGTGGAGGAAGATAGAAGATGTAATAAAAACAGAGATGAGAAAACAATTCTATGTTCATATTGTTTAAAGAAGAAGTGTACTTCTTAGGTAGCTATTATAAGATTTATGGCCCAAATCAAGTCTAAAAAATAATAAGGGAGCACTAACTGGCTGTGGAACTCCAACCTGGTGATGCATCAGAATGTTCTGGGCAACTTTGTAAATTGCAAATTCCTGAGTTCCTCCTTAGATCCAGTGGATTTTAATTTGTGGAGGTGAGACCCAAGAATCTATAATTCTTCTTTTTTTTTTTTGACAGGTTTCACTCTTCTTGCCCAGGCTGGAGTGCAGTGGAGGATCATGGGCTCATGGCTCATTGCAGCCTAACCTTCTCAAGTAGCTGGGACTACAGGTGCATGCCACAACACCCAGCTAATTTTTTGTATTTTTAGTAGGGATGGGGTTTCACCATGTTGCCCAGGCTGGTCTCGAACTCCTGGGCTCAAGCGATCTGCCTGCCTTGGTCTCCCAAAGTACTGGGATTACAGGTGTTAGCCACCATGCCTGGCAGATTTAGAATTCTAAAAAGCACTCCCAGTGATTCTGCATATATTCTGCAAATGGCATTTGGGAACCATTGAGGAAGAGCATGGTATCTGTGAAGCCACAGTAACATCCCTCTAAACGTGTTCTTCAGGCTGTTAATAGATGACATGGGAAAAAAAGGATTCAGTGGTATAATCAGTTGAATTACATCTCCCTCCTCAAATTCAGATGTAAGTTCTAAACCTCAGTACCTCAGAATGTGACCTTATGTGGAGATAGGGTCTTTACAGAGGTAATCAAGTTAAAATGAAGTCGTTAGATGGACTCTAATCCACTATGACTGGTGTCTTTGCAAACAGATGGAATTTGGAGATAGACACCTATATGGGGAGAATGCCCTGTGAACATGAAATCAGCCATCTACAAGCCAAGGAGGGAAGCTTGGGACAGAGCTGCCAACACTTTGACTTTGAACTTCTAGCCTCTGGAACTGTGAGACAATACATTTCTGTTGTCTAAACTACCCAGTTGTTACTTTGTTAAGGCAGCACTCAAAAATGAATACAAGTGACTAAGTTACAGAGAGTTATGAATAAAATGATTTCTCTGCTGCAGGGGCTCCAGAAGCTTGGATGTGCTCTATCACCCTCTGAGAGCTGATGGCATGTGAATCTCATCCCAAATCTGAGTGCAGAGTGCTTTTTGTTTGGCATAGAGCATTTCATGAGACTGTTGTTCTGTGGTTCTGACTCAGAGAAACATCGAGTTTATTTCCCCTAAGGAAGCAGCCATGCCGTGGGTCTCACAGCTGCAGAAAGTTCAGCTTCATGGGACTGAGCTACTTTCAGGAAATAAGGATGCAGGTGAAAATTTTTGATTACATTTAGTTCAAATCCATTACACCTCCTGGGGGCAGAGCAGAACAGCTCCAAGGAAATAACCTACTGGAAATGATCAGGAGTCATTTTTCTTGATCCATGAATCCTTTGATTCCTGTTATTTCACATCTGTGACTCAGAAGCAGCCATTTGAAGAGAAAAAAACCAAGAAGTACTAGGTTGTCTCCCTTAGTGGAGTGGTTCAGGAAATTTAGGAAAAAAATATGCAAGCGTGATTTTATCAAATTGAACACACCACTACAGATTTGCCTTTGGAGCACTCCATTTATTCCTACTCAGACCTTGACAAACTGATCCATCTGTCTTGAAATGGAACATTGGGAGATAAATGGACCATCATCATTGTCAGTGGTTAAAAAAGTAAGACTAAAGATTTAACTTGTATATTTCAGTTTCAAACATGCACACATAGAGTGAAGGAAATGTGAACCGGATGAACACAAGCTTCCTAAACATTTGCAAAATCGCGATACTTCAACTTCTTATTTATCTGATGTGTATTATATTATTTAAAGCTAAACTTTAAAAAATTTTAGACTTGCTATTTGATCTACGGGTGTGACAAGTATTTGTGTCTAAATCTGGTGAAAACTTGGGATCATGCAGACAAAACATTCATCAATCCTTGTTTCATATTTTTAGGTCACTATCAATAAACTCTACCCACCTCTCATGCTCATTTCAGTTCTCATCTCTCTCCCGCGGTCCTTACCACCATCCCTGCAGACCCAGTGATCTCTCACCCTGATAACTCATTCAACATGTACTGCCAGTTTCCACAGCCCCCATAACCAGTGCCCAAAACCAGTGGCCACTTCCAACCAAAATGCACTTTCATTGGCTCGGCTTCCAGAGTTCCTGATTTATTAGGGCTGGGTAAGTTGAAGTCTGTGTTTTTAACAGGTGAGTCTAATGGTCAATTCCACCTGAGAATCAAAACGACTCATTTGGTATTTACCCTATAATGTCTTATATTGCAAGTGAGTCTGTCTCATCCTAGGCCATCCTTTCCTTAACTGAATTGATGTTTTTAATTGAAAAGCCATGTTTTTGAATGCTGGAAAGTTATTTTAATGCTATTTTTCAATTTTTGTAAGTATACTTTTGATTCTTTGTTAAAGTTGTCATCTGTTTCTTCTGGAAGTTCTATTTTACTAGTAGAATGTTCATCTTGGGGCATGGGTTGTTGTT
Organism: Homo sapiens; assembly: GCF_000001405.40. Taxonomy (NCBI): domain Eukaryota; kingdom Metazoa; phylum Chordata; class Mammalia; order Primates; family Hominidae; genus Homo; species Homo sapiens. The sequence continues at coordinate 92,477,571 of NC_000012.12, read as the reverse complement.
ATTCCTCAATCTGGCTGCTGGGTTCCCTTTGGGTGTTTATGATTTTAACTGCCTGCCCCTGGCTCTAGTTACCTGGATTAGCTCTGAGGACACTTGAGTCACTGGAATGGAGGGAGATAGGACAGTTTCAGGTCCGGTTAGCAAATCATCTGTACAAGTACAAGGAGAAGACACTTCTCTACAAACCTGCAATATGTTTGACCAGCCTCAAGGGCAGAGAGGATCTGAGCCTATCTGTTCCCCTCCCTCCACGCCCCTCCGAAGCCAAAGAGACTAGCAAGTACCCCCAAGATAATCTCATCAATCTGGCGCATTGCTCTTTAGAGATTTCACTGATCTGTCTCTCAGGGCCACACTCTCTGGGCCCTGGGAGATAGCATGGTGCTCTCATTCCTGCCCCAGGTTCATGACTACTGCTGCACAGGAATCATCTCATTGTCAGCTCTCTCCAACTAAACCTCCACAGATGGGAGGCCTCGCATGTGACCTCTAGGCTCCCCCTATCACCCTGTCCTAAAAGGTACTCTGCTTAAGATAGATAGCTGGAAGTTGATTAGAATTAGAATGGAAGACTCATGGGGAGCTGCAGCATAGGCACTCAGGACACAATTTGCACAAAATACCCTCATTGCCTAACCCAGGCAACTAGAACCAGGGGCAGGCAGTTAAAATCATAAACACCCAAAGGGCACTCAGCAGCCAGATTGAGGAATAACAACCCATGAACTAAGATGAATATTCTACTAGTAAAATAGAACTGCCAGGAGAGCAACTTTCACAAAGAATCTCATTGTTATTGAACTTTCCATGCGTGTATGTCTGGTTTCTCCAGCTAAGGGGCTTTGGATATATCATCTATCTTAGCCTACTGTAAGAAAATACCTCAGATGGGATAATTTATAAACAACAGAAATTTATTGCTTACGGTCCTGGAGGCTGGGAAGTCCAAGATCAATGTACTGACAGATTCAATGTCTGATGAGAGCTCACTCTCTGCTTCAAAGATGGTACTTTGTTGCTACATCCTCACATAGTAGAAGGGACAAATGAGCTCCCCCAGTCCTCTCTTATAAGAGTACTAATTATTATTATTATAACAGCATTCATGAAGGTGGAGTTTTCATGACCTAATCAACCCCCAAAGACCCTACCTTTACGGGGCCTCACGATTACTTTCGTGATTAGGTTCCAACATATAAATTTTGTGGGGATAAAAACATTCAGTTTATAGCATCACATAGCCTCACCATGCCTCACTTTCTTTAATTTGAAAACAGATAATAACCTCCACATAAAACTGGCATTTAAATCACAGCTATCACTTATTGTACATTCTTTCTGTGACAGGCACCTTGCTATGTACTTTACATGCATTAGTGCCAAATGAGATAATTTGAATAATTCACCTGGCATGTTACCTGGTACAGGTGGATGCACTGTACATGCCCATTGTTCTCTTTTGTTGTTGCTCTTAGCTGCTGACCTATATGGGAATAGGTGTTGTCTTGCACTTTTCACTGCCCCCTTCTCCCCACTGCTCTTCATACCCTACCTTGCATCGGAGCACTCGACATATTTCTTGGTTGGCTAGCTGAATAGATCATGCCCTTCTAAATGACAATTTCCTATTTTTTCTATACTTGGTAAACTCAGTTAATTTTACATGTTTCTAAAAGGCCTAGCTAAAAGTTTATTTCTTTTGTAAAACTATAGGTAATATCTCTTGTCTGATAGAATATCATCTATACATTTCATAGGTTATTTACCCCCAATTCTACCTCATATTCAAGTCACTTATGCCCATGAACTATATTCCTTACTGGAATACATCTCTATTCTGCTCCAAGTTGAGAAGTGCCTAGAATTCCTCTTTTAAAATTCTTCCCCTAAAACTTAGGATAATTACCATAGAAAACAAGAACTGGAGGAATCCTCCCTTCATTTCTTTCAGAGAAAAACCCATCAAATTAGATGGGAAGAGATCATGTGAAGCAAGACAGATTTGCAAGTTAGAAGGTGTATGTGCAGAAAGAAAATGATAGAACATTCTGGTTAAAGTGTTGTGTTAATCTATCTTGGGCATCTTGCTCTCTCTTGTACCTTTTTAGGTGAGTTTTTCCACTAATGCTCATATGCTCATCTACTCAAATTAGCATTTGCATCTCAATTGACTCAGATGAAAAAAAATCAATATTTATAGTATAGGCAACTCATATCTTTAAAAAGCTTTCATTTATGGTGAATTGTATTTTGGAGTACAGCTTTTTATGAGTTGGAATTGAGCTCTAATTTATTGCCAACAGTTACCTATACAATCGATCCTAGGGTTTTGTTTAGTATAATCCACATTCCTTCACTGTCTGGTGTGGGCTCTGCCCTGTGGTAGGAACTTCTAAGAGAACTAGACTTGAGTCTCTTGCCTTAAGTGATTAGAAGTCTACGGAGGGCAGGAGGCAAGAGCATGAATTTGGACAGCGCAGATACCAGGGTTTGAGTCCTGAAATACCACCCACACAGCCTCTGGTCCAATAATGAGCCTGATACATAACAAACTTTATATATATATTAACTATTATTATTGGTAAGGGAATAAATTCCTTGCAAAAAATTGCTAACGTGCATGCTCGTGGAAGACAAGGTCCCAGTTTTGTTTCTTTTAGAAAATTCCACAATGTCCAGCACAGTATTATTACAGGTGTTGCAGCTGAGCCCTTTCAGAGTGTGAAGTTATCACTGGAAGGTGGTTGTCCCATCAGGAAATACATTTCTCAACCACTTTGCACTTAGGTATGGTTGTGTGATTTGTTAATTCCAAGAGCAAGTGAGCAGAAGATGGCTAAAAACAGGTACACCTTCTCAAATTTCTTTTCTCTTATCTTGGATAAATGCAGAAGACTTTGAAGCTCTAGAAGATGATGGAAACACAGGATGAAAGAATTCTGGCTGCCTGAATCCTGTAGTTACTTACATTGCCCTGCTTCCATGAATAAAAATTGCACCTTTAAGGTTTTAGGCCATTGTGATTTGGGGGTTTATTTATGACATCAGCTTGCATTGCCTTAACTAATACTGCTGTTCAACAAATTTGTTGAAGAAATAAATGAGCTATATAACTAAATCACCCCAAGTACAATGCTATTTAGTATCTAAATTTATTTCATCAATCTGTCTGTGGTCTCATTACAGTCAATCAGAATTTAAAGTGAGGCAGTGAGATGGAGTAGTTCTGAGGCAATATAGTGGCTTTTTCTTTTTATATTTTAAAGAATACATCAAACCTTTGTTGTAAAAAAGAAGTAACCAAAAGAACCTCAGAGTGAAGTGGGGGTGGGGAGGTTATTGTATATGTTGGAGTGTTTCATCTTAGTCATGAACTAATAAATTAAATAGAAAGCATTCGTATGTTTTCTGTTCAATGTACTATGTTTTTTGTCTTTTAAAAACATGTGGGATTGCAAAATACGGTCAATAATTCCCTTATTGAACTAAAAGAGAATTAGAAAAGGCTGCTAATAGCTTTTGTGTTTAGAAATGTAATGTCTTCCAGTGAGTTATTTCATGGGTGAAGTGTCTGGAATTGCTTCTGAATACTGGATTATAGATATTTTTCTTTCTTCTTCTTTTTTTCCCTTTTCTCTTTTTTAACTAAGAGAACTTAAACATGATATTAAAAAAACATTTTATCTTGTGGTAGAAATGTCAGCCACATTTCAATTCACTCTTAGGCTTCCCCTAAAAGGAATGACTTTTATGCATAACAATAGCCTTGTTTTTATAAGTGGTTGGTAATATCTGCAAATGTGTAAGGCGTTCATTTTCCAGGAGCTCTTTTCTCCCTGGTAACACACCAGGAAATATCAGAGTGTTGTTATTTGAATTCTTTCTTGTGCTCTGACTCCCAGATGAATTGAAATTCAACTTCACAGTCAAATGAGTGGCCATTTAAAGCTCAGGTGTGTATTTCTTAAGACCGTCTCAAAGGATATATAACTGCTTATGTCTTTCCAAAAGACAGCAAACTGAATTTTAATTGGATCTTGCCTCTCCCAAGAGATCATTATACTTCTACTCTAAGGCCATATATTATAAAGCTTCAGTATGAATTGGAACATGTAGCCCATGTTTTGGTTTAGTGTTTAAAGCTGAAGTTATAACAGCTGACACTATAGTCCTTTCAGCAACACCCCCAATCAAAATTTTATTTAGTTTGAGTCTCTTTAAAAAAAATGAACATACACACAAGCATGCAAACGTACACACACACGTATATAACTTGCATGTCAAAATTATGTAAACTTTCAGATTATTAAAAAACAGTTCCTTTTTTAAGGAAATAAGTCTCAAATGGGACTAGTTCCAAATTTTTCTTGTCTCAATCCCACCTTGACCTTGTCAGATGAATTTAAAAAAATAAAGCAGTGGAAAAATTTATATATATATATATATATATATATATACACCAAAGACCTGCTGACTCAGAACTGGATCTGGAATATCCTTTTGAGACACAGAATGAATCTTTTCATCAGATGGTATGGAAGACCACTGATGCATTCATGAGCACTCCTGGAGCTGGTCTCCCTCTGATCTTAGAAACGGACAAGACAACATCTAAAAGGAAACCAACAGACTTGCAGACCTAATTCACTAAACTCTAAATAACACAGCCATGTGCTTCTTTGTTCTTCATAGTTTAATCATCCATGGAAATTTCCAGAGGTAAATTAAGACTATGAGGACCAATGTTAAAAATACTGTGAAAACATCCCAGAGCATGCTGACGTGTGGAATTCATACTTTAAAACTCGTAAGGGGCAATCTTATGCCTCATAAGGAGGCATAAGACCTCCTTACGGTCTTGCCTTATACCATAACAAAGTGGACCTTTGTGTATTATATGTAGTTAAGACTAGTTTTTATATATATATTTTCTTCTTGAAAAATGCATAGGTTTATTCCAGATTTGAATGTTTTAGAATTTTTTTTCCTTAAATTTGCAGACAGAGACGTGAATCAGGAACCAGGCCCCAGAATCCAGAATATGTCTCTTAGTTTTTCTGAGACATGATTTCTTCAGTTGTAACATTAGGAGACTGAAGTAAGTAGTCTCTAGAACAGTTAGTGTTATAACATTTTATGGTTCTAAAGTTCAAGTGGCTTTAAAAAAATTATTTATATAAGACTCAGTTACTAGTCAGCATATATCCCTAGATTTCAGCATTTTTCTGCCATGATGTAAAAGAATATTTGAATTACGTACTCAGTACTCTCAGTACTGGAATCTTAGACAGGCTTCAGTTTGCCTATTTATTTCTACTTAATTATCTTCCACTAAATTTGCTTCTCTTTTATTAAAGATTTTTAAAAATTGTATGAACATCTTAGTTACAAGGCTAAAAACCTTGAAGTTTTCTTCAATTGTTTATGTTCATTCACCCCTAATATTAAATCAATCACACAGTTCTCTTGGGTGCACCTCTGTGAAGGGTAAGACTACTTTTACAAAACAGAATTGTAGAATTGGAAGTGATTTCCTTTCACTGCCCCACCAATATTGTAGAATTGCTTTGAGGATTTGAAGAAATATATCCACCATTTCCCAAGAAAAAAAAACACATATACAATTTTTCATATAATTTCCAGGGATTCAAAGACTTTACCTAAAGTTCTTCCATGGATATCAGATTAAGAATCCCTCGTATAGGCCAAATGTTTTCAAAGTCAGAATTTCACTCAATAACAGCCCTGGCAGGTGGCTTTCTGATTCTGCATCTAGTGACTGAGAATGCTCATTTTGGGCACTTTCTCTTCCCTTATTTGTAATGAAACTGTTATTGTTGAAGAACTTATTTGGGGTTAAAATATTTGCCCCAGTTGACCACAGGTCTTCATTATTTGAAGGTATCTCCTATATCCCACACAAATCTTCTATTTTTCATGTTAAATATTTACCATCTGTGTCTTTTCTTGCATGGCTTCCAGACTCTTTCCTATCCTGGTCATTTTCCTCTAGACAGTCCTTAAGTGTCTTGACTTAATTTTGGTTCATTGAAATGAATAACATTTTTTATACTTGATATGAATAACCAATGCAAAATTCCTGGAAAATTTCTTTCATTTCAGGCACAGAGGAAAGGACTTGAACTGCCTAACATTGGCTAACATGTTGGTTTTGATCTTTGCTAGCCATTTTGACTTAGTGCTGGTTACTTAACCTCCTCCATTTTTTTCATCTGTAAAATGGGAATAGTTACACCTTCATTATAAATTTGTTATTTTAGCAGATAGTAGGTACTCAATAAATGGTAGATATTATTTCTACTCTTAATTCAGATTATTTGGGATATTTTGAAAGAAACATCATATTGAAGACAGACAAATATAATCTCCAAACTATTTTTAACCAACATTAAACTTGGCCTTTCCTACCGCAAAGTCATGATATTAAATTTTTTATTGAAGTACAAAATGTGATAATTACTTAATATTGCTAAATTGTTTTGTATTGGGTTTGGCTCATATGGCAGGCTTCTGAGATATTGCTAACCTCTGATCCTGTCATTCAGTGTGTGTTACCTGTCCTTCTTACTCTTGTGATCTTCAGGCAGGTGTACAGGCAAGGACCAAACTCCCCAAGACACATTAGCCACTTTTTCCAGAGTTGACATTAATTCACTAAACGACTTTCTATTGTGACCAGAGTTGTCATGTACCTTGCTGACAAAATGATACTAAGCATGTGGGATTTCCCTGACCGAATTATTTAAATAAAAAAGTGGGGGCGGGGGGGAAGAAAGAAAGAAATTGACATTGGTGTGAAACGATTTGTTTTGTGTGAGCTCATGCTGACTCAGTTGTTGAACTAAATCCTTTTCAAGTCCCCTAGTGATAAGAAAACTATAGGAAGAAGGCAGGGACTGTACCTTATTTGCACAGAGTCAAACAGATTTTGAGGTCCCTACATGTATAATAGATCATTTCTTTGACTTGCAGATCAGAGTGAAAACAATTTCAAGAGCAAGTAAAAGGAGAAAGTCTGGCTCTTCAAAGCATGGTCTTATTCCCTCACACATAAGGTGGCTCTTATGTTCCTCCAGAGAACTTGTACAGAGCATGGCATGGCGGTGGGTCTCGTCAGAAGGAAAAGTGTGGGTGGCTGGGTGTGAGGCTCCTCTCCTTGCCCAGACCCTCTAATCCTCTCCGAGGTCAGGCACAGGAAGGAAAAATAATAAAGTAGACATTTATTCCTTCCAAAAGACTTGCTAAAAGGAAACTCTCTGAGAAACCCCTTGGCTATTTTTATGAATGAAATTTTTTTAAAAAAGGTTTTTAGATGAATTTTCCAAATATCTATTAGTCTGAGAGAAAGAGGGGGAAAAAAAAGACTCAATGCTAATACCCTTTGCATGAGCTCTAGTTTGCTCTTGCCTCCAGCTGTTGAATGAGTTAGGGTCATATTTGGAAGAACAGCTCATTCTGTTTGGAAGGTCATGCAAGGGAGTCCGGAAGAGGAGGGGCGTGGAGATGCCAGACAGAAGGGCGAGCCAGCAGACACACGTGGACAGGGCTGAAGCCAGCTCCTCTTACTCTTGGTGTGTCACTGCCTGCAATGGAATCCAAGGGTCTGCCATCAGGAGTGCAGGAGTACTGTGACCTCTCTTGGAACCTGGCGGTGAAGTCTCCTAGAAAGCATGTTTATTCAGGGTCCCTGATCCACAACAGGAGCCTTCGCTTTGAATTTAGATTAATTGAGAGCTCTGTTAGTATAATTGAGTGCACTTTCCCATCCCTGCCCTCTATAAGTAAAGGGACAGTTAAAACATTTTCCTTTTATTAGAGTCTGTTCTAAAGTTGTAAGGTATGATGAGATGTAGGACGTGAAAGGTTTTACGTTCTCCAGAGGAAGACGCAATATCCAATCAATATATTTTTCTTATCTTAACCTGATATCTTATTTAAAGCAAATAACAAGTGTCCAAAAGCATCTGGCTCTATTTTCCTGGATAAAATGCAGGAATAAATTAAATTCCCACAATACGTAAACTCTCTATACAAATTAGCACATGGAAAAAGGCAACGATCCTTTCAAATAAGTGTTTAGTACATAAAATGAAGCTAACCCCCATAAGAACACTTATAAATGGTAACCTAAGACATAGCAAGGAATTAGTTTAGCTCTCTAAAAACTTACTACCTAGGAATGTATTAAATTAAGGAAGAAATTGACTCATTTGGAAAGGTGGTCCTTTTACATCATCTATACTACGTATATTTTTTAAAGATGAGGGTCTCACTGTGTTGCTCAGGCTGATCTCGAACTCCTGGGCTCAAGCAGCCCTCTTGTCTCGGCCTCCTAAATAGCTGGGAGTACAGGTGCATGTGCCACCATGCCCAGCCTTATAGTCTTATGTTTTTTAAATGATGCCTATCAAATAGAGTGGCCAAAAGCATGCTATTTTTTATTCTTTTATCAATAAATTTTTTTTAATTTTATTTTTAATTGACACATGATAGTTGTACATATTTATGGGGTAAAATGTGATGCTTTGAAACTGGCATACCCTATGTAATAATCAAACCAGAGTATTTAGCATATCCATTACCTCAAACATTTATCATATCCTTGTGGTGAGAACATTCAAAAGCCTCTCTTCTATCTACTTTGAAATAGACAATGCAATGTTGTCAACCACAGGCACCCTGCTGTGCAATAGAGCACCAGGATTTATTCCTATTTAACTGTAACTTCTTAACCGTTGCCCAATCTCTCCCTATCCTCCCCTGCTCCCCTTCTCAGTTTATCTTCCATTCTCAAGTTCCTAATCTGAAAAAAATGCACCTAGTTTCTATCTTGCATACTTGTGAGTCTCGGCGATATCATCCATATATGCACACAGTTCTCAGTGCAGGAGATGCCCTCAGCAAATGGCAACTAGCCATTCCTCTATTTGAAAGACAGTCAGACACAATGGCCTGGGGTGCTTGCCTTGTGGATGTTCTGCAGTTTCTAAGCAATTCTGCTGCAGAAGCACTACTGGGGGACACCCCCTCTTCAGGTGAAACTGCGATGTAATGAATGCCTTTTAATAATTCGGTCATCAATTTCCCTTGAGTTGGTCCCACATTGAACCTGTCATAGGCTCGCATCCGTTAATCTTAAGAAATACGGTTTGTTGCATTTTAGAGATCATGGAAATGATCATTTCAAAGTAGTTTTCCTCCTGTTTCATCTGGGATTTATAAAGAACTTCAGCCATTCCTAAATATGAGACAAAAAGGTCTGACAGCAAGTGACTTTAGAGAGATATCTGGCTCAGAAAAGACTACCAAAGTCCAGGAGATGGTTGGAAAGATGGGCCCATATGAGAATTCTGTGTTTATTTTCTCCCTAGGTGAATGTCTTTGCTGATAATGTTTCCAGGCACCACTGGGCAGTGAGTCATTTTTGGCCCTACCCACTTCACTTAAGAGATACGAACTGAATTTAAAACCCAGATATCTGAGGAAGGCCATCTCATGCTCCTTCAGGGCACCCACAGCCCCAGCAGCAACAAAAGGTGGTGATAATGGAGGGAAGTAGAGAGGGAGACCCAGGAAATCACATGCATTAACTAGAGTTTTCATGAACAGAGTTGAAAAAAGAAGACATTTCAAATTTTAAATTCTTCTCCCAACTCCTATACCTGGCTCTTTAATGTTATAAAAATCAGAGGATTCCACTAGGGGGGATAAATGTTTTGAAGAAGTAATCCATTGATCACTTCCTCTCACTCGACATGTTTAACTAGATGGAATCAATACTTCTTAGCCTAGCAATGGGTTTGTAAAAAAAAAAAAAAAAACGGTAACACAATTGGATGTTGTAAGGCAACTTAGGATAAAAGGATCCTGTAGACAAATTCCTCCTTATCCCTTACCCCACCTGTGAGCACCTTTGATTAAAAGTCAGATCTGTATGGATATATTAAGTCACCAAATTCATGGAGGTTAGGGCACAAATCTTTTTTTTTCATTTTTCAGTGCATTTACTTGTCATCCAACACCTGCCCTAATGACACACACAGAAACAAAGAATCTTGAGTTTTAAACTGAGCACAAGAAATTGAAAATATAACTATGTAAAACATCAAAAGTCCCACCCACTTTTTAAAAGAACTTGCTTAATTCAAGCATATTTAAGAAATAGTGCCCCTGTCTAACACATTTCTATTACATTAGCACAGTGCCTACTTGCAGGTTTTATTTCTTGCAGTTCAATGAGTACAGTATTTCAACTGGAGAACTCGAAACAGACACAAAGGCTTTTTTTTTTTTTTTTTTTAGTTAACCCTTCAGAGAAAACATGCAGGGACAATCACCACTTCTTCATTTTCACTGTCACCTGGATTCACAACCATGCAGCCAAAGACAGTTTCAGATGGGCAGATGGCCCTAGTGGTTAATAGAGATGAGAGAGGGAAAAGAAATAAATGAATGCTCTGTTTTCTGTGTAAGCAAATAAAAAGGCAGAGGAAACAAAAGGAATGAACCAGCCAATGGGGTTGAATCATCGAGTCCCTCTAAACATACCTTGACTTTCCCATGCAGGGATCTACTTCCCCGATAGCCAGTTCAGCGTGGATACTCATGCCGATGAGCCTAAGAATGTTTGCCTGTCAGAGATAAACACTGCATTTCTGCCTGCTGCACACAGAGTTGCTGGAACCTGACAATGCCGTGTGCGAGTAATAAGCCATCATGAAATGGTGAAAGAGTCAGGGCTCTTGAATTACGCTTGCTTTATATGGGTTGAATTGCACATCTAGGGCAATGTTTGGCCAAGTGAACAGGGCATGCAAAGACCTTGCTTCCTCTCTGTGCTGTGGGGAACTGAGACTGTGCCGGGCCTGCAAACGCGGTGAGGAAAAATCCATTTGAATGCTTACTGCTGAATGGTGCTGGGCATTGTCAGCTTTTGTTTACTTCATCTTACATGTGAAGATCGCAGCTGTTCCTTTCAGTAAAAAGAAGTAGGAGAATGTAGCAACCAACCTCACATTTTCCCCTCCTCCAAATGTTTGTGGAGCCCAACAGCTGTCTTTGCAAATCCTGTCACTCAGGATTGGAATGGTTCTACATAATCAAGAATGGAGTGGTGAGGCTGAGATTGTTGGCTGGCTCGAGGTAGCAGGTGGGAATGAACTGTTCTCTTAATGGGCTCACTTGGTCTGTTCCTGCAGGGACTGACTCAAAAAAGAAAAAAGAAAGTTTAAAGGAGGCGATGAAGGAAAGTTGAACACATATGTCTTGTATTTCATACGTATAGATCTGAATGGCTGTGAAGCATGAATTCACTGGTTGTTAGAATTGTAAGGGATTTGAAAGGTCCTATTGTCTAGGAGTTTTCAAATTATTTTTAGCAGCAGAGGTTTTTTTTTTTTTCTTTCCTCAAATGAAGTCTTAGACTAGGGATATTGTGTGATAAATGAAAATACCTACATAGAATAAGCGGAAGCATCAATGGAAAACTGGGCTGGGTATAAGAAAAGCAACTTCAATAACAAATGAGCTCAGTTCTGGTAACAGGGCGGGAGTCATGAGGACTGAGGCAAATTGGATGTGCTTGGAGAGGACGAGTGCTCCTCCTTCTCAGCACAGCCACGCACGGCATAAGGATGTTTTGGTCAAGAAAGACTGCGTGTATGATAGTGGTCCCAGATTATAATACTGTATTTTTATTGTACTTTTTCGATGTTTAGATACAGAAATGCTGACCATCGCAATGCACAGGAATGCCCTAGGATGGCGGCCAAAGCCTTCCGTCTCCCACCCAGCCCATTTTCCTAACAAATGTGCGCATTTAACATTGTTTTTCATCCCCAAGAATGGGGTATCAATAGAATCTACAAGACCAAGACTTAAATGAAATGAATCAACAGTAACACAAACAGTAGCAATTTTCAATTAGAAATTTAAGGAAAGCTTCATAAAATGTTCATAGAATTCTGTCTCAATTCACCTAGCCCATTTCAACTGTAGCGTAGACGTCTGTTGTTAACAGCCTTAACATCTTTTTTGGGCTTTTTGCAAATATGAGTACAATTTACGTCATTTATTCCCACCCAATAGATTAAATGCCAGGAGTCTGGAATACAGAGAAAAAAGAAAAAAAACTATAAAGAGAACAACAACAACTACAAAAATCAGCTAAGTCTGAGCAGTTTCAAGAGACATGCTGATTTTTTAAAAATATGCGGAGACTATCCAGTTATCTCAGATTCCTGGTTCGTTTTCCACTCAAAAGTTAGGTCAGCTAGCATCTGACATAACAGTCCTTGATTATCTCTGGTTTTGAAAAACAGAAGAATACAACAGATTGCTTCTGCTCAGTCAACCAAGTTCTTGTGTTTTAGTTACCCTGACATCAACTTCAGGTGAAGGAAGAATGTTTACATATCAAAGTGGATAACATTTCATGCTGGTGGAAGGCGCTTCTTCCTCTGTTTTTCTGGCCGTGCAGGCTGCAGCCAGAACAAGGCTGGCCTCTGCCTGTTTTAAAGGAATTTGACTTATGGACTGGCTCCAACACAAAAATGCATATTCATCTTCCAGAACAGGTACAAAACATCCCCTGTTATTAATAACCTACAGCACCTCTCTTCTCATTTCATACATACCAGCAGAACTTGACTTTCACTCATATTATAGTTGATTTTTTTAACACAATAAAAAGTGGAGAATGACAGAATTTTACTCGAAGAATCTTTTTTGTATTTAGTTTTTTTTTTCATTTAGTGGTTATGAAAAGCAGAATTATGTCTTACTTATTGAAATCTTTTGAAATGCTTTTAGACTTTCCTCAAATCTTTTAAATCACAATAAAGGGAATCGATAGCCATCTTTCCAGGTGAAAGGAGTTGAACCAGCTAATGCATCACTCATTCTGATTAACCAATTCAAAGGCAGGCAGGCAGTTAAATATTTGCTGTAATTCATTCTTGAGTGGTTATATATGCTTCAGTGGCAGATTTGATTTAATAAATATCAATAACCATGGCAATGCTCAAGGAGGAAAAACAAAAGCAAACTATGAAATAATTTAGGTGTCTCTTTTATTAAAAGTACAGTGGAAAATTATCTCAAGATAACCATGGCACATGAATTAGACATGTCTCAGGAATATGTTTGTTTGTTCTCTCTGTGCCTTGGGATGATTTCAATTACTTAAATCTATAAATTATTTTATTACACATTACTCCAATTTAGTAGGTGTCTACAGTGTGGGAAGGTAGGACAATGTGGGTACAATTTAAATATCTTACTTGATTGCCTACAGCCTCATAGAGATTGCACTAACTAACCCATGAAATAATACAAGTGTCATTAAGTACAAAATTTGTGCTATAAAAATTCTTATGGGCTAAAATTACTGGGGCAGGGATCATAGAAAATTAGAGTTGAATTAGGTAGGAAATCATGGGTACAATTTGGATCTGTGTAGAGAAATGAAAGCTGGCAAACAGACAAGCAACGGCAGAGACACAAAGCAGCAATGAGCATGTCCCATATAGAGAGAGGACTGCAGGGACGGTGATGAGACCAGAGCGAAGGTGTATTCATAAGGCATGCCCATATCATGAAGAAACTTGAATCCCAGGAGGATAATCTGGGCCTTGTTCTGAGAGGCGCTGGAGAAGCATTGCTGGATGCTTTGAGATTATGCAGAAAAAAATCTGAGGGAGGCAGGACCAAAATGCCAAGAGTTACCAAGGAAGTTTATGATATGCCTGCAATAATGGTCCAAAAAGCAATGGTAGCAAAAGGAAAAAAGATCTAAAGAAAAATGTATAGAATGATGGTTGATTCTATCATATATTTATGAACAGATAAGAATTGGATGCCTCTAGATGTTTGTGGACACAAATATCTAGTACTGTCCCTGCCCTCATGGAGCATAGACCCTAGGAAATCAACCAGGACTGAATTTGAGACCTACGTGTGGATTTCTTAGCAAGGCGTCATGTCAAATGACTCTTGCAACAAGTGAGACAGAGTCCAGGACAATAAATTAAAACACTTTACAAGTGTCTACATTGCTTTTTTTAATCACTAGAAAGCCTAGCCAACCTATGGAAAAACAAACAAAGAATAAGATATGTTTACTGATCTTGCATCTCTATCAGCTTCAGCAGTGGCTAAAGGGTCACCTCTGAACTCCCAAAGCCCCTCCCCAAAATCTCAGCCATCTTTGACATCAAAACGGGTGGGAAAAACTCTCGATTAGTAGTCAGAAGCCTTCTGATTTGAGTCTTGACCCTACCACTTGTTTAGTCATATGCCCTTGGGAGTCATTTATATTCTTTGAGTCTCATTCACCTTCTTCATTTATGAGACTAATATCACCTGCCTGGCAAACTCAGAGGATTATTATAAAGATCTAAGGAGAAAATATCTATTAAGGCCACTAGGACATAATGATGTGGGTAGGAGAGTAAAGGAGAATGAAGAACTCTGCTTGGGTAACTCTTTGTCTTGACCTAATTATCAGAGTCTAATTTTTAAAAAAGATACGTAAGAATCAAGTCTTGATCTAAAAAAAGCCCCAATCTAAAGAGGCAGATCTTGACTAGTTAAGTACTAGTTAAATGTTTCTGCTGAAAAATGTCTTTTTTAGCTCCAAATGAAAATTTACATGAAACCTTAAATATATAAAACAGAAAAAGTGAGTCATTTTCATATAAAGGCTTTAAAACCGATTTATAACATTTACTTATTGTAAAGCCAATCAATGGGAATAATAAAGTTTTTCTGATTAACACAATATTAGAGATGAGAATCTTATGTCCACCTCAGCCTCCAATTTTAGATTGTTTTTACTTCAGCTGCACAGTGTCAAGACAATTCTGATTCACACAGCTAAGTGGTTACAATGGTAAGAATTATTTTTATCAGCTTACCTTGAATTCTCTGCAAAATTTTTAAATAAACAGGAAGAACAGGAAAAGCTTTGCTTCAATGTCTGTGTAAAAGTTAACTGACAACACAAGTTAACATATAGAATGAGAATATGTGTTCAATTTGGTATACATTGCATGAATATATGTTTCTTTTTATTAAGGTATTTTAAGTAGTGAAAAATATTTTTTAGCAGCATTTAAATCAAACATTTGTGGAACTTCTGAAAGAACTCTCTGGAACCTGAAGTGTCTGCAGAATTGTGGTCAAAGCTAGCCACATGCGTTGAGCAGAGAGCACTGTTCTAAGCGAGTGCTATTTGTGGTTTATTTCTTAATCCTCCTAGCCACTCCATGAGATAGGGGAAGATTCTGAGATACACAGAGGTCTAGTAATTTTCCATACAGCACACCATCAGTAAATAGCTGAGCAAGATTCAAACCTAGGTTGTTTTTGACTCTGTGGCATGTGTGCTTAAGGGCTGAACCTGACGGAAGAGAATGGGTTCATGGCCTGGCCACACAGATTAATAACCAGGCAGTTTCAATTTTCACATCTACTGAATACAGATCAGTTGTGAAGCTTATTTATGACACTGTCTGGAAACCTTGGAGTTTAGTGGGTGTTTAATAAATGTTAAAATGGCTGACTCCCCATCACAAATACATCTAGGTATCGTGCTCTTATCCTCTTTTTGCCATGTGAGGATACAAGAAAAAGACAATAGTCTATATCTGGGAAGAGGGACTCTCTGACTTAGGACTCCCTAGTTTCCAGAACTGTGAGAAACATATTTGTAAACCACCATGTCTATGGTACTTTGTTATAGCAGCCTGAACTAAGACACAATGCATATTCATTTACATGTTGTAGTGATCACCTAATTCAAAGGTTGTCGGACTATGGTCTGCAAGCCATGTCTGGCCTACAGTGTACTTTTGTAAATCAAGTTTTATTATAGCACACTGCAGTGGACTGAATGTTTGTGTTCTTCCCAAAATTCATATGTTGAAATTTTAGCACCCAGTGTGATCTTATTAGGTGGTAGAGCCTTTGGGAGGTGATTAGGGTATGAGGTTTTAGCCCTCATGAATGGGATTAATGTCCTCATGAAAGGGACTCCAGAGAGCTCTCTTGTCCTCTTCTTGCCATGTGAGGATACAAGAAGACAGCAGTCTGTAACTGAGAAGAGAGACACTCTGACCTAGGACTCCTCAGCTTCCAGAACAGTGAGAAATATGTTTGTAAGCCACCCAGTCTATGGTACTTTGTGACAGCAGCCTGAAGTAAGGCACCTGCTTATGCATATTCACCTATATATCGTCTGTGATTGCTTTCCCTCTAAGATGGCTTAGTTGTGTCATTGTGACAGCGAGTACATGTCTCACAAAGTCTGAAATATTCACTTTACAGGAAAAGTTTGTCAACCTTTGACCTAATATAATACTGCATTTTCTGTCTGTCAACTTCCCATAACACTGAACCATCTAAGGTAGCAATTCCGATATATGTTAAAGGAGAAGGCAAGGAACTTGTGTAAAATCAGAACTGGTTGGGTTGTTTTGGTCTCCCTGTCATATACTGACTGCTCAGGGTCAGCATACCTGACCAAAATCCATTTTGGTTTAGATTAAAAATATTTTAGCATGTTTTATACATCATAAAACATGGCTAAGTTTGTTGAGAGGAACTTAAAGAAAGGATGAATAAACTCAATCTACGGATGGCTCAGAAATGATTAATACTTTAACAATGGTTTCTAAAATTCAAGAATGAATTAAAAAAAAAGTTTGGGTTATTTTCTGTCTGAAGAAAAACCAAACAAAAGACATAGTATTAACTTGTATATTACCTAAAGTAATTACTTCCTTTGAGTTTTCATTGTAGTTTGTGGAATTCCTTTTCTGTAACTTAAAGAATAAGTAATTTGGGGGAAGTAAGGAAGTGTTACAAGTACTATATTTCATTCTACCAAGAGGACAGGGGCTTTTTGTCAATCCATTGAGAATTTCAGGCCTCATCTGCCATTCTGATGACATATTTGAAAAGCTATTAACAGTCAATTATTTGCTTCCCAAAGATATGGGAACATAGATTCTGGAACTCATTAGAAAGTGACCAGAATAGATTCTAAATTCGAAAAACTTCAGTTATCTTTCTCCTGCTTACAATCTTAGTGTGCTATTTCTGTAGGTAAAGTTTCTCCTATTTATAGAAGTATGTATGAGTTTAGAGTATAAGGATGTAATATTAAGTTGTAAGTATAAAAGGTAGCAACAGAAAATTTGATTAGGAATTTTTGTCATTCATCCATTCATTCATTCATTCAACAAAAAGATATTAAGCAATGATGTACCAGGCATGGAACTAGCCGCTGGTTATACATGACATCCAACACAGATGTGGTAGCAGCTCTGATAGAGCTGGCAAGAGAGATAAGAAGTAACACTTTTTGGTTTTTGTAAATTGTAATAAGGAAATGAATAGGGTGAAGTGATAGAGAAAAAAC